>NC_000017.11:45060980-45685980 GCF_000001405.40 Homo sapiens | reverse complement strand
TGATGGCATCCCCCACTCCGCCCGCCGCAGGAGCCCTTGTGTATACATAGCCATCTCGTCAACATGTGAAGGCCTCGGGTGGCATCAGGGCTCTCTTGATGTTTCGGTGCCAGACATACTGCTCAGGCTTACACGCGTCTTCCCCAGCTTCCAGAATGTAGCCATCAAAGAAGGGAGCATACCAAGACTGCATAAACCCTAACTGTCAGGAAAGTAAAGAACTCCACCTCTAGCTATCTAAACCCCAATCGCAAAAGGACACAATGAAATGTGGTGAAAAAGAACTGAAGGCCAGGTGCGGGGGCTCACGCCTGTAATCCTAACACTTTGGGAGGCCAAAGCAGGAGGACTGCTTGATCCCAGGAGATGGAGACCAACCTGGACAACATAGAGGGACCCTGTCTCCACAAAAATGAAAATAAAAATAAATTAGCTGGGCCTGGTGGCTCATGCCTGCAGTCCCAAGTACTTGGGAGACTGAGGCTAGAGGATCATTTGAGTCTGTGAGATTACAGCTGCAATAAGCCATGACTGCACCATTGCACTCCAGCCTAGGCAACAAAACAAACCTGTCTTCAAAAAACGAAAAGAAAAGAAAAAAGAAATGGAGACATTAGTGAGTGTTATCAGCTATAATGTGAGACACTCTCTAGGAGAATAAAAGGGGGAGGGATCAGGCCACACTGAGGAGGTAGCCTGGAGTATCTGTTGCTCCTTGTAAACTTAGGCAGTCTGCCGTAAATTTCACCGTATTTCCAGAAGCTGGAAACCATCATTCTCGGCAAACTATCGTAAGGACAAAAAAACCAAACACCGCATGTTCTCACTCACAGGTGGGAATTGAACAATGAGAACACACGGACCAGGAAGGGGAACATCACACACCGGGGACTGTTGTGGGGTAGGGGGAGTGGGGAGGGATAGCATTAGGAGATATACCTAATGCTAAATGACGAGTTAATGGGTGCAGCACACCAACGTGGCACATGTATACATGTGTAACAAACCTGCACGTTGTGCACATGTACCCTAGAACTTAAAGTATAATAATAATAAAATTTAAAAAAAAAGAAAGAAAAGAAAACACATACATTAGCTAAATTCTGAGGCCCAAGACGAACCTTGGTGCATCATTATATAAAACTAATAAAAGTGGAAACTTGTGTTTAAAAAAAAAAGAAAAAAGAAAAGAAGCTCCCCTTGAAGCTTCAGCTACAGGAAGGAACAGCAATTACTAAAAGTGCTTTCAAATCTCTCTCACCATAATCCCAGCATGACAAAGACCTGGCCCTATCCACCAAAACTTTTCAAAGCTCTCCATTTTCCTTTAGAAGACCGTCTTAGTTTTATAATGGAATTTTTAAAAAAATGTGACTCACACTATGAATAGTTTCTTTATAGCCAGCTCTCTTGGAATGGGTCTGTTATCAAAGTGAAGACTATCTGTCTCCTACTTCATGGTAACAAATTGCTCTTCCAACAAGATCATTGACATGAACCCAGACATACGTCCCAGCCTCAAGGATTTTTGGCTTTTGAACCATCACCACTGTTATAGGTTTGGACTTTGACATTCCTAAATTGATTTTTCTTCACCAAATCTGGACTTTTTCACATCCACTGGCAAATATGTTGGGATGTCATGAGGTGACATAAACTACCAGCCAGCAGCCCCATTTTTGAAGTATCTCTATTCCACTTGGCTCATATTGTATAGCCTGTTGATGCAATTGTTTGAATATGTTGTTGTGTTTATTGATAGTAAAAATGAGCAAAAATGGAAAATTTAAAGTATAGGTACTAGGTAATAAACAAGAAAGGGTCTCAAAAAGTTAATATAATTAAAATTAAAATGAGGCCAGGCACAGTGGCTCATGCCTGTAATCCCAGCACTTTGGGATGCTGAGGCGGGAGGATCACCTCAGGTCAGGAGTTTTGAGACCAGCCGGGCCAACATGGCAAAATTTGGCTTTTACTAAAAAATGCAAAAATTAACTGGGCATGGTGGCACACCTGTGGCCTCAGTTACTTGGGAGGCCGAGGCAGGAGATTCTCTTGAACCTGAGAGGCAGAGGCTGCAGTGAGCTGAGATCGTGCCACTGCACTCCAGCCTGGCCAATACAGCAAGACTGTCTCAAAAAATTAATTAATTAATTAATTAAAAATAAAAATAAAAAATGAAAGTTGTTTTCATTTTAGCCCAGTGTTCATTTAACTCAAGTTGGTTGACTGGATTCATGTGTGAGGGGTAAAATAGTTGTTCTTTTTTAGGGTCTCACTGTCACCCAGGCTGGAGTGATGTGACATGATCATGGCCTACGCAGCCTTGACCTCCTGGGTTCCAGTGATCTTCTACCTCAGCCTCCCAAGTAGCTGGGACTTACAGGCTTGTGCCACCACACCTGGCTAACTTTTTACTTTTTTTTTTTGTAGAGATGGCGGTCTCACTATTTTGCCCAGGCTGGTCTCAAACTTCTGGGCTCAAGCAATCCTCCCACCTCAGCCTCCCAAAGTGCTGAGATTACAGGCTTGAGCTACTGCACTCAGCCAGAAAATAAGGCCTTAGAAATAAATTATAAGTGATCAATGTTCTTAGAAGCAAAATATAATTAGGGAGTTGTCATTATTTTTAGCTGAGTATAGAATCCACCTTAAAACATAAAATAATAATTATTAACATATTCAGTGCATACGACCCTGTTCTGAGCGCTTTATATATATATTACTTAATTTGCACAAGAACCCTATAAGGTGGTTTCTATAATCATTCCGTCTTTCAGAAAACTGAGGCACAGAGAGGTCTCAGCCACACACCTAGGAAGTGGCAGATTTATGCCCGTGTAGGTAGGTCACTGTCCACATTCTTAACCGCCAGGCTCTCCTCCTTCTTGCATAGTGTAAGATTATTATCTAACTTTGATACATTTATATTCTTAGACATTTTCAGGAACTTATTATATGTGAAAAAAAAATGGCTGGGTGCAGTGGCTCATGCCTGTAATCCCAGCACTTTGGGAGGCCGAGGCGGGCACATCGCAAGGTCAGGAGTTCGAGACCAGTGTGGCCAACATGGTGAAACCCCGTCTCTACTAAAAATACAAAAAATTAGCAGGGCGTGGTGGTGGGTACCTGTAATCCCAGCTACTCGGGAGGCTGAGACAGGAGAATTACTTGAACCCGGGAGGAGGAGGTTGCAATGAGCTGAGATTGCGCCACTGCACTCCAGCCTGGGTGACAGAGCGAGACTCCATCTAAAATAATAATAAGAAGAAGACAAAGTTGTACTGGGATAGGACAGTCTTTGGGGAAGCCATTTCTCTTTGCTGCTTAGCTTTTGTGAACATGCTGTGGTCAGCTTTCAGACCTCAGGTTAAAGACGGATTGAGGAGGAATTTAGGTGAGATCAAGATAGAAGTCATCTTGCCATGATCAGAGTCATTAGCTTGTGAACAACCCTATTTATACTTAAGGTTAGGAGGCTGAGTTCTGTTCTGGGAAACACACTAAAACTCCTGCACAAGGCAGAAGCCCTCGTGTTTGAAACAAAAGAAAACATCTTTGGAAAGGGGCTGCTCAGATGCAAGATGTTTGCATGGGATGGAGATTTACCTGTCACTGGGAACATTGTCAGTAGCCTGGAGTGTAGCTGTAACCCGACACTGATCCATTTGGATGCAGGGAAACTGAGGTCAGCCTAGGAGGAGAAGGATAGAGGATGTACCCACTGTGCCGATCTGATCTCAGATCTCCCTGAAGCAGGTTAGGTGTTAGAATTTCAAAGTGAAGAGGCGAGTGCTTCATCAGGATGGATGCTGACAGCCCTTAAGCTTGGAAACCAGATTTGCTGGGAGTAAACATCCAGGTGGGCCTAGACTGGAAAGCTGGTACCAAGTTAGTTAGACCATTTTATGGTTCGCAAAGCCTTTGAAAAGCGGCAAACACTCCAGAAAAAAATAAAAAAGTATTTGTGCATACAGCTGTAGATTTAAGACAGGCAATGCATCTCCTACCCTCAAACAAATCCATACCCCTCCCCAGGTTAAGAGCGCCTGCAGAGCGTGAGGGTATTTGGGATGTGAGCCATGAGCCGGGAAGGCTAAAAGGGCCGAGCAACATGGGTCACATGATCCGTCCTCTGGTTCAATGCCAGGTCCGGAAGGTTACAAAAGGTCTCCGCACCAGGCTATGCCTGTCAGAACCCCTCACAAGCTGTTCTCATTCACACTCACAGCATCTCTGTGAGAGGCATGGGGTGGCAACCTCATTCCTCCCATGGCCATTCAGGAAAAGGGAGAGCCAGATGCCTTGTCCATCTGTCCATCCTGGGGCCTGCCCTCCCTGCCTGTCCCCACACCTTGCCCCTCAGGCTGGGCAGACACCCCATCCATCTGCCTTTCCTCTACTTCTAGTGTGGGAGGTGGGTGGAGGGGAGTCAGGGTGTCTACAGATGGGGTTTCAGTTTGAGGAGGCCTGGGGACCCAAAATTCAAACCACTTAGGAAGAGGCTGCTGTGAAAAGGGATGGTGCGGTGTAGGGCCCAGGAAAGAGCTTGGAGGGCCCTGAATAGCAGGATGAGGGGCCAGGTTCCTCACAAACAGGACCAAAGAGCCTGTGGAGGTTCTTCAGGGAGAGGGTGGAGCAGGATGAGGGTGGAGTTGCAGGAGGCTCCAGGCAGCCCCTCGACTGTCCTGCAAGCACAGGCTAATGGAGGCTGTTGGCCATGGCTATGGTAGAAGCTGTGGTTGGGAGAGAGGTGGCAGGGGAGTGTCCCATCAAAGCATGGAGCTGTGGAGAGGGAGGCATCCCAGAGTGGGCTCTGCCCCCACCTGCAGAAGGGGGTGTGGAGGAAGGGCTTCAGATGCCAAGTGCAATGCCCCAGGCCCCGGGAGAGGGGCAGGATCTTCTGATGCCGCTGAGCAGTAGCTTCCCGAGGCTGCCCCAGGTGCTTGTGTCCAGCCCTGTGCACTCCTGATCTGACTCTCCCAGGAAGGTGCCTCCTGCTGAGCTCTGGGTGACAAGATGGAGTCAACATGCATTACCCCAAGCACGTTTCTTTTTCTGTTTTTTTTTTTTTTTTTTTTTTGAGACAGGGTCTCGCTCTGTTACCCGGGCTGAAGTGTAGTGGCATGATTATGGTTCATAGTAGCCTCAATCTCTTTAAGTCAAGCAATCCTCCTGCCTCAGCCTCCCAAGTAGCCGGGACCATAGGCATGGCACTATGTGCAGCTTTTTTTTTTTTTTTTTTTTTTTTAGTAGAGACAAGGACCCCCATGTTGCCCAGGCTGGTCTTGAACTCCTGGCCTCAAGCAATCCTCCCTCCTCAGCTTCCCAAAAACCTAGGATTACAGGCATGAGCCACTGCACCTGACCTTGAGCACATGTTTCTTGGACAAGTGCCAGCTGTTGGCATCTGTGTGGCTACAGAGCAGGAATCAGGACGGAGGTGAAGAGAGGGGCAAGGCCAAGGGCAGGGGTGATGTTGGTGTCATTGCAAACAGACCTGGGCACACATGTCTGTGAGGGAGAATCAGGAGATGGTATTGCTGAAGGAAGCTACACGTTTGCACAGGAGCTCTTAAAGCCAAGCTGTCACATCCTCATCCTTGGCTCACTAGATCTTTAGCAGACAGAGCTGACCTACCCTGGGGCACCCTACAGGGCAAAGGCTATGAGAGCAGGGTTCACACACCTTACTTAGAGAATCCAGGGCCAGAGAGCACCAGGTTCAACCTTCTCATCAATATGCATGCAGTCGGCTCAAGTTCTATGCAAGCCCCAAAAGCGGTGGGTCTTGCCCAAAAATCACTGAGATCATCAAGACAGCATCAAGAGTGGGAAAGTATGGACCAGAGCAGACAGACTGGGCTCAAATCCTGGCTGTGCCACCGATGAGCTCGGCAACCTTGGTCACATGACCTGACCTATCTGAGCCCCAGTTTCCTGACATGGACAACAGGGGTAATAGCACTAACAGTAAATGGAAGGACACACATCCAAGCACTGCACTCCATCCTGACAAATGCTGGTTCTCTGTCCAGGTCTTTGGGTACCACGCCTGCCTCAGTCCTCTCACCTACCCACTCAGCTTGTCGATGAAGGCTGTGGCTCCTGACTTGTGTATTAGTTTCCCATCATTGCATTTAAAAAATGACCCACAACTTAGTAGCTTAAAACAACAAACGTTTGGTATCTCACAGCTTCTGTGAATCAGAGATTCAGCAGCAGCTTGGCTGGGTGGTTCTGGCTTAGGGTCTCTAATGAGGTTGCAGACAAAACATTGGCCTGGGCTGCAGTTCTCCGAAGGCTTGACTGGGGATGGTGGTTCGGCTTCCAAGATGGCTTATTCCCACAGCTCTTGGCAAAAGGCCTCGTTTCTTTGCTAGCTATTGGCAGGAGGCTTCAGTTTCTCACCATCTCTCCACTGGGTTGCTTGAGTATCCTCACAACATGGCAGCTGGCTTTCCCTTGCAGTGAGTAATCCAGGAAAGAGAAGGAAGCCATGGTGCCTTTCATGACCTAGTCTCAGAAGTCACATATTCTTGTTTCTACTTTCTGCATTAGAAGGAAGTCACTGAGTCCACCCACACTCAAGGAGAGGAAAATTAGGCTCTGCCACTTCAGGAAGGAGGCTCAACGAATTTTTAGACATATTATGAAACCATCACAACTTGAAACAAATGTCCTCTCCAGTGACTTTTGGCTTTTCTTACATAGAACAGAAACAAATGGGCTAGGGACCCTTGGCAAATGGGGAGCCCTGAGTGTTGGCGTGTCTGGCTGAAGTGAGGCTAAGATAGCCATAGATCTGAGGACACTGCCAAGGTCTCCATGATCCTCAGCGAACAGCCCCTGGAGGATAAGGCAGGACTGGCCAGGGGCAAGGGTGGGCGGGGTGGGGGATGCAGGCACACCACACCATCCTGCAGCCCCATTCTAATGGCCTGAGTTGGGCTTGGAGGGGAATGAGCCGCCAAACCCACAAGACTCATCCAAGAGGCGGGGGGCAATTGTAACAATTTGGGGCACAGCTAAGACAGTCAGTCGGGGTTTGAACCTTAAGTGGGGGAGAATCCTGGCACCCATTGGGAGGTCTCTGTGTGCCAGTATTTCCCATTATCCCAGATGATGAGAGTCACCTGCAGTGCTTGTTAAAGGGCCCCAGCTCTTTTTTGTTTTTTTGAGATGGAGTGTCACTCTGTCACCCAGGCTGGAGTGCAGTGGTGCAATCTCGGCTCACTGCAACCTCTGCCTCCCAGGTTCAACCTCCCGAGTAGCTGGGATTACAGGCGCCCACCACCACGCCCAGCTAATTTTTGTATTTTTAGTAGAGATGGGGTTTCACCATGTTGGCCATGCTGGTCTTCAACTCCTGATCTCAGGTGATCCACCTGCCTCAGCCTCCCAAAGTGCTGAGATTACAGGCATTAGCCACTGCATCTGGTAAAGGGCCCCAGCTCTAACCGACTGCTTCCTAATTTTTTACAGCAGCGGACAGGTGATCCAGAAAG
The DNA here is from genome assembly GCF_000001405.40 of Homo sapiens. Lineage (NCBI taxonomy): Eukaryota > Metazoa > Chordata > Mammalia > Primates > Hominidae > Homo > Homo sapiens. The sequence continues at coordinate 45,678,472 of NC_000017.11, read as the reverse complement.
TTAGCAAGTGCCCTGGGATTCTTATGCTCATTTGATAGGAGAAATGATCTGATAGGAAAAAGGACATTTGGGAAGTATCATAGGGCTAACGGGAAGGAGGACAAGCCAGTGAGAACCACAGCTGGCTTCTGTGATCTGTAAAATGGGAACAACCAGGACTACCTTGATTGCCTAAAAGCAAAAGCCTTGAACAAATGGCTTCTTGGGGTTCCTTTCAGCTTTGGACCAGAGCAGAGAAATGAGGAAGATTTTAGCAACTGGAATTTTAGCCCCAGGAAACTCCCTTAGGGAAAGAGATGGCAGTTAAGGCAGAGGAAGCAGGTATCCCCATCTTTCCCCTAGGTGCTGAGACACATCTGAGGAGTTGGTGTCTTGGGGCCCTCTAGAGCCCCCCGGGGCTGCCTACCCACTCAGTAGCCTTGGCAGAAGAAAATGTGTCAGCTGGGCTTGGCAGCTCTCCCAGCACCAGCCCAAGATGCTCTGAACAGAAATAAAATCTGCCTTCTCACTCCAGAGGATGGGCTCTCCTGCTCCCTATGAGTCAGCCCCACACGTGCAAACCCAGAATAAGCTGGGTGGACAGATGGAGGGAAGAAGGGAGGGGAACCTGATGCAGGCTGTGGGGCAAGCTGGCAAATCCAAGGGCTTTGCTGGCAGGGAGATCTGGGTTCGAGTCCTGCCTCTACCACCTCCTGGCTCTGTGATCTTGAGCAAGTTGCATGGCCCCAGTTTCTTCATCTGTAAAATGGGAATAAAAATACCACCACGGGCCCAGGCGCAGTGGCTCACGCCTGTAATTCCTGCACTTTGGGAGGCCAAGGAGGGTGGATCACCTGAGGTCGGGAGTTCGAGACCAGCCTGACCAACACAGAGAACCCTCGTCTCTGCTAAAAAAAAAAAAAAAAATTAGCCAGGCGTGGTGGCGCATGTCTGTAATCTCAGCTATTTGGAAGGCTGAGGCAAGAGAATCGCTTGAACCCGGGAGGCAAAGGTAGTGGTGAGCCAAGATTGCACCATTGCACTCCAGCCTGGGCAACAAGAGCAAAACTCCGTCTCAAAAAAAAAAAAAAAAAAAAAAAAAAAAAAGGCCACCATTGCAGTTATGAAGAGAAGACAGCAGAGCTTAGCTCTGGAGCCAAACTTCCTGAATTGACTCCTGGCTCAACCACTTACCACCTGTGTAACCATGTGCAGGTCACCTAACTTCTTAAAGCCTCAGCTCCCCATCTGTAAAATGGAGGTAATTACAGTGCCTACCCTCCGGGTTGCCGTGAGGATTTAATGCATTAATTCATATAAAGCATTTAGAATACTAAAGGATCTGAGCACCTGATAATCTTGGTATTCATGGGGGTCCTGGAACAAATCTCCCACAGATACTGGGGGACAACTGTACTACCAGGCACACTGTCAACGCTAAGTGCTCACTGTATAAAGGAAGGCTTGGCAGCACCCAGGGACTGCTCTTTGTCACCCTATAGCATTCCCTTCCCTCCAGAAGGCTGTGCACCTACCAGGTGCTGGATGGAGCTGGGGAGGAAAAGGCGGGGAAGGGAACTGGCCTTCACTGAATCTTGGTGACATGCCACTGTGCCAGGTGCTTCTACATCCAAGTCCTCCTCCTGCTCTCTCCCCTCCCTCCTTCCTCTCCTGGTTTGTTTCCATTCCACACTCCTTCACCCGCACAGGTCATCCCCCCAACCCCGTATTGCAACACTCCTAACCAGAGATCGGTTAGTCGACAAACTTGAACTGAGGTCCTCCCTAATCACAAAGCCCCATAGAGAGTTTCTAGGAAGGAGCCAGGGTGCCAGGGGGTTGGGGGATAAGACAAAGGAAAAAACCAAAACCCAGATCTCAGGGAGCACTGGGTGCCCCACCTTGGAGAAGCAGGTGTGGTTGGAAGCCAGGTGGCAAGCCAGCTTTAACCACACCAGTGATAACGCCGCTCTAGGCCAGTGCTTTGCAATACTCTGGAATCAGCAGGCAGCTTTAAAAGTTCTGGTTCCACCCCTAGAGAGTCCAAGGTAATGGCCCTGAGATATGGCCCAGGCATTAGGAGTTTTTAAAACTCTCCAGGTGATGCTCAGATGCAGCCAGGGCTGAGAGGTAGGACCCCATAACAGTGATGATGCTTAAACCGCAGCATGCATACGAATCACCTGGAGGACTTGTTAAAACACACATCACTGGGTCTCAACCCCAGAGTTTCTAATTCAGTAGGGCCTTGGCACTCACCGCAAAAGCTGTACTTCTGTTTCCAAATGACCCTGATACTGCTAGTTCCCTGGGAGTATACTTTGAGAACCACCCTCCTAGGATGGTGATCAACAAACTACAGCCCTTGAACCAAAAATCCAGCCTGTTTTGTAAATAAAGTTTTATTAAAACACAGCCATGCCCACTGATTTACATATTGTCTATGTCTACTGTCACAATACAAGAGTTGAGTAGTCAGGACAGAGACCACGTGCCTTGCATGGTCTAAAATACAATCGAGCTCTTTACAGAAAAAGATTGCTGACCCCAATTCCAGAAACCTGTGAAGCCACAGATAGCAGGATCCTGAGTCCCTGAGTGACTGCCTGGAGCAGAGCTTTCCTACTGACCTGGAGATGTTTTATGAGGAAGAAATAACTGTCAACATTCTTTAAAGCAGTGTATTTTGAGGCCTCTTTATTACATGGCTCAGCCTCTGCTACATTCCTAATCCTGGCTCCAGCATATCCTGGCTATCCTTATAACCTCTTGAGCCTCAGTTTGCCCATGTGAAAAATGTGAATAATATTGACCCTATGGGTTATTGGAAGGATTAAATAAAATATAAAACCCTGGCAATAGATCTTAGTTTTCTTATTGCTGCTCCCTTTGAGGGTGGGGGAAGGAAATCATTTCTGTTCCCCAAGAAGTCCCAGTTGGCTGGGGGAAAGCAGGTGACCATCTTTGTCACCCTACAGCATTCACTTCTGACCCTATGACATGTCACAATCTGACATGCCAGAGAAAGTTGCTAAACCTCTAGATGCTTGTTTTGCTCCTAAGCCAAAACACACTTCGTTTCCCCACTCCCATCCCCTGTTCCAAATTAATCCAGTTTTCTTTTATTTGGAGGCTGCCATAGCTGTTCACTTACACAAGTGTCCTTTTCAACTCCGTGAGCCAATCTTGGAGCTACTTTAAAATAACAGTTTCTCTAGGTGTGGAAGCCTCTGGCTGGGCTAGAGGGTGAGGCAACCGGCTTAAGTGGCCGCCCACGGCTGGGGAGGGAAGGAGCTAAAGGAGAGCACTCTAAACCAAGGTCAGTAATTATATGGTTTCTACTTGGCTCGCTTAGTGCCAGCTGTGGAGTGAGGTTGCCACTCGCCTCTACTGGTAGAGAGTGGGTCGCTTGGTTTAAAAGCATGTCTTCATCATCTGCTGAATGTCAAATACTGTGTTAAGGAGCTGGGGAGGAAGGCAGGGGAAGGGACACATAAGAAACAGACCTAGAAATGTCACCATCACCAGCACTTTACAGGAGGCAGCTAGAAAGAGGCCAAGAAGGCCAGGTGTGGTGGCTCATGCCTGTAATCCCAGCACTTTGGGAGGCCGAGGCGGGTTGATCACCTGAGGTCAGGAGTTCGAGACCAGCCTGGCCAACATGGTGAAGCCCTGTCTCTACTAAAAATACAAAAATTAGCTAGGCATGGTGGCGCGCACCTATAATCCCAGCTACTCGGGAGGCTGAGGCAGGAGAATCATTTGAACCCAGGAGGTGGAGTTGTAGTGAGCCAAGATTGTGCCACTGCACTCCAGCCTAGGTGACAGCGTAAGACTCCACCAAAAAAAAAAAAAAAAAAAAAAGAGAGAGAGAAAAAGAAGAGGAGAGGAGAGGAGAAAAGAGGCCAAGAAGCCACCAGGTCTAAAGGCTCAGGGGTGTCAGGGTCCCTGCATTAGAGCCCCTTCCACACCTGGCTGATCACCCAGTCACCTGGAGAGTTTATAAAATATGCAGGTTCCCAGGTCTACCCAGGCCCATAGAAGCAGATTCTCCACAGTTGTAAGCAAGCTCCTTGGGTGACTCTCATGGTGCCTGGCACTGGCCTTAGAATAGACTTTGAGGCAACACTACGTGAGATGTAATAAGAAGAAGGACTTTGACATTCACAGATCTGGGTTTAGATTCCAGGTCCAGGGCACAAAAAGGACCAAGCATAAAAGTAAAAATGGATAAGCTGTACTATATCAAGATAAAAAAAAACTCTGCTCTTCAAGACATACCATTAAGAAAATGAAGAAGGCTATAGGCTGATAGAAACTATCTGCAAAAACTAGAGATACCATTTGACCCAGCAATCCCATTACTGGGTATATACACAAAGATTATAAATCATGCTACTATAAAGACACATGCACACGTATGTTTATTGTGACACTATACACAATAGCAAATACTTGGAACCAACCCAAATGTCCATCAATGATAGACTGGATTAAGAAAATGTGGCACATATACACCATGGAATACTATGCAGCCATAAAAAAGGATGAATTCATGTCCTTTGTAGGGACATGGATGAAGTTGGAAACCATCATTCTCAGCAAACTATCGCGAGGACAGAAAACCAAACACAGCTTGTTCTCACTCATAGGTGGGAACTGAACAATGAGAACACTTGGACACAGGGTGGGGAACATCACACACCGGGGCCTGTCATGGGGTCGGGGGAGGGGGGATGGATAGCATTAGGAGATATATCTAATGTAAATGACGAGTTAATGGGTGCAGCACACCAACATGGCACATGTATACGTACATAACAAACCTGCACATTGTGCACATGTACCCTAGAACTTAAAGTATAATTTAAAAAAATATAAAAAAAAGAAACTATCTGCAAAACGTATATCTGATAAAGGACTAGTATCCAGAAAATTAAAAAAAAAACGCTCTCAAAACTCAATAGCAAGCCAATAAACAACCAGTAAACAACCAATTTTTTTAATGGACAAAAAATTTGAACAAGTATGAACTAAACAAGATGGCAAATAAGGACATAGAAGATGCCCAACAATATTAGACATTAGGAAAATACAAATTAAAGCTACAAGATACCACCTAACACCTATGAGAACGGCTTAAATCAAACCCCGGGTCTACTGATTACTATCTGTAAAACCTCAGGCAAAGTACTTGACCACCCTGTGCCTCAGTTTACACAGTTGTAAGACAGGGATAATGCCTACTCCGTGGGGTTGTCAAAAATTTTTAAAGTAATGTATCAAGAGTGTGCATCACTAGGTGCCTTCGGTTTCCATCTTTCCTTTGCCCCACCTTTTCTCCTATACAAGGGACCTGAATCATTTACTCAAGTTTTTTTACTCTGCAATACTTCACCATCTAAAGCCTAATTATCTTGTTTCTATTTCATAGGAAAAGAGACTGTTGAAGGTAGGCCCAGTGATGGCAGGGAGGAAGAACAGCAAAAGATATCCACAATGTACCCACTCTCTCGTTCGCTCCTTTCTTCATTCATTCATTCATTCACTCATTCACTCATTCATTCACTCATTCATTCATCATGACGTACCTGATGCCTTCAGACACTGCACTAGGATCATAGAGATGAAGGAGCCCCAGTCCTTTCCCTCAGGGACCCCTCGTTCCTGAGGGAAGACAGAAACATCCTCTTAGCCTGGTCTCTCTCAGTTGAGTAACAGACCCAGTTCACCCCAGCTCCAGGAAAGTTAGACCTCATGTGGCTGGGAAAGCTGGGACTCATAGACCCAAGGAAGCAACCAGAGCCTCAGGTGCTCAAAACCCCAAGACGCTCCCCTAGTCTCTCACGCCTGCTTGTCTCTTCTTTCGCAGGGGTCTCACCCTCTCTCGCACATCCCAGATCCCGCCGCCTCCACGTGCTGGGCACCACCTGCAGCCTACGCAGTGCCTACACGTGAGCAGCTCGTGTTTGCCCAGGGGAGGATTCTGATTGGCCCTGCTTGGGGACACACTCTATCTTTTGGCCAATCACCTTCACGGGGATGGCAGTCACGTGCGATCTGAGCGTGCAGCTCCCAGGAAGCAGGGCCAGAGACAACTTGGATGCAGGTGGTTAACCGGGGAGGCAACCATGTGAAGCAATCAGGGGGTGAGGAGGGTTAATGAGGTGGTTCTTAAGTGGGCCTGAAGCGGTGTGGAGTACACATCAGAATCGACTCCCTGAAGGCCGGGAGGCTGAAGCACCTATCCCCCTCCTCTTGCCTCCCACTTCCTCCTCCCACCATTGCCATTCCAGGTTGCACCTGTGCAAGGACTGAGCCGAAAAGGCACAGTGAGGGGCAGCTGCTGGAGCTGGGGTTGGAAGAGGGCCAAGGGGTGAGATGCCAGGCACAAAAGCCTCTGCTCCTGTGGCCAGGAAAGCAAAATGATGAAGAAGAGGGTGGGAAAGCTGGGCGTGGTGGCGCGTGCTTGTGGTCCCAGCTACTCGAGAGGCTGAGGCAGGAGGATTGCTTGAACTCAGGAGTTCGAGACCAGCCTGGTCAACATAAGAAAACCCAGTCTCAAAAAAAAAAGGGCAGGGGCGGGAACACTTTCTGGACACAACCCGGTTGTGGGGATGCTCCCACAATCTTGCAGCCCCTCTACCAACAGTTATAATACAATGCCCTTAGGGAGCTGCCTGGCCCAGGCCAGGGTCAGCAGAGCCAAGATCAGTTTTCTTCAAACCACCCTATTCATTCCCTCCCCTACCCTCCAAGGGCTGCCTATGGTATTCTCACCTTCACGAGTTCAGCAGGGCAAGGGGGCTACTCCACCCTGGCTCTTAGGCCCTGAGCAGTGATGGCAGAAAACCCATCCCAGTGCCACTCTTCCCATTCTCGCACAGAGAAATGTTAAAGAAACACATTCCTGCCAGATACTGAACTTTTCTCCTTTCCACTTTGCCACTGCCCCACAGCAGGGGAGATAAACTTCTCTGCCATTGCCAAGAGAAGCAGACACTCAGAACGGTGAAGCAGGGTCCCCATGGCCGAGTCTAGTTGGAGGTGAGGCCAGCTGGACTTCCTGGGTAGAGTGGGGACTTGGGGAACTTTCCTGTCTGACAAGAGGATTGTAAAATGCACCAATCGGCTGGGCGTGGTGGCTTACGCCTGTAATCCCAGCACTTTGGGAGGCCAAGGCGGGCGGATCACGAGGTCAGGAGATCGAGACCATCCTGGCTAACACGGTGAAACCCCATCTCTACTAAAAATACAAAAAATTAGCCGGGTGTGGTGGCGGGCGCCTGTAGTCCCAGCTACTTGGGAAGCTGAGGCAGGAGAATGGCCTGAACCCGGTGGGCGGAGCTTGCAGTGAGCCGAGATTGCGCCACTGCACTCCAGCTTGGGCGACAGAGCAAGACTCCATCTCAAAAAAGAAAAACGCACCAATCAGCGCTCTGTAAAATGAGCCAATCAACGCTCTGTAAAATGCACCAATCAGCAGGATTCTAAAAGTAGCCAATTGCGGGGAGGATTGAAAAAAGGGCACTCTGATAGGACAGAAACAGAACATGGGAGGGGACAATCAGGGAATAAAGCTAGCCACCCCCTAAGCCCACCCAACCTCAGCCAGCAGGCAACCTCCTGGGTCCCTGTTCCATGCTGTGGAAGCTTTGTTGAAGGTTTGTTCTTTCGCTTTTCACAATAAATCTTGCTGCTGCTGGCTCTTTGGGTCCGTGCCATCTTTAAGAGCTGTAACACTCATGCGAAGGTCCGTGGCTCCATTCCTGAAGTTGGTGAGACCACGAACCCACCGGAAGGAACCAACTCCGTACACACTAGGGCTGCCTTCAGCCTGGTCGAAAAAGCCAAGGTGGGCTGTGTCTGTGTGACTTGAAGCCAACCTGGCAGGGATGGACCTTAAAAGAATAGGATCCAGGAAGGAGGGGATGCTGCTTACCTAGTTCTGCCCTCCTGGGCGTCAGAATCTTGGCTCTCGGAAGTCAGGTTCGGCCCCCTGGCTCAGGTAGCTGTAATACCTACACATGTTCTTGAACTTGGACTTTATGAAAAGTACAAATGATTGATGTTTTAATGACTTAGCCCTCACAGACTCAAAATGAGAGCTCAATGTAATTAAACTATATGGAAAATATTTTGATTATCCTTATCAGGCAATACTTAATAGTATCCACGATGTGCCAGACTTTCTAAGGACTTATTGAATCATTAGACCTTTTGAGGGTAGATAGAATTATCTCCGTTTTACAGATGGAGAAACTAAGGTCCAGCAAGGCTAGATAACTTGCCTGAGGGAACAGAGCTAGTAAATGGCAGAGCTCGTTACCAATGCCTTAAACTTTCTCGCAACTCAGGCATAATTAACAAGCACACAGCTAGTAAAAAACCTATTATCAGGAATGGCTAAGAGGATGCCCGGCTCTTTCCCTGATTGAATTGGAGTTTGTTCCTTATTTGGGGGAGCTTGGACCTCCTCAGGGGGCCCCAAGGTCTTTGTGCTGCACAGGAGGTTTGGGGTTTGGCACTGTCTCTAAGCCCTTTGTTGCTCATTCTCTGTCTGCAGTTGCTTCAAGTTCACCTGAGCACTGGTTCTTTAGCAACAGCATTCCCAAGGAGGTTTTTGCCCTCTGAGATGTAGTATGCAGGATGCCAGGTTCTGATGGATGCCAGGGCATGGCCTCCTTCTTGATGTACAGGCTCAGCGCCCTGACCTGGGCACTCTGTAATTATGCTACCCTCGTGATGCCCTGTGCCTGTCCTCCCTGTTCTCACGAGGTGAGCATGGGAGGGGACTGACCCACTTTTCTGGACAGCAAGAGTAGCTTCCTGATTGAAACAGATTCTCTACTGGACAAAAAAATGTGAATGTCTTGACCCCTTCTGGGGAACATCATTGATTATCCGCGGAGTTTCTGCAGCCCAGGAGTGGTTGTGTTTAACCTCGTTTTTTTAGCCAAGACCCCATGGGTTTCATACCTGATGAGGAGTGCCATCCAGAGGATGGGGGGTGTGGGCAAATCAGAAGACCTCTGGAGCCTTCCAGACTGCATGAGCATCAGCTGGCTGGGAGCCATCCAAAGCGGGGAATCAGGAACTCGAACTGAGCAAATGCGTTGTATCTATGGAGGGGCAGTTTGGAGCAACCACCTCCAGGAGCCTTCTCTGAGTCTAGCCCCATGAAGGAGAGGGAAGGAAGTGGAGGGAGGGAAACCAAAACTCACAGCAGCAGCAGCAGCAGCAGTGGCTATTTCCCACCCAAGGGCCTGGGATACATTCAATGATGCCCAGATGTTACAGGGCACCTGCCGTGTCTATGTCCTTTTCCAGACAGAAGAACACCACCCAGCTGGGAAATAGGACATATATACAACATAAGAGCTGAGGACTCAGGACAGCATTGCCTGGAGGGGCTGCAGGGAAGAGGTAAGCTGAAAAAAAAAAAAATGACACACCTTGACTGGCCAAGAGGAAGGTAAACATGTTCCAGACAGAGAGAACAACATTTGTTCATTCATTTGTTCATTAATTCTATATGCATTTCTTGCTCTTCTACTCTGGTTGGGCACTGTTTCAGGCCCCACGCTCAAAGATGAATAGAAAGTGACCTCCCTCCTAAGCAGGGCTGTGTGTAGGGTGACCTAGGAAGGGGACCTAGGATGCAAAGTAAGGAGGCAGTCATTATCAGGTGCCGGCGTGCACTGGTGCGGCTGAGAGTGAGTGTCTCCGTAAATTTTGCACCTTGCTTGTCCTGCTCCTGAGGGGGCACAGTCTATGATGAGCAAAGGCCTGGAGGTGAAAAGCCATGACCTCTCAGTGTGACATTCAAGGCCTTCAGGGTTTGGCTCCACCCAGCATTTGAGGACATCTCCTGCCCTTTTACCCTCAAGCCCTCGCCAGGTCAAACCATGTATATTCTTCCGAATATGATGCCCACCTCCATCTCCTACCTGGAACTCCCTGCACTCCATCCCCTCACCGGCCTGGCAAACCCCTGCCCACCCGTCAAGACTCAGGCAAAGCATCACCTGCTCCCTGGTGCACCCTGAGCCACCAGAACTATAACTGGCAACCTTGATGCCCAGGACAAGGATGATAAAGGTGTCCTCACATCAGCTTGGGAGTGCCTGGTTGTGGCTGGGGAGACAGTGAGGAGCAGGATAGTATTATGTGCACTGCCTGGGAGCTTCCTATTGTAAATAACCATTCCTGCCAAGTACTTGCTGCATGGGAGAGCATGTCCTATCCTGTAAGTGTAACATTCCCCATCACACATCTAATCATTTCCCCCAAATGTCATAGCCTGTGTATTTGGCTGGCCTGGGGCAAAACTCCAATTGTCTGACCTCCAGCTCTGCCAATCACTGTGCTTCCAAGAGATGAGGGTTTCCCTCTTTGAGCTCCCAAACTCCACTGTGCATTGTACCATAAGCACAGGCATCTCACGTTAGTGTCTTGCCTTCCCTCCCACCCACGCACTCAGCTACCTGAGGGTGAGTGGGTGGAGAGGGGGCTCCCTGTTCATCCCTGGAGCTCCAGGACATGGTATGGGTGAAAGTATCAGCTGAGCTTGTGGATGTGCTGGAGCTCAGAGGTCACCATTGAGGGGACCATCAGGCTCGGACAGTGCAAGAAACAAGAGGTGACCGAGGCACAGGCAGGTGCCACCCATGGCAGAGACAGCTGGAGGCCACACGTGAGTCAGCCAGAGAGGGAGGCAGAGAAGGTGGTAGAGGAGGAGGACAGAGGTAGAGAAGGAGGATGGGCCCCAGATTCAGAGCTCCTCTGATTCAGAGCAAAGCCCAGGACCTCTGAGAGGCAGAAACAGTGATGAGGCCTTGTCACACCCATGCAAGTGGCTCCATAGACGTGCCCTGTCTGCTCCAATGAGAATTTCCTCACAGCATGCCAACAGATGCCTCATCAAGGAGGGAAATTGCAGAGAAATTACAACCCCTTGTTGTGAGTTCTCCCACGGAACTAAAAACAGCACATCAATCCCACGCTCTCTGTCTCCAGATGGATTCTGCAGCCTCCCCACCCTGGTGGGACTAAGGAGGAAGGGACACTGGCCCAGGGAGAGGGTCCTTGGAGGAGAAGGACAATCCCTGAAGCTAAGATAATGGGGTGCCTCCTCAGGCTGGGTTTGCAAGCCTGGAGAAAAAACACCTAGTGTGCTCTCTGTGCCATTCCCCATGACACCCCAATCTCCAGGCAAGTCTTGGGGAGCCAGGAGACAGGGGGTCTTCTGTCCCCTTTATCTCAATGGGGTCAGTCAGGCATGGTAGGCTAGGGCACATCAGCACCAGCTGAAAAATCAACCTTTTCCCCCACGTGACCCACCTGAAAAAGAGCTCTGAACCCTGAGAAAGGAATCAGAGGTTAAGAGCATGGCTTGAGAAGCTGGAGTGAGGCAAGTCATAGTAAAGCACCTGTGAACATGAAGCTGCTATGTTAGTACAGCTGGGTGGGGTGGCATCAGGATTCTGAATGCAGTTACAGTCACCTGGAGCCTAATTGGGTGGACCCCAAATCAACTATCCAGTCCCCTTCCAGGCCCACTGGTCTGTTCCCTCCTCCCCCGCTCCCTGGTCTATGGGAAGGCTGCCCAGGTGTCAGGTAGGGTGGCTGCGGTGGGCTCAGACACCTTGGGCCCGGCCTTAGTAGTGAGGACGGGGTGGATTGCAAGTTCTGGAGGAGGGGCTGCCACAGGCAGAGCACATGGAAGGATGTGACAGTGATGGTCAGGGAAGACTTCCTGTCCCAGCCCAGGACCAAGGCACTCTCTTCCCAGAGCAAATGGCCCTGGGTCAGAGCAGCACGGGATCCCTTAGGGGTATGTGGGGAGCTCCAGCCAAGTACAGCTTCTTGCTTCCCATCCATGGCATCAAACAGAAGCTCCTTGGCCATCCTGCCACGGCTTTTCCCTGCTGTGCCTCTCTTATTTTAATGTTTATTAGAAGCTGCTTCCTTTTCAGCCTGACTGGCTACGCCTATTGTGTGCCACACAAGGTACAAGGCCCCTTGGAGGCTACCAACACACAGGGCACACCTGCCCTCACCAGGGGCAGTTTCCCCAATCCAGCAGGGTGCAGTAAAGACCCTGACCACAGCGGAACAGAAGCTCAGGAGCTGGGGGAGAGGAGGAGCAGGTTCCAGGTGGCAGTCTGGACACAGGCAGGTTTGGTGACATTTGAATGGGTCCCCAGAGCTGGGTCTCATCACAGCTTGCTCACCCCCACCTCATGGCCTTTCTTTGGCCATTGCCCATGCCTGGACTGCCCTCTACCTTCCAGCTGGATTCCTGCTTCTGACTTTGCTAAGTGCACCCACAGCAATGGATCTAATACCAAGATAAAATAAAAATACTTGTAAATGCTGCTGTTTATTAGCACTGGTTGTGTGCCAGGAACAATGCTAAACATTTTACATGGATAATCCCTTCTAATCCTTACAACACCCTCACAAGGCAGACATTATGATCAGCCCTATTCTATAAATGGAGAAACAAAGTCTTGGATTAGGTAACCTGCCCATGTCACACAAAGCTAGTAAATTGAGTTGTTTCTCTCTAAAACCTACCTTTACAAAAAACTGCCCTCCATGTTCCCTCCCAAACTCTGTTCCCCAGTGGGCCCTCAGGGTGCCCCATTTTCATTTTAGTTCCTAGATCAGCCGATCTAAAGTTTACATGGGAAAATCCACCTGTCAGGAGGAGAGAAAGATGACAGCCCCGAGAGGCAGCTCAGGTCAGAGATCTGACCCAAATGGCACTTTGCCGCTTTGGAGGAGTCCCTTAAATCAGACTGACTGTAAGAACGTAGACCTGCTGGCTGTCTCCGGGCTTCGGTTTCCTGATGTATAAAATGATGCAGTTGGATTGGGGCAGTGGCTCTTAACCCCAGACTGCATGTCAGAACCACCTGGGGAACTTGAATAAATGCCCATGCTCAGGTCTGGCCCCCAGAAAGTTGACGAAATTGACTTTCTACATGGGGCCCAGATATGAGTAGTGTTTGAAAGTTTCTCAGGTGACTTTACTATGCGGGCAGGACTAGAAATCACTGGTCTCTGAGGCCCTCCCAGTTCTGTCTTTCTCCAGGAGTCTACACTCACTGGGCCTGTTTTTATAAATAAAGTGTTATTAGAACACAGCCGTGCCCATTCATTTACATGCTGTCTGTGGCTGCTTTTCAGTGGGGGTGGGAATGTTCCACAGGAAGGGGGAACCTCATGTCCACATGGACCAGGGACCTATGCACTTGCTCAGATGCTGCAGGCAGTTGCCAGTTTCCTGTGAAAGCAACTTTGCTTCCTACAGACTCAAGTTCAAAGAGACTGGAGAGCAGCCTGTCATGGCCCCCTCGCAGGGGTTAATACAGGGGTTAATAACCCCTTGCAGGGGTTAATAACCCAACTGTTTCCTGAAGATAGTTGTGAAGCTGCCCCTCCTGCTGCTCTTCTCTAGCTCATAACCCCGGTTCATTTCATCCTTCCCTGTAGGTCCCATGCTCCAGCCCCTTCGTCGCTGTTACACGCTAACGTTTTCTCCCTTTCCCACATGCCTCTGCCTCTCCAAATACACAGCAGGACAGAAGCCCTTAATGCCACCTTCTGGCCAAGGAGGCAGCCCTGGGATGATGCTCCCATCTCTCATCTGGTGCCTCTACTTCCTTGTATGCACTGAGATCCCAGCTCCTGTCTGGGCCTGTGGGATAGGGGGGCTTGTGCTCCAGCAAAGTCAGCCACAGAGTGAATTGCTGTCAGCAGAATCTTTCCCCACAGCGTCCGTTATGCAACCAGTGATTATTTTCAAGGATGGCAGAGAAAACCTTAACAAGCAGGGTTGTGAATGGTCCTGCATGGTGGGGCCCCAGCAGCCTTATAGGAAATGGATGGTATCACCACCACCTAGTAATTCTTCCCTCCTCTCCCTACTCTGCAATCATCCTCCTTTTTTCTTTTTAGCTGCTTTGTTGAGATGTAATTCACATACCATAAAATTCACCCATTTAATTCAATGGCTTTTAGTAGATTCACAGGCCTGTGCATCCGCCCCTTTGTTACCCAAGTTAACAGTGTCTCCCGTTTGTGGGCTAAAGAAATGTTTATTGTGGTATGCCACTCAGGTTTTGTGGCTATTTGTTATACAGCATTATTGTGGCAATAAATAACAATGATCTCATTTGTTTTTTAGCACAATCTTGTGAGATTGGTAGAGTAGAAAAAAAATCTAAAGTTAAGAGATTAAAATAGAGGAGAGGGAAGAAATTAGCATGTATTGAACACCTACACTAAACCAAGTTCTAGGCTTGGAATTTTTGCATATTTGTTATCTTATTTAATGCTCACAACAACCCTGTGAGATTGCTGTACTACAGGGAGGAATGCTTTAGGTGCAGGTAATGGAATACCCAATTGCCAATGTCATATGGAATAAAGATTCTTCACTCTCAGATAAGAAGTCTGGAGACACACACAATCCCAGAGTCCATGCAGCAACTGACACTGCCCCCAGAGGGTTGACAAGGGTTGCATGCCAGGTTCTGGACAGAAATATAGTTAGAATTCAGCACTAATCAGGCTGCACTTTGGCCCATTTCCTTGTTGCTAAAGGTCGGGTAGTGCTAGATCCTGACTGTTTGCATCCCCATTGCTCCTACAGACAGGGTCTCTGACATCAGAATCCTAAAGCTTTTTTTTTTTTTTTTTTTTTTTTTTGAGACAGAGTTTCACTCTTGTCGCCATGCTGGAGTGCAGTGGCACAATCTCGGTTCACTGCAACCTCCACCTCCCGAGTTCAAGCAATTCTTCTGACTCAGTGTCCCAAGTAGCTGTGATTACAGGCGCCCCCCACCACACCTGGCTAATTTTTGTATTTTTAGTAGAGACGGGGTTTCACCATGTTGGCCAGGCTGGTCTCACACTCCTGACATCAAATGAGCCACCCCCCTCAGCTTCCCAAAGTGCTGTGATTACAGGTGTGAGCCACCGCGCCTGGCCGAATCCTAAAATTTTATGTAGCGTATCCATACAATGAAATAATATTCAGCCATAAAAATGAATAAAGTAGTGATACACACTATAACATGGATAAACCTTGAAAACATTATGCTAAGTAAAAGAAGCCAGTCATAAATACTATATATTAGATTCCTTATGTGAAATGCCCAAAATAGGTATATCCATAGAGAGAAAAAGTGGATTAATAGTTGCTTAAAGCTTGGGGATGTAGGGGGTTGGGGAGTGATAGCAAAAGCATAGAGAGTTTCTTTTTGAGGTGAAGAAAATATTCTAAAATTGGTTGTAGTGAAGTTTGCACAACTCTGTGAAGATACTAGGAATACTTTAAGTGGGTGAATTGTATGGTATGTGTAGTATATGTCTCAATAAAGCTGTTAACAGCCCCTCCAAAAAAAAATCATAAGGCTTTTGTTTAAGGATCACTTCGGATGTTTTTCACAGAGGAATGGGATCAGTAAGAGAATTCAGCTTCTTCATCTCCCTGTCCCATGACTTCACCCTGTACTCTTCAGCCAATCAATGATCTCCACAGTTTGGCCCACTCCAAAATCCTTTAAAAACCCTAGCCCCAAACTCCTCAGGGAGATAAATTTGAAGTTCCTTCCCTTCTCTTCATCCAGCAACCCTATGATTAAACTTCTTTCTCTGCTGCAACCTAGTGTCTCAGCATATTGACTTGCCTCGCACATTGAGCAATGAACCTATTACAGTTCCACAGCTCAGCAAAATGCTCAAGGACCCAGCTTCTTTCTATTTTTCTGCATCACCATCCTTGCTGTGTTTTCTTTTCTTTCTTAGGCTTATCACCTCATGGTTGCAGAATGGCTGCCACAGCTCCAAGCATCACATCCTCACCCAACCACATTATGGTAGGAAGATGACAGTAGGACTCTTTGACATAATCAGAAAGAAAAATCTCATTGGTTAAAATTAGGTCACATGCCCTCTCCTAAACCAATCAATAGCTAAAAGAAAATGACATGATTATGCTTAGATCCGACCAATTGCAGTTTATCTTGCTGAAGCTGCAGGAGAGGCCCTTCTTCCCTAATGTTTCATCTAAACAAAATCAAAGGAGAAAGGGAGATTGGCTTGTGGATGAAAAACAAACAGTGACATCCTTGGGTATTATTCCTACTTTACAGCTAAGGAAACAGATTTAGGAGTTTTCAAATAAGTTGCTCAAGGTCATCTAGCTGCCAATCGGTAGAGCTAGGATTCAAGCCCAAATTCGTCTGACTGCAAAGCCCTTTCTACTCCATTGTCAGGGTCTTTGGGCAGATTTACAGAGCTAAGTGCCAGAGCACAGCTAGAACTATGGGAACTCCAGTGGGAGCTTCACCCTCACCCCAGGCGCCTGGGCACTCCCTTTACACATACAATGCCATTGCACAGTTCCCATCTTCCTTCCTCCCTTTGAATATTTCCAGTGCCTCTGGAGTAGCCACGGTGCCACAATTGATGGTGCATCACTGGAGGAGCTCCCACCACGTAATGTATTCCAGCCTGAGAAGCCTCCAGTCAGGGCTTCAGGGTCTGCAAAATGATTTAGAGTCCTGCCTCTCCCTCACCATAAATCCAGAAGCCTGTACATCACATTTCCTGCAATAAGGATACGTGTACCTGAGCCTGATAAATAGATAGTCCCCCATCTACCCACCCTAGCCTTCTGCCTGCTCTTCTCCAGAAGAAACAGCCTCAGCTATTTCAACTCAGCATATTTTACCCTCTTCCTACCACCCTTCTGGCTCCCAGAGAAGCATCCCAGGTACGCTTGCTTCTGTCCTGATGATCAGGTATTACAGGCTCATTCATCGTGCTGATGCGTGTCAACTTCAGGCCCATGAGGCCAATTTGATAGCCAGAAAACATCCTTGTGGGTGGCTCCCACTTGACCTCCCTTCTCACCCTCCACTGGGCCTGGGAGTTCACTGGTGTTTCACACAGGACTGTCACGGGAACTGTGAAACGGGTTCCTACTCCTTCGCGAGTGGCGTCTTCCAAGTGGAAAACACACACACAAACACACCCGGGAAGGCTCGTAGTGACCACTGCAACCTCCTTCCCCTACTCAGCCCCACTCCACCTTGCTTGAGGTGCCATGCCCTCCTAGACTGGCCAGAGGGCTGCAGCAGTCACCACTCAGCCAGCCGGCCACTGCCCTATCCCTGTCATGGAAGAAACACGTGTTCCTGAGCATTGAGTTCCAGAAGCTCAAGGAAAATTCAAGACTGGTGTCACATGCAGGCTGGGACTTGGAAAAGATGTAATGGTCAAAGAACTATAGAATATAGAAGATGAAACCAGAGGGGAAAATGTTCAAGATCATCTCGGCTGTTGATTTTCAAACTACTTTTTCCCAGCAGAACTTTGTCTTCCAAATGAGATGTTTACATAGAACTTTCAGATATCAAATACAAACGAGGCCACTCTAATAAAGCAGAGGTGGCGAACTCGGGGTATACCTTGGCCTTCAGCGAATCCTCGAGCTCTGTGGAACATGGTTACAAAATCATTGCTCTCGTCGTTTCTTTAATTTGAACAATGGGGAAACTGAGGCCCACAGAAGGGAAGTGATTTGTATGCAAAATGGGGAAATCTGAGATGTTGGAAACTGTTTGCCAAAACCAGAGGCCAACAGTAGGCAAAGGTCTCCAAAGCTAGAGTTTGGGGGAAAGAGAAAGGGGCGGGTCAGAGGGAGCCAGAGTTGGGAGCTCTGAAGCAGAGGACCCTGTGACTGGCTACCTTGGACAGAGCTTCAGTGGACGGCTCTGGGGCCTGGATGAAAGGCTCTCTGCTCCAGAGGAGAGGCCAGGCTTTCATTGTTTTTTTCCCACACCAGGCCTTGGGGGAGGTATTTCAGGGCAATCTTTCACCAGACTCAACGCCTGTCAGCCATTTAACACACTGAATAAAATGCCAATGCCTCACCTAGAACAGCTCCAGAGTGAAAAGTCGATTGAAGCTGATCCAAAGCTAACTTGGAACTTTAATTCTTGTGCCGCTGTTGGCCCCAGCAAAGGCCCTGACTTGTTTGCAGAGACAGAACAGGGGACACTCATATTCCAGACGGAGCAGGACAGAGAGTCTGGGAATTGAGGAAGGAAAGGAATCCCTTCCCTGTCTTCCTCCCCGGAGCCTAACAAGATCTTGAGTTGCGGGGCTTCTGTTTTATGCAAATGTGGAAGGGAAAGAACTAAGCAGAAACCTCCTAGAGCAAAATATAAAATGTGATGCCTTCAAGCCTTGGTTCTCCAGTGATCCCCAGACCAGCAGCATCAGCACCTGCTGGAAAGTTGTTAGAAATGCCAGTTCCAGGGCCCCACCCTAGACCTGCTGATGTGGACCTTCATCTCAGCACCCCACTTCCTGGGCTACTGCAGCAGCAGTTGGGCTAAGGAGACTTGGGATGTGATGGGACCATTTGAGGTCGAGTTCTAAAGAGAACAGAAACCTCCTGAAGATGACCCAGAGGGGGCTGTTGCTAGAAAGAATAAGAAACCTGTTTCGGCTGGGTGCCGTGGCTCATGCCTGTAATCCCAGCACTTTGGGAGGCTGAGACAGGCAAATTACCTGAGGTCGGGAGTTCAAGACCAACCTGACCAACATGGAGAAACCCCGTCTCTAATAAAAATACAAAATTAGCCGGGCATGGTGGCGCATGCCTGTAATCCCCCAGCTACTCGGGAGGCCGAGGCAGGAGAATCGCTTGAACCAGGGAGGCAGAGGTTGTGAGGAGTGGAGATCGTGCCATTGCACTCCAGCCTGGGCAACAAGAGCGAAACTCCTTCTCAACAACAACAAGAAAGAAAGAAAAGGAAAGAAACCTGTTTCAAAAATAACAAGAGTTGTTCAGGATGGAGAAATCAGAACCCATACATGTTGCTGGTGAGAATGTAAAATGGTGCTCTCACTGGGGAAAGCAGTTTGGTGGTTCCTTAAAAAGCTAAACATAGAATTATCATTTGATCCAGCCATTCCACTCCTAGGTATGTACCCAAAGGAATCGAAAGCAGGAACCCAAGACTGGGCGCGGTGGCTCATGCCTGTAATCCCAGCACTTTGGGAGACCGAGGCAGGTGGATCACCTGAGGTCAGGAGTTTGAGACCAGCCTGACTAACATGGTGAAACCCCATCTCTACTAAAAATACCAAAATTAGCCAGGCGTAAGCCAGGCATAGTGGCAAATGCCCATAATCCCAGCTACCTGGGAGGCCGAGGCAGGAGAATTGCTTGAAGCTGGGAGGCAGAGGTTGCTGTCAGCTGAGATCTTGCCACTGCACTCCAGCCTTGGTGACAACAGCAAGACTCTGTCTCAGAAAAAAAAAAAAAAAGAAAGAAAGCAGGAACTCAAACAAGATACTTGTACACAAATATTCACAGCAGCATTATTCATGATAGTCAAAAGATGGAAACTACCCAGTGTTATCAGTAAATGAATGGATAAACAAAGTGTATATAGACAATGGAATATTATTCAGCCATAAAAAGGAATGATGTTCTGACACATGCTACAACATGGATGAACCTTGACATTGTGCTAAGTGAAAGAAGCCAAATATAGAGGGACAAATATTTCACTTATATGAGGTACCTAGAATAGGCAAATTAGCAGGACAGAAACATTGATTAGAGGTTACTAGGGGTTGGGTGGTGTGGGGGATGTGGAGATGTTGCTTAATTGGTTCAGAGTTTCTGTTTGGGGCAATGAAAAAGTTTTAGAAATAGATAGTGGTGATGATTGTACAACATCCTGAATGTGATTGATGCCCCTAAATTATCCCCTTAAAAATGATTAAAATGGGCCATGTGCGGTGGCTTACGCCTGTAATCCCAGCACTTTGGGAGGCTGAGGCAGAAGGATTGCTTCAGGTCAGGGTTCGAGACCAGCCTAGCCAACATGACAAAACCCCGTCTCTACTAAAAATACAAAAATTAGCCGGGTATGGTGGCGCATGCCTGTATTCCCAGCTCCTCGGGAGGCTGAGGCAGGAGAATGACTTAAACCCAGGAGGCAGAGGTTGCAGTGAGCCAAAATTGTGCCACTGCACTCCAGCCCGGGCAGCAGAGTGAGACTCAGTCTCAAAAACAAAACAAAAAACAAAAACAAACAAAAAAATGATTAAAAAGGTAAATGGTAAATTTTATGTTATGTCTATTTTCCCACACAAATTCTGCTGGTGGAAGATTAAGGCAGGGTCGACTTACAGGTGGCTGTGAAGTGAGAACAGGCGTCAGGGAGGAGACCCCTGTGAAGCCAGGCAAGAGCTGAGGCTCAACTGGGAAGGGCAAAGGACCGTGATGGGGCCAGGCAGGCGTGAGGGACAGAGAAGGGGAGAAGGTACAAGTTCAGGGGTATCAGTAAGTCTATCTCAGGGTTGAAGACATTGGAATACAGTCAAGGGATTAGACAGAGGAAGACAGCTCAGGCTACTATGATTATGCTACTGCACTCCAGCCTGGGATGGCTCTGGGTTTGAAGGATTTGGGGAAACCAGACTGCAATCCTAACTAAGCTAGTCTTGAAGATTTAGCTTCCCAGGCTGGCCACGGTACTGGCCTGGGCAGGGCCATAGAACTGCTCAGTGGCTATTTCTGGCCACCTGCACACATCTAAAGTTACTGTGCCTCTCTGAACCTCCCAGGTGTCTCCTGCACCTCCTGAGGCCTGAGCTACAGCCCTGGAGAGGCCTGAACCCCCACCTCAGCTGCTTGACCTGAGGGAAAACGAGGTGGCCTGGGTCATCTAGGGACTTGACAGCCAGAAGAAGAGCGGAGTGCATGTGAGTACCAGGGAGGTGTGGACACACCCAGCTGAGCACTGGCTTGACTGTTACTCTGAACCTCACCCAAGATCACATGGATAGTCAATGAAGGATAATCAGGCCTCCTGGCTGGATTCACCAAGCACCTACACAGGTGCTCAGAGGCCCTTTCTCTGTACTCTAGAAAAGCAAGTCCCTTCCTTTTGTGGGCTTAATTTCCTCCTGTATAAAATGAGGAGCTGAGGCCAGGTGTGGTGGCTCATGCCTGTAATCCCAGCACTTTGGGAGGCCATGGCGGGAGGATTGCTTGAGCCCAGGAATTTGAGACCAGCCTGGGAAACATAGTGAGACCCTGTCTCTATAAAAATAAAAAAAAATAGCTGGGTGTGGTGGCATGCAACTGTAGTCCCAGCTACTTGGAAGGCTAAGGTGGGAGGATCACTTGGGCCCAGGAGGTCAAGGCTTCAGTGAGCTGTGATCACCCCATCACTGCACTCCAGCCTGGACAGGAGAGTGAGACCTGTCTCAAAAAAAATAAAAATAAAAAGGAACTGGACTAGGGATCTTCCAAGTCCCTTCTGGCTCTGAACTTCTAGGACTTTTAGGAGAGGGTCATGACTTATGGGGAGGTAAGGGTGGGGAGGCCTGAGTAAGAATGGGAGGGGGAGGAATAAACTGAAACTAAAGGTGACAGGTGGCTCCTTGGCAAAGGGATTACCCAAGTCCCTTCCATTAGCGTGACCTAATGATTCCGTGAGTTAATCCATAAATGCTGTGCGCAGCCTGGCACATAGTAAGCTCTCAATCATTTTTTAGCAGCGATTATTATTATGATTATCAGCAGCCTAGATTTATAAACACTCTGCTTACTTAATCGCCGGTACCCACAAATCTTCAAATGACCACATCATTGAATCAAGAATTACTGAGTCATTGAACCTGAACGCTGCTGGACCATCAAAAGTGAGTCTCTCCAAGTCACAGCATGGACCCATCGCTGAGTCGGCACAAAGTGCCCTGCCGAGCCATGCCTCTATCCATGTTGCCCTTGCTGCTTTTGGTGTCCTTCTAGATCTTTCCACAAGGCAAATTCCGCTTGAAGGTCCAATCCATGGATGCACTGTGTGGACATGACTTCATGTGACTCTCCCAACTCCATAAATAGTTACTGCCATATGGTACTAATAAGGAAACTGAGGTCCTCAGAAGTCACACAGCCTGGTGTTTCATGCTAAGGCCCATGGGTGGCTGGTGTTTCACTCTAAGGTCCATGGGTGGCTTCCAGCTTCCCGAATGAGCTGAGCTAACTTTTCCCTCCGTGCTGCCCGGTTATTTTACCTTCATGTGTAGCACACTCCACAGCACCCTGTAATTTCTCTGGGTGCCTGTTTCCCCAGCCCCCTAGACTAGGAGCGCCATACAGGCTGACAAGGGTCATGTCTGACCTTCCTCATGTTCCCCACAAGTGCCAGGTTCATCAGGGGTGCCAAACAGGTGCTTTGAATGGGATCATCCGTAGAAGGGTCTTGACTACTGTCCAGGTAGCATGGGGATGGACCTTGTGAGGGAAACGACATCCTGGGGCTTGAGTCTCCATCTTCCTTTGGGTACCCAGCCCACCCCGAAACTGGAGGTGGTCTGCATTCCCCACTCTTGCAGTGGCCCTGCTGGAATCATGTGCTGGCCCACCTTTTCCTGCCTTAGCATGGTCTACCATGATGGTTTCCATGGTGGGTGCTGAACCCACTGGAGAGCAGGTAAAAGCTCAGGCCCCCTTCCCAGAAAAGAATTCTAAACCCGGCCACGTAAGATTTTTTTCACACCCATAAAGTTTTGCATATAATATCAACGGATTTTCTTTTCTTGAGACAGGTTCTCCCTCTGTTGCCCAGGCTGGAGTGCAGTAGCATAATCTTGGCTCACTGTAGCCTCAAATTCCTGGGCTCAATCGATCCTCCTGCCTCAGCCTCTCAAGTAGCTGGGACTACAGGCTCAGGCCACTATGCCTGGCTAATTTATTTTAAAAATTTTTGTAGAGATGGGGGTCTCACTATGTTGCCCAGGCTGGTCTTGAACTCTTAGCCTCAAGCAATCCTCCCACCTTTGCCTGCCAAAGTGCTGAGGTTACAGGTGTGAGCTACCACACCTGGCCCAATATCAATGGATTTTAAAGTTCATCAGTGGGGCCTCTAAATTGCACCCCAAATTAGAGAAAAGCCCAGGAAGCTTGGGAAGCAACTAGTATAAATAACAGAGATAGGGCACTGAGCTCTCTGGGTGGACATAGGGGTCACAGTGAACTTCAGAGGGGAGCCCAAACCATCCCTCCCTAAACCTTCTTGGGCCATCCTCACATCTCCCCCACCTCTTCCTTGGCCCACCTTCTCTGAGAAAGCCTCTGCTCTCCCCAGTATGGCTATACCACAGAGGTTTGTCTAATGTGTGAGTTGTTTTGTATTCGCTTCATTAGAAAGCCTTTTAAAATGCATTTTCAGGTCTGTGTTCAGTACAGTGTGTATCCAAATAAAAATTCTCTGGCAAATCACCTTAAGAAGTTTGGCTGTTTTTATTCCTTCCCAGCCAGCATTGTCAGTACAAACCAAGGGAGAATGTCATAAACCATAAAGCAAATTTGGGGCATCCGAGGGCCCTGACCTGCCTGATTATCTCCAACACTACATCTAACTGGTGGGGACCTGTGGCTATCACCTGTGCAGCTAGACCAGAAGATAGACTGTGAGATATCAGTAACCCCTTCCCACACCCAGACCCAGGTTGACCTTGACCACAGTCATAAAACTAGCCCTTCATAGGGGTTCTCGTCTCAGTTTTACAGATGAGGAAAAAGGCTCGGGGAGATGACAGAGACCCAGTGGGTCCCTGGCAAGGCCTGGTCATCTGGCAAGGTGAAGAGGGCCTCAGAAACCACTGCTGGCGTGTGCTTTTCTGCTGGTTAAACATTCCAAGAGAAAAGAAAACACTCAGAGATTGTAGACAGAACCTAGAATTGGCCTGGAGTTTTCTAGATGCTGTAGTTCAATCAGCTCAAAAAGGCCCAGACAGGGCCGGGGACAACTGTGGGGACAGGGCTGGCAGCGGGGCTCCAGACCAAGTGCAGGGCTGCTGACTCTGAGTGATGACATTTGACTCCAGTCCCACAAGAGGGGTGATGTGTCTGACAAAGGGGCAGCAGGAAGACAGCTGAGCCTTCCACTCCAACTCAGGTTTCTGACGTCTCTGTGCAGTTTCTGCGGCAACAATTCCTTTTAGAAGTGAGACAGAGGGCAGCATGGATTTCTCCTCTGAGCACAGGGGCCTGATGTCCTCAGGAGACCACCTGTGTCCTTAGATCAGATGTGGCCCTGCTTCCCATCTGGTTTTCTGTGCCCATCCTACTCTTCCTCTGCCTTGATGGTACCTGCACAGACTCAGGGGCATCTTGAGTCAGATGTGCTTCTCCCTGGGTGGGTGATAATCTCAGTCCTGCCACAGAGGCAAGTAATGA
The DNA here is from genome assembly GCF_000001405.40 of Homo sapiens. Lineage (NCBI taxonomy): Eukaryota > Metazoa > Chordata > Mammalia > Primates > Hominidae > Homo > Homo sapiens. Next base: position 45,654,198 of record NC_000017.11, on the reverse strand, counting down.
AGTGGCCCAACCCAATGCCTTGCACACAGTGGGCATTCAATAAGCTTTTGCTGAGTTAGAAATTTGGGGGGTGGGGGAAATCATGAGGGAGATGTAGAATCTGGAAGACCAAGTCTGTTGGGGGAAAACACATTGACATCTACTGGCTCCAAAGGAATATGGTTCTGTCCTAGACAGAGGAGGCTTTATTGGGAGGCTAATAAGCTTATGCTTAAGGCCCACTACTGCAGAGTTTACGAGCCCCTTCCTAGGCCCCGTATCTAATTTGACATCCATAATTTTGCATTATTTTTCTTATACAAAGCACCGAAAATTGTATAAGCTTCAGGTTTCACAAAACCTGGATCTGTCCCTGGTCCTGATGCTCTCTAGCTTTGCAAACTCTGAGCCCCTCGACCCACTTGAGGGTAGAATCCCAGAATTAGATGGGCTCTCAAAAGAGTATCTGGTTTGTCCCTCAAGCAGGTATTAAAGATCCATCAACTCCCAGGAACTCTTTTTTTAGGGATCTGCAAGGATAGATATCACCTTGTCTTGGTCCATTTTTTGCTGTTATAACAGAATGCCAGGGGTTGGGTAATTTATAAACAATAGAAGTTTATTTGGTTCACAGTTCCAGAGGCTGGGAAGTCTGAAATTAGGGGACAGCATTTAGTGAGGGCCTTTTGGCTGCATTGTAACAGGTGGAGGATGGCCGGGCACAGTGGCTCATGCCTATAATACCAGCACTTTGGGAGGCTGAGGTGGGTGGATCACTTGAGGTCAGGAGTTCGAGACCAGCCTGGCCAACATGGTGAAACCTCATCTCTACTAATACAAAAAATTAGTCGAGCGTAGCCACGGGCACCTGTAATCCTAGCTACTTGGGAGGCTGAGGCAGGAGAAGTGCTTGAACCTGGGAGGTGGAGGTTGCAGTGAGCCAAGGTTGCGCCACTGCACTCCAGCCTGGGCAACAGAGTGAGACTCCGTCTCACACATACACATACACACACACACACACACACACACACAAAGATAAGAGGAGACATTTCACCCATGATACCAAAACAAACAACTATACACAAAAGAATAATTTAAACTGGATTGTGGTGATGGTTACAGACCTCTGTAAATTTACTAAAAATCATTGAATTAGACACTTAAAATGAGTGAATTTTAGAGTATGTAAAGTGTACCTCCAATAAAACTTTTTTTAAAAAAAAGAATAATCAGAAAAACAGTGCAAAGTACTGAAAATTTGATCCCATAAATAAAATAGTCAGTAGAAGATTTGGAAGATAAGGTCAAGGAAATCTACCTGGAAGAGGAAAAAAAATAAAGGTATGGAAAATCAGAGAGAAAATAGAAAAGCAGAAGATCCATCTAGGAGGCCCAGCAAAAGGAATAGGGAGTAGAAGAAATGGAGGAGAGTCCATTATCAAAGAAATAATACAAAATCACTTCCTAGGACTGAATGACCTGCATCTGCAGAGTTTACGAGCCCATTGTGCACCCAATACAATGAATGAAAAAAGGCCCACGCTAATTTCATAGTGATGTATATGAAGGTAAAATCTTAAAATTTAGGCCAGGCATAGTGGCTTACGCCTGTAATCCTAGCAGTTTGGGAGGCCAAGGCAAGCGGAACACTTGAGGTCAGGAGTTCAAAACCAGCCTGGCCAACATGGTGAAACCCCATCTCTGTTAAAAATACAAAAATTAGCTGGCCGTGGTGGCACATGCCTGTAATCCCAGCTACTTGGGAGGCTGAGGCACAAGAATTGCTTGAACCTGAGAGGCGGAAGTTGCAGTCAGCAGAGATCGCACCACTGGACTCCAGCCTGGGTGACAGAGTGAGACTCCATCTCAAAAAAAAAAAAACACTTAAAATTTTCCACAGAGCAAAATAAAAGATTATAAAAAAAGATCAAGACTAAGAATGGCATTGGACTTCTCCCTGGCAACTTCTTATTCTAGAAGTCAGAAAACAATAAATGTATTCAAATCGCTCTCTTACAGTGTAAAAACAACAAAAGACAAACTTTAATTTTACAAAGCAGGTTTTCCATAAGATCAAAATGTGTGTGTGTGGAGGGATGGTTCCATGTTCATCTCTTCTTCACTCTCTCTCTTTGCGTCATCATCTCTGTGTCGTACTCTCCTTCCTTCCCATCTGCCCTTCCCGTTCTATCTTTTCTGTGCTCTCTCTTCCTTTACTGGCCATCACATAGAACTGGAGGAATTTTTTCTAATTACTTCCTTCATTTGTGAAGTCATTTTATGTTCTCTGTTCTCCATTTTAAAAGCAAACAAGCGGAACACTTCATTTCTGCATTAAAAAATCTAAACTAAATTGCTTGTTTGTTTGTTCCCTCTGTAGCCTTTGACGCATCTCCCTGGGTTCTCACTGGGAAGCCCCGTCTCACTTTCCTCCAAGTGGGTGCAGTTCAGGTTTCGTGAGTGCCTTCAGTTGGGAACAAGAGGCTCCGCTACCCCTAAACTCAAACTCATCCTGTACATTTAGAGACAATTCCAAACTGGTCTCTCCTAGTTTATTAGGAAAAAAGAGTTGAGAGCTTTGGTCCTCAATAGGAAAAGACCTCCTCATTCTAGATCCTTGTATCCAGCGGGCCTTCCAAACCCCAACCCTTCACTAAAGCAGGTTGGTCACTTTAAGCCAGGCTTCCAGCAGGGGTGGGAGGCTGCTCCGTGTCAAGACTTGTGCAGGGGTGGATGATGACATCAGTAATGACAATCCATTCCTCAGCACGCATTTGCGGAGTGCCACTATGTGCTCGGTCCTGCAGAGAAAGCTGAGACTTGGCTGTTCTTGGCCTCAAGAACTCAAGGTCTAGGGTAAGGAGAACAGACACCTAAACAAATAATGACCACCCAGTGTGACAGTGTGGTAGTAAAAGCATGTCCAAGGCATCAGGGCCACTGGTGGGAGGTAGGGACTCCCGTGATCCTGGAGCACTGCAGGCTCCCAGAGCTTCCTGGGGACTGAGGCTTGGGGACATGTGGGACGCTCAGATGGAGAAGGCCCGATCCAGGGGAGGGCAGGCTGGGCAGAGGGAGCAGCCATGCCAAGGCACAGAGGTGTGTAAGAACATTTCTGTGTGACTCTGGGGATGCGTGGCATGATTGAGGGGTGGGCAGATAGCCTAACTTTCCCCCCGAAGCTTCCCAAGCCCTCATGATATCTATTACCCTGCCTAGGCAAAGGCAGCAATGTCTGGTTCTGCACAATCCAGGGGAGACCTGTGAGTGACATCCCTGTCATTAGCAGGGCAGAGGGGCACTGTCCACGGATAAGCTTTCGAATGTGACAGCCAAGCTGTCAGCCAGCAGACCCATTCACTCCCAGCCAGAATCTCACCTCTGCTGCCCCCATCTTGTCTTGGGAAGGAGGATCTCCATCCCGCTGAATCACCCGGCTCTTCCTGGACGCTGAGGCCAATAGCAGCTCTCTTTTCGGTGGGGGCTGGGCAGGCTCCGTCTTCAGGGCCTGGGTGTCTCCAGATTCTGGCTCCCCCGTGACGATGATGAATCCTGCATCAGCATGGACTAACTGCTGTTCTGCCTAGCTGTGGGCACTCGGAGGGTCCTGTGCAGGGCTCACTGTTTATTCCATCTCTGTAGCCCCCCATCCTCCCCCTCCCCAGCGCCTGGCACAGGGCAGGCACTTCATCCGTGTTTGTTGAATAAATAATGTGCTAAGAAAGGGAAGATGAAAGGGAGAAAGATAGGGAGACAGAGAAGTGAGATTGATTTTTTAATGGGAGAAAAAGAGACTAGATATTGGGGCACCTAGGGCACCAAGCACACAGACATGACCCCAAGACCTGGAACCGATGCACAATTGGCCACAGAGATGACAACAGCCCCAGATAACACCTGTGGGGCACTTTTTAAATGCCAGGCACTGCTGCCATCTCCTTATAAGCATGAACTTGGTGAACTCTCACAACTCCATTTTGTAGTCCAGAAAACTGAGGCAAAATGTGGCTAAGTAACTTGCCCAAGGCCACACAGCTAATGCATGAACCCAGGCAGCCTGGCCTCAGAACCTGCCCTTCTAACCATGCAGTGTGACACGTAATCATGGCCGTGGCAGGGAGCAGTCTTCATAGGATCCAGAGGAGATAGTAGCCCCATGGGACAAGAGCACTGACCAGGAAGGAAGGGCTGTCACTACTCCCTGGCGATTTGCTCAGTGCAGGCTCTGGGCCTCTGGCCTTGGCACTGGCTTCCTGGAGACAATCCTGCACTCCCTGGCCGCTGCAGTGTGCTGGCTGGAAGATTGCTGATGAGAAGGTGATGGTCTCCAGGAGGACTTATTTGGCCTCCGGTGCCAACTGTGGGTCAAAGGAGCCCAGCTCCCAAAACCTTTGACACCATCTCTTTTTGTTGCAGAAACAGCCGGCCAGATGGTCAGCTCGCTTTGCCAGGTGCCCAGATCCCTGCCAGCACGGCTGTCTGAAAATGTCAGCAGAGTAAAGGTGTGTTCCCACAGCAGCTTTCGAGAGGTACCAAGAAGCCTTCCTCTGCAGAGCCCACCGTCTCTTCCCTGGCACGTCCTTCCCTCCCTAACTCTCCTTGTCGTCTCCTCCCCGGGCTGATACCTCCTACCCCAATGTCTGCTCCTGATCTAATAGTCAGCACTATTTGAATATCCCCATGTGCCAGGCACTATACCAAGCCTATTGCAAGCCTCTTCTCATTGAACCCTCACCACTGCATCCTATAAAGCAGGTACCATCTCTTCTTTTTATACGCAGGGAAGGGAGCCTTGGGGCCTTCCTTAACAAGCCCCTGGTCACACAAATGCTAAACGGTGGAGCTTGGATTCCAAACAGGATGTGGTGGCGCCAAAGCCTAGCTCTTTAGCTGGCTCTGTGAAGACAGGCCTTTGCCTTCTAAGCTTCATACAGGGGTCTTGGGGTCTTCTTTCTTTTAGCATTGGCTTTTTCAGTCTGCCTACCTTCATCTTGGATGGGAAACTAAGTCAAAACAAGGGTGTTTCCAAGAGTGGAGCTGGCAGCCTCTGTCACAGGCGGATGGGAGCCCAAGGCGTCATCTTCATCTAATGCTAAAATGCTTCACAGGGATTAAACACACTGCCTGCTGCAGTGGTTCCTAGGGGGCCAAGTGGGGGCTGGGTGGCTTAATTTGGTGAGGTGTGAATGTGATGGCGGGGGGAACTTTTGTGAGGGATACACACCCAGGACATGCAGGTAAAGGAAATCCAGACTGGATCCACCTATAGTGCCAAACACGCCCACATCTAGTCTGGCTTGACTAGACTTGGACATGTTTAATCAAGCTGCCCTGATTTACTGCTGGCTGCATTCTCCAGGCACAGCGCCATCTGCAGGGAAGCCCTGCACCAGCAAGGGTGGGGGGGCTGGTCCTAGGGCCTGTCCCAAGACCCTGTGATGGTCAGCATTTAAGGTAAAGTTTGTGAGCTACAAAGCCGGCACCGATTGCTGTCCTTTCAAGCTTAGGGCAGTCGTACAGGCACCACCTCTTCTCAACAACCAACCTCCTGAAATGATTTGGGCAGATATTATCATGCCCATTTTACAGATGACGAAACTGGGCCTCAGAAAGCCAGTCACCCCCCAGCGATGGTGCCAGGCAGGATTCCAACTCAGGCTCTTTGACAAAAAACTCTGGGCTCTACATCTGCCTCTCCTGATGCAGAAGAAAGAGAAGAAGTGTGGAGGGTGAAGGATGAAGCGAAAAGCTGCTGGCTGGATGGACTGAGAGCCAGGATTCGTGGCTTGGTTCTGTTCGCACTGTCTCTGCTGCCAAGCCCTACTCACCCCAGCCAGGAAGAGCAAACATTCCCAGACACAACATCCTCCTGGGTCTGTCATCAGGTTGACACAGAGAAAACTGAGCTCCTTACAGGAGACTGTCAGGGTGGGCTGGGGTGGAGTTTTTAAGTGTCTCAATAACTGGGAAGATAATTGAAGACATTATATTTTTTACTCTTTTCAGTGCCTGTCTCAGCAGCAAGCACTTGTCAGCCAGATCTTGGAGGCCAAAGCCTGTCTACCCTAACACAAAGAAGACACTCAAGTTGTCTAAATTCATCGACTTTTCTGAAATTTGAAATCTGCAATTTCCCGAGCTGTGTTCTGTTGTTAAGTGGCTGTCCAAATTCCTGAGCTCATGTTTAAGTGTCGCTGATAAAGAAGGAAACAATCCAATCAGGTTTACATTGGCGGTTCAATTAGGCACATATGAAGTAGTCACTCCAAAGCGGTTCACAGCAAATTTATTCCTGGGACAACCTTCTTTTACCACCCAACTTAAATCTCCCAGGAATTTGTTCCAAGAATAGAAGCTAACTGCTATAATATCCCGAGCTAATTGCAATACTATCCTGATTGGAGCCTAATTAGAAGGCAGATCTGCCTCACTAGCCAACACCACCTCTCCTCCTACACAGAGCCCTCAGAGATAGATTCTCTTGTCCTAGACAACTTTGTTATTTGATTATCTACACTGCAGCTCTTTCTTGCTAATTTACCACTTTTACATATTTATGCCCCCTAATTAGTCAACAAGTATTTATTAAACACCTACTGCATGCTCATCCCATGCATCCCAAGCAAACAGAAGGATGTTTGCTTCTGGTTCCAAAGAGAAATACATGCTTCTTTGGGGTGCTGGTCTCTTTTGGGGTCTTCAGTCAGATGAACAAGTAACGTATATGAGCAGAAGCTCATGCCTGTAATCCCAGCACTTTAGGAGGCCAAGGTGGGCAGATTGCTAGAGCCCAGGAGTTCAAGACCAGCCTGGACAACATAGTGAAACCCCACCTCTACTAAAAATACAAAAAATTAGCTGGGCATGGTGGTGTGCACCTGTCATCCCAGCTACTTGGGAGGCTGAGGTGGGAGGACCACCTGAGCTCGGAAAGTCAAGCCTGCAGTGAGCCGAGATGGCACCAATGCACTGGTGCATTAGACAATGCCTGGACAATGAACCTTGTCTCAAAAAGTAAAATAAAATCATACATATGCAGGAGTATTTGCACATAAAACACACGCCTGGAAAAATACATGTCTGGGGTATTTGCATATGCCTTGTGGAGAATTTCTAGGCTCGGTTAAAAGGAGAAAGAAACTAAATTATATTGTTCTGGAACTCTTCTCCACATCACTCAGCCAAGGAGCATAAGGAGAGTGCTTTCATTTCATTCATTAACTCACCAAATATTTGCTGAACATTGACCCTGTGCTTGGCCTTGGAAGAGAATTTTGCAAAAACACAGTCCCTTATTTCAGATTTGACAACACAGTGGGGAGACTGTATCTTTTTTTTAACGCAAATCATAGCACAGAGGCAACATTCAGGACTGATGAGGAAATTTGGCTCTTGGGAAATGGTCAGAACAGCTCATTCTGCTAAGAGCAGAGCATCTTGAAAAGTTTTACCCTGCTCGTTGCCCCACTTAGCCCTCTGCAGGTCGAGGAAGCAGAGGAGGGAGCCACTCCTGTGGACTCAATTCTCACCCTCGCTGGTGAAAACAGAAATGATGGGTTCACATTGCTCACAGCTCCCCCTGGAACGACTTCCTTCTCTCCACTTCCAGACCCAAGCCCAGGCTTCCCAGGTTTCACCTTTGGACCTTTTCCCACTCCCCGCACCCGGGGCCCAGTGCTCAACCCACCTCTCCGCCCTTCACATCCTTCCGTGGTTAAATGTTGGCTTCTCTCTTCCCATCTGTGGCTGTCTGTTACCCCAAGTCAAGGCCTTACATCATCTTGCTCGCCTCAGGGGACCCACCCCTCCTGCAGCCTCGGAAGGCTGAACTCCTCCGGTGCCCAGTTTGTCCTGACCTCAGAAGTACAACCCACTCCACTTGGAGGAAGCAAAGAGGGTTTTTAAAGAAATACAAGCAGCTTCACTGAGAGCTCATGGCTAAGCTCAGATTTTAAGAGGACAAGAACAAGAAAAACTAAAAGACAAATTGTAAGAATAGTTTCAGAAATGTTTACTAATGAGATGAATACATGGAAGGCGTTTAGCACAGTGCCTAAAACACAGTAAGTAACCAACAAATGGTAGGTGGTATTAATACTATTATTATTAAATCCCAGAATGACGGGATTACAAGAAAATGCACACGTAACAAAAGCAGCCTTAAAAAGCTAATTTTTTTTTCAGGGCCAGAGCAACAGGAAAGAGATAGACCCATTATTCAAGACAGATGATGTAATGTGAATAAAAGAGTGAACATTTTCAAGTGTCTTTTCTCCTAATATTCTTCTATTTTCTTTAGAAGAGAGAATAATCTTCAACCTGGAAAGGATAATAAACATGATTATGGGGAAATCGGGATCTAAGACAGATGATGCAGCACTCAAGGAGAACCCTTCCGCTTTATGGGAGCCCAACACTCTTAACTCCAACTAAATATATATAAACTAAACTCAAGGAGAGCCCTACTGCTTTATGGGAGCCCAACGCTCTTAACTCCAACTAAATATATCCAAGACCTTTACTGTGTGATTGCAAACTCCTACTGTAAATATTGAGAAGTCAGGAAGCTGAGAAGGGTGGAGAAAAATTAGAGATGAGCAAATGTCGCCCAGGTTTGTGAGAGAGAGAAGGTGGATTCCAGAAACTACAGATGGGTATGTCTGAGGTTGATCTGCAATCAGATAGGCTTATAAAAGATGGCAGATGTTACCAGTGGTCAAAGCGGCTTACTAGGAGTAATTAGTCAAATTAACCTTATTTCCATTGCTGAGGGATTGGTACATGAAGGCATTGCTACGCATATTGTATACTTAATTTTAGCAAAGCACTTGATAGAATCTTTCAGGATTCCTGGTGGATAAGATGGAGAAATAAGGGCTAGATTTAAAGTATGATTAGCCAAGTTACATAGATGGCTGAACATCCACATCTAATGAATGGAACAGTGTCCACTACAGAGCACATTATAGGTGCTTAGTAAATATCTGTTACTGTTACACAAATGAATCAAGCTGGAGGGAAGTTTCTGATGGTATGTCCCCATCTAATTTTATATATATATATGGAGAGAGAGAGAGAGACAGACAGACAGAGACTTCCTCTGTCACCCAGGCTGGAGTGCAGTGGTGCCATCTTAGCTCAGTATAACCTCCACCTTCCAAAGTCAAGCAATTTGCATGCCTCAGCCTCCCAGGCAGCTGGGACTACAGGTGGGTGCCACCACACCCAGCTAATTTTTGTATTTTGGGTAGAGATGGGGTTTCACCATGTTGGCCAGGCTGGTCTCCAACTCCTGACCTCAAGTGATCACCTGCCTTGGCCTCCCAAAGTGCTGGGATTACAGGTGTAAGCCACCGTGCCCAGCCTTATTCAGTATTTTTTATCATGACTCAGATGATGACTTATGAGTCATGGGTATCAAATTTATAGGAAGCAAAGCTTGGAGGGAGATCTGATGCATTCAATAACAAAATCCAAAATTCAAAATGAAGCCAACAGGTTAGGATGATGGGCCAAAGCCTAGATGAAATGAAAAGAGACAAATGCCAATCATTCATTATGTTCTTAAAAGCAGGTGCACAAATGCAGAAGAGGGAGCCCCGGCCCCATTGCATTTCATGCAAAAGAGATCTGCAGGTCTGAAATGATCCCAAGCCCAGTGTGCTTCATTAGTATGAGGCGGCTGCCAAACACAGCTGCAAACTTAGGCTACACAAGAGGATGGAGAAAAAGAGCCCCAATATGCATTGCCTCAGCAATAATAGCTCGTATTTATTGAGTGCTTATTATACTAGATGCTGCTACTGCGCTGTGTTTACAGAAATGATCTCATTTATGTAAGTACCCGGGGGTGTAGTCTGCTTTCTTTTTCTTTTTTCTTTTTTTTTTTTTTTTTGAGACAAGGTCTTCCTCTGTTGCCCAGGCTGGAGTGCAGTGGTGAAGTCTTGGCTCACTGTAGCCTCCACCTCCTGGGTTCAAGTGATTCTCATTTCTCAGCCTCCCAAGTAGCTGGGACTACAGGCGCGCGCCACCATGCCTGGCTAAGTTTGTATTTTTAGTAGCGATGGGGTTTCACCATGTTGGCCAGGCTGGTCTCAAACTCCTGACCTCAAGTAATCTGCCTGCCTCGGCCTCCCAAAGTGCTGGGATTACAGGCATGAGCCACCACACCCAGCCTTGGGTGTAGTATCGATCCAAAATGATATCTGATGTACAGGAAGGGGGAAAGATCTGTTTTGTATGTAAGAGTAAGTTAGTAGAAATACAGTGAGGAGAGTCATGAATGGAGGGGAACATTGAAGACACAAGGCTGGCGGAAGGCTGCAGGATGTTTACACCCCTGGGACCCCGAAGAGGTCAGTGAGAAGAGAGTCAAGTTAGATTTCAATCAGATGGCACCATAGACCCGGCTAAGATTGAACCGGGTAGGCCTACCCTAGGATGATCTAGTTCGGGAGCCCCCCTCCTTGGGGATCGTTTTGGGGAGGGGTTTGTGCAGTGGACAAAGGATGAGATCAAGAGGAGACTATGTTGAAAAAAAAAAATGCCAGCCAGGCGCAGTGGCTCATGCCTGTAATCCCAACCCTTTGGGAGGCCGAGGCGGGTGGATCCCCTGAGGTCAGGAGTTCGAGACCAGCCTGGCCAACATGACAAAACCCCATCTCTACTAAATATACAAAAATTAGCCGGGTGAGGTGGCGCACGCCTGTAGTCCCAAATACTCAGGAGGCTGAGGCAGGAGAATCACTTGAACTCAGGAGGCGGAGGTTGCAGTGAGCCAAGATCATGCCATTGCACTCAGCCAAGATCACGCCTTTGCACTCCAGGCTGGGTGACAGAGCAAGACTCTGCCTCAAACAAACAAATAAAAATGTTGGGGAAAGGAAGAGAAAGCCAGCAACTTCCTGGGTATCCAAGTCAGGCACATCAGCAGGTGTTTGTGTGCTCCCCCCAGCAAGTTCCTCACCTCCTTTACCAGGGGTTACAGCTCCATGAGAGAAAAGCCTGATAGATAGAGATGGAAGAGCCCCTTCTCCTAATGGTGGCTGTGTCTCTGCTTGGCTTATCAGCAGTGTGACAGTTTGCTGTTTTGATCGCTCTCCCTTGCCCAACCATTGCCAACCCAGGTTGAGCCCACCTCAAGGGATTGGGCAGATAGAAAGTGTGGGTCAGTACAATCCTCACAATAACTTAGATGATGACATTAGAGCTCAGTAAGGTAGATGTTTTTAACCATGGTCACACAGCTGGCCTACAGTGGAGCAAGGATTTGAACCCGGGGTCTTAATGCTAGGATCCAAATTGTTAACCACACAGCACTGGGCTGGCATCTGCAGAATCTCAGGTTCCCCATGGGTCCCCACATTTTAAGAAGGATGTGGACAGATCAAAGGGGTAGCTCCTGGAGAGCTACCAGGAGAATGGGAGAATGGGAGAGGCTGGAAATCTTGTCCTGTAAAAAACACAAGGAGAGCCAAGTACAATGGCTCACACCTGTAATTTCAGCACTTTGGGAGGCCGAGGAGGGCGGATCACCTGAAACCAGGAGTTCGAGACTAGCCTGGCCAATGTGGTGAAACTCCATCTCTACTAAAAATACAAAAATTAGCCAGGTGTGGCGGCTCACGCCTGTAATCCCAGCTATTTGGGAGGCTGAGGCAGGAGAATTGCTTGAACTCGGAATGTGGAGGCTGCAGTGAGCCAAGATCATGCTACCGCACTCCAGCCTGGGCGACAGAGACTCCATCTCCAAAACACACACACACACACACACACACACACACACACACACACACACACACACACACAAAACAAGACAAAAAAACAAAAAACCTACAGGTCATCAGGGAATTCTGTCTGAGATAAAAATGACTTGGGAAAATGCAATAACTGTCCTCAAGCTCTCAGAGAAATGTTATGTGGCAAAACAAAGACATTTATTTTTCACAGCAGTACTAGAATAATAATGATGTATTTCAACATTCTAAGGTTTAGAGTTCTCTTAAACAGGAGTGGGCTGCTTTGAGATACTGAGCTCCCGGGCACTGAAAGTATTCAAGCAGAAGCTGGACGCCATGGGCCAGGCTTTCTTTTATTAAAACCGAGATGCTACTCTTCCTCTTCTCAAAGTGCCTACAGAACAGCTGAGACCTACTTACCCAGCTCGTTTGTCACTATTAGTTTCATGACTATAAATTTCATACAGCTTTACTGAGGGATAACCTATGTACTGTACAATTTACCCATTGTAAGTGAACAATTTGATGGTTCCTAGTAAATCTATACAGTTCTGCAACCATGACTACAGTCCAGTTGCAGAAACTTTGTGATTATAGATTTTTTCCCCAAAGAACATTGTTAGCATCAAGGGTAGATCCAGGTCCCATGGGCCGTGGTCTCCGCTGACCTAACAGCAGGCCTCTGTGCTGTGGCTCTTTCCTCATATCCTCTCCTCATTCCTTCTTGGGAGTCACCTGATGCTGCCCTGCCACATGCTGCTTGGCCTTCCTGGGCCCTGGGCACCTCGCCCCTCCCCGAGTTGTCCCCGCTGGGCACCTTTGCTTCCTTCCCTCCTTCTTTGCCATGGCTTGGGGGCAGGGGCTTGGTCTTCAGCAGATTCCAAGGCAGTAGGGTGTACTTAGAAGTATGTGAGCCCTGATAACCCAGACCTGTATTTGGCTCACAGCCATGTGGCCTCCAGCAAGTCACCTTATTTTTTGTTATTTCTGTTTTGTTTTGAGACAGGGTCTCACTCTGTTGCCTAGGCTGAGTGCAATGGCTCAGTCTCATCTCACTGCAGCCTCTATCTCCCGGGCTCAAGTGATCCTTCCACATCAGCCTCCCGAGGAGCTGTGACTACAGGCACACACCACCACACCCAGCTAATTTTATTTTTTTTGTAGAGATGAGGTCTCACTATGTTGCCCAGGCTGGTCTTGAACTCCTGGATTCAACCAATCCGCCTGTCTCAGCCTCTTAAAGTGCTGCGATCACAGGCATGCGCCACCATGCCTGGTGACTTTATCTTCTTGAACCTTAATTTTTCCCCTTTTGTAATGCAGACATAATACACATGCCTCGCTCAGTGCAAAGATCAGAGATGATGTGTATCAAGTGACTAGCACAGTATCTACTTTTTTTTTTTGAGACAGTCTTGCTCTGTTGTCCAGGCTGGAGTGCAGTGATGCGATCTCAGCTCACTACAGCCTCCACCTCCCAGGTTCAAGTGATTCTCCTTCCTCAGCCTCCCAAGTAGCTGGGACTACAGGCGTGCACCACCACACCTGGCTAATTTTTGTATTTTTAGTAGATAGTTTCACCATGTTGGCCGGGCTGGTCTCGAACTGCTGACCTCAAGTGATCCACCCACCTTGGTCTCCCAAAATGCTGGGATTACAGGTGTGAGCCACCATGTCTGGCCAATATCCACTATTTTTAGTAAATGATAGCCATGATTACTGCTGCCACCTTCATTATTGACACTCAAATGTCCTCTGCTCTGAGTGCTTATTTTGCCTTTCTCTTCTAGGATATCCCTGTTTTCTGGGTCTCTCCTGGTGTCCAGCCATTACCACAGGCACAGAGATGGATTCCTCTACACTTGGGAAACCCCAAGGCTGACCCCAGCCAGGGATGCATGTGGGTTACTTGGGAATGGAGCAGCAGCACCACCTAGTGGCAATGTGCAGCAGCATGCTAATTACTGGCCAAATGCAGGAGCTTGTCTAATAGCTACTACATCAGGACACCTTGGAAGTCACCTACTCCAGCGGTTCGTCCAGCACTTGTGTGGCCACAGCATCCTCCTAGAGAGGGCTTCCCATGCCATGCACTAGAACAAAAGAGGATGTGGAGAATGAAAGACAAAATAGGAGAAAACTTCTCAGTGTAATGCTCCTCAGGGACCACAGGGTAGTAAAAAAAAGTTTAAAAAGCATCTCCACCAGATCTAGAGACAGGAAGTAGGTCAGTGGTTAGTGGTTGCCCAGTGCTGCGGAGGACAGGGGAAATGAGGAGTGACTGCTAAAGGGTACAGGGTTTCTTTTCAGGGTGATAGAAATGTTTTAAAAGTGGCCAGGCGCAGTGATTCACGCCTGTAATCTCAGCACTTTGGGAGGCCAAGGCGGGCAGATCGCTTGAGGTCAGGAGTTCAAGGCCAGCCTGGCCAACATAGTGCATCCCCGTCTCTACTACTCATACAAAAATTAGCCAGATGTGGTGGTGCACGCCTGTAATCCCAGCTACTCGGGCAGCTGAGGCACGAGAATCGCTTGAACCCAGGAGGCAGAGGTTGCAGTGAGCTGAGATTGTGCCACTGCACTCCAGCCTGGGTGACAGAGTGAAACTCTGTCTCAATAATAATAATAATAATAATGATAATGATAATAATAATAATAATAATGCTGATGAGTTTGTGGCCAGCACTGCTGTTCATACTTGGACAAGATATCTCCAGGGAAACACCGGAGCAAGACATTCAAAGGTAGGAGACACTTAATCCTCATAACTCTATGAGGCAGGTATCAGTATCCCCATTTAACAGTTAAGCAAACTGAGGCTCCGAGATACAGAGGCTAAGAGTCAGTGGCCTGAGGCTAGCAGCCAGTGAGGGACATGGCAGGGATGCAAACATGGCTTTCAGAGACCCAAGTCTTTCCTTAAAACTACTGTACTGAAAAGTGCTCCCCACTTATACTTACTTTGACTCACCAGCTCCAGTGTCACAGTGTGGGAAAGGCTGTAGTGGGTGTGCCGTGAAAAGGCAAGGCGTACTGCCAGGGCCTAAGGCTGGGACAGCACATCTCAGTTTGTCTTCCATAAACACACCCTAGGAGTTTCAATAGAAACTCTGCTAAAATTGATGAGGAAAGAGATTTCAAGAAGTTCAATACATTCAGAAGCACATGACTATCCTCTCCTCCTTCCAAAGCAAGTTCTTTATCGTCTGAGCAATCAATAAGTGTTTAACGAGGCCTGGCACTGTATTAGGTAAGCTGTAGCATAAATACAAAAGTGTAAGACACAGTCCCTGCCCATTTGAGGCGTACAATCTAAATATTTCTCAGAGGCCGGGTGCGGTGGCTCACACCTGTAATCCCAACACTTTGGGAGGCCGAGGCAGGCGGATCATGAGGTCAGGAGTTCAAGACCAACCTGGCCAACGTGGTGAAACCCTGTCTCTACTAAAGATACAAAAATTCGCCGGGCGTGGTGGAGGGCGCCTGTAATCCCAGCTACTCAGGAGCTTGAGGCAGGAGAATCGCTTGAACCCAGGAGGCAGAGATCACACCATTGCACTCCAGCCTGGGCAACAAGAGCAAGACTCTGTTTCAAAAAAATAACATAACATAACATAACATAACATAACATAACATAACATAACATAACATAAATAACATAAATAACATAAATAAAATAAAATAAAATAAAATAAAACAAATATTTCTCAGAAATTACTCCATGGTTAAAAAGCAAATCTGGACTTAGTTGCCAGTATTGCAATGAACATTCTTTAAATTCAATATTTTGAAGAAAAACATGATACCACACATTTATCATGGAATGAAATTTTTTCCTAGTAATATAAACTTCATTGTTATGAATAAATAAGGTTTGCTTCAGTTAAAATTCACCTGACATGGCCCTCCTGTATAATTTTTTATTTAATTTTATTTTTAAAATTTTATTTAAAATTTATTATATTAAATTTGGGACAGGTTCTTGCCATGTTGCCCAGGCTGATCTCAAACTCTGGGCTCAAGCGACTCTCCCACCTTGGCCTCCCAAAGTGCTGGGATTACAGGCATGAGCCACTGTGCCTGGCCAATCTTCTATAATTCGAATAAATATTTCTTGAAAAAGTAGTTTTAGAAGGTTAAATAGGCCAGGCGTGGTGGCTCACGCCTATAATCCCAGCACTTTGGGAGGCCGAGGCAGGTGAATCACTTGAGGTCAGGAATTAAAGACCAGCCTGGCCAACATGATGAAACCCTGTCTCTACTAAAAATACAAAATTTAGCTGGGCGTGGTGGCGGGCGCCTATAGTCCCAGCTACTCAGGAGGCTGAGGCAGGAGAATCGCTTGAACCCGGGAGGCAGAGGTTGCTGTGAGCCAAGATCACGCCACTGTACTCTAGCCAGGGTGATAGAGCAAGACTCCATCTCAAAAAGAAAAAAAAAAAGAAGAAAAAGTTTAAATAGAAGTGCTTAGGTACTAATATGGCCAACAATTGTCTGGACAAACGAGCTCTAGGCTACTTAGTGAACCTCCTCTCCGGGATATTTTTATTAATATTTGGAGAACAACATAAAACACATTTCCAAGTGGTTCATGAGATGCCATGGCCATCCAAAAGAGGGAGGCAATGCGCCGGAGCTTGGTCTTGACAAGAGATATTTTCCATAGCAAAATTTACCACTAACTCGAGGGCAATACCAGGTGGGCTGGGAATCTCACATCTCCCAAATTAGCCTCTTGATTCTGTCACAAACTTTCAGAACTCAAAGGCTTGTGGTTCTGGGAATGGAAACTAACCAAACATCATCTGGACTGAGACAGCCAAACCTGGAGACAGCGCCATCCCAAAAGTGAACCGTCTGCTTCATGGGAAGAACATTTATCTCAGAGCAGGGAGGGATGTAGCAGCTGCAGTCGCAGGGGACCGAGACCCAAGACGGTGATGCCCAGAGCACAAACACGACCCTCCACTGGCCTGTGGGGCTCTGGGAAAGAGCTTCGGCCTCACACTGGGTCACCTCCCCACAGGGTCCCCATCTGGCAAATAAGGGAAGGAACTAGCATAAGGAAAAGGCTGGATACCTTCCTAGTGTTATGAAGTATTGATATGCCAGTGAAAAAGCTCACGGATGTCTTTAAATAAAGCGTCTTACATCAGGAACTCTGGGCTACAATATAGTTTCAGGGAAAAGTTCCAATCTGAGCCTCTTTGCACCTGCAATAAGCAAATACCTTTTCTTTCCTGAGGATCATTTGCTTAAAGCACTGAAGAGTGAGCTGCTAGCTGCAGCAGTGGTGGTAAAGAATGACGATTTCTCGGTAGCGCAGTGGCTCATGCCTGTAATCCCAGCATTTTGGAAGGCTGAGGTGGGTGGATCCCTTGAGCTCAGGAGTTACAGACCAGCCTGGGCAACATGGCAAGACCCTGTCTCCACAAAAAATACAAAAATTAGCCAGGTGTGGTGGTGCACACCCATAGTCTCAGCTACTCAGGGGGCTGAGGTGGGAGGATTGCTTGAGCCCGAGAGACGGAGGTTGCAGTGAGCTGAGATCGCACCACTGCACTCCAGCTTGGGCGACAGAGTGGGAGGCTGTTTCAAAAAAAATTTTTTTAATAAAAAATAAATAAACATGAAAAGGTACAGTAAAAATATGGTTTTAAAAAAAAAAGAATGACAATTCCTTCCTTTTTACGAAAGGATGCCAAAGACTAACAGGACTCCAGACGCCAGACCAGGATTGCAACAGCTGAACTCAGTCCCCGCTCCAACTCGCCTCCATGAAGCCCGCTCTGGCCTTCGAGCACCAGCAAGCCCTCTGGACTTCTCCATCAATTGCAAAAATGATCATCAAAGCTACTGAAATGGAAGGTGGTGTTTAAAACTTAACACTGGGTTTCTTAAAATGTAACACTGCTTTTCTTATGGCATGGATAAGGCACTGTGAGAAAGCTGCCTCCACTCCCAGCACACACGTACACGTGCACACAGCAGAGGCTAGCTGATGTGGCCACAAGGCACAAAGAATAGATCCTTCTGATCAGTTCTGGTTCTGGAACTGGTTGGCGAGCCAGTTCAGGCCTTCGTAAAGCCCATGTCCAGTAGTGGCACAAGTAGCCTGAATGTGCCAGTTTCTGTAGCGGAGGGAATGGAGGCCGAGCTTGTCCGTTATCTCTGCCGCGTTCATAGTATTAGGGAGATCCTTGAAAAAGAACATTCAAAAGTCAATGTATACTGTTGTATCCATATAGCGAAATATGCTCTTCCCTGTTAAACGTGCCCAAACCCACAGTCTTCTCTGTTGATGGCAACTCCAACCTTCCAGTTGCTCAGGCCAAAAAGCTTGAAATTATCCTTACTTTTTTACTCTCAATGTCACAGCCAATCTGTCAGGAACTCCTAACGGTTCCACTATCAAAATTTATCCAGAATCTGACCACTTACTAACTCCACAGCTGTCGCCGTGATCTGACACCACATCGCTTCTCACCTGGATGACTGAAATAACTTCCTAACTGTCCTCCCTACTTCTCTGCTCTTGCTCCCGTGAAGCCTATTCTCAACCCAGCCATCGGTGAATCAGATTGAATCATTCTTCTATCAAAACTGCAACAGCTCCCCCTCTCTCAGGATACGAGTCAGAGTCCTTATGGTCCACAAAGCCTCCTGGACCGGAGACCTCAACGAAGTGGTCTGTTCCATCTTTTCAATATGGCACTCACCATACATTACTATATCACGACATTTACTTATTTAAGTATATTTATTATTGACTATCTATCTGTCTCCCCTAACTAGAATGCAAGCTTTACAAGGGCAGGAATCTTGGTCTATCTCGTCCTCTGATGTATCCCAAGTGCCTTGAAATGTGCTTGGCACAGAATAAGCTCAAACTAAATTTGAATAAATCAGCATTAAAGAACAAAGTAAGGCTGGACACGGTGGCTCACACCTGTAATCCCAGCACTTTGAGAGGCCGAGGTGGTCGGATCACCTGAGGTTGGTAGTTCTATACCAGCCTGACCAACATGGAGAAACCCCGTCTCTACTAAAAATACAAAATTAGCCAGGAGTGGTGGCGCATGCCTGTAATCCCAGCTACTCGGGAGGCTGAGGCAGGAGAATTGCTTGAGCCCAGGAGGCGGAAGTTGCGGTGAGCCAAGGTAGCGCCATTGCACTCCAGCCTGGACAACAAGAGTGAAACTCCATCTCAATAAATAAATAAATAAATTAATTAATTAATTAAAGTAGCTGTAGATGTACTGATATGGAAGGACTTCCAAGATATACTAAGTGAAAGAACATAATCATACAATTGTTTACACAGGCAGAGAAAGTTGGACCTCTGGAAAGAGAAAGAATAAATTTAACAATGAATAGTAGCACCAGAATATTTCACTTGAATATTCTCAACTGTATGCGTATTTATACCATGAGAACATTCTGTTTTTATCATTGAAAACAACAGAGGCACCAAGCACGGTAGCTTATACCTATAATCCCAGCACTTTGCGGGGCTGAGGTGGGAGGACAGCTTGAGCACAGGTGTTTGAGACCAGCCTGGGCAACATAGCAAGATCTCAGCTCTACAAAAAAATTAAAAAATTAGCTGGGCATGGTGGCACGTGCCTGCAGTCCCAGCTACTTGGGAGGCTGAGGAAGAAGGATCACTTGAGCCCAGGAGTTCGAGGCTGCAGTGAACTGTGATCGCACCACTCCACTCCAGCCTGGGCGACAGAGTAAGACCCTGTCTCAAAACAAAACAAAACAAAAAAATCACACACACATACACACACACACCCTCCAGAGTCATTTTCTTTCTTTAATAGTCATATGTTCACTAGTGCAAACTCTGGACTGACATTGAACCTGAACAGTGAGAGTAACGGTTGTACAAATGATGATCCATCCACCGTTTAAAATCAGGTCTACAAAGAGTTGGAAAACAAGAGACAATGATTTTGATAAATCTAAAGTGATAAAACAGGATGCAACATTGTCACAACAGTATGATCACAATTACATAATGAATGCACTCATGGAAGAGAAAGTGAAGGAAGGATGTCAGAATGTGACGGTGGTCATCTCAGACTGGTACAATTCCACGTGGTTCTTTCTACCTTCTTTTTCATGCTTAGTTTAGCTCAGAGTCCTGAGGCTGGATAGTTCTACGCTTGGTCTTCCTCCCATGTTTCTTTTACTGTTTTACATTTATGTACAAGCCCTTTTCCTCCTCCAAAACAGGCCCTATATGATTCAATCTCATCTCCTCTCTCTCTCCCCTGCTCATTCTGTTCCAGCTGCACTGGCTCCCATGCTGTTCCTAGAATCGTGTGGCTCCCTTCCTCCCAGCCTTCTGGTCTCCGCTCAGATGTCATCTCATCAGAGAGGCATTCCCAGTCTTTCCCACACCCGCCCTGCCCCTTTACTATGCTTTTGCTTCTTCCACAACACTTAAAAACCATTTGACACGTATTATTATTTATTTTACTCTGTAGCCCAGGATGGAGCGTAATGGAATAATCTCATCTCACTGCAGCCCCGAACTTCCAGGCTTAAGTGATCCTCCCACCTCAGCCTCCTGAATAGCTGGGACCACAGGTGCATGCTACCACATCCAGCTAATGTTTGTACTTTTTTGTAGAGATGGGGTTTCACTATGTTGCCCAGGCTGGTCTTGAACTCCTGGGCTCAAGTGATTCCCCCCGCTTCAGCCTCCCAAAGTGTAGGGAGTACAGGCATGAGCCACCACACCTGGCACATTTCATGTTATTTATTGGTTGACTCTCTTCCCACTAGCAACGTAAACTCCAAGAACACAAGGACTTTATCTGTCTTGGTTTAAGCCTAAAACCAAGTCTGGAACTTAGTAGATGCTCAGTGGCTCACACCTGTAATCCTAGCAATTTGGGAGGTCGAGGTGGGCAGATCACTTGAAGTCAGGAGTTCCAGACCAGCCTGGCCAACATGGTGAAACCCAGTCTCTATTAAAAATACAAAAATTAGGTGGGCATGGCGGCGCATGCCTGTAATCCCAGTTACTTGGGAGGCTGGGGCAGGAGAATCACTTGAACCCGGGAGGTGGAGGTCACAGTGAGCTGAGATCACACCACTGTACTCCAGCCTGGGCAACAGAGTGAGACTCTGTCTCAATAAAAAAAAAGACATTCTAGCAAGGAGATGGTGGGAGATATTATGGTTGGTACTGGAGAGAGGGAGGCAGACATCTCATTTAAATGTCTGTATTTACAAGTGAGACATTTGGCAGTAAATTTCAGTTCCAGCATTCAGAAAGCCAATAACAACATACTTGTTTATTGGCAAATACCAATAAAACTGCATTTCTGAGCTCATCGTCCTCTAACAAGTAAGTTAGCACTTCCCAGGCCTCATCAATCTGCTCTCTGTCATTACTGTCAACCATAAAAATCAGACCTAGAAAGAAATCACGAGCATGTTAGTGATCTGAGCCTGGAAAACGCAGCTGTTTATGTATCTTCACGACTTCTCCCTGCTTATGTGTGTGACTTCACAAAGGCAATCGATACGGAAGGATACATCATCTCTAGAGTTAGGAGGCCTGCTATACACTCAACTTACATTTTGCAGAAGCATCACAGCCCTGCACCATATTAACAACAAGAATATATCCTGAAAAAGTTAGTCTCGTTTTCTAATCACTTAATTTCCACGTCAGGGAAAAAAACTTTTTTTTAATTAATTAATTTATTTATTTTGAGATGGAGTCTTGCTGCAGCCCAGGCTGGAATGCAGTGGCGTGACCTCGGCTCACTGCAACCTCCACCTCCTGGGTTCAAGCAATTCTCCTGTCTCAGCCTCCCGATTAGCTGCGAATATAGGCACACCATCACACCCTGCTTATTTTTGTATTTTTAGTAGAGACGAGGTTTCACCATATTGGTCAGGCTGGTCTCGAACTCCTGACCTCAGGTGATCTGCCTGCCTTAGCCTCCCAAAGTGCTAGGATTATAGGCGTGAGACACTGCCCCTGGCCAAAACATTGTTTTTTAAAACATGTAAAGTTTAGTATAATAAAAGCATTCTAGGGCTAGCCCTCTAAAGCAAAACTTGAGACAAAAGCTTAAGTGCAGGTACGTTCTTTGGGAAGTGATCCCAGAGATCAGGAATGAGGGGCTGAGGGAGTAAAACAGGGCAGGAGGGACAGACAATAGAAGGACGAGTTATCAAGCTGGGCCCCCACTATGGGACCACTGCTCACCGTTGTTGGACATTCTAAGAAGCCATATCAAATGCCTGTCAGAACTGTCCACCCAGAGGACAAAAGAGGAAACAAGTATCCTTCAGTACCCATTCCCTGTTGCTCAAGAACAACTCAACAGGTGTTAGGCCACCCATACTTCTGGGTCACATTGGTATGAACACCAAGAGATTCCTATGGGCATCTTATAGTAATGAATTTGGCTGGTCTTTGTCCCCAGTTTCTAGAAGGTAGCCTCTAAACCCTTGGACTTTTCAGAGTGATAGCAGTATCTTTTTTTTTTTTTTTTTTTTTTTTTTTTTGAGACGGAGTCTGGCTCTGTCCGCCAGGCTGGAGTGCAGTGGCGCGATCTTGGCTCACTGCAAGCTCCGCCTCTCGGGTTTGCACCATTCTCCTGCCTCAGCCTCCCGAGCAGCTGGGACTACAGGCGCCCGCTACCGTACCCGGCT
This sequence comes from Homo sapiens, assembly GCF_000001405.40. NCBI lineage: Eukaryota > Metazoa > Chordata > Mammalia > Primates > Hominidae > Homo > Homo sapiens. The sequence goes on along the minus strand of NC_000017.11, from coordinate 45,631,795 downwards.
AATTTTTTGTATTTTCAGTAGAGACAAGGTTTCACCATGTTAGCCAGGATGGTTTCGATCTCCTGACCTTGTGATCCGCCCGCCTCGGCCTCCCAAAGTGCTGGGATTACAGGCGTGAGCCACCGCGCCCGATCAGCAGTATCTTTGTTATCATAGCGGGCCCACACCTCTAAGTTGATGCTAACAAGGTGACTCAGAGTGGGCCCCTAGATAGTGGATGCTAACAAGATCACCTCTGGGGAAATGAGGGTGCTAAAGTTTGAGTCACATGGCCAATGATTCAATCAATCGTACCTATGCAAGGAAGCCCCAATAAAAATGACAAATACTGAAGCTCAGGAGCACGTCCCTGGTTGGCAATACTCTATACATTGTCACGCATCGATGTGCTGGAAAGGTAACAGCCCCTGACTCCACGGGGAGAGAACAATGAAAGCTTTGCGTTTGGTGTCCTCCCAGATCTATGTGTCTTTCCCTTTGACTGGTTCATTTATATCCTTTTGCTTTATTGATCAATTAATAAAACTGTAGTTGTAAGCATAGCATGTCCCTGAATTCTGTGAATCATTCTGACAAGTGATCAAACCTGAGGGGGTAGTGGAAATCGCCAAATTTGTAGCCATCTGGCCAGAAGTGAGGGTGGGCTGAGGACCCCCAAACCTGTTGCCAGCTGGTGGCTGAAGTTGGGGATTCTTGTGGAGGATGGTGCCCTCAACCTGTGAAATAAAGTCCAACTCCAGGGGGTTGGTGCCGGAAGTCTCTGCAGCATTCCATACTATAGCATCAAATACATCCCAAAAAGTAAAAGATACCTGGGGCAGGCCAAAGAAAGGCACCACCCCATCACACCTGAGTGAAGGTGACCAAAACCTGCACAGACCCAGTCACTGCTACATTGGCTGGAGGAAGCTGTGGGGCCAAAAGCATCTCCAGGGAGGGGCACAGGTGGCATCCAACACACCCTCCAAGCACAAGAAGGGGAGACGCCTTTGGCAGTAGTTCATGTGACATTAATGATAACAACAATCTGTCAGCCAGGTGTGGTGGCTCAGGCCTGTAATCCCAGCACTTCAGGAAGCCAAGGTGGGCAGATGACTTGAGGTCAGGGGTTCGAAACCAGCCAGGCCAACTTGGCAAAACCCCATCTCTACTAAAAATACAAAAATTAGCCAGGCGTGGTGACGCGTACCTGTGATCCCAGCTACTGGGGGGGCTGAGGTAAAAGAATTGCTTGAACCCGGGAGGCAGCAGTTGCAGTGAGCTGAGATGGTGCCACTGCACTCCAGCTTAGGTGACAGAGTGAGAACCTGTCTCGGAAAAAACAAAAAACAAAACAAAACAAAATTTGTGTTTGGCTAAGAGTAAGCCCTTAACACAAAAATGTGAAGTGGCTGCCAAAAGAACAGTTTGATCCTAGGCTGCATCACCAGTAGTGACGGGGTCTCAGTTCCTAGGACATGGGTGATACCAGGCTTACTCTACATCAGTCAGAACATCCTGGGAACGTTATATGGGCAGTGCTGGATCCCACACTCTGAGACCGGGGCAAACTGAAAAAATTCAAAAAATGATCAGGAGAGCAAAGGCATTAGACACTAGGCCATATGAAGAACAGCTGCTATAATTGGAGATTTTACCTGGAGAAAAGAGTCACGTAGCGGCTGATGGCTATCTTCAAGTAGCTGAAAGTCTATGATGTAAAGAGGATTTAAGCGTTTTATAGAGCTCTGTGAGGTGGACTGAAGATCAGTGGTGAAAACTACAGAAGTCAGCCTAGCAGAGTGTCAGCAGATGAAGATGCAATGGCTGCCTCAGAAGGCACTCCTGTCACTGGAGATACTTGTTTGTGCACAACTTCAGCCACAATTCATGGGGACCCTGCAGAAGAGACCCTGGAAGGAAAATAGTAGCAGGATAAGATGACTTCTTGGTTTCCTTTGACCATGAGATTTCACGACTATGTCTAGGAGAGTAAACCAGTGCCGGCCCTCTTCCCTTTCCCTCCGTGCCTCCCAGGCCCACTCAACAGCTGCCTGAACCAACGGCAACAGAGCAGCCTACTATGGCTGATAGAGAGCTCCCGCAGCTTCGGCATGTTTGGGGCTTGCATGTGAGTCAATGTCATGTCTGCTACATCATATCAGATTAAAAAATGAAAAACATTCAAAACTCCCCCGAAGATTTCATATGCTATCAGCAAGTTCTGGTCTCTCGTCGTAACTAAGCAAGCCAGATTATCCAGAAATTTGAGATCCTTAGTCACCAATGCAGAACTGACAGGGAGGAAGCTGCCATATTATCCCTTTGCCATTCCTAAAAAAGCTTTGTAATATTAGGTACCATTTTATACTATCTTTATATAGGTCCTTACCTAAGAACCTAACATCAGACTGGTCCTACATCTGAACTAAGAGAACCTACAAAAAGCATATTTACAGCCGGGCGCAGTGGCTCATGCCTGTAATCCCAGCACTTTGGGAGGCCGAGGCGGGTGGATCACCTGAGGTCGGGAGTTCAAGACCAGCCTGACCAACATGGAGAAACCCCATCTCTACTAAAAATACAAAATTAGCTGGGCGTGGTGGCACACGCCTGTAATCCCAGCTACTCGGGAGGCTGAAGCAGGAGAATCGCTTGAACCTGGGAGGCAGAGGTTGCAGTGAGCCGAGATCGCACCATTGCACTCCAGCCTGGGCAACAAGAGTGAAACTCCATCTCAAAAAAAAAAAAGTATATTTACACATGAATAGTATACTACTAATGTGTTTTTTAATGGGAATATATGTATATAGAGCTGCCAGTATATACATAAAATATGTCTGGACAGATATATAAGAAATAAAAATGTTTGTCAGCCAGGCATGGTGGCTCATGCCTATAATCCCAGAACTTTGGGAGGCCGAAGTGGGCAAATCACCTGAGGTCAGGAGTTTGAGACCAGCCTGGCCAACATGGTGAAACCCCATCTCTAGTAAAAATACAAAAATGAGCTGGGCATGGTAGCACACACCTGTAGTCCCAGCTACTCAGGAGGCTGAGGCAGGAGAATCGCTTGAACCCAGGAGGCAGGGGTCACAGTGAGCCGAGATCGAGCCATTGCACTCCAGCCTGGGCAACAAGAGCAAAACTCTGTCTCAAAAAAAAAAAAAAAAGTTGTCTATGCGAGGGGAACCGAATGGTTAAGGGACAGGAATGAGACAGTGACTTGTTACTATAGAATTGGCCCTCCACATCCATGGGTTCCATATCCATGGATTCAACCAACCACAGATAGAAATTATTCAGGAAAAAAAAAAAAACTACATCTGTGCTGAACATGTACAGACTTTTTTCTTGTCATTATTCCATGAACAATAGCGTTTCACAACTATTTATACAGCATTTATGTTGTATTCAGCATTATAACTAATCTAGAGGTGATTTAAAGCAGGGGTCCCCAACCCTTGGGGCACAGACCAGTACTCTTAAGAACTGGGCCTGTTAGGAATGGGGCTGCACAGCAGGAGGTGAGCAGCAGGTGAGTGAGAGAAGCCTCATCGGTATTTACAGCCGCGTCCCATTCCCATGGCTCACATTACCAACTGAGCTCCACCTCCTGTCAGATCAGCTGCAGCATTAGATTCTCATAGGAGGGTGAACCCTATTGTGAACTGCACGTGAGGGATCTACACTGCGTGCTCCTATGAGAATCTAATGCCTGATGATCTGTCACTGTCTCCCATCACCCCCAGATGGAACCATCTAGTTGCAGCAAAACAAGCTCAGGCTCCCACTGATTCTACATTACAGTGAGTTTGTATAATTACTTCATTATATATTATAACGTAATAATAATAGAAATAAAGTGCACAGTAAATGCAATGTGCTGAATCATCCCAAAACTATCCCTGATCCCCCTCTCCGGCCCCCGGCTCTGTGGAAAAATTATATTTCACGAAACTAGTCCCTGGTGCCAAAAAGGTTGGGGACCACTGATTTAGAGTATACGGGAGGATGGGGGGCTGGAGGTTGCAGTGATCCAAGTGCCACTGCACTCCAGCCTGAATGACAAAGGGAGACCCTGTCTCAAAAAAAAAAAAAAAAGAGATATGTAGTACTCCTAACATTCAGTACCTCAGAATGTGATCTTAGAGATGGGATCTTCAGACCAGGTGCGGTGGCTCACGCCTGCAATCTCAGCACTTTAAGAGGCCGAGGTGGGTGGACCACTTGAGGTCAGGAGTTCGAGACCAGCCTGGCCAATGTGGAGAAACCCCATCTCTACCAAAAATGTAAAAATTAGCTAGGCATGGTGGCGAGCACCTGTAACTCCAGCTACTTGGAAGGCTAAGGCAGAAGAATCACTTGAACCTAGGAGGAGGAGGTTGCAGTGAGCTGAGATCACCCCACTGTACTCCAGCCTGGGCAACAAAGAGAGACTCTGAAAAAAAAGAAAGAGATAAGATCTCCAAAGAGGTCATAAAGTTAAAATGAGGTCATCAGGGAGGACTCTAATCCCATTATGACTTGTCCTTATAAAAAAGGGGAAATTGTGGACACAAAGAAATACACACAGGGAGGCTGGGCGCAGTGGCTCACGCCTGTAATCCCAGCACTTTGGGAGGCTGAGGTGGGCAGATCACTTAAGGTCAGGAGTTTGAGACCAGCCTGGGCAACAAGGTGCAGCCCTGCCTCTACAAAAAATACAAAATTTAGGCTGGGTGCTGTGGCTCATGCCTGTAATCCCAGCACTTTGGGAGGCCAAGGCAGGCAGATCACCTGAGGTCAGGAGTTCAAGACCGGCCTGGGCAACATGGTGAAACCCTGTTTCTACAAAAAATACAAAAAATTACCTGGGCATGGTGACACGTGACTGTAATCCCAGCTACTTAGGAGGCTAAGGAAGGAGAATCACCTGAACCTGAGAGGCAGAGGTTGCAGTGAACCAATATTATGCCACTGCACTCCAGCCTGGGCAACAGAGCAAGACTTTGTCTAAAAAAACAAAAGAAATATACACAGGGAGAACTCTACATAAGGACTGGAGTTATGCTGCCACCAGAAGCTAGAAGAGAGGCTTGAAACAGATCCTGTCCCAGTAGCTTCAGAGAAAGCATGCCTCTGCCCTTAGATTTCTAGCCTCCAGAACAGGGAGACAATAAATTTCTGTTATTTAAGCCACTCAGCATATGTCACTCTGTGGCAGCAGCCTTAGCAAACAGATGTCATAAGAAAATTCGCAGCTCAGGTTTACTAAGTACCTACCAGGTACTGTTCTAAACACTCTGCGTGAATAAACTCATTTAATCCTTATAAAGTCCACTCTAGGATCTAGGTACTATCATTACACCCTTTTTACGGTGTGGATGCCGAGGTTCTAAGAGGTTAATGAGCTTACCCAATATCACATAGCCAGAGCCCTCTCTCTCACCACTAGGCTATGAGGAGCTATTATTAACAGTAATTACAATAAGAGCTAGCGTGGTGGCTCACGCCTGTAATCCCAGCACTTTGGGAGGCCACGGCGGGTGGATCACTTGAGGCCAGGAGTTTGAGACCAGCCTGGCCAACATAGTGAAACCCCGTCTCTACTAAAAATAGAAAAACAAGCCGGGCATGCTGGCATGTGCCTGTAATCCCAGCTACTTGAGAGGCTGAGGCAGGAGAATTGCTTGAACTCAGGAGACGCAGGTTGCAGTGAGCCGAGATCGTGCCACTGAACTCCAGCCTGGGCGACACAGCAAGACTCCATCTCAAAAAAAAAAAAAATTAGTAATTACGATAAGTAGTAGTCCACTGAGCCAAACACTGCCCTATGTCCTTTACAGATATAATACAAAAGTCCTCTGAAGTAAGTGTTATTATTTCCAGTATGAAGGAGGAACCTGAATCTCAGAGAGATTAAGAAATTAAGAGATTAAGAAATCGCCCAAAGTCACACGGTTAAGAGTGCTGAGATTAGGCCGGGCACGGTGGCTCATGCTTGTAATCCCAGCACTTTGGGAGGCCGAGGCGGGTGGATCACCTGAGGTCAGGAGTTTAAGACCAGCCTGGCCAAGCTGGTGAAACCCCATCTCTCTAAAAATAAAAAAAAAATTAGCTGGCCATGGTGACAGGCGCCTGTAATCCCAGCTACTCGGGAGGCTGAGGCAGGAGAATCACTTGAACCCAGGAAGTGGAGGTTGCAGTGAGCCAAGATCACCTGGACAACAAAGCGAGACTCTGTTTCATAAAAAAAAAAAAAAAAGAAGAAGAATGCTGAGATTATATCTAATTGCTAACTTAAGGGGATATACAATGAAAACCTGTTTTTACTAAAACTTTAAGAACAAGTTAATTTTTTTTTTTCTTTAATGAGACAAGAGACAAGGTCTGGCTCTATCACCCAGGCTGGACTGCAGGGGCGCAATCACAGTTCACTGCAACCTCCACCTCCCAGGCTCGAGCCATCCTCCCACCTCAGCCTCTCAAGTAGCTGCAAGTACAGGTGCACACCACCATGCCTGGCTAATTTTCTTTTGTATTTTTAGTAGAGATGGGGTTTTGCCATGTTGCCTCATGATCCGCCCTCCTCGGCCTCCCAAAGTGCTGGGATTACAGGCGTGAGCCACTGCGCCCAGCTAAAATTTTCAATTTTCTATTTAATTTTTAAAATCTGATACAAACATCAGAAAGTGTAAAAAGATATAATGCAATGAGAAGTCTCCTCCCTACTCTGTCCTCTACCTGAACAATTCCTAGACCTAACAGGTAACCAGTGCCACCATTTTCTTATTTATTTTTCTAAAGTTTTGTGTTGTTGCTGTTGTTTGAGACAGAGTCTCGCTTGGTCAGCCAGGCTGGAGTACAGTGGCGTGATCTCAGCTCACTGCAAGCTCCGTCTCCCAGGCTCAAGCAATTCTCCTGCCTCAGCCTCCCGAGTAGCTGGGATTACAGGTGTGTGCCACCACGCCCCAGCTAGTTTTTATATTTTCAGTAGAGACGGGGTTTCACCATATTGGCCAGGCTGGTCTCAAACTCCTGACCTCAGGTAATCCACCCACCTTGGCCTCCCAAAGTGCTGGGATTACACGTGTGAGCCACCATGCCCAGCCCTAAATATCTTTTTTGTTTTTTTGCATACATACACCAATGCAAATTATCTTTTTCTCCTGTTTTTTTTTCCCAAAAAACACAAAGGGTATCAAATCATACATACTGTTCTGCATCTTGCTTTCATCACTTAACTGTCTGCCTTGCAGATCTTTCTATATCATATTAAATTATGTTTTAATTCTCTCGTTTTGCTTGTCAAGAACAGTTTTTACTTCATTTCACCATAGTTCAGTCTAGCACACAAGGCATCCAGCAGCCCTAAGAACTACCTGAGACAACTGATGATGGCTCCATGCTACACACTAAAGACCCTGTATCTTTTCTCTCCTCCTCATCTTCATTTCACTCTTTTCTCCAACTCACTCAATTCTCCTTCCTTTCCCTATTCCTCTCCCATCTCACCCACTCCTTAGCCCTAACCCTGACAACTAGACCCTAGTAACATCACTGACATTGCTTAGTCGTGGCTAGAAATATTCAGGCTTTAAAAAGGTACAGACCCCTAACACAGAGAAAAAGGGATAAATAATAATTTCCATGAGAACTTCTAATTAACGAGAGTGCCTTAAATTGAGGAGTTTTGGTTTGGAGTTATTCTTCCTTGTTACTTGCCTCCTCTGGCATTTTCATTTGTGAAGACTGAGTGAGTGTGACGCTATTTTCTATACGCATGGAAACAAGCACATACTCAGTCTAACATTTACGCAATGCCTGACAGAACGACAGAGTTCATTCTACAATAAGATAATTGGAAACAAAATATAAGATCTATATAAAATAAACATTTGGGCTCCAAAATATGCACTTTAATTAACCTATCATTTCTTTTTACTTAAATTAAGTAGCTCCAATCTGAAACTACATCTTAGAAATGTTTTAAGGATATTCACCAATGAAAAAGAGAATAAAGTTCCCTCTCCCCACTTCTATTTTCCAGCCCACAAACTCAATGCTATCCTCCCCGCAAAAAGGACCTTTTTTTCTGACCAGACGAACACTGTAATTTTTAAGGTTTCTAAGTAATAAAAATAGGAAGAAAACATTACCCCCAAAAATTGGTTTACACTTAGAAGATGTTTCCCACTGAGCAAAGGATTGGTAAGGAACATAATATTAAGGCAACCACCTAACTGCATTCTTAAGTAGTAACAGGTGGTAACTCACGATATGGAGCTGATTTCCTTTCTCTATTCCTGCCATGCCAGAGACCTCTAGTAGAACTTCTGAGGTTACTGTATTACAACCCAGGTTCAGAGAGATTTAGAGGTAAAACCTTAAACACTGGAAATAGCTTTAAAAGTAGGGCTTTGTGTACCAAATACATTCGTTAAAACCTAGGAAACTATAAAATGAAATCCAATGTATTGATCTCAATCCCCTTGCCTGCTTCCTAAAGAGGACAGAGGCCACCAACACTGGTGCTCAACACTTGCTAAGTCGAAACACTCTTACACAGGTCCTCTGATTCTTAACGGGTTCAGAACTTCTGGTTGCATTCCCCATGCAACCCCTCCAACTCTACAGGGAGAATGCTGGAAAAACTGTGTCACTTTGGCTTCCTGTATATTAATATAAGCACTCTTATCCAGCAATAGCAGCTGAAACATAAATGAAGATGAGAACTCAGCCTACATGACCTAAGATTTCCCACAAGTCCAGATATATAGGTTACACACACTGCACTATTGTCTGATTTCTCCTCTGCATCAATCTGGAAGTCCACAGAGCAGATTAGCACCCAACAATCTTAACTAAGCTAGTATCCAACTCTGAAGAAAGGCGAAGCTGGTGGAGGGTTTCCAAGACTCCTTATCCTTCTCTGTCCTTCCTCCCATCCCCTCCTTACGTCTTTTCTGTTTGTTTTTATTTAATTTTATTTTTTAATGTATTTTTAGTCACAAGAAAATCAAAGAAGCCACCTACTTAAGTCTTAAGCTCTGCCCTTTGCTTAGTCCTAATGGAGAGTTCTTTGGCCATCTATGTACAAGAGATTAGAGGAGCCAAAGAGACTGGAGAACCACATCAATGGGAGCTTTTTCATCTAAAGGTCATCTGTCCACACTGTCCAAATGAGGTTTACCCTGTGAAATAAAACTTGGTGTAAGTGCTACCTGCTGAGAAAAATAGTATGAAATGTCACACAAAGGACTGGGGTGCAGCAGGAGGACTCTGAAAGAGTCATACGTGTAAACCAGCAGGTCTTAGAATGCCCTAATATACTATATGAAGTTTCAGAGTAAACAAATGGTTAATGACACATCTTTTGTAACACGTGAATCAGCTACTGATTTGCAAGAGTGGGACACACCCTAGTACCTATGACTCTAAAGTACCTGTTTGAAAAGTGGACCTAGATGTTTGAATTGCCAACCCATCCTAAGACCGGAACATAATTTTACAACTATGTAAGTTGCCATAATTTAAAGTTAAAAAGATCACTGCCTTTCATTATAATGGAAGTTAATTTGAGAACTTCATTAAAACATTCACACCGATAATCAAAGAACAGTAGAGATACAAAGTAAGATATAGCCAATCAATCCTAGGAAGCAAACACAAGAGGCAAGAGAAATGGCAGGTAAAGGAAGTGAAGAATAGCAAATTCAAAAACTACAATATTCCCAATTCTAAAGAAAAATGAATAAAATGAGGCTGGTAATGAAAAAATAACACATCTTACCTTAAGAGGCATCCAAGTAGCATTCATAGTGTCAGGATATAAAGACAATACTCAGAAATGAGCAAGAAGTCTTAGAAATTCCCTCGGTTACCAAGTATAAGCAGGTAGGAAAATCTTTTGTTTCGAGAAGGTATCTGAAAGAGAGGATTTTCATTTAGACTAAAAAATAATCAAGACAATGCAAATAGTTTAAGCTACCTGGGCAGGGATTTTGAAGTACTATTTGCCTCATCGCACTAAAAAAGTATAGAAAATACAGTCCCCTTTAGAAAAGGGCAAATGTGTGTCTCCATATATATGTGTGTAGAAACATACTTTACATAAAAAGAGAAATAAATATGTAACACGTATTTTAGATAATGTAAAATTGCTTATCAAACAATTAGCCAAAATCCCAGAGAGAATAAAGTAATTTTCCAGGGTACTTCATAAACACTAAACGTGATTTGTTAATTAACCGTCTAAAAAAGACCCTTGCCACATTTAATTATATTTAGTAAAGTAAAACTTCTCTAATCATCCCGACTGTCCCAAGATTATGCTTAAGTTTCAGAGTCAATTCCACATGAAAAGTAAAACCTATTCTTGACTGAAGTACTAGAAACAAATAAAGGACCCTTCTTCCCCAGAGATCGTTAAAAGCAGACCGAGCAACTTAATTTTGAGGGTGGGAGGAAGGTAAATTTGCCTGGAGGCAGGAGGATGGACTAAATGACCTCTGGTAGGATCCTCGTTCAAGTCCTGGGCCTGTATACAATTCCAGCTTAACCAGTTACTGCTTCGCTTAAAATGGAGGCTTGCCCGCGTAGGGACAAAAATAACAGCACCCACTTCTTAAAAATAAATGTCGAAAAGTACCCCTTTTTAAATAAAAATAAAAAATAAACACCTCTGGAGTGGATGTGTTCTTGCTATGCGTTTGTCACTGAGGCTTCGAAGACTTGGCATCACTTTCCTTACCGCTCACCGGATTTTGGGGGAGGAGCGGGGGGCGACAGTTTGACTCTTGACCCAAGTCTCAGGCGGACTTCAGAGCCCCACAGGGGCCCCCAACTCCAGAGCCAGAGGGAGCGGAGAGGCGAGAGCCCGAGATCGCACCTCCCCCCACCGCGGACCCCAGTCCCAAACCCACCCCTCACCTCCCCGCAGTGGGGCGCCTCCTTCTGCCCCATTCCCATTGTTAGGGAGGGCAGAGCGCGGGGTGGGCTCAGGGCAGGGGCGCCCGCGGCCGCTGCCCGGCTCGCTTCAGGAGGGGCGCCCCGCGGGATGCGGCTTCCCTTCCTCTCCGCGTCGGTCCGTCCCACCTCGGCTCGGCCTGGCGCCCCGAGCTCCGCTCCGCGCCCCCGGCCGCGGCCCCGGCCCGCCCCCCGGGCAGCCAGGCCCTCAGGCCACTCGGCCGGCAGCCCGCGTCCCAGGCCTACGAGTGGGCGCTGGGCGGGCGTCCCCGTGCCCCACACACGCGTCCCCTCTCCCCCAGCCCCGCCGCTTCCAGGGCCCTCGGCGGCGCCCGCTCCCCGGGCCCCGCGGCCCCCCGCCTCCCAGCCAGGCCGCTCCCTCGAGCTCGTCGGGTCAGGGACACCTCCTCTACCTCACCATCACCCTGGCCCACTCGTGCCCCCACCCCCAGGGGCACCAGTGCCAAAGGCAGCTCCCCCAGCCCCGGACCTACCTGCACGGTTCAACCAAGCCTAGAAGTGGGGGCGGGGAATCTTCCGCCCTCCTCTGGCGCTCATTGGCCCTTCAGGGGCACATCGTGAGCGCCATTGGCTGAGCAATGGTGTCCGTCAGAGCGATGGGGCGGGACAGAAGGGGAAGAGGGATGCAGGTGCCTTGGCGTCTCTGTCTCTGTGCATCTCGTTGTCTCTGTCTCTGTCTCAGCCCTTGGAAACGAGAGGCTTTTGGCTGAGAGGACTAGAAGGGGGCCTGAGGTGGGAGGAATAGGAATAGGAATCCTGACAGAGCGTCACGCCAGTTGGCAACTCTGAACCCCCTACCTAAGTCCCCTTTAGGTTCTCTTCTCCATCACCCCCAACCCCTGCCCCTCACCCCTCGAGATTCTTTCATCCAGGAAGCGACGTGATGAAAACTCCAGGCCGGAAGGCCATAGGGAGAGATGTTATATATGTATATAAAATATACACATATAAATGTTTATATATAAACTCAACCAGATATCAGTTCACTAGGGCCTGGAAAGGAAAGGGCACACATCTCACAGACAGGGAAGGACTTGAGATAGAGCCGGTAGAAGAAGGAATCAAAAATCACTCTAAGAGCTGGCAACAGTGGTTACCTCCTGGGAGAGGAACTGAGTGCCTAGGGAACCAGTGGGCGGAAGACTTACATATCTCGGCATATCATTTGTATCCATTGATTTTTGCACCACTCATCAAGATTCCAATTTAAAGAAAAGGATTTAAATGTTTAAATAAGGTCGCAAAACCAGGGGACAGACAAGATAATTGGGCAGGAAAATTGGCGCAACATGCAGATTTGGGGAGGAATCTTAGCTTTTAATATGTTCAGTTCCCGGTAACAGGGTTTTGTAAAACCCAGTGAAGGTGTCCCAGAGGCAACTGAAGTTATGGAACTTGAGAAAGGGTAGACAATCAGGACTAGAGAAGATGCAGGGTCCTCTGCCTAAAGATAGTGATCTATGACATGCTAAAGGATAAACTCCCAAAGAAGGGTAATAAGACACCCACAGTAAAAGGTAGGAGGACGAAAAAGAATGTCAGTGAGGTAAAAGAAACAATATTAAAGAGGCATGAAAATTAAGGGAGGAAGGGTCTGTGGAAAATAGAATAATAAAACTATGAGAGAGGCCGGGCACGGTGGCTCACACCTGTAATCCCAGCACTTTGGGAGGCCAAGGTGGGTGGATCACCTGAGGTCAGGAGTTCGAGACCAGCCTGCGCAGCATGGTGAAACCCGATCTCTAATAGAAATGCAAAAAAAAAATTAGCCAAGCGTGGTGGCGCGCCTCTGTAATCCCAGCTACTGGAAAGGCTGAGGTGGGAGAATTGCTTGAACCGGGAGGCGGAGGCTGCAGTGAGCCAAGATCGCGCCACTGCACTCCAGCCTGGGCGACAGAGCGAGACCCTGTTTCAAAAAAAAAAAAAAAAAAAAAAAACTGTGAGAGCCTCATAGGTCTTACCTCTTTACCTCTTTAGGCTCTGGTAACCATGGGACAATAAGAATGAAAGCCAAGGCCGGGCACGGTGGCTCACGCCTGTAATCCCAGCATTTTGGGAGGCCAAGGTGGGCGGATCACAAGGTCAGGAGATCAAGACCATCCTGGCCAACATGGTGAAACCACGGGCATGGTGGCGCATGCCTGTAATCCCAGCTACTCGGGAGGCTGAGGCAGGAGAATTGCTTGAACCAGGGAGTCAGAGGTTCCAGTGAGCCGATATCACGCCACTGCACTCCAGCCTGGATGACAGAGTGAGACTCCGACTCAAAAAAAAAAAAAAAAAACCAAAAAAAAAAAAAAAAAAAACCACCTTTATCGATTAAGAATCTTTTTTCTGAGTTTATTAATTCTATTTAAATCAACCCCAGAAAACACCTTCAACACAGCCTCTCATTTCATATCTGTAAAATGGGGCAAAAAAAATAGTTCCTACCCTTTAGAGTTGTTGTGAAGATTAAATTAGTGAATACATATGATGGATTTTTTTTCTTTTCTCTTTTTTTTGAGACACAGTCTCGCTCTGTCTCCCAGGCTGGAGTGCAGTGGCACTATCTCAGCTCACTGCAAGCTCCGCCTTCCGGGTTCACGCCATTCTCCTGTCTCAGCCTCCTGAGTAGCTGGGACTACAGGCGTCCGCCAGCATGCCCGACTAATTTTTTGTTATTTTTAGTAGATACGGGGTTTCACCGTGTTAGCCAGGATGGTCTCAATCTCCTGACCTCGTGATCCGCCCGACTTGGCCTCCCAAGTGCTGGGATTACAGGCATGAGCCATGGCGCCCGGCCTGTGTGATGGATTTTTTAAGAGCCTGACTGGCGGGGTGAGGCGGCTCATGACTGTAATCGCAGCACTTTGAGAGGCTGAGGCAGGTGAATCACTTGAAGCCAGGAGTTCGAGACCAGCCTGGGCAACAGGGCGAGACCTCGTCTCTACAAAAACACACACACAAAAATTAGCTGGGCATGATGGTGCATGCCTGTAGTCCCAGCTACTCAGGAGACTGAGGTGAGGGTCGCTTGAGCCTGGGAGGCAGAGGTTGCAGTCAGCCGAGATCTCACCACTGCATTTCAGCCTGGGTGACAGTGTAAGAACATGTCAAAAAACAAACAAACAAACAAAAACAACAACAACAAAAAAACGCACGAAAAAAACCACATAAGCTCCTTGAGGGCAGAAACTGTCCCCTAGTCTTCTATATTTTATTTCACACAATGTACAGAAGACTAAATGAATAATTGTTAGCTGGTTTTTTTTTTAAAAGGGGATAAGATCAGTTACAATGTCTTTTTCCTCAGTCAATCACATAAGTATCTAAAATGACATTCCAAAGTAAGGACAGGAGTTTAAATCCTGAACTATGGTATCTAAAGTAAACTTGAACTTTCCTTATTTTTAAAAAATTTTGGCCGGGCGCGGTGGCTCACGCCTGTAATCCCAGCACTTTGGGAGGCTGAGGCGGGCAGATCACAAGGTCAAGAGATCTAGACCATCCTTGCCAACATGGTGAAACCCCATCTCCACTAAAAATACAAAAATTAGCTGGGCGTGGTGGCACGGACCTGTAGTCCTAGCTACTCGGGAGGCTGAGGCAGGAGAACCGCTTGAACCCGGGAGGAGGAGACTGCAGTGAGCCGAGATCACGCCACTGCACTCCAGACTGGCGACAGACTGTCTCAAAAAAAAAAAAAAGAAAGAAAAAGAAAAAAGAAAAGAAAAAAATTCCATACATAGAATTCTGTGTGGCATTTTAGAGAAAATCATGGTGACTAGAGACACCAGGTGAAATTTTTTTTTTTTTTTTTTTGGTGACACAACCCCAGGAGATCCTGTGAACATGTGTCCCTTGACCAGGTGAATTTCAGGAGCTTGCACTAGTCCCAGGTTAGCTGGCACCAGGTTGGCCCTAGTTTGAGTGCCTTCCACATACCAGGTACTGTGTTGGAGAAGTACATCAAAAAGGAAAATCAAATTTCATCCTCAATAAGTAATCACAATACACTGTGATGAGAGTTAGGGTGAAGGAGGTTCAGGTTACCATGGGCTTATATTAGGAGGGCAAATTCTGTCTTCAAGTCTTTTTGCTTCAACAGTAGCGTTTAGATCTTGTGGGCTGGGCATGGTGGCTCTAGCCTGAAATCCCAGCACTTTGGGAGGGTGAAGTGGGCAGACTGCTTGAGCCCAGGAGTTGCAGATTAGCCTGGCAACATGGCGAAACCCCGTCTCTACAAAAAATACAAAAGTCAGCCAGGCATAGTGGTGCCTGCCTGTAGTTTCGGCTACTTGGGAGGCTGAGGTAGGAGGATCGCTTGACCCCAGGAGTTCAAGGCTGCAGTGAGCTACCATCGAGCCACTTCACTTCAGCCTGGGCCGCAGAATAAGACCCTGTCTGAAAAAAAAAATCTTGTGATATAATAACAGCTTGTGCACTCTTCGATAGCTCAGCTGGTAGAGCAGAGGGCTGTAGACTGCATAGATAATAATAACAGTTTGCGTTTTTGAGTCAAAGATGATACCCCAGAATCATTATCGAAAATAATGGTTGTTCCATTCACCTGTGCCTATGACTGTGAGCCACATTGTGACCAATCTGTGAGCAACATGGGTGGGAATGCAGTTTGGGGCCATGGAACTCACTTAACAGGAAGTTCCAATAGCAGTGGATTTACCATGTTGCAGCTGTAGGATCTTGGACAAATATTTAATGACCTCTGTCTCTCAGTTCTCTCAATAATAAAACATCCATCCGAGAGTTGCTGTAAAGGTTAACATAGGGGGAGTCTTGCAAATAGTAGGTGCTAAGATCCTGTCTTGAAAAAAAAAAGAAAAAAAAATATATATATATATATGAAGAGATGAGATCTTCAATTGTATAGACTGTCCCTGTACCCATTCATTTGCATTTCTTTTCCTTTACAATAATACATATCTATGATTTCCTTTTATTCCCACTGTCATCAATTTAGTTAGATTACTGGGCAGAGATCACCAGTGGGGCTAGAGTAAAATGAAAATAAATGTACATTGACTCTAGGTATTCCTAAGTAATAGCACAGTTTACTGTGTTCTCCCTCATAAATCCTGGTAGCTGAATGTTGCCTGCTTTTAGCAGTTACGTTTCTGCTCATCTCACCCTCAATGTTCATTAAGAAAATAGTTATTGAATGGCCAGGCTCACTGGCTCACGCCTGTAATAGATTACAGGCGTGAGCCACCGCACCCAGCCTTGGTTATCATATTTCTAATTTATAATAGTTTTCCTTGTTTTCTTATTGTTCATTTTTTATAGCATCCTGTTCTTATATTATGCATATATATCTTCAGGTCTCGCTGAAGAAATAAAGAGGTGTATGTGTATATGTGTGTGTGTATTATCTTTATTTTTATTTTTTGAGATGGAATCTTACTCTGTCGCCCAGGCTGTAGTGCAGTGGCGCTTTTGGGAGGCTGAGGTGGAAGGATCACTTAAGGCCAATATTTGGAGACCAGCCAGGGCAACATAACAAGACCCCCATCTCTACAAAAAAATTAAAAATTAGCTGGCCATGGTGGTGAGTGCCTGTAGTCTCAGCTACTTGGGAGGCTGAGGCAGGAGGATTGCTTGAGCCCAGGAGGTTGAGGGGGAGGTGAGCCATGATTGAGCCACTGCACTCCAGCCTAGGTGACAGAGTGAGACCCCTTCTCTAAAAAAAAAAGAGAGAGAGAGAGAAATAAAATAGTTATTGAGCACCTACTGTATGTCAGGTCCAAGACCCTAAAGATGTAAAGATGAATAAGGTGGTGACCCTGCCTTCCAGTTTCCACAGAGGTGGGGAATATGGATAAAAGCAGACAAAGCCATTGCCATGGGATAAGGGCAGAGAATAGCATGTGCAAATTATAGAAGGTGAGGGATAATATACCATTTTCCAGAAACTGATGGTTCAATGAGGCTAAAGCATGGAGTTCAAGAAAGGAAACCAGATGAGATTAACTGCAATGTGGTTCTCAAACTTAAATGTGCATAAAAACTGGCCTTGTTGGCTGGGCACAGTGACTCACACCGGTAATCCAAGCACTTTGGGAGGTCAAGGCGGGTGGATCGCTTGAGGTCAGGAGTTCGAAACTAGCCTGGCCAATGTGGTGAAACCCCATTTCTTTTTTTTTTCTTTTTCTTTCTTTTTTTTTTTTTTTTTTTTTTTTTTTTTGAGACAGAGTCTCGCTGTCGTCCAGGCTGGAGTGCAGTGGCGTGATCTCGGCTCACTGCAAGCTCCGCCTCCTGGGTTCACGCCATTCTCCTACCTCAGCCTCCCGAGTAGCTGGGACTACAGGCACCCGCTACCATGCCCGGCTAAATTTTTTGTATTTTTAGTAGAGACGGGGTTTCACCATGTTAGCCAGGATGGTCTCGATCTCCTGACCTCGTGATCCGTCCGCCTTGGCCTCCCAAAGTGCTAGGATTACAGGCGTGAGCCACCGCGCCCGGCCTGAAACCCCATTTCTACTAAAAATGCAAAAATTAGCTGGGTGTGGTGGTGCACACCTATAGTCCCAGCTGCTCAGGAGGTTGAGGCGGGAGAATCACTTCAACCTGGGAGGTGGAGATGGAGTAAGCCAAGATCAAGCCACTGCACTCCAGCCTGGGTGACACAGCGAGACTCTGTCTCCAAAAAACAAACAAACGAACAAAAAACTGGCCTTGTTTACATAGTCTCGCAAGCTCCAAGCCTAGAGATCTTGATGGAGCGGGTCAGAGTGCTGCTGCTCTTAGGGCTACACTCTGAGAACCACCGATGGAGAAGAAGGGCGGGGTCAACTTGCAGAGCTGTGCTGGGAGGTGTGTGCTGCAGCCTTGAGGAGGTGAAGAACCTTTGAGAGGTTTTAAGCCTGCAAGAGATGTGGTCACATTTACATTTTAGAAAAATCACCCTGTGTGCAATATGAAAAATGAAACAGAGAGGGCAAGACTGGAGTCAGGGAGAGCAGTTAGGAGGCTGCTGCAGAAACCCAGGCAAGAAATCATAAAGACCTGAAATAAAACAATGCCAGTGGGGAACGGGGAGGAGAGGCCAAATCCAAGGGGTATTTAGGAGCCAGAATTGAGAGGGTGTGATGAGTGTTGATGGGATACAGGACAGGATCCTGAGATGGCTTGCAGGTCTTCAGCTTTGAGTGACCCATGGAAGCGAAGGAAGATGGGAAGGAGGGTGCCTATCACACAGAGAGAATGAAGGTTTGAGAGGCAAGTGTAGCTTTTGACATTTTGCTTTTGAAATGTCTATGGGACATCAGAAATAATCTCAAAAGACCACAAGTCAGGCAGGGCGCGGTGGCTCACGCTTGTAATTCCAGCACTTTGGGAGGCCGAGGTGGGCAGATCACGAAGTCAGGAGCTCGAGACCAGCCTGGCCAACATGGTGAAACCCCGTCTCTACTAAAAATTCAAAAATTAGCTGGGCATGGTGGCGGGCACCTGTAATCCCAGCTACTTGGGAGGCTGAGGCAGGAGAATCACTTGAACCTGGGAGGCGGAGGTTGCAATGAGCTGGGATCGAGCCATCGCACTCCAGCCTGGGCAACAAGAGTAAAACTCTGCCTAAAAAAAAAAAAACCATGAGTCACTGGTTAACAGCCTGAGCAGCAGAAATCTCACAGTTCTGAGTCTGAATCCTATCTAGCCTGGCTCTGAAACTCACAATCTGGAGCTGGGGCTTGGTGCAGTGGCTCAGGCCTGTAATCCCAGCACTGTGGGAGGCTGAGGCAGGTGGATTGCTTGAAGCCAGGAGTTTGAGAGCAGCCTGGCCAACATGGTGAAACCCCATCTCTACTAAAAATACAGTTAGCCAGGCATGATGGTGTGCACCTGTAATCCCAGCTACTGGGGGGCTGAGGCACGACAATCGCTGGAGCCCAGGAGGCAGACGTTGCAGTGAGCCGAGATTGTGCCACTGCACTCCAGCCTGGGCAACACAGCAACACTGTCTAAAAAAAAAAAAAAAATGCTGGGCGCAGTGGCTTATGTCTGTAATCCCACTTTTAGAGGCTGAGGTGGGAGGATCACCTGAAGCCAGGAGCTCAAGACCAGCCTGGCCAACATGGTAAAACCCGCCATCCCCTCCCTGCCATGCCCCATCTCCCCCAACACTCCCCCACCCTGTCTCTACTAAAAATACAAAAATTAGCCGGGTGTGGTGGCACACACCTATAATCTCAGCTACATGGGAGGCTGAGGCATAAGAATTGCTTGAGCCCGGAAGGTGGAGGTTGCAGTGAGCCAAGATCGCACCACTGCACTCCAGCCTGGGTGACAGAGCAAGACTCTCTCTTAAAAAAAAAAAAAAAAAAAAAAAAAGAATTTTTTTTTTTAATATAGAGATGGGCTTTCTGTGTTTCCCAGGCTATACTCAAGCTCCTGGGCTCAAGCTATTCTCCTGCCTCTGCCTTCAACCAGCCTCAATCCTCCAATTTTCTTATTTTTTATATTTTTCAACACCTTTTAAATTCTACATTCTGGCCAGCTGCAGTGGCTCATGCCTATAATCCAGCACTTTGAGAGGTTGAGATATGAGACTTGCTTGAGGCCAGGAGTTTGAGGCTTGCAGTAAGCTAGAATGGCGCCACGGCACAGCAGCTTGGGAGACAGAGCAAGACCTTGTCTCAAAAGAAAAAGAATTTAAATACTACACTCTAGGAGATTTCTTCAACCTTCAAATTTTGTATTGAATTTTTAATTTTGGCTTTTATTTATTTATTTTTTTTTGAGACAGGTTCTCACTCTGTCACCCAGGTTGGAATGCGGTGGCTTGATCTCAGCTCACTGCAACCTCCGCCTCCTGGGTTCAAGTGATTCTCCTGCCTCAGCCTCCTGAGTAGCTGGGATTGCAGGCGTGGGCCACCATGCCCAGCTTATTTTTGTATTTTCAGTAGAGACGGGGTTTCACCATATTGGCCAGGTTGGTCTCAAACTCCTGGCCTCAAGTGATCCACACGCCTCAGCCTCCCAAGGTGCTGAGATTACAGGTGTGAGCCACTGCACCCAGCCTTGGCTATCATATTTCTAATTTATGATAGTTTTTCTTGCTTTCTTATTGTTCATTTTTTATAGCATCCTGTTCTTATGTTATGGATATATATCTTCAGGTCTCACTGAAGAAATAAAGAGGTGTATGTGTATATGTGTGTGTGTATTATTTTTATTTTTATTTTTTGAGACGGAGTCTCACTCTGTTGCCCAGGCTGGAGTGCAGTGGCACAATCCTGGCTGGCTGCAACCTCTGCTTCCCAGGTTCAGCTGATCCTCCCACCTCAATCTCCCAAGTAGCTGGGATTATAGGCACCTGTCACCATGCCCGGCTAATTTTTCTTTCTTTTTTTTTTTTTTTTTTTTTGAGATAGAGTCTCTGTTGCCCAGGATGGAGTGCAGTGGTGTGATCTCGGCTCACTGCAAGCTCCACCTCCTGGGTTCAAGAGATTCTCCTGCCTCAGCCTCCCAAGTAGCTGGGATTACAAGCGTGTGCCACCACACCCAGCTAATTTTTGTATTTTTTAGTAGAGATGGGGTTTCACCATGTTGTCCAGGCTGATCTCAAACTCCTGACCTCAAATGATCCACCTTCTTCAGCCTGCCAAAGTGCTGGGATTACATGCATGAGCCACTACACCAGCAAAATTTTTGTATTTTTAGTAGAGATAGGGTTTCGCCATATGTGTGTGTGTTTTAAGTTTTTCTGTTTCGTTTCTCTTGCATATATACCTAGGAATGGAAT
Organism: Homo sapiens; assembly: GCF_000001405.40. Classification (NCBI taxonomy): domain Eukaryota; kingdom Metazoa; phylum Chordata; class Mammalia; order Primates; family Hominidae; genus Homo; species Homo sapiens. The sequence continues at coordinate 45,611,103 of NC_000017.11, read as the reverse complement.
TACTGGGTCATATGGGAGCTCTGTGTTAAACACTTGTGTCATATCTAAGAAAACTTGCTAATCCAAAGGTCATAAAGATGTATGTCTATGTTTTCCTCTAAGGCCAACATGGTGAAACACCGTCTCTATTAAAAAAATACAAAAAACTGGGCTGGGCACGGTGGCTCATGCCTGTAATCCCAGCACTTTGGGAGGCCAAGGTGGGTGGATCACCTGTGGTCGGGAGTTCGAGGCCAGCCTGATCAACATGCAGAAACCCCGTCTCTACTAAAAATACAAAAAAATTAGCGGGGCATGGTGGCGCATGCCTGTAATCTCAGCTACTTGGGAGCTGAGGCAGGAGAATCGCTTGAACCCAGGAGGCAGAGGTTGCGGTGAGCCAAGATCGTGCCATTGCACTCCAGCCTGGGCAACAAGAGCAAAACTCGGTCTCAAAAAAAAAAAAAAAAAAAAAATTAGTTGGGCGTGGTGGCACGCACCTGTAGTCCCAGCTACTCCAGAGGCTGAGGCAGGAGAATGGCTTGAACCCAGGAGGTGGAGGTTGCAGTGAGCTGAGATCATGCCACTGCACTCCAGCCTGGCAACAGAGCAACAGAGCAAGACTCCATCTAAAAACAAAAAAAAGAGTTTTCTACTTTTCAGTCTAACAAATGTTTTATAAACAAAGGCTTTGTTATATTTTGAGTTAATTTTTATAGATAATATGAGGTGAGGGTTCAACTTCATTCTATTGTGTGTGGGTATCCAGTTGTCCCAGGACCATTGTTTGAAAAGACTTTTTTTCCTACACTTTCTCTCATTGAATTGTCTTGGCATATTTGTTAAAAATCAGTTGACCTTGGCTGGGCACCATGGTTCACACCTGTAATCCCAGTATTTTGGGAGGCCAAGGCAAGAAGACCATTTGAGCCCCAGAAGTTCAAAACCGGCCTGGGCAATATAGGCACACTCCATTTCTAAAAATAATAATTAAAAAGATTAGCTGGGCAAGCCAGACATGGTGGCTCACGCCTGTAATCCCAGCACTTTGGGAGGCCAATGCAGGTGGATCACCTGAGGTCAGAAGTTCGAGACCAGCCTGACCAACATGGAGAAACCCCATTTCTGCTAAAAATACAAAATTAGTCTGGTGTGGTGACTCATGCCTGTAATCCCAGCTACTAGGGAGGCTGAGGCAGAAGAATCGCTTGAACCCAGAAGGCGGAGGTTGTGGTGAGCCGAGATTGCGCCATTGCACTCCAGCCTGGGCAACAAGAACGAAACTCTGTCTCAAAAAAAAAAAAAAAAAGATTAGCTGGGCGTGGTGGCACATACCTGTGGTCCCAGTGACTTAGGAGGCTGAGGCAGGGGGATCGGGAGACGGAGGCTGCAGTGAGCCTTGATCACTGCACTCCAGCCTGGGTGACAGAGTGAGACCCTGTCTCAAAAAAGAAAAAAAATCAGTTGATCGTAATGTGGGCACTCATTTCTGGACTTTCAATTCTATTCCATTGATCTATATGTCAGTCCTTATGCCAGTGCCCAGGGGCTCAACTACTGGTACTTTGAATTAGATTTTGAATCAAGAAGCGTGAGTCTTCCAATTTTGTTCTTATTTTTCAAGATTGTTTTGTCTATTTGAAGTTCCTTACAATTTAATGTGAATTTTAGAATCAGCTTGTCCATTTTTGCAAAAAAGGTAGTTGGGATTTTGATAGAGATTGTGTTGAGTCTGTAGATCAATTTGGGAAGCATTGCTATGTGAAGAGTAGTAAGTCTTTCAATCCATGAACACACAATGTCTTTTCATGTATTTAAGTTTAATTTCTTTCAATAATGTTTTGTAGTTTGCACTTCCTTGGTTAAATTTATTCCTAAGTTTTTTTTTGGTGCCATTACAAATGGAATTGTTTTATTAATTTCATTTTTGGATTGTTCATTTCTGGTGTATAGAAATTCAACTGAGCCAGGTGTAGTGGTGCACCACCTGTAGTACCAGCTACTTGGGAGGCTGAGTCAGGAGGATTGCTTGCGGCCATGTTTGAGGCTATAGTGCATTATAATTGTGCCTTTAAATGATCACTGCATTCTAGCCTCGGCAACATAGTGCGGTCTTGTCTCTTTTTTTTTTTTTTTTTTAAGTACAATTTCCATTTTATTTTTCTCCAGAGAATAGCCTGTCTTCAGTCTTTAAGAACTCAGCTCCTTACATGGGCTTTGGTGGGGGACCTGGGGCAGCACCCGCAGGTCTAAATCGGGGTGGGGGTGTTCGGTCCTTGCGGGCTTCACGAGATCGATTCCTGACTACTTTGCTGTGAATTGCACAACTCACACAGTAATGTAGCTTCACATACAGTTTGGGAAGCACATAGGCATCGAAGACGCTCACTTCAGAAATGTCCCTGACTGCTGCGGCCTCCACTATGTTTCGAATGACGAATTTCTTAATGGCCTTGTCCTTGGGCACGCATCGGGCACAGTTAGTGCAGCGAATAGGCTGCACGTGGCCGCGGCCCTTTTTGGCACGACCATTGTTCCTTCTTTTCTTTGTCATCTTGGAGGCACGGACCGGAGAGAGGAGCGGTCTTGTCTCTTAAAAAATAAATAAACAACTGATTTTTGTACGTTGATCTTGTATCCTCCAACTTTGCAAAATTAATTTATTACTATTAAGATTTTGTGGCCGGGCACGGTGGCTCATGCCTGTAATCCCAGCACTTTGGGAGGCCCAGGCAGGCAGATCACCAGGTCAGGAGATCGAGACCATCCTGGCTAACACGGTGAAACCCCGTTTCTACTAAAAATACAAAAAATTAGCCAGGCGCGGTGGCAGGCTCCTGTAGTCCCAGCTACTCGGGAGGCTGAGGCAGGAGAATGGTGTGAACCCGGGTGGCGGAGCTTGCAGTGAGCCAAGATAGCGCCACTGCAGTCCGGCCTGGGCAAAAGAGTGAGACTCCGTCTCAAAAAAAAAAAAAAAAAAAAAAAAAAGATTTTGCTTTATTTTGTGTTTGGTGTGGATACTTTAGGAACCAAAAGATAAATAAATAAGAAAAAGGTCTAGCACTTTGGTCAAATTTATTCCTAAGTGTGTGTTTGTAAACGATATTGTAAATGAATTTTCTTAGTTTCATTTTCAGCTTGCTAATTGTTACTGTATAGAAATACAATTTATTTATTTATTTACTTTTTTTTTTTTTTTGAGACAGTCTCGCTCTGTTACCCAGGCTGGAGTGCAGTGGTGTGATCTCGGCTCACTGCAACCTCTGCCTCCTGGGTTCAAGCGATTCTCTTGCCTCAGTCTCCCGAATAGCTGTGATTACAGGTGCGTGCCACAACCCCCAGCTAATTTTTGTATTTTTAGTAGAGATGGGTTTTCACCATGTTGGTCAGGTTAGTCTCGAACTCCTGACCTCATGATCTACCCACCTAGGCCTCCCAAAGTGCTGGGATTACAGGCATGAGCCACTGCGCCAGGCCAATTTTTTTTATATCACTCTTACACCTGCAACTTTGCTGAATTTGTTTACTTGTTCTAACGGTTTTGTGGATTCCTTAGAATTTCCTACATACGAGATCATGTCATATGCAAATACATATGGTTTTATTTCTTCCTTTCTAATTTGTGTGGCTTTTATTTCTTTTTCTTGCTAATTTCCTGGCTAGAAATTTAAGTATAATGTTGAATAGAGGTGGCAAGAGTGAATATCCTTGTCTTCTTCCTGATCTTAGGAGAAAAACTTACAGTCTTTCATCATTAAGTATTAACTGTGGGGCTGGATGCGATGGCTCAAGCCTGTAATCACAGCACTTTGGGAGGCCAAGGCGGGTGGACCATTTGAGGTCAGGTGTTCAAGACCAGCCTGGCCAATATGGTGAAACCCCATCTCTACTAAAAACATCTCTACTAAAAATATAAAAACTTGGCGGAGTGCAGTGGCTCACACCTGTAATCTCACCACTTTGGGAGGCCGAGGCGGGCAGATCACGAGGTCAGGAGATCAAGACCATCCTGGCTAACACAGTGAAACCCCATCTCTACTAAAAATACAAAAAAAAAAAAAAAAATTAGCCAGGTGTCGTGGCACACGCCTGTAGTCCCAGCTACTTGGGAGGCTGAGGCAGGAGAATCACTTGAACCCGGGAGACAGAGGTTGCAGTGAGCCGAGATCACACCACTGCACTCCAGCCTGGGCGACAGAGCAAGACTCCATCTCAAAAAAAAATAAACGAAAATTAGCCAGGCATGGTGGTGCGCACCTCTCGTCCCAGCTACTCAGGAGGGTGAGGAAGGAGAATTGCTTGAACCTGGGAGGCAGAGGTTGCAGTGAGTCGAGAGCATGCCACTGCACTCCAGCCAGGGTGACAGAGTAAGACTCTGTCTCAAAAAAAAAAAAAAAGGGGATTTATGGGAAGTAATTAAGGTCAAATGAGGTCATAAAGCTGGGCACTGATCTAATAGAATTAGTGTCTTTATGAGACGAGAACCCAGAGAGCTCCCTAGCTTTCTCTCTGCCACATGAAGCTACTTCAAGAAGGCAAGCCAGGTAATAAAGCCCACGCTGAGGTAGGAGGTGGAACTGGACTCCAGAGATGGGGCTTGGACACCAGACCAAATTGATGACTAGCTGAAACAGGGACAGGATGAAAGCAGCTTTCCATAAGACACGCTCACCAGTGCGCCATGTCAGTTTACCACCATTTCCATGGCAGAACCCAGAGTTACCACCCCACCGCCTTTTTTTTTTTTTTTTTTTTTTGAGACGGAGTCTCACTCTGTCGCCCAGGCTGGAGTGCAGTGGCACAGTCTTGGCTCCCTGCAAGCTCCACCCCCCAGGTTCAAGCAATTCTCCTGCCTCAGCCTCCGGAGTAGCTGGGATTACAGGCGCCTGCCACAGCGCCAAACTGATTTTCGTATTTTTAGTAGAGACAGTGTTTCACCATCTTGGCCAGGCTGGTCTTGAACTTTTGACCTCATGATCCACCTGCCTTGGCCTCCCAAAGTGCTGGAATTACAGGCATGAGCCACTGTGCTCAGCCTACCACCCCTTTCAATGGCAACAACTTGACAACCCAGAAGTTATCAGCCTTTTTCTAGAAATGTCTGTATAGTCTGCCCCTTAATTTGCATATAATTAAAGGTCAATGTAAATATGACTGCAGAACTGCCCTGAGCTGCTACTCTGGTCACACTACCTACAGGGTAGCCCTGCTCTGCAAGGAGCAGTCCCTCTGCTGTTGCTATAGGCCACTGCTTCAATAAAAGTTGGCATCTAGGCCAGGTGCAGTGAGTAATACCTGTAATCCCAGCACTCTAGGAGGCTGAGGCGGGTGGATCATTTGAGGCCAGGAGTTTGAGACCAGCCTGGTCAACATGGTGAAACCCCATCTCTACTAAAAATACAAAAAAATTAGTTGGGTGTTTTGGCGCACACCTGCACTCCCAGCTACTCAGGAGGTTGAGGCGGGAGAATCACTTGAACCCAGGAGGCAGAGTCTGCAGTGAGCCACTGCACTCCAGCCTGGGTGACAGAGTGAGACCCTGTCCCGAAACAAAAAAAAGTTGGCCTCTAACACCTTCGGTTTGCCCTTGAATTATTTCCTGGGTGAAGCCAAGAACCCTCTCAGTCTAAGCCCCAGTTTTGTGGCTTACCTGCCCTGCATCAACACCAGAAACTTAACCCTTTGGGAATCTCGATCTTGGACTTTCTAGCCTCTAGAACCCTGAGAAAATGATCTGTATTATTAGGCTACCCAGTCTATGATATTCTGTTGTAGCCTGGGGTGACTAAGACATTGAACCTGTATGACTTGAATTTTGTTACCTGCTTGGCCCCTTGATGGCATTTCAGTTTGTGACTCTTGGTTTACGTGATCACGAAGCCAAAACTGTTTAGGAAGGAAGCAAAATCAAGACAGATTAAAAATAAAAAATAAAAAATAAAAGGCTGGGCACCGTGGCTCACACCCTCCCAGCATGTTGGGAGGCAAAGGTGGGCAGATCACCTGAGGTCAGCAGTTCAAGACCAGCCTGGTCAACATGATGAAACCACATCTCTACTAAAACTACAAAAATTCGCCAGGCGTGGTGGTGGGCACCTGTAATCCCAGGTATTTGAGAGGGAGGCAGGAGAATCACTGAACCTGGGAGGTGGAGGTTGCAGTGAGCCAAGATCACACCACTGCACTCCAGCCTGGGTGACAGAGCAAGACTCTCTCTCAAAAAATAAAATAAAATAAAATAAAATAAAATAAAATAAAATAAAATAAAATAAAATAAAGAGCCAAGCACGCTGGCTCACACCTGTAATCCCACACTTCGGGAGAAAGAGGTGGCAGGATTGCTTGAACCCAGGAGTTTGAGGCCAGCCTAGGTAACATGGCAAAATCCCATCTCAATTTTAAAAAAATTTTAAAAAAGAATAATAGGGCTGGGCACGATGGCTCATGCCTGTAATCCCAGCACTTTGGGAGGCCAAGATGGATGGATCACCTGAGGTTGGGAGTTCGCGACCAGCCTGACCAACATGGAGAAACCCCATCTACACTAAAAATACAATATTAGCAGGTCGTGGTGGCACATACCTGTAATCCCAGTTACTCGGGAGGCTGAGGCAGGAGAATCGCTTGAACCTGGGAGGTGGAGGTTGTGGTGAGCCAAGATCGTGCTATTGCACTCCAGCCTGGGCAACAAGAGCGAAATTCCATCTAAAAAAAAAAAAGAAAGAAAGAAAGAAATAAGGTATTTTACATAAGGATTAAAAAGAAATTAAAACCATTATTTGAAGATAATGGCTTAAACAGAAACTCTGCAAATCCTTAGAATAAAAAAGTTCAGGCCAGGTGTAGTGGCTTTTGCCTATAATCCCAGTGCATTGGGAGGCTAAGGTCGGAGGATTGCTTGAGCCCAGGAGTTTGAGACAAGCCGGGTCAACATAGTGAGATCGCATCTCTACAAAAAATTGAAAAATGAGCCAGGTGTGGCAGTGCATGCCTGTAGTCCTGGCTACTCAGGAGGCTGAGGTGGGAAGGTCACTTGAGCCTGAAGAGTTCAAGGCTACAGTGTTATGATCATGCCAGTGCACTGCACTCCAGCCTGGGAGACAGAGCAAGACCCTGAGACCCTGTCTCAAAAAACAAAATAAAAAACCCTCACTATATTGAACACAACATCAATATTCAATAGCCACTCCCCTTCTCCTTTTCTAATAAAATTCCACTTTTTTGTGTTCCATCCCAGGACCACGATTTATCTAAACTGGTCATTCTGGGTCAATAAGTTTGGCTAAAAATAAATAATATCGAAATTGGTCACAGGAAATCTATTCTTTTTTTTTTTTTTTTGAGACGAAGTCTCACTCTGTCACCCAGGCTGGAGTGCAGCAGCATGATCTTGGCTCACTGCAACCTCTGCCTCCCGGGTTCAAGCAATTCTCTGCCTCAGCCTCCCAAGTAGCTGGGATTACAGGCGCCTGCCACCACGCCTGGCTAGTTTTTGTATTTTTAGTAGAGATGGGGTTTCACCATCTTGGCCAGGCTGGTCTTGAACTCCTGACCTTGCGTTCTACCCGCCTTGGCTTCCCAAAGTGCTGGGTCTGTCACCCAGGCTGGAGTGCAATGGTGCAATCATGGCTCACTGCAGCCTCAACCTCCCTGGGCTCAGATGATTCTCCCACCTTAGCCTCTCAAGTAGCTGGGATTAAAGGCATATGCCACCATGCCCAGCTAATTTTTCTATTTTTTTTGTAGAGACAGGGCATCCCTACCTTGCCCAGGCTGGTCTTGAACTCCTGGTTTCAAAGGATCCTCCTGCTTCAGCCTCCCAAAGCACTGGGTCTATTATTCCCTTTCATATTCAAACTTAATTCTGCATTTTCAAGGCCTTGAATTTTCAAGGGCAGCTTTTTCTGTCCCTGAACTTAATCTTCAGCTCCTCTCACCTCCTGGGAGGTTGGGGGGTGGGGAAGAAAAGTCCCAACCCTCTAATCCTGCTTTGGTCTTTTGCCGCCAGCCCCCATCCTGAAGCTACCAGTCAATTTGTTTGCATACAAGAAGATATCACTTTGGAGATTCTAAGTGTATACGAGGAAATGAGGTCAAAGACCAAATATATATATTTCACTATATCACACTTCAAACTTTTGTTTACTGTTTCCCTTCTCCTACTCTATTATAAACCTTTGAGGGTGGGGACTGTGAGTTATTTATCTTTATATTCCCAGTGTCAAGAGTGTTTAGCTATAATGGGAATGAATCTCAAAGTTTCTTGAATAAATGACAAGAAGAATCATAGTTGCATGAACTAAATTCATTATTCTCAGTCCTTGAGGTAAATGAATATATTGATATTATGTCTGCTTACTCTTTTTTTGCGAGAGAGAGAAAGAGGAGGGAGGGAGGGAAGGAAGGAAAAAAGGAAGGAAGGCGAAAAGAGTGAAAGAAAAGAGAGAGAAAAAGAGAGAGAAAGAAGGAAGGGGAGGGAAGGAAGGAAAAGAAGGAGGGAAGAAGGGAAAGGGAGGGAGAGGAAGAAAAGAAAGAAGAAGGAAGGAAAGAAAGAAAGAAGAAAAGGAGGGAGGAAGGAACGAAGAAAGGGAAAGAAGGAGGGAGGGAGGGAAATGAAGGAAAGAAAGAAAAAAGAAAGAAAGAAAAAAGAAAGAAGAAAAGGAGGGAGGAAGGAAGGAGGGAGGGAAGGATGGAAGAAAGGGAAAGAAGGAGGGAGGAAGGGACATGAAGAGAATAAAGAAAGAAAGAAGAAAAGAAAAGAAAAAAGAAAAGAAAAGGGAGGGCTCTGCGGGTGGCGGCGGCGCGGGGAGCCGGTTGCAGGCCGAGATGCTGCAGATGGACCTGATCGACGCGACGGGGGACACTCCCGGGGCCGAGGACGACGAGGAGGACGACGACGAGGAGCGCGCGGCCCGGCGGCCGGGAGCGGGGCCGCCCAAGGCCGAGTCCGGCCAGGAGCCGGCGTCCCGCGGCCAGGGCCAGAGCCAAGGCCAGAGCCAGGGCCCGGGCAGCGGGGACACGTACCGGCCCAAGCGGCCCACCACGCTCAACCTCTTTCCGCAGGTGCAGTTGTCTCAGGACACACTGAATAATAATTCTCTGGGCAAAAAGTACAGTTGGCAGGATCGGGTGTCTCGATCATCCTCACCCCTGAAGACAGGGGAGCAGACACCACCGCATGAACCCATTTGCCTGAGCGATGAGCTGCCCCCCCAGAGCAGCCCCGCCCCCACCACAGATCGAGGCACCTCCACCAACAGCCCACGCTGCTGGTAGATGAGCACGCGCAGCTGGAGCCGGTGAGCCTGCGGCCGTGCTTCGGAGACTACAGTGACGAGAGTGACTCGGCCATCGTCTATGACAACTGTGCCTCCGTCTCCTCGCCCTATGAGTCAGCCATCGGAGAGGAATATGAGGAGGCCTCCCGGCCCCAGCCTCCTGCCTGCCTCTCCAAGGACTCCACGCCTGACGAACCCGACGTCCATTTCTCCAAGAAGTTCCTGAACATCTTCATGAGTGGCCGCTCCCGCTCCTCCAGTGCCGAGTCCTTCGGGCTGTTCTCCTGCATCATCAACCGGGAGGAGCAGGAGCAGACCCACCGGACCATATTCAGGTTTGTGCCTCGACACGAAGACGAACCTGAGCTGGAAGTGGATGACCCTCTGCTAGTGGAGCTCCAGGCTGAAGACTACTGGTACGAGGCCTACAACATGCGCACTGGTGCCCGGGGCTTCTTTACTGCCTATTACGCCATCGAAGTCACCAAGGAGCCCGAGCACATGGCAGCCCTGGCTAAAAACAGTGACTGGGTGGACCAGTTCCGGGTGAAGTTCCTGGGCTCAGTCCAGGTTCCCTATCACAAGGGCGATGTCGTCCTCTCTGCCGCTATGCAAAAGATTGCCACCACCCGCCGGCTAACCGTGCACTTTAACCCGCCCTCCAGCTGTGTCCTGGAGATCAGCGTGCGGGGTGTGAAGATAGGTGTCAAGGCCGATGACTCCCAGGAGGCCAAGGGGAATAAATGTAGCCACTTTTTCCAGTTAAAAAACATCTCTTTCCGCGGATATCATCCAAAGAACAACAAGTACTTTGGGTTCATCACCAAGCACCTCGCCGACCACCGGTTTGCCTGCCACGTCTTTGTGTCTGAAGACTCCACCAAAGCCCTGGCAGAGTCCGTGGGGAGAGCATTCCAGCAGTTTCACAAGCAGTTTGTGGAGTACACCTGCCCCACAGAAGATATCTACCTGGAGTAGCCGCGCAGCCCCGCCCTCTGCGTCCCCCGGCCCTCAGGCCAGTGCCAGGACAGCTGGCTGCTGACAGGATGTGGCACTGCTTGAGGAGGGGCACCTGCCACCGCCAGGGGATGAGGAAGTGGGGGCCGCTGGCTCAGGGTAGGGGAGGGTGGGGCAATGGGGAGAGGCAAATGCAGTTTATTGTAATATATGGGATTAGATTCATCTATGGAGGGCAGAGTGGGCTGCCTGGGGATTGGGAGGGACAGGGCTTGGGGAGCAGGTCTCTGGCAGAGAAGGATGTCCGTTCCAGGAGCACACGGCCCTGCCCCATCCTGGGCCATACCTCCCCTGCCAGGGCTCGGGTGCTCTGGCTCCTGCCTTGATGAAGCCCATGTCCTGCCTTGATGAAGCCTGTGCCACCTGCAAGTGCCCGCCCTGCCCCGTCCCAACACCCACCGAAGAACCCTGAGCTCAGGCTGAGCCCAGCCACCTCCCAAGGACTTTCCAGTGAGGAAATGGCAACACATGGAAGTGAAGTCCCTGTTCTCAGCTCTGTCATCTGCGGGGCTTCTGGGTGGCTCCTGCCACCGACCTCACTGGCATGCTAGCCTGTGGCAGGCCTAGGACCTCAGCGGGGAGGAGGAGCTGCCGCAAGGCCCTATCCCAGCAGGAGAGGGAGGCTTCCTGACTGACACAGGCTAGCCCCATCTTGGTCCTGTCACCCTGGCCCCAACTATTAAAGTGCCATTTCCTGTCAAAAAAAAAAAAAAAAAAAAGAAAAGAAAAGGGAGGGAGGGAGGGAGGCAGGAAGGAAGGAAGAGAGGGAGGGAGGGAAGGGAGGAAGAAAGGGAAAGAAGGAGGGAGGGAGGGAAATAGAAAGAAAGAAGGAAAGAAAAAGAAAGAAAGAAAGAGAAATAAAATAAAAATTAAAAAACCATAAGGTTAAAGTAAACCCTTTTTCTTCATACAGATTAAAACACATGACTTCAAATTACAGCTTTGCTTCTTAATAGCTTGGTGATGTAGGACGTTATGTAACCTCTCTGTGCCTCAGTTTCCTCATTTATAAAATAGGGCAATGATAATATCTAGCCCATAAGGCATTGTGAGGATTAAATGTGAAATGCTGATCACAAATACCTAGCAGCCCAATAGATACTCACTGTAATAATTATTATTTTTATAATTTCTGCAAAAGTATGGTGATGATTCTTGGGTTAACCTAAAGGCAGATTTTCTTTTATTTCTTCCTGTTTCTTTTCTTTTCCTTGTTCACTTTAAAGAATTAAAAAGAAAATTGATTCCAGCATTTTGGAATAAAAATTTGCATCAAAAAGAATTTATTCATTTTATTGACATACAAATAAAATGTCATTTGTTTATTCAATAAACATTTATTAAATGTCTGGTAAATTTCAGACATCATGCCAGGCACAGGGATGACAATGACAATAAGATGTGGTCTCTGCCCTCAGGGAGCTGATAGTCCAGGAGACTGACAAGTAGACAGGTGATTACATGCAATGTAACAAAGGCTATGATGTCATACAAGAAGACAAGTGGGAGTATGTGATGGGAGTATGGTTTTGACCAGTTCCTCCTCTTAGATTTATCCCTTTTTCTTTGGCTATAAAGCAAAAGAATTGGTCCTATTTTTTTTTCTTAACTTTGCAAATTAAACCATAAATTTTAATAACTTTATAAAGATAAAAGGCAAGCGGTCAGATTCAGTGGCTCACACCTATAATCCCAACACTTTGGGAGGCCGAGGCAGGTGGATCACCTGAGATCAGGAGTTCGAGACCAGCCTGGCCAACATCGCGAAACCCTGTCTCTACTAAAAATACAAAAATTAGCTAGGTGTGGTGGCAGGCACCTGTAATCCCAGCTACTCAGGAGGCTGAGGCAGGAGAATCGCTTGAACCTGGGAGGTGGAGTTTGCAGTGAGATGAGATGGAGCCATTGCTCTCCAGCCTGGGCTACAGAGCAAGACTCTGTCTCAAAACAAAACAAAACAAGAAGATGAGCAACTTGAATTATGGAGGACACTAGAAATAGTGTTTCCTACAGAATCAGGGCTTCCTACCAACATAGTCACTTCTAGGGTTTTCGACCTGAAAAGTTCTGTGGCATATTGTTTCTTTGCTATCCACTTTTTTTTCCCTATTTTTCCCCCTCTTTCTCTCCTCTACTTTATCTCCTAGAGATCTAGGTAGTTCCCGAAGGAATAATGCTTTACAGAGTCTAATGTTGATTTATTAGGTAAAAACAGAAAATGATTTTTTTTTTTACCCACAAGTTCCATACCAAAAAATGAATGTAAACTTCTTATGCAGTTTCACACATTGAAAATGCAGGTTATTTTAATTCCATTGCATTTTTCAGAATTCTCAATCGCAATCCTCTGACAACTGTTGAAGATCCGTATCTCTTTAAATTACTGGCATTAAAATATCGGTAAGTACTATAGTACTCTTGGGAGTCATGAGATGATTTATACTCTTTTTAAATTTTTCATCAAAGATTAAGTATTTTGCATTTAGGCTAAAATGTCATAATTTAAATTTTAACTGAGTTATTGAAAAACATTATTGGCAAAGGAAAGGATGTGTAATGGTCAAGATAGCCAGCAGGGGAAAGAGAACAGTGTTGAAGAACCCATATAGATTTGGAACATGTAGACACATGGAGGAATATTACTTAACCAAGAAAGCAAAGGGGAAAAGGTGTTCATTATTCTAAAAAGGAAGAAAAGAGTAAATATTCAAGATGGGTGAATGCAATATGAAACTGAGAAGTAAGATAATGGTAAAAAAAAAAAAAAAACAGTGTAAGACCTACTCTTGAATATCATTAATTTGATGATGCAAATCAACTTTAATTTCTTTAATAAGAGCTCTCTGGAATTTTGCGGCAAATAAACTGTTGAACTGGCTTGTTTTATAGGGAAGCCAAAATTGAAGTAATCACATGTCCTTGAATTATCTTTTTAAGTACAGAATTTTTTATTGGGGTTCATATCATGACTGTTTCGGCTTTCTTCTTCAGAGACGTGGGAACAACGCAAGTCCCACTTACAACACTTAAGAACATTCTCATGATGACCGTTGAACTGGAAAAACTGTAAGTTATTTTTTTCTTAGACTTATTTTCACCTTGTTGCGTTTTTAGGTTTGTTTTATTATTTTCTTAAGTCAGGTTTATTGAGATATAATTTTCATATACTAACATTCACCCTTTTTAAGTGTACAATTTGATGAGTTTTGACAAATGTATAGTTACATAACCACCACCACATTCCCAATATAAAGCATTTCTGTCACCTCAAAAAGGTCCCTCGTGTCCCTTTGTAGTCAATCACCTCCTCCCACCATCAGCCCCTGTTAGCTACTAATCTGATTTCCTATAGTTTTGCCTTTTCCAGAATATCTTATAAATGAAATCATATAGCATGTAGCCTCTTGTATTTGACTTCTTTCACTTAGCATAATTTTTTCTTTTTTGAGATGGAGTCTCACTGTTGCCCAGGCTGCAGTGCAGCGGCATGACCTAGACTCACTGCAACCTCCACCTCCCAGGTTCAAGTGATTCTCCTGCCTCAGCCTCCTGAGTAGCTGGGATTACAGGCACCTGCCACCACGCCTGGCTAAGTTTTGTATTTTTAGTAGAGACGAGGTTTCACCATGTTGGCCAGGCTGGTTTCGAAGTCCTGACCTCAAGTGATCCGCCCGCCTTGGCTTCCCAAAGTGCTAGGATTACACGTGTGAGCCACCTCACCTGGCCTCACTTATCATATTATTTTTTGAAATTATGCTACCATCCATGTTGCTGCACCCATCACTACAGCTGGCCCTCCAGATCTGCAGGTTCCTCATCCATGGATTCAACTAAACATGGATGGAGAATACTTGAAAAAAATGAAATATATAAAATAACTGTAAGACAACAAAAACAGTAGAAAATTTAAAATACAGTATAATTATTTACATACCATTTACACTGTATTAGGTATTTAAAGCATACCTGAGGCTATATACAAACATTATGTCATTTCATAGAAAAGACTTCAGCATCTGTGGACTTTGGTGTCGGCAGGGGGTCCTGGAGCCAATACCCTGCAGATGCCGAGGGACAACTGTTCACTCCTTTTTATTGCTCAGTAGTATTCCGGTTGTGTGGAAACCCCATCTCTACTAAAAATACACAAATTAGCCAGGTGTGGTGGCACACGCCTGTAATCTCAGCTACTCAGGAGGCTGAGGCATGAGAAGTGCTTGAAGCTGGGAGGTGGAAGTTGCAGAGTCTCCTTTACACTTGCTGTCCTCCCTCCACTGCTGCCTGACACACTCCTCCCCAGCAGTGGCCTCTTCATAGGCAAATTTGAGGAGCACCTTTCAGTTCCTGTCCTGCTTGACTTGGCCCTGATGTTTGAAATTCTTGATGAATCTTTCTTCCGGAAATGCACTCTTTCTATGCTTCCAGGAAATCTTTTTCTTGGTTCTCCAGACAACTTCTTAGACTCCTTGACGAATTCCTTCTTGTTGCCAATAATGGAAACAAACCAGCCCTACCTAAGCAAAGCACATTAAAACTCACTAGAAAGATACAGGGGAGGGGGCGCCCACTAAACCACTAAAGAGACAGGAGGTGGGGAGCTGTAGGACCAGGTTTGGGAACCTGCAAGAATCAAGACCAGAGCCCCTGAAATAGCAAGAAGCTGGAAGCACAGGAACTGTCAGAGCCGGATGGCTGTCACTGCAGTCAGCGCCTCTGATTGTTTGTTTTTGAGATGGAGTCTCGCTCTGTCGCCCAGGCTGGAGTGCAGTGGTATGATCTCGGCTCACTGCAACCTCCACCTCCTGGGTTCAAGCAATTCTCCTGCCTCAGCCTCCCGAGTAACTGGGACTACAGGAGCCTGCCACCATGCCTGATTAGTTCTTTATATTTTTAATAGAGATGGGGTTTCAACATGTTTCTCTCGAACTCCTGACCCCAGGCGATCCACTTGCCTCGGCCTCCCAAAGTGCTGGGATTACAGGCGTGAGCCACCATGCCTGGCCAGTTTTTGTATATTTAGTAGAGACTGGCTTTGCCATGTTGGCCAGGTTGGTCTCAAACTCCTGACCTCAAGTGATCCATCCACCTCCGCCTCCCAAAGTGCTGGGATTACAGGCATGAACCACTGTGCCCAGCCACCTCTGATAGTTTTCATCGTCCTCGGGCCACTTGCTCCCAAATCACGGTTCCAGACAAAAGCTTACAAGTAGTCCAGCTTTGGCCAGGCTCAGTGTGATGGTTAATACTGAGTGTCAACTTGATTGGATTGAAGGATACAAAGTATTGATCTTGGGTGTGTCTGTGAGGGTGTTCCCAAAGGAGATTAACATTTGAGTCAGCGGGCTGAGAAAGGCAGACCCACCCTTAATCTGGGTGGGCACAAGCTAATCAGCTGCCAGCAAGGCTAGAATATAAGCAGGCAGAAAAATGTGAGAGACTGGCTTAGCCTCCCAGCCAACATCTTTCTCCCGTGCTGGATGCTTCCTACCCTCCAACATCGGACTCCAAGTTCTTCAGTTTTGGAACTCAGACTGGCTCTCCTTGCTCCTCAGCCTGCAGATGGCCTATTGTGGGACCTTGTGATCCTGTGAGTTAATACTTAATAAACTCCTGTATATATTCCATTAATTCTGTCCCTCTAGAGAACCCTGACTAATACGCTCGGTGACTCACACCTGTAATCCCAGTACTTTGGGAGGCTCAGGCAGGAGGATGGCTTGAGCCCCAGAATCTTCTTCTTCTCCTTCTCCTTGTCCTTCTCTTCCCTTCCCCTTTCTCCTCTTCCTCTTCCTTCTCTTCCTCTTCCTCCTCTTCCTCTCCTTCCTCTTCCTCTTCTTCCTCTTGTTTGTTTGAGAAAGGTTCTCACTCTGTTGCCAAGGCTGGATTGTAGTGGCACAATTGTGACTCACTGCTTCTCAGCCTCCTGAGAGCCCAGGAGTTTGAGGCTGCAGTGAGCTATGATCACACTACCACACTCCTGCCTGGGTGACAGAGCAAGACCCTGTCTCAAAAAACAAACAAAAAACTCTGGTATGATAGAGGTGAATTGTCTGTTTTATCCTGATAATTCTGCTTACTTTAGTCCCGTGGTTCTCAACTGGGCCAATTTTGCTCCCCAAGTGACATTTGGCAATATCTGGGCAGAGGTCAAGGACGCTGCTTAACATCTTTTTTTTTTTTTTTGAGACACAGTTTTGCTCTTGTTGCCCAGGCTGGAGTGAAATGGCACGCTCTCGCCTCACTGCAACCTCTGCCGGGTTCAAGCGATTCTCCTGCCTCAGCCTCCCGAGTAGCTGGGATTATGGGCATGCACCATCACGCCTGGCTAATTTTGTATTTTTAGTAGAGATGGGGTTTCTCCATGTTGGTCAGGCTGGTCTCAAACTCCCAACCTTAGGTGATCAGCCCGCCTCAGCCTCCCAAAGTGCTGGGATTACAGGTGTGAGCCACCTCACCTGTCCTGCTTAACGTCTTAAAACACACAGGACAATTCCCCCATAAAAAAATGATGACCAGCCAAAAATGTCAACAGTATCAAGGTGAAGAAATTGCCATAAAGGCTTGGTAAACAGGGATGGTATGACGACACTATTGATAGGCCACATTAAAATACTTAGGGCCATATCCATTATCCCTGTTTTTATGATTTCTTCTTTGTCCCCATGCAGTTTCAGGGGCAAAATAAGGGAGTAAGTCAAAGGTGGTTCCAAATAGACATCTGGGAATCTTAGGGTGTAATATGGCCCTCATGGAGGCCCTTGCTGAGCTTAGGGCCTGATTCTGGAATCCTAGCATTGCCAAGAGAGGCAGGCTGGCAGGTGAGAAGACAAATAATGGGAGAGCCCACATATGTTGGAATTCATTTGATGGTATCTAAGCTGGGGTGATTGTCCCCACTAGCATTACATGACTATGGATCCAGTTATTTGGAGAAATCCATTTCCTCCACAGGGAATATATGCTACATTAGAACCAAAGATGGAATCCTTAGTAAATGGAATCATTTGGCAAAATTCAGTTGTCTGAAATTTTTGCATAAAATTCTCTTTTTTATTTTCATTGAGCCAAATAAATAAAGTATCAGGTATTTACTAGGGTCACCATTCTTTGATTCATTGATTTTTTTTTTCAGACAGGATCTTGCTCTGTCACCCACGTTGGAGTGCAGTGGCATAATCTCAGTTCACCGCAACCTCCACTTCCTGGGCTTAAGTGATTCTCCCGCCTCAGCCTCCCAAGTAGCTGGAAATACAGGTGTGTGCCACCATGCCCGGCTAATTTTTGTATTTTTTGTAGAGATGGGTTTTCATCATGTTTCCCAGGCTGGGTTTTTTTTTTTTCAAATGTCTTAGGGTTTTCGCTTTATTATTTCCTTGATATCCACAGCAGAAGTTCAGAGGTATAACTTCAACATTAACAGGTGAAAAGTTCTACAATGACTCGTTGCACTCCATCACATTAGAATAATTGAACTATAATTTCCATACAACACAAGAAAACTACAGTATTTAGTGACAACTGAAAGATACCTGATAAATAAATATATCAACTTACTACTCATGAAAAGAATGGAGCTGGTTATTTCAGCTATAAAAGGGCAAAGCAAAAAGACCATTTTCTAGCCATTTGAAAGTTACTCAAAAAATTGATACAATGGAATGGAAAGGAAAACAAAAAAGATTGTAAGCAACTTTAACAATGTTCTTGCATTCTACTGATACACAAACCTCTAGGGTTTCAGTTGACACAATCAAGTTCAACTTGTACTGACAGAAAATATTAAAAACCTTCCTATTGAGTTTTTAATATCAAACAGGGAGGTTAGTAAATTGTTTTCTGATTCTTCTACAAAAAAAAAGTCTAGAAGAGGGACAGGGAATGTAGTGTGCACCACTTATTATTATTCTAAGTAATAATTTTTACTTACGAGGTCAACACGAGTGCAAAGGGCTTAGTGATGCATCTTATTCTTTAATTTTGGACAGTAACACCCTCAGATGGTATTTTTATTGGTTTGTTTTATATCCCCCTTTTCCATTTGCCCTTCTGTTTTGAAGTGCTTTTTCTTAAAACTTAAGTTCTTTGCCTCCATTTTCTTATAAACCCAATTTCCTCTTTAGTGCAACTCTACCATTTGAAAGGAACCTTTCTATTGTAATTTACAAGCTGTGAATAACCGCTATGTAATTCTTTCCAAGGATTAATAAACTGAGAGATGATTTGAACCAACAGAGGTAGGGAAAGATTAGAAGGGGGATGCAAGTAGCCACAGATCTTAGAGGCGGCCAGCAGAGGGCGCTGCTCCAAGGTGAAGGTTGCACCCTGAGAGGCCATCCTTTTTTGTAGGACCAGACTGGGGTGTAAGGACAGTGCCTCATCCTCACAACGACAGACCTGTGTTCTGGGTGTGGATTTGCCTCCCTTGCCTGCGGGACTTCTGCTAGCACTGCCGTTCCTAGACTTAGACCATGCTAGAATGAGTCCAGGAACCGAGGAGAGGAGATGGGAGTGGCTCCTCCCACTGTGGCCCCTAATAATTCACATGAAGAATTTTTGCTTTCCTTGCCAGGGACCCGGGACTCAGTGGGTCCAGAGGTCCTAGTGCCAAAGGAAGAAATGTGTAGATCAGGAAATACTATTATGGTTTTATTCAACTGGAAGCCGAGGCTGGCCATTTATTGTATGTATTTATTTATCTATCTATTTATTTATTTATTTATTTATTTATTTTGAGACAGAATCTCACTCTTGTTTCCCAGGCTCCCAGGCTCAAGAGATCCTCCTACCTTAGCCTCCTGAGTAGCTGGTACTACAGTCGCATGCCACCTTGCCCAGCTAATTTTTTTTCTTTTTTTTTTTTTTTTTTGAGACGCAGTCTCATTTTGTTGCCCAGGCTAGAGTGCAGTGGCGCGGTCTTGGCTCACTGCAACCTCCACCTCCTGGGTTGAAGCGATTCTCCTGTCTCAGCCTCCGGAGTAGCTGGGATTACAGGCATGTGCCACCGCGCCTGGCAATTTTTTTTTTTAGTAGAGGCGGGGTTTCACCATGTTGGCCAGGCTGGTCTCAACTCCTGACCTTGTGATCCGCCTGCCTCAGCCTCCCAAAGCGCTGGGATTGCAGACATAAGCCACCGCGCCTGTTTTTTTTTTTGTTTTGTTTTGTTTTCTGACAGAGTCTCTGTCACCCAGGCTGGAGTGCAGTGGTGTGATCTCAGCTCACTGCAACCTCTGCCTCCTGGGTTCAAGCGATTCTCCTGCCTTAGCCTCCCAAGTAGCTGGGATTATAGGCGCACGCCACTATGCCCAGCTAATTTTTGTATTTTTAGTAGAGGTGGGGTTTCACTGTATTGGCCAGGCTGGTCTCAAACTCCTGACTTCAGGTGATCCACCCACCTCGGCCTCCCAAAGTGCTGGGATTATAGGTGTGAGCCATCAAGCCCAGCCCTGCCCAGCTAATTTTTACACTATGGGCAAGTATGCTGCCCAAGAGTGCTCTGGAACTCCTGGGCTCAAGTGATCTTCCTTCCTCGGCCTCCCAATGTGCTTGGATTACAAGCATGAGCCACCTTGCCCAGCCGAAGCTGGCCATTTAAAGTTCCTCATGCTGCTGAATCAATAAGGATGGAAGGCGGCTACTATTATGGGCTAAGTGTTTGCATCCTCCCCAAATTCTTTTTTTTTTTTGAGATGGAGTTTTGCTCTTGTTGCCCAGGCTAGAGTGCAGTGGCGCGATCTCTGCTCACTGCAACCTCCACCTCCCAGGTTCAAGTGATTCTCCTGCCTCAGCCTCCCGAGTTAGCTGGGATTACAGGCATACGCCACCACACCCGGCTAATTTTGTATTTTTAGTAGAGATGGGGTTTCTCCATGTTGGTCAGGCTGGTCTCAAACTCCCGACCTCAGGTGATCTGCTGACTTCAGCCTCCCAAAGTGCTGGGATTACCGGCATGAGCCACCACGCCCAGCCCCCAAATTGTTTTTTTTTTTTTTTTTTTTTGAGACGGAGTCTTGCTCTGTCACCCAGGCTGGAGTGCAGTGGCATGATCTTGGCTCACTGCAAGCTCTGCTTCCCGGGTTCACGCCATTCTCCTGCCTCAGCCTCCCGAGTAGCTGGGACTACAGGCGCCCGCCACCACGCCTGGCTAATTTTTTGTATTTTTAGTGGACACGGGGTTTCACCGTGTTAGCCAGGATGGTCTCGATCTCCTGACCTCGTGATCTGCCCGCCTCGGCCTCCCAAAGTGCTGGGATTACAGGCGTGAGCCACCGCGCCCCGCCTCGACCCCCAAATTCTTATGTTGAAGCCCTCACCTCCATGTGATGGTATTAGAAGGTGGGGTCTTTGGGACGTAATTAGGCTGACAGTGCCCCATGATGGGATGAGTGTCTTAAAAGAAAAGACCAGGTGGTCTGGCTAGTGGCTCACCCCTGAAATCTCAGCACTTTGGGAGAAAAGACCAGGTGGTCTGGCTAGTGGCTCACCCCTGAAATCTCAGCACTTTGGGAGGCCAAGGTGGGTGGATCACTTGAGATCAGGCGTTTGAGACCAGCCTGGGCAATATGGTGAAAAGCCATCTCTACTAAAAATACAAAAATTAGCTGGGCGTGGTGGCGCAAGTCTGTAATCCCAGCTACTTGGGAGGCTGAGGTGGGAGAATCGCTTGAACCCGGGAGGTGGAGGTTGCAGTGAGCCCAGATCATGTCATTGCACTCCAGCCTCCAGCCTGGACAGAGAGAGCATCTGAGAGTCTCTGTCTCAAAACAAAAAGAAAAAAAAAAAAAAGAAGAGACCAGAGAGCCTTTCTTCTCTTTGTCCACCAAGTGAAGATATAGCAAGAAGGCAGCCATCTGCAAGCTAGGAAAAGAGCCCTTGCCAGCACCCAATCATGCTATCACCCTGATATGGGACTTCCCAGCCTCCAGAACTGTGAGAAATCAATGTCTGTTGTTTAAGCCACCCAGTATGTAATAGCAGCCTGAGCTAACTAAAACCATCACCGAACTAGCCTCTTTACCTATGATTAGCAAGAGGAAAATGGCTCTGTTACTTAGTAGAGGAAGGAGGCTATGTCTGAAAGCCAAAAATTCACTGGGGACACATCTTAGCAGGCTCTTGACCCTAAGACCTGGTTAATGGAAAAGTAGAGCAACCCAATAAAAACAAGACCACCAAGAAGTCAGGTCTTATGGAATAAAGTATTGAGTGTCCCTATGAGGCACAGAACCCTTCGAAAGGGGATTGGAAGAAGTGGTGGAAGAAGGCGGCTATGATTATCAACTTAGACTTCATCGCCATTTGTAGAAGGAGGCTTCTAACAGCTATGTTTTATGTTAATTGGCTCTTTTCTTTTTTCTTTCAACCTTATATTAAGAGCACTGGCAGAAGCTAGCGGTTTTGGTATCCTGTAATTATTAGTTGTATAACCTTGGCCAAGTAACTCAACCTTTCTGTGCCTCAGTTACTCATCTGTAAAACAGGGTAATAAGTCTCAACCTCGTACTTATGTTGTTATAAAGATTTAACACTAGGCTGGGCATGGTGGCTCACACCTGTAATCCCAGCACTTTGGGAGGCCGAGGAGGGTGGATCACCTGAGGTCAGGAGTTCAAGACCAGACTGGCCAACATGGCAAAACCCTGTCTCTACTAAAAATACAAAAAATTAGCTGGGTGTGGTGGCACGTGTTTGTAATCCCAGTTACTCGGGAGGCTGAGGCAGGAGAATTGCTTGAACTAAACCTGGGAGGCGGAGGTTGCAGTGAGCCAAGATCGTGCCACTGCACTCTAGCCCAGGCAACAGAGTTAGACTCTGTCTCAAAAAAAAAAAAAAAAAAAAAAAAATTAACACTTTGAACAAAAAAGAAAAAAATAATAAAATTTAAAAAAGATTTAACAATTGGGCCAGGCATGGTGGCTCATGCCTGTAATACCAGCACTTTGGGAGCGTGAAGATGGAGGATTACTTGAACCCAGGAGTTCCAGACCAGCCTGGACAACAAAGCAAGACTTTGTTTCTACTTTAAAAAAAAAAACCAAAGTCAGGTGTGGTGGTACACACCTGTGATCCCAGCTACTTGGGAGGCTGAGATGGGAGGATCCCTTGAGCCTTGGAGGTTGAGGCTGCAATGAGCCATGATCATACCACTGCACTCCAGCCTAGGCGACAGAGTGAGGCCCATGTCAAAAAAAAAAAATTATCCCCAACATTTAGCAGCTTAAAACAAAAAACATTTATTATATCACACTTTCTGTGGGTCAGGAATCTGGGAGGGACTTAGCTGGGTGGTTCTGCTCAGTTCTCTTGGGATGTTTCAGTCAAGCAGTGGCCTGGGGCTGCACTCTTATCTGAAGACTCAATTGGGAGAAAATATGCATTCAAGGTCACTCGTTGGTTGTTGGCAGGCTGTAGTTCCTCACTGAATATTGGTTGAAGACTTCATTGGCTTACTACCTGGACTTCTCCACACACTGCCTGAATGTCCTCCCCACATAGCTAGAGTGAATGAACTAAAAAAGAGAGAGAACACACACAGCCCAGGTAAGAGTTCAGTCTTTCTAAGTCATTATATGAAAAAGATTCTTTTTTTTTTTTTTTGAGATGGAGTCTCGCTCTGTCGCCAGGCTGGAGTGCAGCAGCACGATCCCAGCTCACTGCAACCTCTGCCTCCCGGGTTCAAGTGATTCTCCTGCCTCAGCCTCCCAAGTAGCTGGGATTACAGGCGTGTGCCACTATGCCCAGCTAATTTCTGTACTTTTAATAGAGACGGGGTTTCACCATGTTGGCCAGGATGGTCTTGATCTCTTGACCTTGTGATCCACCCACCTTGGCCTCCCAAAGTGCTGGGATTACAGGAGTGAGCCACCGCTCCTGGCCGAAAAAGATTCTTGCACACACATGTTTATAGTAGCACTATTCACAATTGTAAAAATGTGGAACCAACCCAAATGCCCATCAATGAGTGGCTAAAGAAACTGTGGTATAGATATACAGTGGAATACTACTCAGTCATAAAAAGGAATGAATTAATGGCATTTGCAGCAACCTGGACGGGATTGGAGACTATTATTCTTGTTTTTTTTTTTTTTTTTGAGATAGAGTCTCACTCGGTCACCCAGGCTGGAGTGCAGTTGCGCAATCTTGGCTCACTGCAAGCTCTGCCTCCTGGGTTCACACCATTCTCCTGCCTCAGCCTCCCAAGTAGCTGAGACTACAGGCGCTTGCCACCATGCCTGGCTAATTTTTTTTTTTTTTTTTGTATTTTTAGTAGAGACCGGGTTTCACCATGTTAGCCAGGATGGTCTCGATCTCCTGACCTCGTGATCCACCCGCCTCAGCCTCCCAAAGTGCTGGGATTACAGGCGTGAGCCACCGCACCCGGCCTTTTTTTTTTTTTTTTTTTTTTTTTTACTAACCAGGGGTTTAATATAAATACAACCAGCATAGAAAGACCCAAAACTATACAGAAACCAAAACCAGAATGCCATGTGGTGGAGGCAAAGGGCATAATTCCTGACCCCTTTGGCTCAGCTGCCCTTCCCCACAAATAAAAACCAACAAACAGGACAAATCAGGACAATAAAGAAGATTCATGCTAAGCTGTGGCAGAGGGGGGAAGGTATGATCGGGTGGGGGTGGGACAAGGAATGGCCAGGGAAGATAACTGGGTCAGGTTGGACCCTGGGCTGGGAGGGGGAGGGCAAGGCCCATCACCACAACTTAAGCAAAACCTAAGCTGCCCCCAGGTGCCATAGGTCCCTGTCCCAGCAGGGAGGCTGATGGGCCTGGGCCCATGCCCCTCCCCACCTTTGGGGGTCAGATAGTGGCCACCCAGGTCTGCTGGGTTGGGGCCTGACACAGGCTGTGCATGCCCATTCGGGCTGCCTGTGGAGAGAGAATGGAGTCACTGTTTAACCATGCTACCTGCCTCAGCCCCAGCAGACCACAGGAGGTTGGCCCCAGACTCAATGAGTGCCTGCAGCAGCCGTACAGACACAGCATCCTTGGCCACCTCATGCCCATCCCGGCCATCTAGGATCAGCACAACCCAGATGAGGCCGCTGAAGGGCACCGGATGCCCAGGAATCACCACCTGGTACCAGAAGCGGTGCCAGCCAGCAGGTCCTATGCCCAAACACTTGGTGAGGAACACAGAGCTGCCCAGCTTCATTCGTTGGCACAGCAACTGCAGGGTAGCCCGAGCCCCTTGGGACCCTAACTTGTCCCTTGCCAAGGCCAACTGGCTGCCGTCTGGCTGTGGGGACCACAAGGAGGGACCCACAAGCTGCTGGCGAAGTCGCTGCTTCAGTTCTGGCTTGAGCCACTCCACAGCCACCTGCTCTCCACAGAGGTGTGGCTGCCCTTCCTCCAGGGCCTTTTTGGCCATGGCAGCGGTCCAGTGCGAGCTGAATTTGAGCAGAGCGATCTGCCCGGGCGCCGGTCCGGGGCTGGGCAGCAGCCGCGCCTCCTGCAGGCCGGGACCCAGCGGCTGCAGCGCGGGCTGCAGCGCGGTGCGGGTCAGATTCGGCGGCAGGCAGTCAACGCTCAGCTCACACTTCCCGGTGCTGCGGCACAGAAGCAGCGGGCAGGACGGCCGCAGCGGGTGGTTGTGCAGCGGGCGATGGCGGCCTGCGCGCCGCGCCGCGAGCTGCAGCGGGCATATGCGAAGCCGCGGTTCAGGCCGCTGAAGGTCATCATCAGGCGGAACTCGTAGAGGCGGCCCACGCGCTGGAACAGCAGGATAGCTGGTGCTCATACACTTCCTGAGGCAGCCGCCCGATGAACACCTCTGACCCAGCCGGCGGCGGGCTGCCCACCCAGCCTGGGGGTGGCCCGCCATACTTCCTCTGCCCGTTCACCTGCACCAGGCGATGCCTGTCTGCCTGACCCACGCCTCCAGCGCCGCCTTGTTCTCTGGCTTCACCCTCTCACACCACAGCTCACAATCCCGCGTGGACTGCATGGCTCTCTATTCTCTTTTTTTTTGAGACGTAGTTTCACTCTTGTTCTCCAGGCTGGAGTGCAATGGCAGGATCTTGGCTCACCGCAACCTCCGCCTCCCGGGTTCAAGCGATTCTCCTGCCTCAGCCTCCCAAGTAGCTGGGATTACAGGCACCCGCCACCATGCCCAGGTAATTTTTGTATTTTTAGTAGAATTTAGGAGTTTCCTAAATTCTGGGGGCTTGTCTCCCTGTTCCCCCACCCCGACTAATTTCCCTCGGTCGCTGCCACTGCCCCGTCCCTTAGGTCGCTCGGGCCGCCCCACTCCGAGACTTTTTTTTCTTTCGCTGGTTCTTTCAGCTTCAGTTTCCCTAGAGGGCGGGAGGGGAATATTTGGGGGCTCTCCTGCCTTCCTCTCCGAGCCGCGGAAGGGGAGACGCAGGGAGGAGGTCCGACCGGCTTTGGGCTCCAGCCAGGGGTCCGCGGAGACTATGGTCTCCGAAGGCCTTAGACGCGGGGCATTTCGCCAGCTGCGCGTCTCTCTCAACCGCGCCACCAAGCCCGGAGTCCAGCCGCGCCTCGCTGCGCCCAGCCCCGGCGCCCCAGGCTCTCTGCCCCCGACTCAATGCTCCCGCGCTCCCCCAAGCAGCCGCTGCGCCACCTCGCCCCGTCCCAGGCTCGTAGGCTGCTCAGCTCACGTGACCGCGCTCCGTTAACGGAAGAAACGAGATGGAGGCTGAAGGCGATCCGCAGTGGGGCCCCAGCCATTCGGATTGAGCCTTCTCCCTCCAACCGCTTCCGCAGGCCGGGCCCCTCCTGCCCTGCCCCTCTGGCCTCCCCACCCGGCCCCAGCCGCCCCCACTGCGCCCATTGCGCCCGCCCCTTCCCGGCCGCTTTCCCTTCTCCCTCCGCCTCGGCTCCAACATGAGGGGCCGGCGGGGCAGGCCGACCAAGCAGCCCGCGGCTCCCTCTGCGGAGCGCTGCGCCCCGGCCCCGCCGCCGCTGCCGCTGCCCACGTCCGGACCCATCCGGGGTTCCGCTCGCGGCAACGCGGTAGCAGCCCGGGCAGGTGGGTCGCCGCCAGGCTGAGGTGGCGCCCAAGACGCGCCTGAGCTCGCCCAGGATGGGCAGCAGTAGCCGGAGAAAGCCGCCGCCGCCGGCCCCACCCCAGCACCAGCGCCCCGGCCGGGGGGAGGCGGGGGCAGCCACCTGGCCCGGACGGCTGCGGTCTGGAGGGCTGTCAACAAAGTGGTGTAGGAGGACGCCAGTTACTGCACGGAAAGCAGCGTCAGGAGCCATAGTACCTACAGCAGCACTCCAGGTACCCACTCAGCCCAGTTGCTGCAGACTCCTTCCCCACCTTCTCTGCCCTCCCCCTTTGCTCACTCGTGTGCTGTGCATCCTGCTCCGATCTCCCCCCAACCCCGCCGACCCCCAGAGGGGAAATGCGAGGGCACATCAAGTGGCAAAAAACCAGATTTATAGGAGGAAAGAGGCGCATTGTTCAAAATGGAGATTGCATTGTTGCAGTTGGCGGGCCACACTCGCTCTCTCTTCCCGCCTCCCGCCAACCTCCTCTTTTTCCTCCTCAGAATTTGTACCAGTGTAGTGTCTCCACCGGGCAAGATTGAAACTTGGGCAAACACATATCCATTGCTTTCATTTTTTCCCCTTGTTTTGGTAGTTTTCTGGAATGAAAGAAGCCTCTTGTTTTGCAAACCTCTTTTCATTTCTAATGTGGTTCCTTTCGGATTTTTATTATATATCTGTTCCTTAAAAGGGAATTAAGGATTTGGACAGATTGTGTGCCACAATCTGTTTTCACACCCCTAGCTGTGGTTTTAAAATTATGTTAAGGAAACGGATCATTTGGGTTAGTAGGGGAACCTTATCTGGTCTTGTGTGTTTGTTTTTATTCTTCGAGTGCTAACGGGCCCGTGCAACAGTTTCTGGTAAATGGCTGATTAAAAAGCAAAGCAGAAAGCCAAACAAGACCCAACGAAATTTGGTAATTCATCTGATTCAAAATTGTTTTGGTTAAATCAAAAATTTACAAGACCGCAGGAACACGCGTCTTAACTCATTTGATCGCTTTGCCTTGCTTGGGAAATGCAGGTTCGTGTCACCTGTTGCAGAAGATGTGTAGTTGATCATCTAGGCATAAGTGCCTAAGATGAACTTTTGGACCAACTTCTAAGTCACACAGCGTCAGTATCAGATTTATTACACAACGACTTATTCTTTTCACTCTATTTCTGAGGAAAAAGCCCTCCCGAAATCCGTAATGAATTTCTCCATGGTAACCCCTCTTCTGTTTACACACAGAAAAGTTTCTCTAGGCTGGTGCTGAGATGCATTTTGTTAACCGCCCCGCCCCGCCCCGCCCCGCCCAAAGGCTGCTTTGTATTAAATACGTAGTTGCAGTGTACTAAATTGTGAAATTAACATAACCGAAGCAACAACCGGCAAGACTTGTCCTTTATAATTTTGCAAATCTAAATTAATTAAATTAGAATCTGGTTTTAAAATCATTTTTAAAATAAAGTTTATGAGGAAGTATTTGTGAGGAAAAAGGACCCTTTTTTCCTTGAAGTGAGGTGTGTCCTGTCTTTCTCAGAGAGACTAGGGTAGTAGAAGTGGTTAAATTGAAAAGTTTCTGTTTTTTAATAAATGCTTAAATACTTATTGGAGAAGTAGGGTAGTATTATATTAAGCCAAATGTAAACCCACGTAGGTTGTCCTAACATAAACTGAAAAAAGGTAATTTCTTTTGCCCGATGGTCAGAATCCTCGCCAGACTTGCCCTGGGAGGCTGGCTGGAGAATGAAGGGAATGAATCAAATGTCAGATATTTATGTCTTATATGTAAAAAGGAGTACATGTAAATTCTTGCCAACTTAATTTTAGTGCTTTTTTTTTTTTTTTTAAAGGAGTCTTGCTCTGTCGCCTAGGCTGGAGTGCAATGGCGCAATCTTGGCTCACTGCAACCTTCACCTCCCGGACTCAAGTGATTCTCCTGCCTCAGGCTCCCCAGCAGCTGGGATTACAGGCGCCCACCAGCACGCCTGGCTAATGTTTGTATTTTTAGTAGAGATGGGGTTTCACCATGTTGGCCAGGCTGGTCTCGAACTCCTGACCTCATGATCCGCCCACCTCAGCTTCCCAAAGTGCTGGGACTAAAGGCGTGAGCCACCGTGCCTGGGCTAGTACATCTTTTATAGTAATAATTTTTACCTTAAGAAATCACATGTTGGTCTTTGTACCCAGAGCCGGTAATTGAAACATGGAGACTGGATTGCATACACCCCTGGAGGAAGTTTTTTCTGGTTAGACAGAGCTGAGACATTTTGGCAGGGCAGTTCAGCTAACTTTAAGTCGTATTTGAAGGCCTAGCAAATAATATTTAGGATTGATGGCTGTGCATATGCTGACTTAAATTACAATTTGTAGCTAGGTGTTCTTTAAAAAAATGTGTTTACTTTTGATACTTTTGTGACATTTTGTTTTTCTTTTTTTGAGAAGGAGTTTTGCTTTTGGTGCCCAGGCTGGAGTGCAATGGTAGAATCTCGATCTTGGCTCAATGCAACCTCTGCCTCCCAAGTTCAAGCAATTCTCCTGCCTCAGCCTCCCAAGTAGCTGAGATTACAGGCATGCACCACCACGCCTGGCTAATTTTGTATTTTTAGTAGAGACGGGGTTTCTCCACGTTGGTCAGGCTGGTCTCAAACTCCCGACCTCAGGCGATCCGTCTGCCTCAGCCTACCAAGGTGCTGGGCCTACAAGCGTGAGCCACCATGCCTGGCCTGAGATTTTGTTTTTCTTAATGACACCTGTAGCCTACTGTGTGTCTACTTGTCCTATCCTTATATGAAATTATTAACTCTGTAGAGATAGGTATTGAGCGTATTCCCTCTGCAGCTCCTGTAAGTGTTTTGCACATAGCAAGTGCTCATCAAAGATTGGTTGGATAAATTATTGTTAGTAGATGAGAACTTGTAGTACATGAAGTTTCGATAATTCTACAGTGGGTGTCATAACCCCTAAATATTTTGGATTTAGGAAACTAAAAATTGTCCTAATTGGTTTTTTGTTGTTGTTGTTCTTTTCTAATTGGATTTTGATGGACAATTTGATCAGTGAATGTCTCGCTCTGTTGCCCAGGGAGGAGTGCAATGGCACGCACGATCTTGGCTCACCACAACCTCCACCTCCCGGGTTCAAGCAATTCTCCTGCCTCAGCCTCCTGAGTAGTTGGGACTACAGGTGCACGCTGCCACACCCAGCTAATTTTTTGTATTTTAGTAGAGATGGGGTTTCACCATGTTGCCCACACTGTTCTTGAACTCCTGAACTCAGGCAATCCGCCCGCCTCAGCCTCCCAAAGTGCTAGGATTACAGGCATGAGCCACCTGGCCTGGCCCAGTGAATGTTTTTCATTGCAAGAGTTACTTTGTTTTTGAGTTGCTATTTCATATTGCTTGCCAGGCGTTTTCCTTTATTGGCTGTGATGTTAATTTGGATGTTTTACCTTTTGCAAAGCATTATTTCTTAAGATTATGGTAAAATGGATGTGACTTTTTTTTTTCCTTATTTCTTCTAAAAACAAAATGGAGTACATGTGCAGAACGTGCAGGTTTGTTGCATAGGTATACGTGTGCCATGGTGGATTGCTGCACCTATTGACCCACTCTTTAAGTTCCCTCCCCTCGCCCCCCACCCCCCGGATGTGAGTGACATTTTGAGTTCCAAACTTTTAGAACATGCCCACTTGCCTCGAATGAGTAACAACGCGTGACAGTGAGTTGTTTAGGCTAAGTACTAGTTTCATTGGTTTTATAGTCTGTACTTCCTGGGTGGAAGGCTGTCAGGTAAATGTGTAGATGGAAGAAAAAAATTTTAGAACTGGTTTAAGATATCTGAATAACACACAAAGAAGTATGATTGATGAATTTGAATCCTGTTGTACTGCAAAGGCTGAAAGAGGAATTTACTTTATTGGTAATTTAGAGTAATTTGATTAATTTTTATAGTTTACAGCGTTGGCTTAATTACTGACATGTGACATTCCTAACATAAGAAATAACTCCTAATATAAGAAATAACTCAGTATTTTGTAGGTTATATAACAATGCAGAGGCATTAATTGATATTACTAAAGTCATGAAAGGTTTATTTATTGAAGATTGTTTTCCTTTTATGGAAAAAATGTAAGGATGACAACTTTTTAGTATAAAATTGCAACCACCTAGTTTTGCTTTAGCCGAAAGCATATGGCTGAATAATGCTTTAATTTATTTTTACTTTTTAAATTTAGAATTACTTCAGCCTATAGATTTTATGACATTGCCGATATAATGAGAAGGATTATATAGGAAGTGTTTTCAATAGGCATTTGGTAAAGTTCTGACAGCACTTTGAAATTAAGCATTTGCTAATTTTAAGAAATTGTATGTAAAACAGAATGGTTCTTGTGTTTCAGTCTCAGTCTTATGTGAGACTTCTGAGAATACTTACCTGGAATTTTAAAACTTGGAACCTCTGATGACTTCATAAAACAAAAGCCCTGGTGTTATCCTGGGACAGTTAGTGATTTATGTCCTCTAAGGATTGTGACAGTGGAGATCAGTGGCAGAGATGCCATCAATGAACCATAGATTTACCTCAAACAGAATTTGTCACTGGTTTGACAATATTATTCCCACCAGTGTCAACTTAATATCTTTTCAGTATAATTTCTGATCGTTACAAGTGAGGTACAAAGTGCAGTGGGCATTTAAAGGAGGGTGAGATTATATACCCTGTTTAAGGGGATTGGTGTGGGTGTAGGCTTCCTGGATGGGCATGTGGAGAGTAAGGACAGGCAGATTGAGGGAGGGAGGGGGAGAGAGCGGGAGGGAGCGGCAGGCACTGATAGTAAAGTGTGGGCAGTCTCAAGTAACTCGGTGTAACAAGAGCCTGAGTGTGTGAATAGGAAATTAATCAAAACTCCCTTGTATGTTGTGTTGGGCAGTACTTAGAGGATCAGGCTATAGCAACTGTACTTTCCCCCTCTTCTGTAGAATAGGGATTGGGCTGGATCGTGATCCTCAGGCCTTTTTCACTCCTGACACCCCGAGAAGATATGCTGTATTCCCAGCAGCACCATGCATAAACATGAAACAGAACCACATCAAATTACAGAGATGCTGTTGAACCACTGGTGTAGCCCTCTCTCTCAAATCTGTTTCGAATCTGTTTAATTTTGGGTATTGGGATGATCAGAAGATCTTGAAGCATAGCTTCTGTTCTGCAGGATGGATTGACAAGGACAAGATAGCTGGTGGGTTTTGTAGTCCTAAATGGAAGATCAGTCCAGGAGGTACTCTAGAGTTCTTCTGGCCTTGACACATAGAATGTAGAGAGAGGAATGCATCACCTACACCTCCCTAAGAATGGTAGTACTTTCAGTAACAATAGGGAGGTCAAGATTATAAGGGAAATTAATGACATCTGTTTTCAGGTATCAGTACCTCAAGAGATTAAACATGATAATTAAAGTGAGAGCCAAAAGGGTTTTGAAAAAGTTGGGCAACATGATTTGTGAGTAGTGGAGAGGCATGTCCTAGTTACGCAGTGATAAATAGTCTTGCATACAGTTCGTGCTGTTCAATTCTGCTCACCCATGGGCATGTTTGGAAGTTTGTGTTGAAACATGCATATAACAGGACTGGGGATGTTAAGACCAGGAGCTCTGGTCTCTTCTGTTAGGTCCTCCTTTCCTCAGTCCTCAAGACCCTGTGTCTTCCCTTTGACTAAAGACCCTTAATGATGGAGACATGGGGGTGAGAGAGTGGTAGTCATGGTGAGCAAGTGGTAATCTGGGTGACACAGGAACAAATCCTAGCTGATGCCCTTTTCCCTTCCTGCTCCTTAGCCAGGCTCGAATCCCTCTTCCTGGGAGATCTTCCTTGAGTCCTGTTGCGCACCTTGTTCTTCCTTCTCTTTGAGTGCCTGTTGACAGTGGTTATGATCTCAGCACTAGCTTAACACTGACACTAATTATTCTATTTTTTTTTTCTTTTGAGATGGAGTCTCACTCTGTCGCCCAGGCTAGAGTGCAGTGACACAATCTCAGCTCACTGCAACCTCCACCTCCTGGGTTCAAGCTATTCTCCTGCCTCAGCCTTCTGAGTGGCTGGGACTACAGGCGCCCACCACCACACCCGGCTAATGTTTGTACTTTTTAATAGAGACAGGGTTTTACTGTGTTGGCCAGGCTGGTCTTGAACTCCTGACCTCGTGATCCACCTGCCTCGGCTTCCCAAAGTGCTGGGATTACAGGCCTGAGCCAACACACCCGGCCTCTAGTTTTTTTCATGCTTTTGGTTCTTTAACATAAGCATCAGGAGGCAGCATGTTTCTTAACTTAAAAAAAAATTATACATTAAAATACACTTTAAAAGATCGAAAGTGACCATATAGAAAGAATTAAAATGCGTGTAAATATAATGTTTCAATTGTTTTGTCTGCTGGTATATATCTACAATTTTTATGTTTTTCTTGATAGTTATATTCAAATATTATTTTGAGAGTGTCACATTTTAAAAATAGCGACAGTAATAGTTAACATTTATTGAACATCTTTTAAATTGCAGAATGATTTTCAAGCAATATTTATGAAAATTCAGTTTTTAAAAGGTAACAGCTTTATGGAGATATAATTTACATACTGTAAAATGTACCCTTGTAAAGTATGCAATTTAGTGGTTTTTTTTAGTGTATTGACAGAGTTGTGCAACCATTAACACTACCTAATTCCAGCTTGTTTTTACGCCCCTGCAAAAGAAGCCCATGCCTATGGCGTCACTCCCTGTTCTTCACCTCCCTCCTGCTCTCCCCTGGCAGCCAGTAATTACGTTCATTTGCTGTTGATTTGCCTCTTACGGACATTTCTTATTAAGTGGAATCATATAATGTATGGCTTCTGTCATTTAGCCTACTGTTTTTAAGGTTTATGCATATCTTAGCATGTATCAGTACTATATTTGAATAACACTTCATTGTATGGCTGTACCACTTTTTTTTTTTTAAATGGAGACAGGGTCTTGCAATGTTGCCCAGGCTGACCTGAAACTCCTGGGCTCAGGCTTCCTGCCTCAGCCTTCCAGCCTCCAGAGTAGCTAGAGTTACAGGCACACACCTCTGTGCCCAGAGACCATGTTTTGCTTATCCATTTCGTAAGTTCATGGACATTTGAACTGTTTCCACTTTTTGGCTATTATGAATAATGCTGCTGAGCACATTCGTGTACATGTTTTTATCTATACATATATTTTCATTTCTCTTAGGTATATAAATAGGATTATTTGCTGGATTATTGCAAATTCAATTTTAATTTCTTTTCTTTTCTTTTTTTTTTTGACACAGAGTCTCACTCTGTCGCCCAGGCTGGAGTACAGTGGCATGACCTTGGCTCACTGCAACCTCTTCCTCGGTTCAAGTGGCCAGGCTGGTCTTGAACTTCTGACCTCAAGTGATCCACCCGCCTTGGCCTCCCAAAGTGCTGGGATTACAGGTGTGAGCCACAGCACCTGGCAGAAAATAATTCAGGCATTAGAATGAATCCTGAATGAGATAGATTGGTTAGGCTGGGATGTGGTGAGCGGGAGGAAAGGAGTCAAGGATGAACTGACTTCTAAATCTCCTGTTTGAAATGCTTGTTCCCCGGTGCCGTGAAGAAACAGCACTTGAACATAAATTTAGTTTACTTAGTAAGGCCATTTTTACTTCCTGCAGAAAGGGTACACTCACGGGCAGTTTTGCCATGAGAGTACACCCAACAAAGGAGATAGGGTCATTTATAACCTGACGCATCTACCTTACTGCTGTTTCCGGTTTCCTTTGGCTGGAACGGGACCTCACATTCTGTATTTGTCCCGATTGGTTAGTAACTTAGAACTTTTTAAAAGAGGCAAAGGTAGAGGGGAACAAAGGAAGGAGGAAGTAACTTGTGGAATGTTGAGAAAGGTAAAAACACTTTTAAATAAGGAAGAGGAACAGGCTATGACCTAATGCTTGCTTGGACCAGCCTAAGCGTGCCAGGGCAAATATTTAGGCTAAATTGTGGGAGCTAAGAACATAAAGTACATTGATTTCTTTATTATGGCTAGCAGATATTTAAGAATGTTAGCACAGGTCTTTGAATAAATTTTGCTTCTAAGAGAAGTTACTATTTATTCTTAATTAGAGAGGAAAGTCTTGAAGAGGAACCTCTACTTTACTTTTTACATCCCCCTTATTTCTCTTTTCCTTGTTCACTCCTTATTTCTTCTCTTCATCTCAAATTGATCTAGTAATACTTATTTCTTCGTAGTTCTCACAGACCCACCTCCTAGTCACCCATCCATCACCCTCTCCAGCCTGCCTTCTCTGATCACCATTCCCTTTACCCCCAGTTGGGGCTGAGTTCCTTTGTTTCCCACCCCCTTAACCTCCAGGACCTCGTGCATTAATTGTTTTAGCCAAATATTTGGGGATTTTTTTTTTTAGGTATCTTTCAGTTACTGGTTTCTAATTTAATTTCATTTTGTTCAGAGAGCATACTTTGTATGACTTTAATTTTGTAAAACATTTTTAGAGGTTTTGCACCCCAAAATTTTGTCAGTCTAAGTGAATATTCCATATGTACTTGAAAAGAATTTTGTATTCTGCTCTTGTCGGGTGGAGTATTGCATAAATATCAATTACGTCAAGTTTGTTGATAGTGTTATTAAGATCTGTCTGACTTTCTACTTGTTTTGTTGATTACTGAGGGAAGTGTTGAAGTCTACAGCTATTGTGAAGGATTTGTCTGTTTCTCCTTGAAGTTCTAGCAATCTTCACGTATTTTGAGGCTCTGCATCTATGTATTTTGAGGCTCCTTCCTAAAGTCCATAAACCTTTAGGAAGGATTGTTTTATCCTCTTAATTATTTAACCCCTTTATCTATATCTATATCTGTTAAGAGGTGGAACTGAAATGGCCTTTTAATGATCTGGCCCTTCCTTCATTACAACCTACTTTGGGCAGGGAAAGTCCCATTCAGTCTCTGGAGTGCCTGGTTAAATCTCTTGAATGCAGTAGGCAGCACAGGTAATTGTGGAACTGAATGTTGAGTCAAATAAAGCCTGTGGGTTGTTTTCATCCTCTGTACTGTCCAGTATGGTAGCTACTAGCCACATGTGGAGAGTTAAATTAATTAAAACTAAGTAGGCCAGGTGTGGTGGCTCACACCTGTAGTCTCAATACTTTGGGAGGCTGAGGTGGGAAATCACTTGAGGCATCAGTTAAAGACCAGCCTGAGCAACAGGGTTTTGTAAAAACCCTGTCTTCACAAAAGAATTAAAATAGTTGGGCATAGGATGGCATGCCTGTAGTTCTACCTGCTTGGGAGGCTGAGGTGGGAGGATTGCTTGAGCCCAGGAGTTTGAGGCTCTAGTCAGCTATGGACTGTGCCACCACACTCCAGACTGGGTGACAGAGTGAGAACCCATCTCTTAAAAAAAAAATTAAGTAAAATGAAAACTTCAGTTTCTCCAGTGGCACTAGCTGTTATACATTCATTTCAAGTGCTCTGTAGCCACGTGTATTGCACCACACAAAGGTAGAGCATTTGGGGCATTTCATATCATTACAGAAAGTTCTCCTGGACTCACTGTAGTCAGTCTGCCTCTGTTAGACCAGTGAGAATTTACCTAACATCTCCTTTTCTAGCCTTTTATTTGCCCTAAATCCTGCACAGCTTGGGTAGCCCCAGCGGTCTGGCTGAGTGAGGTCCTCCTTTGTGGAGACTCTGGGCCCAGCATTATTTGTGTATGTGATGGTATTGCATTTCTGCAATAAGATTTGGGGTCATGTGTGAGATGACTTTCCATTATTTGTTGTTCTTGGTGGTAGGGTGAAGAGGCAGTCAGTTAACACATAGTTAGAAAATCTGCCACAGTCCTGGTAAAAGTAAGCTAAGAGTCATATATGTAGGCCAGAAGGGAAGGAAGGATTAGGATTCAGAGACTTTTGGTTGAGAAATTAAATTTGATAACTCAGAGAATTTCAGTGTTATAAAAGTGTAAATATTGATATGCAAACTGAATTGTGAGATGTTAGTATGTCGTAGTGTGTCTGGGTTCTCCTATATAAAACCTCTTACGCAGGAGTCACTGGCCAAATTATTTGTCTGTGGAACCCCCCTGAGATTTGCTAAGAAAGTTATGCTTAGACTCCTCTCTACTCATGGATATGTTCTGTAATTCCCACACTTGGGAAACGGCTTGGCCATGTGATTCATACCAAATGGCAACATTCAGTAGGTGCAGTTTATATGATTTACTAGAAATAATGGCTTCTTGCTCAATTTCACTATGTTCATAGTGCCTCTTTTGAGGTCTGTGTGTATATTCTATTTATGGAAGTTAAAAAGTATTTCAGAAATGCATATATTAATCTGTGTGGAATTTCTCTTATCCTTTTTCCTCTCTAATTCTTGCTTGGATATTTGTCTCAAGAG
Source organism: Homo sapiens (assembly GCF_000001405.40). Lineage (NCBI taxonomy): Eukaryota > Metazoa > Chordata > Mammalia > Primates > Hominidae > Homo > Homo sapiens. The sequence continues at coordinate 45,574,371 of NC_000017.11, read as the reverse complement.
ATGGTCCAACATTTAAAATAGCGAATAATATCTTAGCCCATCCAAAAACAATCCTTCCTAAAGGTTTATGAACTTAATAACAGAGCCTCAAAATACATGAGGACTCATAGAACTCCAAGGAGAAACAGACACATCCTTAACAATATTGTAGACTTCAACACTCTTCTCACAGTAATCAAGAGAACAACTAGAAAGAAAGTGCAGTTTTCCCTGTTTTTGTAGACATGAAAACTATTTCACACACTTCTGAAAGTCTCATTCAGTAAGTTACTCATTTCTCCACCTTATGACTGTACTGTGCTTTCAAAGTGCTGCACAAAGAATAAAAAGTTTTAAAGTGGCTTTACTGTAATTTCAGATAAATATTTGAACTTTTGAGTCTGAATTATCCAGGTGAAATGCATTGGATTTCTGATCCTCTGTAACTTGGAAGATTACCGTCTTCCAGGTATATTGGTTGTCCTTAACTGCCTTAATGGCATGAGTTGTGAATCTTCTCTGTCTCGGAAGAAACCTAACAGTGGAAATTGTTTATGGCAAGGGTCACAAATTTACATGCGCAGAAGGTCAGGACCCTCTGTAAGGTAAAGGCATGAAGTGCCCCCTTCTTTATTAACACATAACTGCATTTGCTGATAATATTTATTTGCCTAGAATTCAGGCCCTTTTTGCTTTTACAGACAGTGCTGTCTTAAATATGCTAGAGATGTATCTTTAGTCACTTAAGCTGGTGTTTCTGTAGGGTAGGTTCCTAGGAGTGGGATTGGATTGTTGGGTTACAGTGTGTGCTATTTAAAAGACTGAACCAGATTATACTCTCAGCATCTGTTTGTTTTTAAACCTTCCCTAGTCTGTGCTTATGTGTTTTGTTTGCTTGTTTGTTTTTTGTTTGTTTGTTTGTTTTTTGAGATGGAGTCTCCCTCTGTCACCCAGGCGGGAATACAGTGGTGTGATCTCGGCTCACTGCAACCTCCACCTCCCTGGTTCAAGCAGTTCTCCTGCCTCAGCCTTTCAGGTAGCTGGGATTACAGTCACATGCCACCATACCCGGCTTATTTTTTTGTATTTTTAGTAGAGACAGGGTTTCACCATGTTGGCCAGACTGGTCTCAAACTCCTGACCTCAGGCAATCCGCCCGCCTGGGCCTCCCAAAGTGCTGGGATTACAGGCGTGAGCCACTGCGCCTGGCCTGTGTGGTTTTTAAATTAACTTTTTCTAGTCTACTAAGGTTTACTCAGACCTTTAGCAGTTGTTCTTGGATACTGACTAGGCCCAAAGTCCTCTTCTCATCAATATATTGGCAAATACACTCACTTGCGATGTGATATGAGACCCTGAGGTTTACCTCCCAAACAGCAGGATGTCTGTTTTGAGAGTTTCCTGGCCAAGTGGTGGAAAGTACCATGGAAATGGAGTCTTCCTTGCTTCTTACTTAACTTGAGTTTGGACCATAGAGAAGTCATTCTTGTGTGGACCTCAGTTTACTCACCTGTACAGTATAGGATGGACTAGATGATCTAATGGTCAGGGGATTGGCAAACTTGTTCTTAGGGCACCAATTAGTAAATATTTTAGGTTTTGCAGGCCACCTGGCTATGTCACAGCTGCTCAGCTCGGCCCTTGTAGGATGAAAGCAGCCATAGACAATAAGTAAACAAATGAGTGTGGCTGTGTTCCAGTAAAACTTTATTTCCAAAAACAGGCTGTGGCCGGCCATAGTTTGTTCACCCCATTTTTGAGCTCTTGACATTCTTTAGTCTGTGATTTCGATAATTAGTTTAGGAAAAAAGCTTTGACTTTCATAAATAATGCTTCTGGAAATCTAGTAAAACCTTTAAATTTTGGCCAGGCGTGGTGGCTCACACCTGTAATCCCAGCACTTTGGGAGGCCAAGGCGGGTGGATTGCCTGAGCTCGAGAGTTCGAGACCAGCCTGGCCAACATGGTGAAACCCCGTCTCTACTAAAAATACAAAAAATTAGCCGGGCGTGGTGGTAGGTGCCTGTAGTCCCAGCTACTTGGGAGGCTGAGGCAGGAGAATCGCTTAAACTCAGGAGGCGGAGGTTGCAGTGAGCCGATATCGTGCCACTGCACTTCAGCCTGGGTGACAGAGTGAGACTTCATCTCAAAAAAAAAAAAAAAAAAACCTTTACATTTTATTTTTGCTTTTTCCCTTTATCAGGAAAGTAATGTAGAAAATTTAGAAAACCCAGAACATTAATATTTTGGTTCCTCTCATTAGTTAACCATCTTTGGGTGGACATGTGTACATACATACATACCTTTTTTTTTTTCTTTTGAGCAAAAAAGTACATACTTTTTCTTTTTTTCTCTTCTGCCACCCAGGCTGGAGTGCAGTGGCGCGATCTCGGCTCACTGCAACCTCCACCTCCCAGGTTCAAGCGATTCTCCTGCCTCAGCCTCCTGAGTAGCTGGGACTACAGGTGCTCGCTGCCACACCCAGCTAATTTTTTGTATTTTTTAATAGAGATGGAGTTTCACCGTGTTGCCCAGGCTGGTGTCGAACTCCTGAGCTCAGGTGATTCGCCCGCCTCAGCTTCCCAAAGTGTTGGGATTATAGGCGTGAGCCACCGCACCTGGCACATGTATATGTACGTACTTTTTACAAAATTGGATGAAGTATAATTTATTTGCTAAATATTTTCACTTATGCCATGATATCTTATTTAATCTTTAATTTGTCTATGAAAATACCTGCTCTGCTAGGGGACTTCTAGTTGAAAACTCATTAATTTAAAAAATTAATTTTGAATTCAGCCACCTATTCTTTTTTCTAATTGTTTCTTGTAGCTTTTGCTTTGATTGGAATAACTTTATTCTAGGAATAAAGTTGTGTCATCTGCAAACATGAATCATGTACACATCTGATTTTCTTATATTTATATCTCCTTTTTCTCTTCAAATTACATTGCCTTTACCATTGATGGGAACCTGGGTAATAAAGAAAAAAGAAAAAAATTGCATTCCCTACCACCTCCTCCAAAACAATGTCAAATGTTAGTTATAATGATAGGCATCTTAGTATGCTATCCCAATTTAATGGAACTGATGCAGATATTTAATGGTTAACTGTTGGTTTGAGACCTTTAGTGTGTTGAGTATATTCACCTATTTCAATTTTTTTTCTGTTTAAGTTTTTTTTTTTTAAATCAGATATGGCTATTATATTTTGTTAAATGACACCTGAGCATCTTTTGAGATGATCATATAGTTTTCGTCCTGCATGCTACATATTAATTACAGTAGTGTATATTCATAGAATTATATTACTAGATGTTATATTGATTCACCCTTACATTCTTGCAGTGAACCTCTCTTAATCATATTATTTTTTCATGTACTGTTTGACTTTATTTATTTAGTTTTGAGACAGAGTTTCGCTCTTGTTGCCCAGGGTGGAGTGCAGTGGCGCGATCTCAGCTCACCACAACCTCCGCTTCCCAGGTTCAAGCGATTCTCCTGTCTCAGCCTCCTGAGTGGCTGGGATTACAGGCGCCCGCCACTACGCCTGGCTAATTTTTGGTATTTTTAGTAGAGACAGGGTTTCACCATGTTGGCCAGGCTGGTCTTGAACTCCTGACCTCAGGTAATCCGCCAGCCTCGGCCTCCCATAGTGCCGGGATTACAGGTGTGAGCCATCGCGCCCGGCCTGTTTGACTTTTAAAAAGGTATTTTAATTTTTTAGTTTATACGTGTACAGTGCATAATGTATTTAAGATTCATCTATGTTGTTGTATCAGTAGTTTTTTTATTGCTGAGTAGCAGTCCCTTATATGAGTGTATCACAGTGCATTTATCTGTTCAATAGTTGAATATTTCAATTATTTCTAGTTTGTGGCAGCTATGAATAAAGCTGCCGTAAACATTTCCATAATGTTTTTTGTCTGAACACAATTCTTGTTTCTCTTGAGTAAATACCTAGGAGTATGATTTCTGGGTTGTATGTTTATAAGAAACTGCCAAAACTGTTTTCCAAAGTAGCTGTACCATTTTGCATTCTTACCTGCAAATGTATGAAGAGTTCCGGTTGCCCTGTATCCTCCCTAGCACTTGATATTGTCAGGTTTTGTTTTTGTTTTTGTTTTTGTTTTTTTGAGATGGAGTCTGGCTCTGTCACCCAGGCTGGAGCGCGATCTCGGCTCACTGCAAGCTCCGCCTCCCGGGTTCACGCCATTCTCCTGCCTCAGCCTCCTGTGTAGCTGGGACTACAGGTGCCCGCCACCACGCCCGGCTAATTTTTTTGTATATTTAGTAGAGACGGGGTTTCACCATGTTAGCGAGGATGGTCTCGATATGCTGACCTCGTGATCCGCCCGCCTCGGCCTTCCAAAGTGCTGGGATTACAGACGTGAGCCACCGCGCCCGGCCTCAAGTTTTTTTTTTTTTTTTTTTGCCACCTTAATAAGTATATGGTGGTAGCTTCTTCTGGTTTTAATTTCCTTGTCCCTAATGACTAATGGTTCTGAGCCTCTTTTTATGTGCATCTTTTGATTTGCCATCTGTATATCATTGTTTATGGAAAAATACTAAAATCTTTTTTTTTTTTTTTTGAGACAGAGTCTTGCTCTGTTGCCCAGGCTGGAGAGCAGTGGCACAGTCACCACTCACTGCAGCCGCCACCTTCTGGGTTCAAGCCATCCTCCCACCTCTCGGCCTCCCAAGTAACTGGGATTGCAAGTGCGCACCACCACACCTGGCTAGTTTTTTTTTTTTTAATAGAGATGGGGTTTTGATATGTTGCCCAGACTGATTTCGAATCCTGGGCTCAAGCGATCTGCCTGCCTCGGCCTCCCAAAGTGCTGAGATTACAGGCATGAGCCACCATGCCTGGCCAAGATACCAAAATCTTTATTTAAGATGTTTAATTGGGTTGCTTTCTTTATTGTTATTCTTCTTTTATTTAATTAATTAATTTATTTATTTATTTGAGACGGAGTCTCGCTGTGTCGCCAGGCTGGAGTGCAGTGGCGCGATCTTGGCTCACTGCAAGCTCCCCCTCCCGGGTTCACACCATTCTCCTGCCTCAGCCTCCCAAGTAGCTGGGACTACAGGCACCCGCCACCACGCCCAGCTAATTTTTTGTATTTTTAGTAGAGACGGGGTTTCACCATGTTAGCCAGGATGGTCTTGATCTCCTGACCTCGTGATCCTCCTGCCTCGGCCTCCCAAAGTGCTGGATTACAGGCGTGAGCCACCACGCCAGGCCTCTTTTATTTTTTTAGACAGAGTCTCCTTCTTTCACCCACGCTGGAGTGCAGTGGCATGATCTTGGCTCACTGCAGCCTGTCATTCCCCCCGACCCCAGGTTCAAGGTGATCCTCCCACCACCTCAGCCTCCGAAGTAGTTAGGACCACAGATGCATGCCACCATGTGTGGCTAATTTTTGTATTTTTAATAGAGATGGGGTTTCGCTATGTTGCCCAGGCTGGTCTTGAACTCCTGAGCTCAAGCAATCTGCCTACCTTGGCCTCCCAAAGTGCTGGGATTACAGGCATGAGCCACCATGCCTGGCCAATTTCTTACTATTGGGTAGTAAGAGTTCTTTATATATTTTGGATATAAGTGCTTTGTTAGGCTGTGTGATGTTCATACATTTTCTCCCCATCTGTGCCTTGTTGTTCATTGTCTTAGCGGTGTCTTTTTCCCAGAGCATAAGTTTTAAATTTTGATGAAGTCTGATTTACCACATTTTTTCTTTTACACATTTGGTGTTCATCTAACAACTTTACCTAACCCAGACCTTGCCAGACTTTTTCTGTAAAAGGTCAGATAGTAAATATTTCAGCCTTGCTGTCCCTGTTGCAGCTCTGCCATTGTAGCAATGAAAGCAGCCATAGACAATATGTAAATGAATAATAGCTGTTCCAATAAAACTTTATGAACACTGCAGTTTGAATTTCACATAATTTACAAATTATCAATTATATTGTTTTGATTATTACAAAAACAGGTAGTGGATTGGCCATGGTTTGCTGATTCCTGGCCTGACAAACCCAAGTTCACAAAGAGTTTCCTCTTTGATTTTGTTGTGGTCGTTGTTCCACACCTTCTTTTTTCACTGTTTCCTTAAGGTAGAGTGTACATATTTATAAGGGTACATGTAATATTTTGATAGATTCATACAGTGTGTAATGATCAAATCAGGTTAATTAGGGTATCCATCATCTCAGATGTTTATCCTTTTTTTTTGTATTGGGAAGATAACAAATGTTCTAGCTATTTTAAAATATACACTAAGTTATTGTTGACTCTAGTCACCCTACTGTGCAAACAAAAACTAAAACGTATTCCTTCTATCTGACTGAATTTTTATGCCCATGAATCAACTTGTCTTCATCCCTACCTGCTTCCCAGCCCCCGGTAACCATCATTCTACTGCCTATCTCCATGAAATCAACTTCTTAGTCTCTCGTATATGAATGAGAATATGTGATACTTGTCTTTCTGCCCTTGGCCTATTTCACTTAACATAATGTCCTCCAGTTCTATCCATGTTGCTGCAAACAGATTTTATTTTCCAAACCTTAAGCTTTATAGATGACTTCACTTTTTAAATGGCTGAATAATATCCTCTTGTGCATATATACCTCATTTTCTTTGATTTTTCTTTCTTTCTTTTTAAATAGAGATGAGTTCTCACTATACTGCCCAGGCTGGTCTTGAATTTTTTTGCTCAAGCAATCCTCCTGCCTTGGCCTCCCAAAGTGCTGGGATTCCAGGCTAAACCACTGTGCTCCTTTATGCATTTTTTTGTTTTTGTTTTTAAAGACAAAATCTTGCTCTGTTGCCCAGGCTGGAGTGCAGTGGTGCGATCTTGGCTCACTGAAGCCTCCACCTCCCAGGTTGAAATTATTCTCGTGCCTCAGCCTCCCAAGTAGCTGGGATTACAGGCGCCCACCACCACGCCCAGCTAATTTTTGTATTTTTAGTAGAGATGAGGTTTCACCATGTTGGCCAGGCTGGTCTCGAACTCCTGACCTCGGGTGATTCATCTGCCTTGGCCTCCCAAAGTGATGGGACTACAGGCATGAGCCAGTGCACCCAGCCCCTTTGTGCACTTTTAAAAACAAATCTTAGAATTTGTGATACATGTTTTATTTTCATTTTCATTTGGTTCACAATATTGTAAAATTTCTACTATGACTTACTCTTTGACCCATGATTTGTTTTAAAACGTATTGTTTAATTTTCAAACATTTAGGGATTTCCCAGACATCTTTGTTGTTGGTTTCTAATTTAATTCCATTATGGTTAGGGAACATACTCATTATGATGAATTAAAAAAAATGTAGAGGTTTGTATATGGCCTGAAACATTGTTTGTTTAGGTCAATGTTCAGTTTGTAATAGGAAAGATGTGTTCTGCTGCCGTTAGGTAAAGTGTTTCATAAATAATAATTAGGTCAAGTTGGTTGATCGTGTTAAGGTCTTCCCTATCCTTGCTGATTTCCTGTCTGCTTGTTCTAGTGATTACTGAGAAAGGAGTGTTGAAGTCTGCAACTATTGTTATGGGTTTGTTCTCTTTCTCCTTGAAATTCTGTCTGTTTATGCTTCCTGTATTTTGAGGCACTGTTATTAGATGCAGAAACATTTACAGTTTTGTCCTCGATTATTTGACCCCTTTGTCATTCTGAAATAACCTTTATTTCTGGTAATAATAATTATATTAAAAACCATTATTTGGCCAGGCATGGTGGCTCATGCCTGTAATCCCAGCACTTTGGGAGGCCGAGGCGGGTGGATCACCTGAGGTCAGGAGTTCGAGTCCAGACCGGACAACATGGCGAAACCCCATCTCTACTAAAAAGAGAAAAATAGCCTAGTGTGGTGGCACACGTCTGTAGTCCCAGCTACTCAGAAGGTTGAGGCAAGATAATCACTTGAATCCAGGAGTTGGATATTGCAGTGAGCCGAGATCACGCCACTGCACCCCAGCCTGGGAAGCGGAGCAAGACTCCATCTCAAAAGAAAAAAAAAAAAAAACCCAAACAGGCCAGGTGCAGTGGCTCATGCCTGTAAACCCAGCACTTTGGAAGGCTGAGGCAGGTGAATCACCTGAGGTCGGGAGTTCGAGACCAGCCTGGCTAAGATGGTGAAACCCCGTCTCTACTAAAAATACAAAAGTTAGCCAGGCACGGTGGCAGCTGCCTGTAATCCCAAGTACTTGGGAGGCTGAGGCCAGAGAATTGCTTGAAGCCGGGAGGCAGAGGTTGCAGTAAGCCAAGATCATGCCATTGCACTCTAGCCTGGGTAACAGAGCAAGACTCCATCTCGGGGGAAAAAAAAATTATTTAATATTAATATAAAATTAGTGTTCTATATTAGTAGTATAATACTGTTTTTGACTAGTGTTAAAATGACATCTTTCTCTACCCTTTTGCTTTTAATCTAGATATCATGATATTCATTTATTTTTTAATTTGTAAAAATAGAGATGGGGTTTCGCCATGTTGCCCAGGCTGGTCTTGAATTCCTGGGCTCAAGCCACCTGCCCACCTCAGCCTCCCAAAACGCTGGGATTATAGGCATGAGCCACCATACTTGGCCATATCATTATATTTTCAAATGGTTTCTTGTTTTTTCGTTTTTCTTTTAAATGTAATCTGACAGCGTCTTTTAATTAATGTGTTTTGGACCATTTACATTTAATATGATTGATAATGATTGGATTTAGGTTTCCTTTTTATTATTTGTTTTCTGATTATTTCTTTTTTGGGGGGTTTCTTCTGTTTCTTTTTTCTGCCTATTTTTGGATTAACTGAATATTTTTTAGTGTTATGTTTTATTAATTGGCTTTTGGTTATATCTGTGCTATGTTTTTGCTGTAGGAATTACAAAATATATACCTAACCTGCCTACTTAGAGTTAGCATTTTACCTCTAAATAAAATGTAAAAGTATTGCAAACATATAGGTTTCTTTATTCTAGCCCCCCCTTATAATTGTATGTATGTGTGTGTGTGTATGTGTGTATATATCTATATACACTTTCAATGTATGTAGATAGATATGTATCTATACTTTCAATGTATATCTACATGCATACATTGTGTATGTATGTAGACGTATATCTACATACATTGAAAGATATATATCTACATACATATACAATGCATGTATGATACCTTTGACTACTACATCCTTCTTAAATTTCCTGTTGCCACTTATGACCCGATTTCCTTGACCAGTTATTCCTCCTTCAAACATCCCTCTTACACGTGATAGTCCTCAGCATTTAGTTTCCCCAACTTTACCCTAATTAACAGTTGACTCAATTACCACCAAAATATCGATGACTTTTTTGAGACAGAGTCTCACTCTGTCACCAGGCTGGAGTGCAGTGGCATGATCTTGGCTCACTGCAACCTCTGCCTCCTGAGTCCAAGTGATTCTCCTCCCTCAGCCTCCCGAGTAGCTGGGACTACAGGTGTGTGCCAACACACCCAGCTAATTTTTGTATTTTTAGTAGAGACGGGGTTTCACCATGTTGGCCAGGATGGTTTCAATCTCTTGACCTTGTGATCAGCCTGCCTCAACCTCCCAAAGTGCAGGGATTACAGGCATGAGCCACCACGCCCGGCCAAAATATCAATGACTTGTAGATCCATTTTCCTACCTAGACCTCTTTGCTAAACTCCAGATATATATTTCCAACTGCCTGTGCTGTCCGCGATAAACTCCACATTGTAGGAAATAGAAAGGAGTTATAAAAGTTTAGGTTCAAAGCAAAATTTAAAAACTCATAAATGAGACAAAATTTTGTGATGATAAAGGCTATGGTCCACAATGAAGATATGAAAGTAATGAACCTTTCTATAAAACGTATATGTGATAGAGCCAGTCCCCAACTTTAAGCCTTTCAGCGATTCAAGTAACTACAGAACATCTTTAAAGTACTGAGAGAAATGTCAATCCAGAATTCTATATCCAGCAAAAATACCCTTTAACAATTAAGGCAAAAAGAAAAAGAAGAAAGACATTTTGGATGAAGAAAATCTAAGAGAATGTGTTGGCGGAAGTTCTGCTCTAAAATAAAAGTAAAAGAAGGTCTTTAGGCCAAAGGAAAATTATGCCAGTGGTAATACTAGAACTTCAGAGATAAAGAGCAGCAGAAATGGTATCTGGGAAAATTTAAAAACGCAAACGGTTGTTTCTCCTCTTAAGCTCTTTAAAATATGTATAGTGGTTGAAAGCAAAAGTTAAAACACTGGTGAGACTTTCAATGTATGTAGATATACGTATATATAGATACATATATCTATATACATGTAGAGGTAATGTAGTTATTTTATGGAGCTGATCTGAGGATAAAATGAAATAATGCATTTTAAAGTGCTTAGCACAATGTCTGGCAAATAGAAAGCACTCTATAGGCCAGGCATGGTGGCTCACGCCTGTAATCCCAGCACTTTGGGAGGCCTAGGCACGTGGATCACTTGAGGTCAGGTATTTGAGACCAGCCTGGCCAACATGGTGAGACCCCGTCTCTACTAAAAATATAAAAATTAGCCGGGTGTGGTGGTGGGCTCCTGTAATCCCAGCTACTTGAAGTGAGGCAGGCGAGTGGCTTGAACCTGGGAGGTGGAGGTTGCAGGGAGCCAAGATTGCACCACTGCACTCCAGCCTGGTCGACAGAGCAAGACTCCAGCTCAAAAAAAAAAAAAATGGGGGACAATGTTACACTTCTTCCTTCTAGAAACATACATTTTATAGAGAGTTGTTTTTTGAAGTCTAGAAGTCTGAAAACGTAGGAGTCAACTCTGAAAAATCTACAGTGGTTTCTGGGGTTTAATCTTGGCATGACTTTACCCCTGCATCTCTGCCCTCTGCAGGTAGTTTTGTTTATGGGTGTCATTGGTTGAATAAATAATTGTTTTAGTTGCTACAATAAATAAAACATGATCTGTGCTCTAAAGGAGTCCACAGTTGAGCCAGGGGGGCATGAGTAATTGCCTGTAATATAATTGTGCTCACGCTGTCATGGAGGACCGTACAAAGTGTCAGAAGCACAGTGCCAGGAGGCACAGCAAAGGGTAGTAGAGGTGACATTTGAGCCAAGCCTTGAAAACTGTCTAGGATTTCTCAGCATTTCAGCAAAGTAAGGCAATTTCTGTCTAAAATATATAGGCAACGTTTTTATTAAAAATACGAGAAATTAATTAAATAACAGATTATGACCACAATGCAGATTTAAAAACTAAGGTATGATGAGTGCCATTGACCGGTTCATCCAGACAGTTCAGAGAACAGAACATCCATGTAGATCCTTCTTGTATTACAGAATACAAAGGAGCGGAAAATTTTGCCTCAGTAACTGCCAGGTCATTCTAATTAAAGTACCTATACATTGTAATATAATTCCTCCATTAAGGTAACAGCCAATCAGGTGGTACAGAGTCTGTGCCATTCAGTCAAGAAATTCACTCCCTTAACCTAGACTGTGCTGGAAATTCATTGACAAATTTTGTTCTTTGGTTCTCCATTTTTCTTCAGAATTCATGCAGACCACTTGACTTCCTTAGCATTTTCTTTTGTGGGCGTATATTAATGTCTTTGGTTAAGCTTCAGCTTCCGTTTGCATCAATCCTGTTGTAATCGTGCCTCCTGAGGCATCTTTTTGCTTCCCTTGCATCAGTTTCCAAAATCCTACTTTCTGCTTGGTAAGGGGAGTATCCATTTTCTTTAAAGCAGTGGTTTTCAAACTTGCCTGCACATCAGAATTATTTGGGGAGAAGGATAAAAATACAGATTACTGAGCTTCACCTGGGATTCTGTAGATTTGAGTTGCATTTGGGATTACTTTAAACAATTTACCAGATGATTTTTGCGGCACCTCCACTTCAGTTTTAGGAAGGACTGTTTCAAGGCAGCTTTTCAAACTTTAATGACCATAGAAATCACCTGAAGATTGTGAGAAACTGCAGTTCCTAATTTAGTAGGCCTGCGTTTAGGCCTGAGGTTCTGAATTTCTCTGAAACGTGATAATAGCAAATCCCTCGTTGAGTAGCAAGGTTGTTTTTTGTTTTTTTCTTTTTTTTCCAATATCTTCATGACATTCAATGAGTAGCAGAGTTCGAAGATAACTTCTGGAATTTCATCTAATGTGTATTAATTTTTACTCATCTGGATCTTAGGGGAAATAACCTATCAGGTTATAGGGAAGTGTTTCTCAAAGTATGGTTCCCCAAACAGCACAATCTGGGAATTGTTAGAAATGCAAGTTCTCGGCTGGGCACTGTGGCTCATGCCTGTAATCCCAGCACTTTGGGAGGCTGAAGCGGGTGGATCACCTGAGGTGAGGAGTTTGAGACCAGCCTGGCTAACATGGTGAGACCCCGTCTCTATTAAAAATACAAAAAAAATTAGCTGGGCATGGTGGTGGTACTTCTTAAAATTTTTTTAGAGACAGAGTATCCCTGTGTTGCCCAGGCTGGTCTCTAAATCCTGACCTCAAGCAATCCTCCTGCCTCAGCCTCTTAAGTAGCTAGGTACAAGCCACCATGCCCAGCTATATTGACTTGTTTTTGAGACGGAGTCTCTGTTGCCTAGGCTGGAGGGCAGTGGTGCGATCTTGGCTCACTGCAACCTCCGCCTCCCGGGTTCACGTGATTCTCCTGCCTCGGCCTCCTGAGTAGCTGGGACCACAGGCATGCACCACCATGCCTGGCTAATTTTTGTATTTTAGTAGAGATGGAGTTTCACCATGTTGGCCAGACTGGTCTTGAACTCCTGACCTCAAATGATCCACCCCCGCCTTCGCCTCCCAAAGTGCTGAGACTACAGGTGTGGGCCACCACGCCTGACCATATATTTACCTTTATGTGAATTTAAGATGTGTGGGTGTGACCAAGTCGTCTGCCGGCTGTTATATAAAGGAGACTTTATCATCAACATGCTCATCATCAGTCACAAACTGCCTATTTGGAACTCCCTTCAGTTCTCAGAGGATGGAAACATTCTTTAAGCGGCCTTGTAGAAATCCTATTCCATGTTAACATGCCAACCAATTTTACTTTCCCAGAGCCACAGAAGGATATCTCATTGTATGCCTCAATTCAATCACCTTTCCATTTTCAAGGACCGATTTCAATTCCTGATTGGCTACTTGATCTGACTGCTTCCTGCTAATCTTGTTGCCTATTGTCTATATATATTCCATTTCTCATTGAATTAACCTTGATCAAATCTGAGAACTCTGCTTAGTAATGACTCCAGGTATACTATACCCACTTTTGTAGCTTATTCAACACCCTCTTCAATCCTGGTTCCACTTCCTGTGACTGAAATGATTACCTGTGGAATATTCTTCAACTTTTGGACTATGATGTGTTTCTAACCTGTGACCATTTCACATAGCCACTCAAATATGGTAAAGGTACGGTAAAGATGATGAAACAGTTACTTGGTATCATTTTGTAAGTAATGAGTTTTTAGTGTGCTTTGGACCTTGAGACCACTTCATAAGCTTTAGATTTTGAGAATTTCACAGCATAAAGCTCATCGCTGATGCAGTAATGAAGGAAATGTTCTACAAGTTAATAGATGAGTGAGAGGAGAGGGCATTCATATTAGATTTATTTACTTACTGAACTCAGAGCCTTGGGTTACTACTTGACCCCCACTGTTATCTAGTTTAAGGGTCCTTTTATTTTTTGTTTTTTTGAGGTGGAGTTTCACTCTTGTTCCCCAGGCTAGAGTGCAATGGCCCGGTCTCTGCTCACTGCAATCTCCGCCTCCCAGATTCTCCTGTCTCAGCCTCCCAAGTAGCTGGGATTATAGGTACCCACCACCACGCCCTGCTAGTTTTTGTATTTTTAGTAGAGACAGGGTTTCACCATATTGGTCAGGCTGGTCTCGAACTCCTGACCTCAGGCAGTCTGCCCACCTCAGCCTCCCAAAGTGCTGGGATTACAGGCATGAGCAACTGCTCCTGGCCTTAAGTGTTCTTTTCTACTTTAGCACATGCACCTAGTTCCTGTCTTTTTTGGTTTTTATAAATACAGAAAAGAGAATAATGTTTTAAAATCAAGGAAAGGCCTAAGGCATCTGTGAGGGTTTTTTGTTTTTGTTTTTGTTTCAGTGAAATGAAGGGAAATGGTCGCCAGCAAGAACTGTGGCAACGTTATCCAAGGTGACAACTGTCTGTACCACCCAGGGGCTCAGAGCCCTTCTGAAGTTTCCTAGATGTTCCGAAAGTCTCCACTGTGACTCATGATACAGGCTGGTCTCCGTGGTAGCACTCAACGTTTAAAAATTAGTCTTCATTGCCAGGCGTGGTGGCTCACGCCTGTAATCCCAGCACTTTGGGAGGCTGAGGTGGGTGGATCCCGATGTCAGGAGATGGAGATCATCCTGGCTAACACGGTGAAACCCCATCTCTACTAAAAATACAAAAAATTAGCCGGCAGTGGTGGGGGGGCACCTGTAGTCCCAGCTACTCTGGAGGCTGAGGCAGGAGAATGGCGTGAACCCGGGAGGCGGAGCTTGCAGTGAGCCGAGATCGTGCCACTGCACTCCAGCCTGGGCGACAGAGGGAGACTCCGTCTCAAAAAAAAAAAAAAAATAGTCTTCATTTCTCCTTCCCAACAAGCATTTCTCTTTCTCTTCAGTGGGAAAAAGTAATTTCATTTTTTACTTGCTCATTGTTTTATTCATTCACTCAATCAACAGATCATCTATCCTGTATTGTATGCCAAGAACTGTGCTTTGTTCTGGGAATGAAAAAAGAATAAGATATGTTTTCCTCTGGCACTTATGGAGCTTATAAACCAGTGACAGAGGAAGGTGCATAAACAAATCAACAAAGAATTAACTTTACTATTCTTATTAATTTCTAATACAATAAATTTGACTATTTGTATCATTTGAGTTTCATGAATATAATCATATTCTACACTTACAAAATGAAATAGACATAAGAAAGAACTGGTGATGTAAGAAATTCACAGAAATGTGTAAAATATTTCAAGAATTAACACTCAGTAGATATTTGCATTGTCAAAGAAGCTTATAAATGCAGATGAACCTCTAGTTGTTTTAGTTGCTTGTAAAATGTATAGAGGTATGTGTATTTCCTCTTTAAGCAGGGGTAACTTGGGGTGGGGGATGGGTGGGTTCATCTTATCTATTCTTCAGGTCATGTTCTCAAGAAGGAGCTACTGAATGGGAAGACTGAAACAATTTCTTTTCTTTGCACAGTTGGTATTGATAAATCTCAGGTGTATCCAAAATAAAATCTCTGGCAGGCTGTGATATTTGTGGGTCTGTCTCTTGTGACTTTAGGTTCCTCTTGGCAGCAGACATAAGGCAGTTGCACATCAGGCCCTTGCCTGAAACAGCTCCTGATGCCAAGAACTGGTGAATTACTACTTTGGTTTCAATGGATGGTCAGAAAGGATCATCAGGATAAACTTTGTGGATTTTCTCTCACTAACCACGCTCTCCTTTCAACATTGAAATTCTAGACTTTAGACAGAAGTATTGAACTGGGTTACAGGGAGGGGATGTGAGAGGCCCCCTGCCATTGAGGATAAGTGGACATGTCTGAATTGGCCTGCTACCTAAAATTAATAATCTCAATCACTTGGATGGTGGTGTCCATAATTTTCTCCACTGTTTGTGTGGCATATAATAAGTAATGGTTGCACCTAGCAATTCATTTACAAATCTTACTTGATTTTGAAGCCATAGAACACCTCAACTGTTAGCTTGAATGACTGGAGTTTAGTTTTTATTTCTCAGAACAAAACAGTTTGAAGCCTAATTAACATCCTCGGAAGGAACTTAACACTAAAACTCCTAACAGCTTCAGTTTTCTGACCTTGAAGAAAGGGAAAATGAAGAGACCATGGTGCCACTTCCGAAGCAAAGCCTGAAGTTCTGTGCTTTAGAGGTGGTGTTGCCATCCTATGATTGCAGGAGTCTGGCCTTGGCTTGGTGGAGGAGCCTGTGGATAAGGCGAAGGAAGGTCTGTTTTCATTGGGGGTAGAGGAGGGTAAGGAGTTGAAATGGGAAGGATCTCTTTTTTCTTGCTGTCTAAAACTTGTCTTTTCAGACACATATCAAGCCTTTCCCTCTCTGAGCTACTGAAGTCCTGGGCAGAGGTTTTCTGTCTTACAATACAGACTTTTACCTTAGGCAATACCTGACAGAGCCTTTAAATAAGTAAATAAATTGCTTTAATAAATTGATTTAATACATTGATTTATTAATTAATAAATTTATTTAATAAATTGATTTATTAATTAACTAATTTTGAGAGAGAGTCTTGCTCTGTCACCAGGCTGGAGTGCAGTGGCGTGATCTCGGCTCACTGCAACCTCCGCCTCCCGGGTTCAAGGCATTCTCCTGCCTCAGCCTCCTGAGTAGCTGGGATTACAGGCGCCCACCACCACACCCAGCTAATTTTTGTATTTTTAGTAGAGATGGGGTTTCACCATGTTGGCCAGGATGGTCTCGATCTCCTGACCTCGTGATCTGCCTGCCTTGGCCTCCCAAAGTGCTGGGATTACAAGTGTGAGCCACCCCACCCGGCCAGAACCTTTAAATTTAAAATTGTACAGTGTACTTCCTGCCAAGAAGCGTAGGAGGAAGAAGGAAGTAATGTTTTTCCAGTTTTCGGTTAAGAACTTGCTTTGTATTAAAATAGTCCTTCAAGTCTACAGCCATACCACCCTGAACGCGCCCAATCTCGTCTAAAATAGTCCTTCAAATATGTATCTCTTATAGCCTTCAGTTATCCCAACAAAATTATCTAAAGATTTGTTTATCTATTTATTATTATTTTTTAGAGACAGGGTCTTGCTCTGTTGCCCAGGCTAGAGTGCAGTAGCATGCTCATAGCTCATTGCAACCTCAAACTGCTGGGCTCAAGGGATCCTCCCACCTTAGCCTCCTGACTAGCCAGGACTACAGGCGTGTGCCACCACATGTGGCTAATTATTTTTTCTGGAGATGGGGTCTTGCTGTGTTGTCCTGCCTGGTCTCAAACTCCTGGCCTCAAGTGATCCTCTTCCCCCAGGATCCCAAGGTGCTGGAGTTATAGGCATGAGCCACCCACCATGCCAAGTCATCATGTAAAGATTTACAGAAAGTTTTGTGTAAACATTGTCTTTTTTTTTTTTTTGAAGCAGAGTCTTGCCCTGTCGCGCAGGCTGGAGTGCAGTGGTGTGATCTCGGCTCACTGCAACCTCCACCTCCCAGGTTCAAGTGATTCTCCTGCCTGACACTCCTGGGTAGCTGGGATTACAGGCATGCACCACCATGCCTGGCTAATCTTTGTATTTTTAGTAGAGATGGGGTTTCATTGTGTTGGTCAGGCCGGTCTCAAACTCCTGACCTCGTGATCCATCTGCCTTGGCCTCTGAAAGTGCTAGGATTACAGGCATGAGCAACTGCGCCCGGCCCATTCAGCCTTTTTTTTACTCGTAGAAGGGCTTCAGTGGAACAAGAGTCTACTAGAGATACTAGAAAGGGTACTCAATTGATAACTGACGTTGAGATTTTTTTCTAGTATTCATGGCCCTCAGGCTTAGGGTTTGAAGTCAGAGGCAGGGCTGTAGGCTAATGGAGGGGAGTAGGCTTTCATGGATGATGCCCAGGGAGGAGCCAGATTATCTGTACCAAACCTTTTTTGTTTTTTTGAGACAGAGTCTTGCTCTGTCGCCCAGGCTGGAGTGCACCGGTGTGATCTCGGCTCACTGCAACCTCCACCTCCCAGGTTCAAGCAGTTCACCTCCCTCCTGCCCACCACCACACTCAGCCAATTTTTAATTTTTAAAAAATTTTTTAGTAGAGACAGGGTTTCATCATGTTGCTCAGGCTGGTCTCAAACTCCTGACCTCAAGTGATCTGCCCATCTTGGCCTCTCAAAGTACTGGGATTACAGATATGAGCCACTGTGCCTGGCCTCTTTTTGAAAATAGTCTTACTCTGTCACCCAGGCTGGAGTGCAGTGGAATGATCTCGGCTCACTGCAACCTCCGCCTCCCGGTTCAAGCTATTCTTGTGCCTCAGACTCCCAGGTAGCTGGGATTACAGGTGTGTGCCACCACACTCGGCTAATTTTTGTATTTTTAGGAGAGATGGGGTTTCACCACGTTGGCTAGGCTGTTCTTGAACTCCTGGCCTCAACCCGCCTTGGCATCCTAAAGTGCTGGGATTACAGGCATGGGCCACCGTGTCCAGCCAACAAAGCTTTTTTTCAGTGAGTGATTCCAGCCCTTGATGCATAGGAGGGTGGGGTCCATAGGAGTGTAGCCTTAACTGATGAATTAAATCTCTGGGTGATGTGAGATATGTGCCAGGTTCTTGGCTTATGTCTCCCTCTAGTACTTTAGGAACTTCCCAACTAGATGGAGGCAGTAAAAATGGGCCCTGCCAGGATGTACCTATAACAGAGACGTTCAACCATACCCTTGTGCTGTCTGCCTTTAATCACGAAGATTATGAGCTAAGATTCGTGGATGCATTTTTATTTTTTAACCAACATGTAGCAATGATCACTCAGATAGGCATCTTAAATCCATTAGTTTGGGTTGGATTTAAGACCGTTGTCATTCCTATGAAAGGGAAGATAGCCCAGATTGCTATTGAGAAGGCTTTGTCAGATGCATTCCAGAAACTGTTGATTGTGGTTCTAGGTAAAACTTTCTTAATCGTCGTTGAAGTACTTCAGTTTCAGTGAGCAAATAAACTCATTTTGAAAAGTTAATTGGATAAAAATATCGATATCTAAAACACTCCCTAGGATGCTTTCATTTGCTAAGTTCTTTCACAGCGACAGGCTCAAATTTGTTCTTTGTGACATTTGTAGAAAAAATGACAGCAAATATTGTCCCTAGTTTATAGCTATAAAAGGACTTGCCTCAGGTCACACAGAAAATGTTTGAGGCAGGTCTTCTTTAATTGCATGCCTATCGTACAGAATAGTGATTATAAGCCCTGGACACATGGATTTGAGTCCTAACTCTGTCTCTTAGATTTTTGTATGCAGTTTTAGGTCTTATGGCCAGAGAGATTTGAAGATATTTAATATCTCTAAGCTGCAATCTTTATCTGCAAACTGGGGTTAGTAATCCAATCAACCTTATTGCTGATATTGTAAGAAAAAATGAGATGACAAGTGTAAAAACTCAGAACTATACTTACAAGGTAAGCAGACAAAATATGCTATTGTTGTGATTGTTTTCTCTCTGAATAAATAAACTCTGCTGAAGAATTTATTAGATTATGTTTCTCGAATCGAGAATTCAGTTCCAGCTCTCATTTCTGGCACTGACATATTGGCCAAATATGATTCTTATACAATAATCAGCTGCTTTGCTGTGAGCCTTGGAAGTGGTCATGCTGTTGAATGGCACTGCTTGTATTTCCTATTCAGTTCTACAGTGGCACAAATGTCATAGCCTGTGCCCAAAGGAAACCTGGTGTTTAACGAGTCCCTGAACAGAGTTGCCTTTCTGCTTCACAACCCTGAAGGCTTAGAGACTGAGATTGTAATTAAGTTACTACAGACCTTTATTTGCTTGTAAGAGGTGGCCCTGATTGCTCTCAGCTTTCCAACCTGGGCAGCCCTTCTAGTGAAAGTCTTACTTCCTTGGTCATCAACTGTCAAGTCTGAGTAATGACATTTAATAACCAAGCTAAATGTGTGGGTTGTCTACCCCTCCCTAGTATGCAAAGGTATCCCTTGCACACACTCACTTCTTAGACCAAAAGCCTTATAGTTCTAGTTTGCCTTGAAGGAAATTGTATTGTCTATAGAGTATGTGGGCCATTTTCTGCCCGTAAAATGTTCAAATGTTTTCTCTCTCTAAAGCTTTGTTCATTGTATCTGGTGGAATTTTGGTTCTCAGGGAGTAGACACCTAGCCATGCTTCTAATGTGAAGTGTCTACTAGCCCAGTGGTCTCTATTTTGGATTTGAACTTACTTCGACCCCCCACCTGGTGCCTTACCTTTTAATCATGTTATGATTGAACATTTTTATTTCCACATTTTTTATTTCTTACGTTATTATTCCTTAGTTCCTATCTGTAAGATCATAAAGTCCTTTGAACCAAACACAGTTGATATTTCATACATATGTTAAAAACTGAGCTGTGAGACCAGACATGATGACTCACGCTTGAAATCTCAGCATTTCGGGAGGCCAAGACAGAAGGATCACTTCAAGCCAGGAGTTCGAGACCAGCCTGGAAAACAAAGCGGGACCATGTCTCTAAAAAAGAGAATTAGACGGGCACAGTGATATAGTGCCTGCTACTCTGGAGGCTGAAGCAGGAGGATGACTTGAGCCCAGGAATTCCAGGCTACAGTGAGCTATGATAGTGCCACTGTACTCCAGCCTGGGTGACAGAGTGAGACCCTGTCTAAAAGAAAAAAGAAAAACAAAAATCGAAGTGTATGATGAAGAGATGAGGAAACTTTCAGGAAAATGCTTATTTCCTGCTTTTAGAAACTAAAAGAATGTCTCATTGTGGGTTGCTACCATTATATGCAGGAAGTTTTGGAATGAAAAAGATTCTGAATTCATCCTTGCTAACTTTATTTCAGAAAGTGGTAAAATAGCTATGGAGTACAGACCCAGTGAAGAGATTGTAGATGTCAGATGGGAAGAAGAACTACACGGTTTAATATAAGTATGTGGAGATAAAAACTCAAAGGTAACAGGGCCGGGCACAGTGGCTCACACCTGTAATGCCAGTGCTTTGGGAGGCTGAGGCGGGTGGATCACCTGAGGTCAGGAGTTCAAGATCAGACTGACCAACATGGAGAAATGGTGGCACATGCCTGTAATCCCAGCTACTCGGGAGGCTGAGGCAGGAGAATCGCTTGGACCCGGGAAGCGGAGGTTCCGGTAAGCCAAGATCACACCATTGCACTCCAGCCTGGGCAACAAGAGTGAAACTCTATCTCAAAAAACAAACAGGCCAGGCGCTGTGGCTCACACCTGTAATCCCAGCACTTTGGGAGGCCGAGGTGGGTGGATCATGAGGTCAGGAGTTCAAGACCAGCCTGGCCAATATGGTGAAACCCTGTCTCTACTAAAAATACAAAAATTGGCTGGGTGTGGTGGTGGGCACCTGTAATCCCAGCTACTTGGGAAACTGAGGCATGAAAACCACTAGAACCCAGGAGGCGGAGGTTGCAGTGAGCCGAGATCATGCCACTGCATTCCAGCCTGGGTGACAGAGCAAGACACTCTCTCGAGGAAAAAAAAAAAAAGAAAAGAAAAACAACTCAAGGGTTGGATAACATTGCCAGTATAACCATAATTCAAAACAAGCAGCAGAATTTGGAGGATAATTTGTTTAATTCTCAGGAAAATGTGAAACTCTGAAACTGCTTTTTGAGTGCAGGGTATTTCCGGGGCTTTTCCTAAAGTCTTAACCCTTGGCTCTGACCCCTTATTTGAAGTTTGGAGAGCAGAACCGAGGATTGTATTACTACAGTTGTGGACACAGGAGAGGGGTTAGTCTCCCCCCGCTCCAGGAGTAAGGGATGCTGGGCTGCTCGAACACAGGCCTTGTTAGAACTCCCTTCAAACAGGATCCCAGAGATGTGGGGAGAAGGTAACTGGCCTTAAGAATGATTGCGCTACAGCTTTTGAAAACTATAATGCCTTTCAAATATGGCTTATTGCTTGGATCTCAATATCTCCCACGTATCTTGGGTGGAATATTTTGCTGAAGATCTTTCTGTCAATCATTTACAATCATGTGCTGCAAAATGAAGTTTGCGTCAACAGTAGACCACATATATGATGGTGGTTCCGTAAGCGTATAATGGAGCTATCCCTATATAGGTATACCATTTTTATCTTTTTTTTTTTTTTTTTTTTTTTTTTTTTTTTGAGATGGAGTCTCACTCTGTTGTCCAGGCTGGAGTGCGGTGGTATGATCCCAGCTCATTGCAACCTCCACCTCCCAGGTTCAAGTGATTCTCCTACCTCAGCCTCCTGAGTAGCTGGGATTATAGACACGCGTCACCACACTCAGCTAATTTTTGTATTTTTAGTAGAGATGGGGTTTCATCATGTTGGCCAGGCTGGTCTTGAACTCCTGAGCTCAAGTGATCCACCCACCTTGGCGTCCCAAAGTGCTGGGATTACAGGCATGAGCCACTGTGCCCAGGCCCCATTTTTATCTTTTACACAGTATTTTAACTATATATTTTCCATGTTTACATACACAAATACCTGCCATTCTGTGACAGTTGCCTTTAGTATTCAGTACAGTAACATACAGTACAGGTTTGTAGCCTAGGAGTCCTAAGCCATACCGTGTACCCTAGGTATGGTGGCTACACCACCTAGGTTTGTGTAAGTATACGCTATGATATTAGCACAATGGTGAAATCACCTAGTGACCCATTTCTCAAGCTCCTCACGTGGCAAGCAATGCATGACTGCATATGAAAGCTCTTAAATAGGGATTGTTTCTAAATTAATCTCAAAACAGTCATTATTTACTATTTATGGAATTTTTTTTAAAAAAAGGAGCAAAAGTCTCATTTCAGTGGGAACTTAACTTGGGGCTACAGTGTTTTATTTAACTTTTACCCCAAAGTTGCAAAGTGTTTTGAAATTTTTCCCTGTAAAATAATTATTTTAATTCAATTTAAATAAAACCCACCAAGGAGACTTCAAGCTTTAAGAAGTCTAGCTTCCTGTGAAATGTGAGAGGAAGTCAGCACTCATTTCAGAAATCTGATTATAACAATAGCTCCATCCCTAAATGAGGTGAATCTTGGAATCTCTTCCATTTTATTTTATTTTATTTTTTTGAGATGGAGTTTCTCTCTTGTTGCCCAGGCTGAAGTGCAATGTTGTGATCTCGGCTCACTGCAACCTCTGCCTCCCAGGTTCAAGCGATTCTCCTGCTTTGGCCTCCTGAGTAGCTGGGATTGCAGGTATGCACCACCACACCTGGCTAATTTTGTATTTTTAGTAGAGACGGAGTTTCACCATGTTGGTTAGGCTGGTCTCGAACTTCTGACCTCAGTGATCCCCCCACCTCGGCCTCCCAAAGTTCTGGGATTATGGGTGTGAGCCACCACACCCGGCCCCCCTTCAATTTTAAAGCCATCACTATGCACCCTATGTCTATGCCAGGCACTAAAATAAGATGAAGCACCTTCTTGGAGTTTACATGCTGGTAATTATGCCAGACAGTAATAAAATAGGTAAGAACGGCTGTGGGGGAAGTCAGCTGGGTTCTAGTTACAGTCGCATTTCAGGAAATGATTTAACATGCTGACTTTAACAACCTAAGCCTCTTCTCCATGTGTGCACACAGGGTAGATCTCTGAACACAGGTGACCCTAGAAGTGCTGTAACTTCTAGGGGAATGGCTGTGTTGAGTCAAGGCAGGATGACAGTTCAGCCTCCTCCCAGGCTAGTGCAAAGGGCTCTTCACTCGGATTAAAACCTTCTCTCCCAGACCGAATTGCCAACTCCCAACACCCCTCCTACAGAAAATTTGGAGTCCTCGCTTATTCCCTGGCAGCCCCTACCTAATAGGGTGGTGAATTAATTATCAAACATGCGACAGTTTAGCGAAAATGGCAACACTTTGGAATAAGTGACTGTAATGTGCATCCTGGCGCCCATTTTGCAGGTCAGTTGCTCTCCCTGGAAGGAAGAGTGTTCTCGGATTTCACCTTAAAGGAGGAAGGCTGCCAGAACTGAACTAGCACTTCTGAATATCCTGAGGCGAGGTCCGGTGACTTCCTTGGGAAGCTCTGCCACGCCCCCACCCCACCCTACCCCACCCTACCCCACCACAGCAGGCGCTGGAGTCCTGGGACCACCAGGGTCTGAGGCCCAAATCCTTCCTCACTAAGGGGAGGAGAGGGGTGTTCCGGCAGGGCAGGATGGGAAGGCGTGCTTGGGCGGGATTGTGACATAAGAGTGCCCTGGTGACATGGAGCAGATCTGTGACATAAATAAAGGTGTCATAAAGACAGGGCGGGGCTCACGCTTAGAAGGGGCACGAGCGTCTCGGAGCTGCCAGAATGTCTTCTGCTCAGTGCCCGGCACTAGTGTGTGTCATGTCCCGGCTGCGTTTCTGGGGCCCATGGCCCCTCCTTATGTGGCAACTATTGTGGCTACTAGTTAAGGAGGCTCAGCCTCTGGAGTGGGTCAAGGACCCGCTCCAGCTCACCTCTAATCCCCTGGGGCCGCCTGAGTCCTGGTCTTCCCACTCCTCCCATTTCCCACGGGAATCTCCCCATGCGCCTACTCTCCCAGCAGACCCGTGGGACTTTGATCACCTGGGGCCCTCTGCTTCCTCAGAGATGCCAGCCCCACCCCAGGAATCGACTGAAAATTTGGTTCCATTCCTGGACACCTGGGATTCAGCTGGAGAGCAGCCCCTGGAGCCAGAGCAGTTCTTGGCTTCACAGCAGGATTTAAAGGACAAGCTGAGTCCACAGGAAAGACTCCCTGTTTCGCCCAAGAAGCTGAAGAAAGATCCAGCTCAGCGTTGGAGCCTTGCTGAGATTATTGGAATTGCACGCCAATTATCCACACCTCAGAGTCAGAAACAGACTTTGCAGAATGAATATTCCAGTACAGATACACCGTATCCCAGTAGCCTGCCTCCAGAACTCCGGGTGAAGTCAGATGAGCCTCCAGGGCCCTCTGAGCAAGTTGGACCTTCTCAATTCCATCTAGAGCCCGAAACTCAAAATCCAGAGACCCTTGAAGACATCCAGTCCTCTTCACTCCAGCAAGAAGCCCCAGCACAGCTTCCACAGCTCCTTGAGGAAGAACCTTCTTCAATGCAGCAGGAGGCCCCAGCTCTGCCTCCAGAGTCCTCTATGGAGAGTCTAACTCTACCGAATCATGAGGTGTCAGTTCAACCTCCAGGTGAGGATCAAGCTTATTATCACTTGCCCAACATTACAGTTAAACCTGCAGATGTGGAGGTTACCATAACTTCAGAGCCTACCAATGAGACAGAATCTTCCCAAGCCCAGCAGGAGACCCCAATTCAGTTTCCAGAGGAGGTGGAACCTTCTGCAACCCAACAGGAGGCCCCAATTGAGCCTCCAGTTTCTCCTATGGAGCATGAACTTTCCATCAGTGAGCAGCAGCAGCCAGTTCAGCCTTCTGAGTCTTCTAGGGAGGTCGAATCTTCTCTGACCCAGCAGGAGACCCCAGGTCAGCCTCCAGAACATCATGAAGTCACAGTTTCACCTCCAGGTCACCATCAAACTCATCATTTAGATTCACCCAGTGTCTCTGTGAAGCCTCCAGACGTGCAGCTCACCATAGCAGCAGAGCCTAGTGCAGAGGTGGGAACTTCTCTAGTCCACCAGGAGGCTACAGCTCGGCTCTCAGGGTCAGGTAATGATGTAGAACCTCCCGCCATCCAGCACGGGGGCCCACCTCTGCTTCCAGAGTCATCAGAAGAAGCTGGACCTTTAGCAGTTCAACAGGAGACTTCATTTCAATCTCCGGAACCTATTAATAATGAGAACCCCTCTCCAACCCAGCAGGAGGCTGCAGCTGAGCATCCACAGACCGCTGAGGAGGGTGAGTCTTCCCTAACCCATCAGGAGGCCCCAGCTCAGACTCCAGAGTTCCCTAATGTAGTTGTAGCTCAACCTCCAGAGCATTCACACCTGACTCAAGCCACAGTTCAACCTTTGGATCTGGGGTTTACCATCACTCCAGAATCCATGACAGAGGTTGAACTTTCTCCAACCATGAAGGAGACCCCAACTCAGCCTCCTAAGAAAGTTGTACCCCAACTTCGAGTATATCAAGGGGTAACAAATCCAACACCAGGTCAGGATCAAGCTCAGCATCCAGTGTCACCCAGCGTTACAGTTCAACTTTTGGACCTGGGACTTACCATCACTCCAGAACCCACTACGGAGGTTGGACATTCTACAGCCCCGAAGAGGACTATAGTTTCTCCAAAGCATCCTGAGGTGACACTTCCACATCCAGACCAGGTTCAGACTCAGCATTCACACCTGACTCGAGCCACAGTTCAACCTTTGGACCTGGGGTTTACCATCACTCCAAAATCCATGACAGAGGTTGAACCTTCTACAGCCCTGATGACTACAGCTCCTCCTCCAGGACACCCTGAGGTGACACTTCCACCTTCAGACAAGGGTCAGGCTCAGCATTCACACCTGACTCAAGCCACCGTTCAACCTCTGGACCTGGAGCTTACCATAACTACAAAACCTACTACAGAGGTTAAACCATCTCCAACCACAGAGGAGACCTCAACTCAGCCTCCAGACCTGGGACTTGCCATCATTCCAGAACCCACTACAGAGACTGGACATTCTACAGCCCTGGAGAAGACTACAGCTCCTCATCCAGACCGGGTTCAGAGTCTGCATCGAAGCCTGACTGAAGTCACAGGTCCACCTACTGAACTAGAACCTGCTCAGGATTCACTGGTGCAGTCTGAAAGTTACACCCAAAATAAGGCTTTAACTGCACCAGAGGAACAGAAGGCCTCCACAAGCACCAACATATGTGAGCTCTGTACCTGCGGAGATGAGATGTTGTCATGTATTGATCTCAACCCAGAGCAGAGGCTCCGCCAAGTGCCTGTGCCAGAGCCCAACACCCACAATGGCACCTTCACCATCTTGTAAGAATCACTTTTCCTCAATTGTCCTCTGTGTCCTGCCTGACATGGCAGCCTTTTCCTGGAGGCCTTCCTGGGCCTTCTTTATCTCCCCAAGCCATATGGACAACTGACTTTCTGCTTTCACCTTTGCTTGTCAACTCTCCCTTCTCCTCATTCTCTTTTAATGTTAGGTCCCTTCTCCAGTCTTTTCCTTTTACTCTGGTCTTTTACTCGTTTTTGTATCCATTTTTATTTAGCCCCATCACATCATTGCTTAACCGCTGCTCTCCTCCCATTTTCGCTTCACCCTCTTTACAGCAGCCTGTCCCTCTCCCGATCTCAGTGATGATGCTCTAAGTGGTTAAGAGTTGATTCCGGAGCCAGGCTGCCTGGGTTTGAACCCAGATCTATTTATTAGCTTGGTGACCCAGAGCAAGTTATTCTGCCTGTGACTCAATTTCCTCACCTTTAAACTGGGGATCATGCTAGTTAGCATTTCATAGGATTGTTGTGAAATTTAGGTGAGTGAATATATGAAACACTTCATCAGTGCTTAGCATATGTAGGAGAGTTGGCTGTTCACATGATTATTCAGTCCTTTAGTTTTGTCCAGAACTCATTTTTGTCCCTAGCTTTCTATATGTAGAACTAGTTTTATGTCAAACCCAGGGCCAAGTATGCTACTGTCTCCAGAACACGAAAATGATAGGAGGGAAGAGGCTGGGTGTGGTGGCTCACGCCTGTAATCCCAGCACTTTGGGAGGCCGAGGCGGGCGGATCATGAGGTCAGGAGATCAAGACCATCCTGGCTAACATGGTGAAACCCCATCTCTACTAAAAATACAGAAAAAAATTAGTCAGGCATGGTGGTGGGTGCCTGGAGTCCCAGCTACTCGGGAGGCTGAGGCAGGAGAATGGCGTGAACCTGGGAGGCAGAGCTTGCAGTGAGCCGAGATTGCACCACTGCACTCCAGCCTGGGTGACAGAGCAAGACTCCATCTCAAAAAAAAAAAAAAAAAAAAATGATAGGAGGGAAGAAAGAGAATAGGCATAAAAAGGGAGGTATATATAATTAAGTACTAAAAGATAATGCAGACCATTGGTGCTAGAATTTGCCAGAATCTGTGATCCTTGAGGTGTGGAGATGCTACATGGGTAAGCTAAAACTTTACTTGGGTCTTAAAGAGTAGCTATAATTTGTTAAATAGAAGAAAAATGGGAGTACAGTCTAGGCAAACGCATGGCTACAGGTATGGTTGGAATTTAGTAGACCAATGTGGCTACAAAGAATTAGGTGAGGGAGCAATGAAGATACGATTCTGTAAAACCTTGATTATCAGCTATAGGAGTTTGAAAGTTACACAATGAGGTATGGAAAGCCATTGAAAGTTTCCAAGCAAGAGAGATTACATGATCAAAACAGGAAGATTATTTTATTTTGTTTTTTGCATTATGTGCAAGTGTAGACATGCAGAGGATTGTTTTAGAATCCATATGTAAAGTGTCCAAAAGGAAAAGCTTAATTCAGGGAGACAAAATAGAAAGGTCTAGCAAAATCTAGGAGTGAAGTGTGAAGGGGCCAAATCAGATCAGTTGTAATAGGAGTGGAAAGAAAAAGCCTAGGATGTTTCAACAGAGGGCACTGGGCCAAAGCTTTGGTGTTACCTGGCATAGGGTTTCTTTCTTCTCATTTGTTGATAATGATAAGCTTTTGCCCATATTTCTGTGGAATTATTTACCATTTTGGTACTGATTTGTAGAAGTCTGTTTAGACACATAAGTGCTTTTAGATAAAATACTTACATTCAAAGTAATTAACTGGCATCATCTGTCCAAGAGATGGGATGGATAAGAAGTTAAGCTTCCAGGAGATGCCTCATCATTTGTGCCAGTGACCCCGCATAATTTCTTGATGAATTGTGCAAACTGGGAAGCTGATAGCTCTGGAAATGAGAAAGCAGGTGTTATTTTCTGTTTCTGAATATCCCCAACAAGGTTGCAATGATTCTTTTACTTATCGTGTTCATTGTTTTCCTACCTATTCAAGGATATAAACTGTGTTTCTTCACAGAAATTTCCAAGGAAACTATATTTCTTACATTGATGGAAATGTATGGAAAGCATACAGTTGGACTGAGAAACTGTGAGTATATTCTCTCCAAATATGACAAAAAGCTAACTGCATTGTAAGATCCTTCTTGGTCCAGAATTTTGAGGTCGGTACCTCTGAGGAAAGATATTTCTCCTCCATGCCCCAAATCAACCACTGTTGATTGCAATTGTATGGTCATTTTAAAATTAAATTTGGTAGGCTCTCTTTAAAATAAGAGGCAATTTAAATTTATTTTTTATCATACAAATAGTACATGGTTATATTCCTTTTTGTTCTCTTTTTTGTTTTTTTTTCAGAGACAGGGTCTTACTTTGTCCTCTGGGCTGCAGTGCAGTGGCACAATCACAGCTCACTGCAGCCTTCACCTCCCAGGCCCAAGTGATCCTCTCACCTCAGCCTCCCCAGTAGCTGGGACCACAGGTGCATGCCACCACACCCACCTAATTTTGTATTTTTTGTAGAGACAGGGTCTTCCTATGCTGCTTAGGCTGGTCTTGAACTCCTGGGCTCAAGTGATCCTCCCACTTTGGCCTCTTAAAGTGTTCATATTACAGGCATGAGCCACCACCCGCAGCCCATGATTCCATTTTTAATATATAAAAATGCAATAACAGATATAACAAAAACTCTCCTTGTGCCCTACTCCCTCATCCCTGAAGTAATGCTACTCTGCATTTAGTATACATGCTTCCAGACTTTTCCTCATTTACCTACATACATATTTACATAAAGCAAAATAGATTTGTTTTGTGGTTTTAAAATTTTTTCTTCGCATAAAGGGTAACATCTTGCAACTTAATTCTTTCACTTCATGATATGCCTTAGATTTCTTTCCTTCCCAGTACTTAGAGGGTCACCCCATTCATTTAAACTCCTGCATAATCCATAGTATGGATGCATCATGGTTTATTTAATAATTCCCCCATTGATGAATGTTTAGATTATGCTTAGTTTTCTTGTTACATGCATTGCTGCAATGAAATCCCTGTACATGCTTCTTTGTGAACATGTGCAAGTATTCCTGTAGCATAGATATCTGGAAATGGAATTCTTGGGGTGAAGACTATGTAGATATAAAATTTTAATTGCCTTCAAAAATTTTGTGCCAACTTACTCTATTGTCAGCAGAATATGACAGCATTCATTTCCCAACACCTTTTCACCGCTGGGTATTCTCCAACTTTTTGCTGAAGTTATGGATGAATAAAAGGGATTCCATCTAAATGTGAATTTTTCTGATTACTCATGAATTTAATTTAGTATCTTTATATGTTTATTGAACATTTGTGTTTCTTCTCTGAGTTTTCTGGCCTTTGTTCATTTTCCTGTTGAATTGTTTTATCATTTTCTTACTGATTTATAGAAGGAATTGGTTTAGACACATAAGTGATTTTGGAAAAAATGCTTACATTCAAAGTAACTGACATTTTTCACAACAGTTTGTGTGTCACATCATTATTTCAATGTACATAGACAAGCCACGATGAGTTCTAAATTAAAAATAAACATATGCTAGGCGCGGTGGCTCACACCTTTAATCCCAGCACCTTGGGAGGTAGGCGGATCACCTGAGGTCAGGAGTTTGAGACCAGCCTGGCCGATAGGGCGAAACCCCATCTCTACTAAAAATACAAAAAGTAGCCAGGCGTGGTGGTGGGTGCCTGTAATCCCATCTACTTGGGAAGCTGAGGCAGGAGAATGGCTTTATTTATTTTTTCAGATGGAATTTTGTTCTTGTTGCCCAGGCTGGAGTGCAATGGTGCGATCTTGGCTCACTGCAACCTCCACCTCCCGGGTTCAAGCGATTCTCCTGCCTCAGCCTCCTGGGTAGCTGGAATTACAGGTGCCCTCCATCACACCCAGCTAATTTTTATATTTTTAGTAGAGACAGGGTTTCACCATGTTGGCCAGGCTGGTCTCAAACTCATGACCGTGGGTGATTCACCCACCTTGGCTTTCCAGAGTGCTGGGATTACAGGCATGAGCCACCACGCCAGGCCAGAACTACATTTTAAAAACAAGAAAATTATTACAAAGGTCAGGATAGTGGTTACCTATTAGGGTTAGAGAGAGGGATATGATTGGAAAGGGGCACACTGGGGCTTCTGGCATGCTAGCAATGATCTTTTGTAACGATGTTTACATGGGTATCTGCTTCATAATTATTAAACTGAATATTTTGGCCAGGTGAGGTGGCTCATGTCTGCAGTCACAGCACTTTGGGAAGCAGACACAGGAGGATCACTTGAGCCAGGAGTTTGAGACCAGTCTGGGAACAGAGTGAGACCCTGTCTCAAAAATTAAATTAAATTAAATATAAACAACATTTATGTTATGTGCACTTTATGCACATTATAGTTCTCCAATTTTTTTGATGGGGGGAAAAAGGTTGAATGGCTTCACTTGCAGCCCTGACATGGTTCCATGTGGGGCTTTCATAATAAGGTTTGGGAAAAGAGAGGAGGAAATGGAGGTTCTGCTGATCTTGGTGCCACCCAGAGTTGGATTCTAAAAGGGATTTTGTGATCTAGAGAGGAGGCATGAAATAATAGAATTTGGTGGGAAGAAACCCACTCTTCAAGGGGTGTGCTTGAGTGTGTGTGTGTGTGTTTGTGGTGGTGGTGGAGAGAGATGGACACAAAAAGGAAAATATAAGAAAAGGTTTGAATGAAAGCAGAGCAGATCCCACCATCTTGAAGTGACCATGACCCAGCTTTCCTCCACATGCAGGAGATGGTTCTGTGTAGCAAATAGTTGTAGTTTGCATTTTAATCTAGAAATAACTTCTTCATTTTCCAGAATTCTCAGAGAAAATAACTTGACTGAATTACACAAGGATTCATTTGAAGGCCTGCTATCCCTCCAGTATTTGTAAGTTAGTTAATTATATTTATGAGTTTTTAGTCATATTATCTGTAAAATGAATAAGGGGTTCAAATTAGATAATCTCTCAGATTTCTTTGAGCAATAAAATTCTGCAATTCTGTAAGTTTGTATAGGGTCTCAGCCCATCTCTAGCACTAGCTACCTCCTGTGCATTTTCAGTTTTTAAGTTATATAGACAAAATACAGACAAAAACATTTCACATGGTAAGAAAATCTGAGCAGTGACTGACACCCATATGAACCTTGTTTTATAAGGGTTCACATATCATTCTTTTTCTATTCAGTCTACAACCAATAGATCCAATCTAATTTATGGTCTATTTTTAAATAGCCCATTAAGTTAAGAATGGGTTTTGCATTTTTAAAGGGACTGTGAAAGAAAAAGAAAAGAAACAAAGAAATATGCGAGAGATCATATGTGGCCCATAAAACCTAAAATATTTACTGTCTGACCTTCACCAAAAAAAATTTCAAAAAGTTGGTTTAGTAGGATGAAAGGAACTAAAGTTAACTTCAGATGGTTGCCTAAAGGAGAAGAAAATGGAGACCACCTGCATTCATTTGAACATCATTAATCCAGAATTTTTTGGTAATTTAATCGGAATTAAATTAACATTTAAATATTAAAAATAGCTGAATTATATCAATAATATTATCAAGAATATTAAGCTACCAAGAGAATAGACTGGTATTAAGGATTTCATTTCAGGAATTGTTATATTAAAACAGATGTTTAAAATGATGGTTAACTGGTAGAGCTAGAAATGTTTACACTAAGAAGCACATCAGAAATGCCCCTAACTCTTCACTAATTACAAAATAACGATCGCCCCAGCCCTGTTACCAGAAAGGGATCCCTGTATTTCTGTCTGTTTAGAGACAAGAAGATACTATGTTCATTGCTATGAAAGCTTGATTCTTACCCTTTGTCCATAGAGGTCTGTATGTCATTAATCCTTATTAAGCTCATTAGTGATGCTCTTTTGCAAACAGATTCTTTCAAATATAGAAGGCTTAAGGAAAGTGGGTGTAAAGACCCTCAGGTGGATGCCAAAGTGCTACAGAGACCATGAAATAATAAAACTACATTTCCTTTAAAATAGTTATTTTCCTTCTACTCACTCCCCCAGCTATTCATTTATTTTACAAATATTTGAGTTTGCTTTATTTCCATGTGTCAGTTTTAAACATGGTGGGCAATGCAGATGAGCAAGACCTAGTCCATGCTTTCAGGGAGTTTATGCTCAGAAGAAATGGGATAAAAAATAACTACATTAAGAAGAAGAAATGGATGTGGGCACTAGGAGGGATAAATTGTTTCTCGAACATAGAAGAGGAAAAAATGCCTTCAATTTGGACCCAGGAGGATGTTACTAGAACAATGCCATTTGAATAGGACTTTGAAGGGCCATTGTGTAACATCAGACAGACATCTTGGGGAAAATACTCTAAACTTGCAAAAGGAAAATGGGAGGGCAAAACACAGGAAAGTATTCAAGGAATGCCATGAGTACCCGTAGAGTACAAGAAGGGAGAGTAGGAAAATGGAGCCAGATCTTCTAGAGCTTTGAATGCCAAGCTGAGGAGCCAACATGGGGAACCGTGTTACCACAGCAGCGCTGTAAGGTAGATCTGCATCACAGTCATTGAGAGGGCACGTTAGAACTCAGTTCTGGACTCCACCCTCGTAGTTACTGATTCAGTTGGTCTAGAGTGGGACCAAGAATTTGCATCTTCAGTAATTTCCCAGGAGATGCTGGTCTTTGCAAGCCACTTCTGGAGAGTTTATATGATGACTGTGTGCAGGATAGTTTAGGTAGGGAGAGACTAGAGATGGAGATATCAGCCAGACAACGTTACACCATCCAGGTAAAGAGGGAGGGACAAACTCCATCACTGTATAACTGAAGAAATTTTTTTTTTATGAAATATTAAAGCAATACAAAACCAAAAATGAATTTCTATTAATATGATAGAAATTAATTCTATTAATATGATTTGAATTAGTTCAAAGTTATGTATTAGGTAAAGGGGTAGCTTCCTTTCAAATGATGTGAAAGGATGTCTTTTATTTCTTCTGATATTGAAGTGGCTTAGGAAAACAGACCTAAACTAAGAAGGTGTAGAAATGTGAGACTTGTTTGTTTGTTTGTTTGTTTGTTTGAGACGGAATCTCGCTC
The DNA here is from genome assembly GCF_000001405.40 of Homo sapiens. Taxonomy (NCBI): domain Eukaryota; kingdom Metazoa; phylum Chordata; class Mammalia; order Primates; family Hominidae; genus Homo; species Homo sapiens. The sequence continues at coordinate 45,540,568 of NC_000017.11, read as the reverse complement.
TGTCGCCCAGGCTGGAGTGCAGTGGTGCAATCTTGGCTCACTGCAAGGTCCGCCTCCTGGGTTCATGCCATTCTCCTGCCTCAGCCTCCTGAGCAGCTAGGACTACAGGCACGTGCCACTAGGCCCAGCTAATTTTTTTTTTTTTTTTGTAGAGACAGGGTTTCACCGTGTTAGCCAGGATGGTCTCGATATCCTGACCTCAGGATCTGCCAGCCTCGGCCTCCGAAAGTGCTGGATTACAGGCCTGAGCCACCGCACCCGGCCCGACTATTTTTTTTAATATTAGAAATTGTGTATATAGAGATAAAATCTTTGAGCTCATAATCTAAGATTTGATGACACTACAAAAGGGCATCTAATCAAGTCTACTGCTCTCAGGAAAAATTAATTCCAAAGTCTATTATGTTGTATATTTATTAAAACCATGAAGGTGAGACTCTAGGAGAGGTATGGGCAGGGTTAGGGGCTCTGGAATGTTCCAATACAAGTCCAAACGTTTAGAGTTGAGATGAAAAATAGGTATTCAGTATTATTCTAAACTCTTGCTGTTATTCATACCAATTGACATTTAATAACTAATCAAGGCAATATTTTTGTTTTCCTAGAGATTTATCCTGCAATAAAATACAGTCTATTGAAAGACATACATTTGAACCACTACCATTTTTGAAGTTTATGTAAGTTACAAATATAACTTGATTACATTTGGAATTTTTATAAAACTTAATTATAAACCTTTTTGCTATTCTTGAAATATGATTAAAATTTTACCAGTAGAAAGCTACTAAAATTATACAGCAAATCCTTTTTGTCTCTAGCAAGGATTATTGTGAGAATTATTACACAGATCTTAGTGAATCATCAGAGAGCAGTGGTTCTCAGGTGGTGTGATTTTGCACTCAGGTGGCATTTGGTAATGTCCGGAGACAGTTTTGGTTGACAAAACTGTGGGTGTGCTCCTGGCATCTGGTGGGCAAAGGCCAGAGATGCTGCTAAACATCCTTCAAGGTATAAGACAAACCCCCATGGCAAAGAGTTATATAGTCCAAAATGTTGATGGCACTGAAGTTGTGAAATCCTGTTCTAGAGAAATAAAGATCACTTAACACAGGTATTTACTGAGCATTCACTGTTTTGTATCTAATGCACCACATGTGCAGTGTTAAAGTATAAATCATAAGCCAGTATCTTCCACAGTCAGATTTCCTTAGTGCATAGAGAAAGGATTGAGGTTATGTTCCATCCTATATAAATTAGAATCATGGCAAATGATAAATGTTCTGAAATAATTTTTTTTTTCTTTGGCTTGTGTCTTTTTTTTTTAGAAATCTTAGTTGCAATGTAATTACAGAACTCAGCTTTGGAACATTTCAGGCCTGGCACGGAATGCAGTTTTTACATAAGTTGTAAGTGAAATAGAAGATGAATACATGTAAACAACTATTTATGTACAAAAACTCATACAATTATTGGGTAGCTGGGTATAAGCCCATTATCAACTCTGAAAAGCGTGTCTTAAGATCCATTCATTTTTCTCAAATGGGGAAGCTAAGGTACAAAGAGGCCAAGAGACTTACGTAGCTTATATATGACCTCCTCTGCTTGTCCTAGTTCTGACCTATAGCATGGGCAAGAAAAGGCATCAAAGAAGTGACCCTCAAATTAGCCTTGTTGCTGGGCGGGGTGGCTCAGACCTGTAATCCCAGAACTTTGGGAGCCGAGGTGGGTGGATCACCCGAGGTCAGGAATTCAACACCAGCCTGGCCAACATAGTGAAACCCTGTCCCTACTATAAATACAAAAAAATTAGCTGGGCGTGGTGGTGCAGTTTTTTGCTCCCTGGAGGACTTTGTGTTAAGCTTCCTTCCTTGCAGCTAAATGTTGCAGACATTTAAGCAGTTAGAAACTCTGCATATGAGCAGGAATCAAATCCAAAGTTGTAGGGCCAGAATGGTGGCTCATGCCTGTAATCCCAGCACCTTGGGAGGCCAAGGTGGGAGGATCACTGGAGGTCAGGAGTTTGAGACCAGCCTGGCCAACATGGCAAAACCTCATCTCTACTAAAAATACAAAAATTAGCAGGTCATGGTGGCGGGCACCTGTGATCCTAGCTATCGGGAGGCTGAGGCACGAGAATGGCTTGAACCCGGGAGGTGGAAGTTGCAGTGAGCCGAGATTGTGCCACTACCCTCCAACCTCCCCTCCAGGCTGGTCTCAAACTCCTCTGACCTCAGGTGATCCGCCCACCTCAGCCTCCCAAAGTGCTGGGGTTACAGGTGTGAGCCACCATGCCTGGCCAAGATGGTGTTTATGTTAAGCTATTGTGCAAAAAAAAACTTTTGTAAAGAAAATATATCGCTGTATCTTAATTCCATATACTTTCCTGACTACTCTTCTACCATAATTGCAAAAATTCTATGATTTCTCTGTATAACATACCCATCAAATCAGAGTGGGTATATTCAGTGGCCTGAAGGGGACTCAAGGTGAAGATTCTCCTCTACATCTGACTTTAGAAAAGACTTTCCACCTGCCTTGTGGTTCAGAAATCTAGTTTCACACAGTTCATTTCAAGTTAGAGGGAGGCATTCAGGATGTGTCTGGACTAGAGCAGCAGTTTCTGCACATGCTCCCCTCTGTCCTCATTAATTTGCTGATGCATAACTTAGGAAAAGTACACTAAAGGTCTGTTTTTCTTTTGCCCTCACACCAGAGAACAGGCTCATTAGGTCCCTCCACCAAGAGGTTTAGGTAGCATCAATACAAATGTTTTAAACTCACCATCTTTACTAAGCACTTTATACCACTGGGAGTCCCTCATAAAAATCTGGTGGCCGGGAGCAGTGGCTCATGCCTGTAATTCCAGCACTTTGCTGAGGTGGGTGGATCACCTGAGGTCAGGAGTTCAAGACCAGCCTGACCAACATGGTGAAACCTGTCTCTACTAAAAATACAAAAATTAGCTGGGCATGGTGGCAGGCAACTGTAATCCTAGGTACTCAGGAGGCTGAGGCAGAAGAATCACTTGAAACCAGGAGGCGGAGGTTGCAGTGAGCCGAGATGGCACCATTGCACTCCAGCCTGAGGGACAGAGTGAGACTCTGTCTCAAATAATAATAATAATAATAATAATCATCATCATCATCATCATCTAGCCAGCTTCACTACAATTACGTAGGCAACACCAGGAAAACACTGGAATCACAGTTGATAAAAATTAATGAATTCATTCAAAAACATTCAGAGTGCCATGTCCATTTGTGCCACGTACTGTACTAAGTGCTGGGGCTACAAAATCCATCTCAAAGACACACCAAGATGAGGACTTTGTCCCCAGGGGACTTTCATTCCTCAAGGAGGAAGCGGATGCTGATGGGAAAACATATGAGAGCCATGTGGGGATCTGTACGGCAGGGTGACAAGGAGAAGACAAAGCAGGAATGGGGGCTGGGTTAAGAAAGACTTGAGAGACACTAACTTGCTTATCTTGAGTTTCTGTGTTCATCTTAAAGAACAGAAAAAGGCATTTGCTTCATGGTGATGAAAAAATCAGAGCTAGCTGATATTGGAAACTAGCACTCATTTCATATAAACAGAATAGAGCTGTACCCTTCAAACTAAGTCACAGTTACTTTCAAAGATTGGCACAAGGGTCTCAACACATCAAGTGTATGTTAGGGGCTGGGCTCCGTTGGAGTCAAATCTTCCTGGTAAACAAAGCTACACTGCAGTCATATTTGGCATATGTGACATATAGGCCCACTGCATTTCCTTCCAAAGGCAAGATGCCAAGGGAAGGTGCCAGTAATTTTATGACCAATATGACACCATTTTGTGGTGTTTGTAAGTTGAAACAATATATTTCCCTGCATTACACAAGTTTATAAAAAACAAACAAAAAAAGAGGCCCCAGCTGTGGTTGATCGATGATGAATTGAATAGAGCCTAACCTTCCAGGCTTCTCACTTGCACAGGCCCTTCCAAGGTCCTGGGAGGGCCCCTGGAAATTTTTGTAGTCATAATTTTTTTAATGTTTTTACTAGATAAGGCTCAGGCCCCACAAAATCCTGAAATCATCCCTGGGTTCCAATAGTTACAACCCAGTAAATCTCTTGAATGAAGCCTCTATGTTATTGACAAATACTGACTGGCCAAGTTAGCAGGGTGATAGGGTCAGTCTATTTTGAATCTGAAATCCATCTCAAAGACAGGCCAAGAGCTTATTAGTGGACTTAACTGGATTCTGCTGGCCCAAGCGCAGTAAAGTCAAACAACCATATCGAGGTTTTGCACTGGGGAAAGGAGGACATTTATTTGCAGGGCATCCAAGCAAGAAGGACCAGGCGGCTAACTATCAAAGTCCCTCACTGAATGGGGGCAATAATCATATCTCTTACAGATGAAATCATGAATGAAATGGTTTATGGAAAAGCAGCAATGGTTGATAATCCTAAATGTTAAGTATGTTTATATTTTTTCCCTGACTTTAAAGTGCTTCTCCTTCATTCCTATACACAGGTCCAGACTGATGGCTTATTTTTTAAAATTCTCTTAGTCACTTCATTGGTTCTAACAATAATTTTAGAAACTGGATGACTTTGCAATGTAGAAAGGCTATACTTTATTCAGATAGAGTACACTCACATATTGGCTTGTCTATGGCACATCGATATCATGCCAAGAATGTAAGCACTAAGAGAGAATAAGAGGAAAATCCAGGCTTTATCCCTATTGAATTATTTATCCCACTATTAGAATATTAGTGAGGTAGGTGTGGCCACACTGTGATGGCAAATTGAGCTTCGGTCACAAACATGCCTTACTGTTCCCCCCAGTCTACTGACATCAGCTTCCTTTACATAGCGGTAGATGCACAAAAGTTTGCACAGTTGAGGGTATTGTCATCATGTTTTGGTATGTACTGGAATCCTGGCAGCTTCTTCTCTGATTCGGAGAGGCGCAAACATTAAAGACAAAAAGAACAACTCGAGTCTGTCCTTTGGGGTGATTTAGGGTGGCTGTTTAAATTTGTAGTGGTTGAAAAGTCTTGAGATTGTCACACCTAGCAACTCATACTTTTCTTCTCTCAGCTGCAGCTTGTTCTTTTCACCTGTGTAACAAGCTGTCTTCTCTTCTCACAGAAGCTTAGCATTTCTTCCTCTGCCCCATAGCATTTTTTTCAATACTTAATTTACCAGGTGCTGTTTATGTTGTAGGCACCTAAGTACTTATACCAGTGAGATAACATGTCCGAAGTTCTTAGAACAGTGCTTGGCCTATGGTAAATGCTCCATACATGTTACCTCCTATGATACCTCATTTTTATTTTTCCAACAACTCTTGCGATGCAGTTATTATTATCATTTCTATTTTGCAGATGAGGAAGTTGAAACTCAGAGATGCTAGGTAATTTGCTAAGGTTCACACGGCTAATAAGTGGCAGAACCACTTACAAGCTTTGCAAGTAATTTTCAATGCAGCTCTTAGTTCCCCTGTAATAGGAGCTGAATGATGACAATTTGGCTTTGTGTGCATTGTATCTTACTTTCTAACTTGAATAGGACCTGTAGAGCAGTGAGCTCCACTTCCCTCTGAGAATCCCACGCTTCTGGAGCTCCTGGCTGTACCAGCTCTGGGCATCCCCAGGGTTTATGCTCACCGGTCAGTGCTGGTGTGACATGATGGCTGAGCACCGGCACTGTGTCCAGCGCATTGCTAGGCACTAGACACGTGCTCTTTCATTTATTCCTCAAATTGCTTTGTGCTGTAAATGCTACCCAGAAAGGCTCATGTTCATTACTCAAGTCACTTCACCAGAAAGTGACAGAGCCAGAATTCAAACCCAGGTCTGCCAGATTCCAGGTCCCTTGCTTCTTCTGTTGTTGCTCATTGCAAGGGAGTCTTCTTCAAGGTTATTCTCAGGACTTTGATTAAGATACAGGCTCACAGCTGGGCATGGTGTCTCATGCTGTAATCTCAGCACTTTGGGAGGCCAAGGTGGGTGGATCACTTGAGCTCAGAAGTTCGAGACCAGCCTGGCCAACATGGTGAAACCCTGTCTCTACTAAAAATACAAAAATTAACCAGGCATGGGGACGGGCATCTATGATCCCAGCTACTCTGAAGGCTGAGGCAGGAGAATCACTTGACTCCAGGAGGTGGAGGTTGCAGTGAGCCAAGATCACACCACTGCACTGCACTCCAGCCTGGGCAACAGAGTGAGACTTCATCTCAAAAAAAAAAAAAAAAAAGGAAAAAGGCTCACCATTTCAGATTCTCTAGTTTTTGCCCCTGAAAAAGCATTTACATGATGCAGTCCGAGGTCTTGTATGGAGGAGCTTGGTGTGGGGAGATGTGTGGCTCACGAACCTATGTAGGTGAATAAAGGAAAGAGGTTACTTTCTCCCCAAGTACATCGCGCATATTGGGTGAGGGTCTAGGTCATCTGCTTATTTCTTTGACTACCTTCTTCCATGGAACCAGTTTTCCCTGACAGCCTTGGGATTCTAGCATAGATCATTTTGGAGTTTGTCATTTAAATTTATTTTCACGGCCTGCTTTGGACATTTTTTCAGCTAGAGCTGTTAGGATTTCAGTACATTTAAGACAGTGATGACATGCTCCAGTCCTTTCATCTCTGTCTCCTCAGTTAATAGAAAGGAAACATAGCTCATCTATCTGGACCTGTACAGAAGAATTTGGAGGGAAAAAAAAAAAACAGGCAAGAAATGTTCCCTTATTTTGTGAGCTACCTTTATTCTGTCCCATTGTTCTACAGCAAAAGGCTTGTATAAAAATATTTCAGTTTTCCTCATCTAATAAGGCATATTTAATAAAATTATTTAGAGCAGTACTTCTTAAACTTTTACTCTGAGACAGTCTTTGAGGCTGAAAAAAAGCTTGCCACATTTTACTTCCATAAAGATACCAAAAAGGCGATGGACTGGGAGTCAGTGCACCTTAGTTTAATGTATAAAATGAAGGACTTGAACCAGAAATGGAAATGGTCATCTACTGTGAATCTAAAAACACTCGAGGCTGGGCGCGCTGGCTCATGCCTGTAATCCCAGCACTTTAGGAGGCCAAGACAGGCAGATCGCTTGAGCCCCTGGAGTTCAAGTTCAGCCTGGGCAACAAAGTGAGACCCCAATCTCTACAAAAAGACTTTTAAAAAGTGGAAACATAAATATAAATAAATAAAAACATTCATATCATTTGGTTTGTGGAAAAGAGTTGCTGTAGAGTCCTCAAACTTGAGCCGTTGAGCCAGTTCCCACTCAGTCTCTCCATGGCCCAGGCACAACCTTAGTCAAGAAAAGAATGCCTTAGAACAGGAGGAAAAGAGGATAATATCGAATGGCCCTATATTTTGATTTCATTAGGGACAAATGCAAAGATCCTAATGTCAGCTGGAGAAGAGCTTCCTAGTTCAGAGGTAATGCTGAGCTCAAGGCTATGGATGAGCTATCAAGAAAGAGGGAAGGTTGGAGAGTGAGAGAATTTTGGAGGAAAGATAACAAACTTTGCCAAGTTGTTTGGCTACATACTGCCTTACAGTCATTATTTTTGGTGTTTAAAAAAAAATAGAAACAGGGTCTCACTTTGTTACCCAGGCTGGTCTCAAACTCCTGGGCTCAAGCTCTCCTTCTGCTTTGGCCTCCCAAAGTGCTGAGATTACAGGCTTGAGATGCTGTGCCCAGCCTACATTCATTTTTAATAGCTGGGAGGAAAGTGGGCAGAGGAAGATATAGAATGAAGGGGTAGCCGACTTTGTACAGAGCCCACCAGTGGTCTTACAAGTTTTCATGCCAAAAAAAATCACGAAGGATATTTAAAGCCCTAGTTTGAGAATCCATACTTAACCAGTCATGTGGCACTCACATTCTTTCTCTTTGTAACATCATCTTATTGAATATTAGTGTTACAAAACAAGTTAATGGCACTGAAAAACCATCTGGAATAGGAAGAGGAGGGGGATCACAAGGCAGGACAAGCTGTGTGGCTCCCAGCCTCGCCACTGACTCACTCTGATCTTGGTCAAGGGAGAGTGAATCTTCACTCCTCTTTTTTCCATCTGCCAGCATGTTTGGTCTTCTGGCACCTGGTGTTCTATACAGTACAACATGCTTCTTTGTGTTACATTGAGACTTGATCCACATACCATCAACGCAGTATTATAAAGTGTACAATTCAGTGGTGGTTAGTATATTCTCAAGGTTGTATAGCAAACAATCACCATTATCTAACCCCAGAACATTTTCATCATCCCAAAAAGAAACATGGTACCCATTAGCCATCACTCCCCAGTGCTGTCTTCCCGCAGGCCCAGGTAACTACTAATCTACTTTGAGTCCCTATGGATTTGCCTATTCTAGATCTTTCATATAAACGAATCATACAGTATGTGGCCTTTTGTGTCTAGTTTCTTTTCACGAAGCATGTTGTTTCTAAGGTCCTCCCATGCTGCAGCATGGATCATTCCTTTGCAAGGCTGAGTGATATTCCATTGTATGGAGCCATCACTATATCCGTTCATCCATTCATCACTTAGTGGACATGTGGTTGTTTCTACTTTATTTTGGCTTTTATGAATAATGCTGCTATGGACATGCATGTACTACTTTTTGCGTGGACATGTTTTTAATTCTAGGGTGCATCCCTAGCAGAATTGCTAGATCGTATGGCAACTCTTATGTTTAACTTTTTGAGGACCTGTCAGGCTGATTTCCACAGTGGCTGCTCCATTTTACACTTCCATCTGCAATGTTTGAGGGTTTCAATTTCTCCTGGTCTTTGTCAACACTGTCGTTGTCTGTCTCTTCTCATAGCCATCCCAGTGAGTGTAAAGTAGTATCTCGCTGCAGTTTTTGATGGACATTTCCCTAATGATTTAAGACATTCAACATTTTTATGTGTATATGAGCCATTTATATATCTTCTTTGAAGAAATATTTATTCACATCCTCTGCCCATTTAAAAAATTGATTTGTCTTTTTATTGAATTATAGGAATTTCTCTATATCTTCTGGATACTCTGGATATTAGACCTTAACAGATAATTTGCCAATATTTTCTCTCATCCTGTGAGTTCTGTGACTTTCTTGCCAGTGTCCTTTGATGCACAAAAGTTTTTAATTTTGATAAAATCTAATGTATCTATTTTTCCTTTGGTTGTTTGTGCTTTTGGTGTCATGTGTGTGTATAAAATGTCTTATTCTTCTTTAAAAAGGTTCAGTGTTTGGTTTTAAATCAGGCTGTGTCCCTTTCATCTGTCTGACATTCTTGTCACCATGTCAGGCTGCCTTCAGCTAGTAATACTTCATTAAATTCAAAAGACAAAATTGTTTTAAAAGAAAAAAAATCCAGTTTGGAGAAGAAAAAACTGTTGTCTAATTTAAGGTCATGAGATTTACTCTCATGTTTTTGTGTAAGAGTCTTATCGTTTTGGCTCTTACATTTAGGTATTTGACATATTTTGCATCAATTCTTATAATCGTGTGAGATGTAGGGGGTCCACCTTCATTATTTTGCACATAGATGTTCAGTTGTTCCAGCACCATTTAAAAAAAAAAAAACATTATTTCCACGTAGAATTGTTGTAGCACCCTTGTCAAAAATCAATTTTCCATAAATGTGAGGGTTTATTTCTGGGTTGTCAATTCTATTCTATTGATTTATTTGTCTGTCCACATTCCAGTATCACACTGTGATTGCTGTAGATTTGATTTGGGTTTTGAAATTGGGACATTTGAGTCTTCCCACTTTGTTATTTTACAAGATTATTTTGCTATTTAGGGTGCCTTAAATTGCATTATAATTTTAGAACTAGCTTGTCACTTTCTGGAAAGAAGCCAGCTGGGATTTTGATAAGAATTGTACTGATAATAGCAAAGATATGTAATCAACCCAAACGCCCAACCTAACTGCTATGTTATTCCTATTCCAATACTTTGCAATATATGTAGCTTTTTAGAAAGAGGATATGTTAGCAGGGCGCAGTGGCTCACACCTGTAATCCCAGCACTTTGGGAGGCTGAGGCAGGTGGATTGCCTGAGGTCAGGAGTTAGAGACCAGCCTGGACAACATGGTGAAACCCCGTGTCTACTAAAAGTACAAAAATTAGCAGGGGGTGGTGGCAGGCACCTGTAATCCCAGCTACTCAGGAGGCTGAGGTAGGAGAATCACTTGAACCCAGGAGGTGGAGGTTGCAGTAAGCCGAGGTCACGCCATTGCACTCCAGCCTGGGCGACAGAGCGAGACTCCGTCTCAAAAAAAAAAGAAAAATGAACAGTAAAAAAACAAAATGTTTGTGGCCAGATGCAGTGGTGCATACCTATAATCCCTGTACTTTGGGAGGCCAAGGAAGGAGGATTGCTTGAGGCCAGGAGTTTGAGACCAGCCTGGGCAACATAGTGAGACCCTATCTCTAAAAATTTTTTTTAGTTAGCCGAGTGTGGTGGTGCGCACCTGTAGTCTCAGCTACATCTTAATTTTATAACGTTGTAGTTCAGATTAATTCCAACTTTGTTTCAATGGTATACAAAAACTTCGCTTCTCTAAAGCTCCACTCTCACCCCCTCCTTTATACTGTTATTGTCACACATTACATCTTTATATACTTTATGTTCATCAACTAGATTTATAATTATTGCATTATGTAAGTATCTTTTTCTTATTTTTTTTTCTTTATTTTGGGACAGAGTCTCACTCTGTTGCCCAGGCTAGAGTGCAGTGGCACAATCTTTACTCGCCACAACCTCTGCCTCCCAGGTTCAAGCGATTCTAGTGCCTCAGCCTCCTGAGTAGCTGGGACTGCAGGCACGTAACACCACACCCAGCTAATTTTTGTATTTTTAGTAGAGACAGGGTTTCACCATGTTTGCCAGGCTGGTCTCAACCTCTTGACCTCAAGTGATCCTCCAGCCTCAGCCTCCCAAAGTGCTGGGATTACAGGCCTGAGCCACTGCGCCCAGCAAGTGCTTTTTATTTCTTTGTGCAGATTCACGTTAGTACTCCTTATAGGGCAGGTCTTCTAGCAACAAAGTCTCTCAGTTTTTATTTATCTAGAATATCTTAATTTCTCTTCAATTTCAAAGGTAGTTTTGCCAGGTATAGAATTATTGGTTGACAGTTTCTTCAGCACTTTGAATATGCCATTTCATTGCCTTTTGTCCTCCACTGTTGTGTGTGGTTGCTTTGTTTTTAGACAGGGACTTGCTCTGTTACCCAGGCTGGAGTGCAGTGGTGCAACCACTCACATCGTTGCAGCCTCCACTTCCCAGGCTTAAGCAATGCTGTCACCTCAGCCTCCTGGGTAGCTGAGACTGCAGGCATGCACCACCATGCCCAGTTATTTTTAAATTTTTTGTAGAGACAGGGTTTTACTCTATTGCCAGTGCTGGTATCCAACTCCTGGCTTCAAGCAATTCTTGAGCCTCAAGCCTCCCAAGGCACTGGGAGTACAGGTGTGAGCAACCATGCCCAGCATCTCCATTGTTTTTGAAGAGAAATCAGCTATTAATCTTATTGAGGATCCCTTGTATGTGATGAGTTGCTTTTCTCTTGCTGCTTTCAAGATATTCTGTCTTTGGCTTCTGTCAGTTTGATTACAGTATGTTTAGATGTGGATCCCTCAGTTTTTCCTACTTGTAGTTCCTTGAGCTTCTTGAATATGCAGATTGTTTTTCATCATGTTTGGGAAGTTTGGGGCCATTATTTCTTCAAATATTCTTTCTCCTTTTTTCTGTTTTTCTTCTCCTGGGACTCTCATTATGTGTATGTTAGTAAGCTTGATGATGTGTTCCACAAACAGGTCTCTGAGATTCCATTCACTTTCATTCATTTTTATTTCTGTTCCTCAGAGTCAACAATCTCAATTAACCTTCAAGTTCCCCATTCTTCCTTCGGCTTGCTGTAATGTGCCATTGAGAACCTCTAATAATTTTTCCATTTCAGTTACCATACTTTTCAACTCTAGAATTTCTATTTGACTCCTTTTTATGGTTTCTATCTCTTTATTGATATTCTCTATTTGATGAGACATTGCTTTCATACTTTCCTTTAGTTTTCTAGTCTACAGAACTGAATCATTTCTCTTATCTCTTTGAATATATTTTAAATAGCTGAATTAAATCCTTCTCTAGGCCAGGCATGGTGGCTCATGCCTATAATCCCAGCACTTTGGGAGGCTGAGGCTGAGGTTGAGGCTGAGGCCAGGAGTTCAAGACCACCCTGGGTAACTTCGCAAGACCCCAACTATAAAAAATAAAAAAATCTTTGTCTAGTAAGTCTAATATCTGGTCTTTCTCAGGGACAATTTCTGCTTATTTCTCCCCCCACCAAGTGTTTGGGCCATACTTTGTTTCCTTGCATCTTTCATAAATGTTTGTTAAAAATTGAATATTTTAAATAATATAATGTAGCAATTCTGAAAATCAGATCCATGCTGCCAGGGTTTGGTGTTACTGCTGCTTGTGTTAGTAGTTGCTATTTATTTAGTGACTTTTCTGAACTTCTTCTGTAAAGTGTTGCATTATATGTCATGTGTTGCCACTAAAGTATCTCCTTGGTTAGCTTACCGATCAGCTAATGATTAAATGAAGATTTACTTAAATTCTTGGAACTGATAAGTCTCCTAGTTTTTGCCAAGGGGCTCTGTGTACATGTTGGGGCATACCTTCAGCACTCAGCTAGACAATTTACAGCCATGCCTTAGCTTTCACTTCTTGCTTGTGCAGAACCTCAAGATCAGCCAGGGGTGAGAGTTTATGAACTTAGTAGGTCTTTCCTGACCATGCTGGCAGCCTGCCCTATGCATGCGCATGACATTGCAAATTGCCAGGAATATGTCTTATGGACTTCTAGTTTCCCAAGCATATATCAGAGTGTTTCAAAATTCCTGTGGACATCTTATTACTCAGCTTTTCCTATTAAGCTTTTCGATTAGGCTTTTTTTCCCCAAACTGTTATTCATTGCCGAATACAGTTGCCATGTTAAAACACTTGTCTGTAATTGTTTTCCAAAAACACCCTCTGTGGAGAGGCTTTAGCACTAGACAGCTTTCATTCTGGTCAAATAAAGACAAACCTTTCAAATGAGGTCTTCCAGGGAACCACCAGACAGATGACATCATGACAGTTAACTGAGAATAAGGCTTTGAAGGAGCTCCAGCTCCATTCTGCTCCCTCTGCTTGGGGATGTGGGCTGTTTTTCAAGGCAACTACTGAGCTAGAGAGTGAGGAATGGTCTAAGGCAAGTTAACACAAATCTCACTGTTCTTACAGAAATTTTTCTTGAATAAATGCTCCTCGGGTTGCTGCAAGACTTTGGTTACATTTCTAGAGTTCTGAAAAAGTTTATTATGGTCAATTTTTTTTTTTGCCCTTTTCTTGGTGTTTGTTGCTTTTATGAAGGGATGAATTTTTGGATGTCTCTTTTTTTTTTTTTTTTTTTTTTTTTTTTTTTTTTTTTTGAGACAGAGTCTCACTCTGTTGCCCAGGCTGGAGTGTGCAGTGGCGCAATCTCGTCTCACTGCAAGCTCCACCTCCTGGGTTCACACAATTCTCCTGCCTCAGCCTCCCGAGTGGCTGGGACTACAGGCGCCTGCCACCACGCCCAGCTAATTTTTGTATATTTAGTACAGACGGGGTTTCGCCTTGTTAGCCAGGATGGTCTCGATCCCCTGACCTCGTGATCCACCTGCCTCAGCCTCCCAAAGTGCTGGGATTACAGGCGTGAGCCACTGCGCCCAGCCTCGATGTCTTTATTCCACCATTTTCACTGATGTCACTTACAACATGGTTTTAAATGTCTGAAGGCTCACTGGGCACATGCCTGTAGTCCCAGATACTCGGGAGGCAAAGGAAGAAGGATCCTTCGAGTCCAGGAATTCTGGGCTGTAGCATGCTATGCTGATTGGGTGTCCGCACTAAGTTCAGCATCAGTATGGTGACCTCCCGGGAAAAGGAGACCACCAGGTTGCCTAAAAAGGGGTGTACCAGCCCAGTTCAGGAATAGAGCAGGTCAAAACTCCCATGCTGATCACTAGTGGGATCATGGCTGTGAATAGCCACTGCTCTCCAGCCTGGGCAACACAGTGAGTGAGAATGTGTCTCTTAAAAAAAGAAGTCTCATCGACCATAGACTAATTAACTATTTAATCATGGGAAATGATTAGGGGAAAGACATAAAAAGAGAAACTGTAATCCACTTTTTTTTGCTCTATCGCCCAGGCTGGAGTACAGTGGCTTGATCTTGGCTCACTGCAACCTCCGCCTCCCGGGTTCAAGCAATTCTCCTGCCTCAGCCTCTGAAACAGCTGGAATTACAGGCAAGCGCTGCCATGCCCTGCTAATGAGAAATTGTAATTCTCATAGAGGTCCTCCCAGAGGAGTAGAAGAAGGTTGAAAGGCACTTCTGTATTTAGTCTTCTCAATATTAAGGCTGGGCCCAGTGGCTCACACCAGCACTTTGGGAGGCCAAGGCAGGTGGATCACTTGAGATCAGGAGTTCAAGACCAGCCTGGCAAACATGGCGAAACTCCCATCTCTACTAAAAACACAAAAAATAGCCAGGCGTGGTGGTGCGTGCCTATAGTCCCAGCAATTTGGGAGACTGAGGAAGGAGGGTTACCTGAGCTTGGGAAGAGGAGGTTGCAGTGAGCCAAGATCACGCCACTGCACTCCAGCCTGGTCAATGGAGCAAGACCCTGTTTGGGTGGGGAGGGGAGGGGAGTGGACGGGAGAGGAGAAAGGAAAGAAAGGAAAGGAAAGAAAATAGAAAGAAGGAAGGGGGAGGGAAGGAAGGAAGGAAAAAGAGAGAGAAAGAAAAAGAATGAAGAACGAAAATAAAAATTTTTTAAAAACCTAAGGTTAAAATAAACCCTTTTTCTTCATACATAAACACATGAGTTCAAATTACAGCTTTGCTGCTTAATAGCTTGGTGACCTAGGACAAGTTATATAACCTCTCTGTGCCTCAGTTTCCTCATTTAAAAATAGGGCAATAATAATATCTACCACATAAGGTGTTTGCTGATCACAAATACCTGGCAACCCAGTAGATACTCACTGTAATAATTATTATTTTTATAATTTCTGCCTAAGTACAAAGATGATTCTTGGGTCAACCTAAAGGCAGATTTTCTTTTATTTCTTCCTGTTTCTTTTATTTTTCTTGTTCACCTTAAAGAATTAAAAAGAAAATCGATTCTAGCATTTTGGAATAAAAATTTGCATCAAAATCAATTTATTCATTTTATTGACATACAAACAAAATGTCATTTGTTTATTCAATAAACATTTGTTAAATGCCTAATACATTTCAGACATCATGCCAGGCACGGGGATGACAGGGCATGGTGGCGGGCACCTGTAATCCCAGCTACTCGGGAGGCTAAGGCAGGAGAATTGCTTGAACCCGGGAGGCGGAGATTGCAGTGAGCCAAGATTGCGCCACTGCACTCCAGCCCGGGCGACAGAGTGAGACTCCATCTCAGGAAAATAAAAAAATGTGGTCTCTGCCCTCAAAGCGCTCATAGTCCAGGAGCCTCACAAGTGGACAGGTGATTACATGCAATGTAAGAAAGGCTGTGATGTCATACAAGAAGACAAGTGGGAGTATGGTTTTGACCAGTTCCTCCTCTTAGATTTATTCCTTCTTCTTTGGCTATAAAGCAAAAGAATTGGTCCTATTTTTTTTAACTGTGCAAATTAAGCCATGAATTTTAAAAACTTTATAAAGATAAAAGACAAGCATCCAGCCCAGTGGCTCATGCTGGTAATCCTATCAGTTTGGGAGGCTGAGGCAGGTAGATCACCTGAGGTCAGGAGTTCAAAACCAGCCTGGCCAACATGGTAAAACCCCGTCTCTACTAAAAATACAAAAATTAGCTGGGCATGGTGGTGGGTGCCTGTAATCCCAGCTACTCGGAAGGCTGAGGCAGAACAGGAGAATCACTTGAACCTGGGAGGCTGAGGTTGCAGTCAGCCAAGATCAAGCCATTGCACTCCAGCCTGGGCAACAAGAGTGAGACTCCATCTCAAAAAAAAAAAAAAAAATAGATGAACAACGAATTATGATGAGCAACTTGAATTATGGAGGATGCTAGAAATAGTGTTTCCTCCACAGTCAGGGCTTCCTACCAACATAGTCACTTTTAGGGTTTTTGACCTGAAAAGTTCTGTGGCATATTTTTTCTTTGCTATCCACTTTTTTTTTCCTTGTAGTCTGAAAGGTTTGTCAGTATACTTTAAAACAATCCTGGTAACAGTTCTAGATTGAAGGAGACTAAAGAATCATGTACTAAGTGTAATGTCTGATGTTTGATTGGATTCTGAATTTTTTAAGCCATGTTATGATTGGGACAATTGTGAAAATGTGTATATGGACCACATAGTAGACAATGATAATATGAAGTTCCATTGGGTGATGATAGTCCTCTGGTTATGTCGGAGAATGCCTTGGTTCTTAGGGGCTGCACACTGAAGTCTTCAATGGTGAAGGGTCATTATGTCTGCAACTGACTCTCAAATGGTTTTGTCCAGAAAATGTATAGACATACACACACGGAAAGCAAATGTGGCAAAGTATTAGCAACTACTGATTCCAGATTAAAGTTATACAGGTGTTCATTATACCATTTGAAAATGTTTCCCAACCATCCTAAGGCTTAAAGGAAAAAAAGAAAATGTTTAAAATAAAAAGTTGGGGGCAGAAAAAGAATACCAAAAATTTTGGGCTCATGCCTGTAATCCCAGCACTTTGGGAGGCCAAAGAGAGAGGGTGGCTTGAGCCCAGGAGTTCGAGACCAGCCTGGACAACATGGTGAAACCCCATTTCTACAAAATATACAAAAATTAGCCAGGCGTGGTGGCACACACCTGTAGTTCTAGCTACTCATGAGGCTGAGGTGGGAGGATCACTTGAGCACAGGAGGCAGAGGCTGCAGTGAGCCAAGATTGCACCACTGCACTCAGCCTGTGTAACAGAGCGAGACCCGGCCTCAAAATAAACAAAAGAAACACCTTTGTGGCAGAGGTAAGGTTGCTATATAACAAAATGCTGGGTTACGGTTCCGGGTCCATTCCATATGAAGATCAGAGGCTTCCACTGGACCCAAAGGAATAATACTAGTCACTTGTGATTGTTCCTCTATAGGTTTGAAAGATGTGTCAGGCCAACTCATTGGATGCAGTTTTAATCTAAAACTCTATACATTGTACCCCCAACTCATAGACTTCTTGTATCCATGAAACCCTCTTCTGTTTTCACAGTCTCAATGTGGCCCCAATAAAGCCATCCTTTTGGAGGACTCAGAAAAGGCCCCCCACAACCTCTGCAACATAATAATTATAGTTAACTCTTATTGAGCACTCACTGTGCACCAGGCATTTTTCAGGTATGGATTCATTTGATCCTCAAAATTCATTAGAGGTAGGTACTATTATAATGACAAGGCCAAGGAACAGAGATTTAACAATTTGCCCAAATTCACATTATTAGCAGAGCTGAGATTGAAGCATAGTCTGGCTATGGAATCTGTATTCTTAATGACCATGCTATACTGCCTAAGATTAACCTTTTACTTCAGTTACAGGGATTGTTTTTATCTCTCTGAAAGTGCCCCCAATAAGCCACAACAATAAATTAATCAATTGTCTCAGTTACCTCTTTTGCCCAAATTTACGTATTGAAAAAAATTCAAACAAGCCAGAAAGATGAAAGAATAGTACAGAATCTAATCAAAGATCAGGCACTGCATGTCATGTCTTCATTTCCTTTAATCTAAAACATGCTTCTACTTTCTTTGATCTTTCATGACATTGGCATTTTTTAAGAGTCAAAGATAGTTGTCTTGTAAATTGTCCCACAATCCGGATTTGTCTGTTTCCTCATGACGAAATTCAAGTTAAGCATTTTTGGGAAAAATACTGCATAGGTGATGTATCCTTCCTGCCTCGTAACTGCAGATGGCCTGTAATACTAAGTTTGATCACTTGACCAAGGTGAACTTCCAGATCTCTCCATTGTAATTATTTTGCTGGGTACAGTGGCTCCCACTTGTAATCCCAGCACTTTGGAAGGCTGAGGTGGGAGGATTGCTTGAGCCCAGGAGTTCTACACCAGCCTGAGCAACATGGGGAAACCCTGTCACTACTGAAAATACAAAAGTACAAAAAAAAAAAAAAAATTAGCTGGGCATGGTGGTGCAAGCCTATACTCCCAGCTACTCGGGGGACTGAATTTGGAGGATCCCTTGAGCCCAGGGGGGTTGAGGCTGCAATGAGGTATAATTTTGCCACTGTATTTCAGCCTGGGTGACAAAATAAAAATAAAAAATAATAATTTTCCGCTTGGTAATTAATAAATAATCTGTGGGTTGTTACTTTGAGTTCAGTGAAGATCCTGTTCTCAAATGTCTTTTCACCCAAATGTGCATCAGTGATAATCCTTGTCTGAATGAATTTGTATTACACTGATGGTTGCAAAGTGACACTTTTAAAAATTCTGTCATTCCTTCTACATTTACTAGCTGGCATTATTTCATTGAAGAAGAACTCCCCCTCTTTCTTTTTCTATATCACTCTTCGTGGATTCTTCTTTATATTAAATATGTTGTAACTTATTGTTGTTATTCTTTTGAATGCTCAAATTGTCCAGATTTGACCAATGCAATCTTTGTTATTTTTTAACTCCACAATCGAGGTTAAACTAAGCTATTTTTAATGCCCAGAGTAATTTATAATATTTCCCACTCCCAACAGGAATTGAGAAAGGGACTCCAGAAGTTGGGGGCTTATTCAGACTTCTTAAAAGTCTACCTTCTTCCTCTGTACTTTCAGCCCAAAGTGAGACTTTTGAGTTGGGAAGAGATACTTCTGAATTAAACTACTAATCACTGTCACCCAATTCTAATCCCAACCATCTTTATTCTAGGCATACCATACTCACTGCCATGCTTACCCTTCAGTTGGGCACCTTTGCCCTCCTTCCTATTGGCCTTCTGGTTCCTACCCAACTGTCCAGTCCATAGGCTTCAATGACACCTTTTTCCCACACCTGTGGTAGCGTTGGCTGCCTCCTTTACCTACTCAAGTAACCGCTTTACCGCTAATTTATTGCTCTCTGTTTTCATCTATAGGATCTTACCTAGCCATATGGCCTGCTGCCTCTGCCAACTTAAAAACAGCATTGAGGCTGTCTGCAAGACAGTCAAGCTGCATTGCAACAGTGCATGTCTGACAAACACCATACATTGTCGTGAGTCCAAATTGCGCGGTGATAAATTGTTACATTAAGTATTTGTTTTTAAACTTTTTATTTTTAATGATGATAAAATTTTAAGCTAATGACATAATTGCTTTATTTTTATTTACTCATTCAGAGTTAAACTCCCTCAATTTCTGAACTACTCCCTTGCTGAGAGTCAGGTTCTCAGTTACTATTACAAAATTTAATAATAGAACTGTTCCATATGCACAAAGGACCAAGACAAAGGAATGGGAAGGCTAGAGAATAACATTAACATCCACACACTGTGTACTGTGCTCTCTGCTTGATGCTTTGCCCACAGTGATAATTTCTTCATATAGTGCAATGTAGTTTGTAAGGTGGTTTTAAATTCATGAGGTCTCAAGTACTCTCTGCCTTATAGGACAGATGTAGATACGGTTTCGGTTTTTCTGTTTTTACAGTTTTATGAGAGTACAAGTGATGCTGTTTTATTTGAAGCCTGAGAGCTTCTGGTTCCATAACCAGAAATTGCTACCTGACTCTTCTAATAGAATGGAGGTCTTTTCCATTCTTAGACCATCCAACTCTGAACTTGCTCTGAATCTCAAACCTTTCTGTTCACAGAACAAACGCTCAAGGGCTTTCAAGAGTGTTTCTGTAGATTAGGTTTATTAGCATCAACTTCATGACTTCTAAAATGTGACTGCTTTCATGTCCAGATAGCTTGAATACAGGTATCTACCAGTGATATGGGGTGGAGAATTAATAATGCTTGGTTACATAAAGTCAGTGTTGCTTATTTTTCAAAACTTTTTTTTTTTTTTACCAATTATATTATTCCCTTCTCCCCAAGAAGTGGGCAGAAAAGCTTTGTTAACCTCCTTTTACAGATGAAGAAAAACAAGATCAGAGGTGCTAAGTGCTGTAGCCTAGTGCCAGGTCTTCTGGCCCCAATTCTGGGTTCTCCCCAAGCCCATGCTTCTTCCACTTTCTCACAATCTTTACTTCTTCCTCTGACCCTCACCACCACCCAAAATGCTTTTAATTCTGGAAAAGAAACCCAGCTGCACACTGGCACACTTGACCTTCCTGCAGTCAGAAGCCTTGGCTGATTCCCCATCCAAAATATTAGAGATGAAATGAAAGCAAAGTAGGCATCTGACAAAAGTTGCTTTTTCCCTTCTGCATTTTAGGACCTCAAGTAATGTTTATCCAGAAACTGCTATCATACCAGAGATTCACTGTGTATTTAACAACATAGGCATACAATCTGGCAAATTTGAAAAACTCTTAACATACACCCCAAATCCCTGCCCAAATTTAAGAACTAGGGTGGACACAGTGCTTTTTTCCATGTCGCATCTTCTGTGATGGGGCTACGATATGTGGGAGCAGAGAATGGGGAGGGTGGAGCGCATGCCAGATGAGGATCTATCAGCAATGGGAGGGGGCCTCCACTTTAGCATCTCCACCCTGCTCCTCTCAGAGGACCGCCTTTCATTGCATTCAGCTGTGATGGTAGCAAGAACACAGGCGCACCGAGGACGAGGAGAGCGGGAGCCTTGTGCTCTCTCTGCATCTGAGGCAGGACAGCACAGGGTATGGAGCAGTCTGCAGAGAGGCCAGCTCATCAGCTCATCAGGGAAGCACTTGTCTTCCACCTTGGGCTTTGACTGAGCACTGGGCAATTGGACCCTGGGGATCAATGAAATAATCCTAAGCAGAGTTACTCTATGTCACACTATGGAATGTTCCAAGTAGATGGCCGTGTTTTCAAAAGATATATTTTCTCCTTTTGTTGTTGCCATTTCATAGGTTTAGGATTGGGTGTGTGTGTCTCCTCTCTGAATGGCACTCAAATGTTTGCTGACTCCTACTCTGCGTGACTGGGGTGTACAGCTATGGACTGATGCATCCCATCCCATCATCTTTCACGAGCAAAGCAGTCTCTTTTTTGACAGCTGAAGAAGAATCTGTAGGGAATCCAGAAGGAGCATTCATGAAGATGTTACAAGCCCGGAAGAATTACACAAGCACTGAGCTGACTGTTGAGCCGGAGGAGCCCTCAGACAGCAGTGGCATCAACTTGTCAGGCTTTGGGAGTGAGCAGCTAGACACCAATGACGAGAGTGATGTTATCAGTGCACTAAGTTACATTTGCCATATTTCTCAGCAGTAAACCTAGATGTGGAATCAATGTTACTACCGTTCATTAAACTGCCAACCACAGGAAACAGCCTGGCAAAGATTCAAACTGTAGGCCAAAACCGGCAAAAAGTGAATAGAGTCCTCATGGGCCCAATGAGCATCCAGAAAAGGCACTTCAAAGAGGTGGGAAGGCAGAGCATCAGGAGGGAACAGGGTGCCCAGGCATCTGTGGAGAACGCTGCCGAAGAAAAAAGGCTCGGGAGTCCAGCCCCAAGGGAGCTGGAACAGCCTCACACACAGCAGGGGCCTGAGAAGTTAGCGGGAAACGCCATCTACACCAAGCCTTCGTTCAGCCAAGAGCATAAGGCAGCAGTCTCTGTGCTGACACCCTTCTCCAAGGGCGCGCCTTCTACCTCCAGCCCTGCAAAAGCCCTACCACAGATGAGAGACAGATTGAAAGACAACACACACTATTTCCATTTTAGAAAGTGCAAAGGCTAGAGTTACAAATATGAAGGCTTCTAAACCAATTTCACATTCCAGAAAAAAATACCGCTTTCACAAAACTCGCTCCGCATGACCCACAGAACACCCAAGGTCAAAAAGAGTCCAAAGTTCAGAAAGAAAAGTTATCTGAGTAGACTGATGCTCGCAAACAGGCCTCCGTTCTCTGCAGCGAAGAGCCTCATAAATTCCCCTTCACAAGGGGCTTTTTCATCCTTAGGAGACCTGAGTCCTCAAGAAAACCCTTTTCTGGAAGTATCTGCTCCTTCAGAACATTTTATAGAAACCACTAATATAAAAGACACAACTGCAAGAAATGCCTTGGAAGAAAATGTTTTTATGGAAAACACTAACATGCCAGAAGTCACCATCTCTGAAAACACAAACTACAATCATCCTCCTGAGGCAGATTCCGCTGGGACTGCATTCAACTTAGGGCCAACTGTTAAACAAACTGAGACAAAATGGGAATACAACAACGTGGGCACTGACCTGTCCCCCGAGCCCAAAAGCTTCAATTACCCATTGCTCAGTTTGAAATTCAGCTAACCCAGCAGCTACAGTCCCTTATCCCCAACAACAATGTGAGAAGGCTCATTTCTCATGTTATCCGGACCTTGAAGATGGACTGCTCTGGGGCCCATGTGCAAGTGACCTGTGCCAAGCTCATCTCCAGGACAGGCCACCTGATGAAGCTTCTCAGTGGGCAGCAGGAAGTAAAGGCATCTGAGATAGAATGGGATACGGACCAATGGAAGACTGAGAACTACATTAATGAGAGCACGGAAGCCCAGAGTGAACAGAAAGAGAAGTCGCTTGAGGTGAGGACCACACAGAAACATGAGACCCAGATTTCCCATCATTTAGCATATCCCAGGAAAGTGCCCACACAGAAGAATCTGGGACTCCCAGGCCATAGCTTATCTTGGCCATGTAACTTTGGTCATGACAGTGATCTCCCACTTTGCTCATGTAGAGAGTGAAATATAGATTAGGGCACAAGATGAACTGTAGGCCGGGGGTGGTAGCTCATGCCTGTAATCTCAGCACTTTGGGAGGCCAAGGTGGGTGGATTACTTGAAGTCAGGAGTTTGAGACCAGCTTGGCCAACATAGTGAAAGCCTGTCTCCACAAAAAATAAAAAAATTAGCTGGGTTGATGACACGTGCCTGTAGTCCCAGCTACTTGGGAGGCTGAGGTGGGAGGATCACCTGAGCCCAGGGAGGTCGAGTCTAGTGAACGGTGATTGCACCACTGTACCCCAGCCTGGGTAACAGAGTGAGACCCTCTTTCAAAAAAATAAAAAAGAACCTGTAAGCTACTCACCTGGAATACTGGGGTTTTGAATAGTTAGCTCTCATTCTGGTGTGTTTTTTTTTTGTTTTTTTGTTTTTTTTAGCTCACAAAAGAAGTTCCAGGATACGGCTATACTGACAAACTCATCTTGGCATTAATTGTGACTGAAATACTAATGATTTTGATTATACTTTTCTGCCTCATTGTGGTAAGGACAATAATTAATTCAGGTTTTCAGAATGCAGTCCTGTTTTTGTGTGGATTCAGAGCTCACAAACTGAAAACCAAAGCCACTTTCCCACCTGCTGCTACTTGACATACTTCTTCAGTCATTTAAGGCTGAGGTGTATGCTTTGTTCTTTTATTGCAGTGTATATTTCAGGATTTTTAAAAGATCCTCGCTTCCAGATCTCTGTGAATTGAAACCAAGTTAATCCCACTAGACTATTTTAAGAAGTCGATATAATAGCAAAATTTCTCCACCCAAAACTATGTCAACAATTGGATGTACTCATCAAGTCACCCTTACTCTGCCACTAATTTATTTCCTTGGTGCTGAAATGATGAGAGAGGTATAATCTCCACCCTCACGGATTTGTCATCACCCTGGAGAGGAAGGAGAGAGCCAAAAGACAGAAGTATTGTCTTGTAGACTTATTAGATTTACACAGTATCGTCCTCCAGTGTGTAAGGCATTGTCTAAATAGGTCCAGTTAAAGCACTACAGAGTAGCCATCTTTTACAAAAATTGTTGGCCACATTTTTAAGTTCGCAGGCGAGGGGGAACGTCTCATACTCTAGCCCTCCTGAGCCTAGACCCTCTGTGAGATGTGTCACCATTTCTTGGACACCACGTGAGACATTCCCCCTCAGATTAGAGATGCTCAGCCTGCATCAACTTATCTAAAGCCTACATCTGGCTACTCTGGGGCAAGTCCTGTTTACAGTGCCCATTCCTGGAGCTTGCCTCTGTTTGTCTTTTGTTCGATTACATGATATATTACTTTTCCCAACAGGCCAGTGCTAGCATATTGGAAGAGTGATTTAATAAAGCTGGCAACCTTGACGCTATGCCACCAGTCCAACCTTATTTGCCTCATTTACCATTTCCATTATTGTGGCAGCCCTCCATTCCAGCCACAGCAGCCCCTCACCATACCCCAGTCACACCACCCACATTTCTGCTTTTGTCTGTGTGTTTGTCCATCTAAAATGCCCTTATTTCACTCTGCCTGTGGGAGTCCTATGCATCTCCCACCAGAAACTGCTATCATACCAGAGATTCACTGTGTATTTAACAACATAGGCATACAATCTGGCAAATTTGAAAAACTCTTAACATACACCCCAAATCCCTGCCCAAATTTAAGAACTAGGGTGGACACAGTGCTTTTTTCCATGTCGCATCTTCTGTGATGGGGCTACGATATGTGGGAGCAGAGAATGGGGAGGGTGGAGCGCATGCCAGATGAGGATCTATCAGCAATGGGAGGGGGCCTCCACTTTAGCATCTCCACCCTGCTCCTCTCAGAGGACCGCCTTTCATTGCATTCAGCTGTGATGGTAGCAAGAACACAGGCGCACCGAGGACGAGGAGAGCGGGAGCCTTGTGCTCTCTCTGCATCTGAGGCAGGACAGCACAGGGTATGGAGCAGTCTGCAGAGAGGCCAGCTCATCAGCTCATCAGGGAAGCACTTGTCTTCCACCTTGGGCTTTGACTGAGCACTGGGCAATTGGACCCTGGGGATCAATGAAATAATCCTAAGCAGAGTTACTCTATGTCACACTATGGAATGTTCCAAGTAGATGGCCGTGTTTTCAAAAGATATATTTTCTCCTTTTGTTGTTGCCATTTCATAGGTTTAGGATTGGGTGTGTGTGTCTCCTCTCTGAATGGCACTCAAATGTTTGCTGACTCCTACTCTGCGTGACTGGGGTGTACAGCTATGGACTGATGCATCCCATCCCATCATCTTTCACGAGCAAAGCAGTCTCTTTTTTGACAGCTGAAGAAGAATCTGTAGGGAATCCAGAAGGAGCATTCATGAAGATGTTACAAGCCCGGAAGAATTACACAAGCACTGAGCTGACTGTTGAGCCGGAGGAGCCCTCAGACAGCAGTGGCATCAACTTGTCAGGCTTTGGGAGTGAGCAGCTAGACACCAATGACGAGAGTGATGTTATCAGTGCACTAAGTTACATTTGCCATATTTCTCAGCAGTAAACCTAGATGTGGAATCAATGTTACTACCGTTCATTAAACTGCCAACCACAGGAAACAGCCTGGCAAAGATTCAAACTGTAGGCCAAAACTGGCAAAAAGTGAATAGAGTCCTCATGGGCCCAATGAGCATCCAGAAAAGGCACTTCAAAGAGGTGGGAAGGCAGAGCATCAGGAGGGAACAGGGTGCCCAGGCATCTGTGGAGAACGCTGCCGAAGAAAAAAGGCTCGGGAGTCCAGCCCCAAGGGAGCTGGAACAGCCTCACACACAGCAGGGGCCTGAGAAGTTAGCGGGAAACGCCATCTACACCAAGCCTTCGTTCAGCCAAGAGCATAAGGCAGCAGTCTCTGTGCTGACACCCTTCTCCAAGGGCGCGCCTTCTACCTCCAGCCCTGCAAAAGCCCTACCACAGGTGAGAGACAGATTGAAAGACAACACACACTATTTCCATTTTAGAAAGTGCAAAGGCTAGAGTTACAAATATGAAGGCTTCTAAACCAATTTCACATTCCAGAAAAAAATACCGCTTTCACAAAACTCGCTCCGCATGACCCACAGAACACCCAAGGTCAAAAAGAGTCCAAAGTTCAGAAAGAAAAGTTATCTGAGTAGACTGATGCTCGCAAACAGGCCTCCGTTCTCTGCAGCGAAGAGCCTCATAAATTCCCCTTCACAAGGGGCTTTTTCATCCTTAGGAGACCTGAGTCCTCAAGAAAACCCTTTTCTGGAAGTATCTGCTCCTTCAGAACATTTTATAGAAACCACTAATATAAAAGACACAACTGCAAGAAATGCCTTGGAAGAAAATGTTTTTATGGAAAACACTAACATGCCAGAAGTCACCATCTCTGAAAACACAAACTACAATCATCCTCCTGAGGCAGATTCCGCTGGGACTGCATTCAACTTAGGGCCAACTGTTAAACAAACTGAGACAAAATGGGAATACAACAACGTGGGCACTGACCTGTCCCCCGAGCCCAAAAGCTTCAATTACCCATTGCTCAGTTTGAAATTCAGCTAACCCAGCAGCTACAGTCCCTTATCCCCAACAACAATGTGAGAAGGCTCATTTCTCATGTTATCCGGACCTTGAAGATGGACTGCTCTGGGGCCCATGTGCAAGTGACCTGTGCCAAGCTCATCTCCAGGACAGGCCACCTGATGAAGCTTCTCAGTGGGCAGCAGGAAGTAAAGGCATCTGAGATAGAATGGGATACGGACCAATGGAAGACTGAGAACTACATTAATGAGAGCACGGAAGCCCAGAGTGAACAGAAAGAGAAGTCGCTTGAGGTGAGGACCACACAGAAACATGAGACCCAGATTTCCCATCATTTAGCATATCCCAGGAAAGTGCCCACACAGAAGAATCTGGGACTCCCAGGCCATAGCTTATCTTGGCCATGTAACTTTGGTCATGACAGTGATCTCCCACTTTGCTCATGTAGAGAGTGAAATATAGATTAGGGCACAAGATGAACTGTAGGCCGGGGGTGGTAGCTCATGCCTGTAATCTCAGCACTTTGGGAGGCCAAGGTGGGTGGATTACTTGAAGTCAGGAGTTTGAGACCAGCTTGGCCAACATAGTGAAAGCCTGTCTCCACAAAAAATAAAAAAATTAGCTGGGTTGATGACACGTGCCTGTAGTCCCAGCTACTTGGGAGGCTGAGGTGGGAGGATCACCTGAGCCCAGGGAGGTCGAGTCTAGTGAACGGTGATTGCACCACTGTACCCCAGCCTGGGTAACAGAGTGAGACCCTCTTTCAAAAAAATAAAATAGAACCTGTAAGCTACTCACCTGGAATACTGGGGTTTTGAATAGTTAGCTCTCATTCTGGTGTGTTTTTTTTTTGTTTTTTTGTTTTTTTTAGCTCACAAAAGAAGTTCCAGGATACGGCTATACTGACAAACTCATCTTGGCAT
Organism: Homo sapiens; assembly: GCF_000001405.40. Lineage (NCBI taxonomy): Eukaryota > Metazoa > Chordata > Mammalia > Primates > Hominidae > Homo > Homo sapiens. The sequence continues at coordinate 45,513,237 of NC_000017.11, read as the reverse complement.
TAATTGTGACTGAAATACTAATGATTTTGATTATACTTTTCTGCCTCATTGTGGTAAGGACAATAATTAATTCAGGTTTTCAGAATGCAGTCCTGTTTTTGTGTGGATTCAGAGCTCACAAACTGAAAACCAAAGCCACTTTCCCACCTGCTGCTACTTGACATACTTCTTCAGTCATTTAAGGCTGAGGTGTATGCTTTGTTCTTTTATTGCAGTGTATATTTCAGGATTTTTAAAAGATCCTCGCTTCCAGATCTCTGTGAATTGAAACCAAGTTAATCCCACTAGACTATTTTAAGAAGTCGATATAATAGCAAAATTTCTCCACCCAAAACTATGTCAACAATTGGATGTACTCATCAAGTCACCCTTACTCTGCCACTAATTTATTTCCTTGGTGCTGAAATGATGAGAGAGGTATAATCTCCACCCTCACGGATTTGTCATCACCCTGGAGAGGAAGGAGAGAGCCAAAAGACAGAAGTATTGTCTTGTAGACTTATTAGATTTACACAGTATCGTCCTCCAGTGTGTAAGGCATTGTCTAAATAGGTCCAGTTAAAGCACTACAGAGTAGCCATCTTTTACAAAAATTGTTGGCCACATTTTTAAGTTCGCAGGCGAGGGGGAACGTCTCATACTCTAGCCCTCTTGAGCCTAGACCCTCTGTGAGATGTGTCACCATTTCTTGGACACCACGTGAGACATTCCCCCTCAGATTAGAGATGCTCAGCCTGCATCAACTTATCTAAAGCCTACATCTGGCTACTCTGGGGCAAGTCCTGTTTACAGTGCCCATTCCTGGAGCTTGCCTCTGTTTGTCTTTTGTTCGATTACATGATATATTACTTTTCCCAACAGGCCAGTGCTAGCATATTGGAAGAGTGATTTAATAAAGCTGGCAACCTTGACGCTATGCCACCAGTCCAACCTTATTTGCCTCATTTACCATTTCCATTATTGTGGCAGCCCTCCATTCCAGCCACAGCAGCCCCTCACCATACCCCAGTCACACCACCCACATTTCTGCTTTTGTCTGTGTGTTTGTCCATCTAAAATGCCCTTATTTCACTCTGCCTGTGGGAGTCCTATGCATCTCTCAAAAGCCAACTCAAGTTCATCTTTCTTCTTGACACCTTCCCTGAATATTCCAGCCCTGCTGAGCCTAGTCCCTTTGTGAGATTTGTCACCATTTCTTGGACACCATATGAGAGACTTCAGAGGCTGAAGTGGGAGGATCGCTTGAGCCTGGGAGGTCGAGAATGCAGTAAGCTGTGGTCGTACCACTGCACTCTAGCCTGGGCAACACAGCGAGGCCCTGTCTTAAAAACAACCACCACCAAAAACTATCTTGGGATTTGAATAGGATTATGTTAAATTTGTAGATTAATTTGAGAATTTACATCTGTAGAACATTCTAGGAACGTGCTATCTCATGTCATGTATTCATTTCTTGTTAATGTCTTTCAGAAGAGCTTTAGTGTTTCCATATATAGATCTTACACATCTTTTATTAGATAAAAGATCTTTGTATTTTTGTTCCTAAATTCTTCATACATTTGTATTGCCATTGTAAATGGGATCTTTCTTCCATTTTCTAATTAGTTATTGGTGGTACATGGGAAAAGTATTTGAGGTTTGTGTGCTGATTTCTTGATTTTGTAGATAGCCACTGTATTGAATTCTCATTACTTCCAGTAAAATCTTAGTTGATTCTCTTAGGCTTCTTTGGCTAACATTTTTCATTTAATATGCAAATAATGATAGTTTTGTCTCTTCCTTTCCAATACTTCTACTCTTTCCTTCCTTTCCCTTTTCCTTTTTCCTTTCCTTTCCTTTCCTTTTTTTTCCCTTCTCAGGGCCTTGTTGTCACCCAGGCTGGAGAGCAATGGTGTGACCTAGCTCACTGTAACATCAAACTCCTGGGCTTAAGGGATCCTCCTGCCTCAGCTTCCTGAGTGGCTGGGACTACAGGCAGGCAGCTAATTTAAAAAATGTGTTTGTAGAGACAAGGTCTTGCTATGTTGCCCAGGCTAGTTTTCCTGCCACTTCAGAGGAAGGACTCAGGTTTCCTTTTTCTCCTACTTTTAAGAGTTTTTATTAGGAATTATCTGTTGAATGTTATCTAAAACAGTCAATAAAATGTATTAAGTGCCAGCTGCATGCAAGACCCTAAGTTAGATACAGTCAGCCCTCTTCATCAGCAGGTCCACATCTTCAGATTCAACTAGATCAGGCTGAATATTTGAAGAAAAAAAAACAATAAAAATACAAACAGAAAGTACAATATAACAACTGTCACCACTGTACAATATGTATACATTTTATTAGTGATGACTTAAATTACATGGGGCCAGGCATGGTGGCTCACACTTGTAATCCCAACACATTGGGAGGCCAACCTGGGCAGCATAGTGAGACCTTGTCTTTATTAAAAATTAAAAAAAAAAATAGCCAGGTGTGGTAGTATGCACCTGTAGTCTCAGCTACTCAAGAGGCTGAGGTGGGCGGATCACTGGAGCCCAGGAGGTTGAGGCTACAGTGAGCTGTGATCATGACACCGCACTCCATCCTGAGTAACAGAGGATGACACTGCACTCCAGCGTAAGCAACAGAGGGCAATCCTGTCGCTAAGTAAATAAAGTATAGGGGGGATGCGTGTTGGTTATAAGCAAATACTACACCATTATGTGTAAGGGATTGAGCATCCACAGATTCTGGTATGGTGTGGGGGCGGTATCCTAGAACCAATCCCCCGCAAGATAGCAAGGATGACTGAACTATGGAAGAATCAAAGCAGTGTTACACAGTATGCAATTCCTGTCTTCAAAAAAGTTACCTCATCAGGTAGATGAGACTTATAATGAATAAAATGAATCAATACAGATTTGGAGATGGTGGTTGTTGTCATAGATAATCTTAATTGCGTTTTCTTCTAAAACAGATGTGTTGTCACCGAAGGTCATTACAAGAAGATGAAGAAGGATTCTCAAGGTAAATATTAGTCTGGTGATTTTTTTTTTTCTTTTCTTTTCAGACGGAGTTTCCCTCTTGTTGCCAGGCTGGAGTGCAATGACGCGATCTCGGCTCACGGCAACCTCCACTTACCAGGTTCAAGCGATTCTCCTGCCTCAGCCTCCCGAGTAGCTGGGATTACAGGCATGCACCACCACTAGTCTCGCGACGTTTTAATTAGAATTTTAGAATTAGAGGAGGGCTTAGAACTCTGCCCTCATTTTTCAGTGAGGAAACTGCCCAAGACAGGACAAATACTTACTTACCCTAATGCTTAGCCTGGCTCCAGTGAAATTAGCTCCCCAGCCAAAGCTGAGCTGGATGGAACTAACAAGGACACACCTGCTGTCCCCAGCCCTTTCGGGAGGTGGGGAGGGATAGGAAGGAGAAAGGTTTTGGTGCCTATTGCTGCTGATGGTGGGCATCAGGCCAGGCCAGGGGCCTTCTTGGAGGCTCTGGGAAAGGGGAAGGGAAGGCCACCGGGTGTGAGAGAGAGGGCACTTGTCTCCTTCAAGGCTGATGGAAGGTAGGATATGTGAGTCCTTCCTCTTAAGTGGCAGGAAACAGTATTTTCTCTTTTATTTATTTATTTTTTCCCCTGGATCCTAGAACTGAGGAAACACTATTTTCTCATCTTACTGGTTTTTGTGTCCCTACTCTATTCCTTTTAGGCAAACCTCACAGAATTTTAACCAGAAAGGCCAGGCAGGATGGCTCACGCCTGTAATCACAGCACTTTGGGATCACTTGAGGTTAGGAGCTCGTGACCAGCCTGACCAACATGGTGAAACCCCATCTCTACTAAAAATACTAAATTAGCTGGGTGTGGTGGCGCAGGCCTGTAATCCCAGCTACTTGGGAGGCTGAGGCAGGAGAACTGCTTGAACCCAGGAGGCACAGGTTGCAGGGAGCCAAGATAGCACCATTGCACTCCAGCCTGGGGAATGAGCCAAACTGTCTCAAATAAAAAAAACAACAAAAAAGAATTTTAACTACGGAGACCTTAGATAGTAGTTTGTCCTTTTATGACAGGAAAACTGAGAAGGAGAAAGGGAGAGTGTCTTACCCCATGGTCACACAATGCACTCTGCCTTTTCCTATTTTATTCAAATTCAAAAATAACATGTTGTGCTTTAAGCTGATTTCGTAGCTCACTCACTCATCAGCGACAGCCAGCCGTATGAAGACTGAGATAGAGAACTTGGCTAGCTGCACTCAGACATTTGCTTGAGGTGATCCAACTTATAGAATAAAGTATCTAGAAAAGGAAGAACCACTTCATCTCCCACCCCCCCATCAAATGATGCCTGTGAGACTAAGTCCAAAGGGGACTGATATAAAATGCTTCCGCCCAGCATGGTTGTGCAGTTTGTTCACTGCACAAGGGCACTTGGCCAAGGGAGTGAGTGGGACTGAACATCCTGCCCCTGCTCCATGCTGAGCCACATACAAAGTCCCCCCATTATATTGTGGGGCCCTTCTGGACAGACATGGGAGAGCTTCTGAAAGTCCCACATGCATGGAATTATTTTCAAGACCCCAGGTATGTGGTCTGTGGTGGTTCTTCTCCCTGTGATTATGGACTGAGATACTCATTTAGTCCTAGTAAGACCAGAGAAGTACATTGTGAGATACGTGGGAAATGGCTGCATCACTCACTGTCTTGTGCATGTGTCTCCCCAGGGGCATTTTCAGGTTTCTGCCACGGAGGAGATGCTCTTCACGAAGGGAGAGTCAGGTACATTGGAGGATTCATTGCTGTGGCCAGGGAAGGCAGAGGACATGCAAAATTAGTATTTCCCTTTCTATCTTCTAGGATGGACTTTTTTCATTCAGACGGCCGCTCTGGCTTAAAGATATGTACAAACCTCTCAGTGCCACAAGAGTAAATAATCACGCATGGAAGCTGCACAAGAAGTCATCTAATGAGGACGAGATCCTCAACAGGGACCCTGGGTAAATGACGGAGCCCTCACAGGTCCCATCTAAAATGAGGAGGGGGTGAGAAGCTTAATTGCTCCTTTCAAGAATCAAAACCTTGGCATTGTTATTCTTATCCCAGGGACAGCGAAGCCCCAACAGAGAAGGGGGAGGAGAGTGAAGCCCTGCCATAGGAGGAGAACCCAGCCCACCTCAGGCCTCCTGCAAAAACACATAGCATAAACAATACCATCAGAAAGAAAAGCAGGACTGAAGCCAGCGGCCCACACATCCACAGAGGCAGCGGGCAGAGCAAGCACAGGGCCATCGTTCCTGCCCTTGTTTCCCAGTCTAATTAGTCACCCAGACCTGAAAACATATCCTCAGGGGGTGGAGATTTTACAATTACCATTGTTTTTGGTGCCCTCTCCCTTGCTTCATCAAGCATCAGTCATATAATACCACAGATTTGAACTCCTGCCCACAGGGGACCTCCCATCTCCTGGCCCCTATCATAGGATCACTGGGCCTACCTGCACTGTGGGGCCAAGCCCTGTCTTTTTCCCAAGCCCTCAAGCACACGCATGAGTGTTCATCCCGACTTGGTAGGGGGCTTTTCACCCTTACAAGATGGCAAAAGATTCACATTGCTTTTTTAAAAATTTGTTTTTCTTTTTAAAAATCCCAACCCTTGGATAGCAGGGAGGTGCTGGAGGGGTAGAGTCAAGAAGAGTGTGAGAACAGTAATTTCCCAAGACTGCCCTCTGTGGGACTGTATTTCAGAAAACACACTGGTGGGGCTACCTCTCAATTCACATGTACTGCCCTAGCCTCTCCCCATCCCCGGCTGACGCTCATCCATAACTGCACTGTTCCATAACAGCAGTAGAATGTTGCAGAAAGTGCTAGGATTCCTCCACTCCATCTTCAAAGAAAAAGTCGCTAATAAATCACATTTGGTAGGTTAGTGAATGTTAAACACATTAGTGAGCAAAAGAAAATAGGAATGAACAAGAATTGGTCATCTACCTAACTGAACACAAATGAACTCTGGCAGTTCAGTAATAGGAGGTAAAGAACCACGCTAATTGCAGAACAGCAGCCCCCCTACCTTCCCAGGAGCAGTGTGACTGGGAAGCAGCCCCGTGTGTATGCTGGTGCAGGTTCTAAGCAAAGTGAGCTGCCCATCAGTTCCGATGAGTTTGCTGATGCTAGACATATGACATCTGTTCTCTTGCTGCCTGCCCCAGTTATCTCCCAAAGTTCTTTACTGAGAATGAAAAGCATCTTTCTCTGTGTGGTGACTTCAGTAGGCCAACAAATATTTGAGTTTAAAGCACAAGACTAGTCATAGGCAGAGCAGCGCTACCATTTACAATTTGCTTACTTGATGCTAAACCGTGGGTTTGGCATTTTACAGTCATATCATCTAGCCCAGCAAGTCATGGAAGCATAGTTGTTAAAATCATCTGACACTTTGGGAGGCTGAGGCGGGCGGATCACGAGGTCAGGAGATTGAGACCATCCTGGCTAACATGGTGAAACCCTGTCTCCACTAAAAATACAAAAAAATTAGCCGGGCGTGGTGGCAGGAGCCTGTAGTCCCAGCTACTCAGGAAGCTGAGGCAGGAGAATGGTGTGAACCTGGAAGGTGGAGCTTACAGTGAGCTGAGATCACGCCACTGCACTCCAGCCTGGGCAAGTGAGACTCCATCTCAAAAAAAAAAAAAAAAAAAAATCATCATCTGACAGATAAGGATACAGGGCTCGAAGAACGAAGGTGACCTGCCCAAAGTGTCCAAAGCCACACATACAAAGCAACAAATTAGGGTTTTAAGCTAGCACTGTTAGACTTCAAAGCCTCTTAACCATTCTACTGCCCTGCTGTAGGGCATGGGGAGATGGGGGGATAAGCCATGGTTGCCATCAAAGAGTTAATATAACAATAACATGCAGATGGATGGCAGCTCCTGTTTATTGGCACCAGCTGTGGTCCAGGTACAGCGCTAAGCACTATAATTACACTGTTAAGTCATCAGAACAGAAGCTCCCCACACCAGCTCTAATAGGGGTGAGTGTTGGACATAAGCAGGGAGCTGAGAAGAAGCCAAGACAAGGCCGGTTGCAGTGACTCATGCTTGTAATCCCAGCACTTTGGGAGGCTGAGGTAGGTGGACCACCTGAGGCAGGAGTTCAAGACCACCCCGGCCAATATGGCAAAACCCTGTCTCTACTAAAAATTACAAAAATTAGCTGGGGGTGGTGATGCACGCCTGTAATCCCAGTTACTCAGGAAGCTGAGGGAGGGAGAATTGCTTGAACCTGGGAGGCGGAGCTTGCAGTGAGCTTATAATGGGCCACTGCACACTAGCCTGGGCAACAGAGCGAGATTCCATCTCAAAAAAAAAAAAAAGCCAACACTAGAGATCCTTCCACTGCTGGGCTCTCAAAGTCTGGATTCCAAGCACCTCCAGGTTTCTATTTTGGCATATTTACATAATTTCGCATTTCGATGCTTATAATTTTTTTATATAACAAGAAAATTTTATGCATCTCAAATGTGTACATTTTTTTTTTCAGACAGGGTCTTGATCTGTCACCCAGGCTGGAGTGCAGTGGTGCCTTCATAGCTCACTGCTGCCTCAAGCTCTTGGGCTCCAAAGATCCTCCTACCTCAGCCTCCAGAGCTGGGGGTCTACAGGCGCGTACCACCATGCCCAGCTACTATTCTTATTATTCCCAAATGCCACCCCACCATATTTCTAAAAACTCCCAAAGAAAGATTCTACTTTGCCCAGTTTGTCCTCAATTGAGCAGTTTTGTCTAAGCCCAGAGTTTCTGCTGGGCCAGAGTATGGATGAGCTGTCTCTCCCTGGCTGGTGCCCATGCCTGCCTGTAGCCTGGGAGGGGGAGTGGCGCCCAGGGTCAGGTGGAACAAAACATGACTGCCTAGGGCTGCCTCTGTCTCCATCTCACTGATCGCAAATCACAGCTCAGACAGCCAGCTCTTAAGTGAGACCTGAGTGCCAGAGAGGGGTGGATACAAGGCCAACAGTTACTAAATGAATGAAAATTGTGATTCCGATGAAGCCTGCCAGAGAAATAAAGCATTTTTTAAAAGATGGAAATAAGGCGATATCTGATTAGGGCAAACATGATGCAGACAAGAAATGCACCGGTTCAGAGGAGGGAAGGTCAGGCCGCCTGGGGGGAGTCCACGAAAAAGATGGAACGTGCCAGATGCTGTGCCTGGTGCTGGGAAAGAGTTGACTAGGCCAGCATCCCTTTCCTCAAAGGGGGGGCTCCTAGACTGGGGGGAGGGCTGGACATCTGAATACATCCTGAGGAGACAGTGTGGGACAGCATGGTGGCAGTGGAGCCAGCCGTGGTTCTGCTCTTGGTCGACTGGAAAGGAGTAGATGTAAGGGATGGTTTAGAAGAAGGGAAGTGGAAGAAAAGTTTTCTGAGCTGACAAGAGGAAGGAAAGGCCTTCTAGAAGGACACTAAAAAGGCAGAGAAGCCCTAAGCAGAGTGAGCACCAGACTCCACAGGTTAAGGGCTCAGTCACACAGGACCATCCCCATGTCAGACCCCAGGTGCAAGGCCAAGCATCTCCTATGCATCTGACCAACTGGCTGTAAATTGGAGGTCCCCACAACTCCCTCCTCAGGTTTGAACATTTGCTAGAACAGCTCATGGAACCCAGGAAAACAGTTTTCTTACTAGTGCTGATTTATTACAAAGGATATTTTAAAGGACACAAATGATGAAGCCAGATGAAGAGATACACAGGGTGAGGTCTGGAAGGGTCCTTGTGGAGTTGGGGTGCACCACTCTCCTGGAACATGGATGTGTTCGCCAACCCGGAAGCTCTCCAAGTCCTGTCTTTTAAGGAGTTTTCTGGAGGCTTTATCACATAGGCATGATTGAGCTCCAGCTCCATTCCCCACGCCAGAGGATGGGGAATGGGGCTGACAGCACAACGCTTCCAACCATAGGTCTTTTTGGTGACCAGTCCCCAAATAAGGAGCCCACCAAGAGTCACCTCATGAGAACAAAGGACGCTTCTATCACCCAGAAAATTCCAAGGGATTTAGGAGCTCTGTATCAGGAACCAGGTTTAAGGACCAAATGTTAGAACAAAAGATGTGCAACCATAAAAAACAGCGAGATCATGTCTTTTGCAGGAACACAGATGGAGCTAGAGGCCATTATCCTCAGCAAACTAAGACAGGAACAGAAAACCAAATACTGCATGTTCTTGTAAGTGGGAGCAAAATGATGAGAACTCATAAACAACAGACACTGGGCCCTACCTGAGGGTGTAGGGTGGGAGGAGGGAGAGGAGCAGAAAAAACTATTGGGTACTAGGCTTGGTACCTGGGTGATGAAATAATCTGTACAACAAACCCCCATGACACAAGTTTAGCTATATAACGAACGTGCATATGTACCCCCTAACCTAAAAGAAAAGTTTAAAAAGGAAAAAACACCTAGGAGAAAAGAAAAATGATAAACTAACAAAGGACAATGCTCTTAGCACCGCCATCATTCAGGAATTTCCAAGGGTTTTAGGAGCTTTGTGGTAGGAACTGGGGGCAGAGACCAAATATATATTTCTTCTTATGTTACACTACCCCAGATAGGAAAACAGAAATTAGATATTTCAAACAAAAAAGGGTTGTATATAGGCAATTAGTGCTTATCACTGGAGGGGCTAGAGGTGGTGAAGGTTGTGGGGAAGGGGTTGCACCACTGGCTTTCAGGCTACTTTACCACAGCTGATTTCCAGAGGATGGAAGAAGTCAGGAAACTTGGGAAACCGCTGCTGAGGTCCTTGCAGCCCCACGGTCCCCAGGCTGGTGACTGGTGGGGGAGTATGGAGTCCAGCTGACCACCAGAGCCTGCACACCTGCTGCTATGGGGGAGGAAAGGATGACTTCTACCTCCTTTCCACATTCCAAATTCCACGTGACTACATTTTATTGGCAGCACCCCGCTGGCAAGCGAGCCTTGATGTGTGCTTCCTGGGCTTCTGGCACCTGCACAGAAAGGGGTGAAATGAGTGTCACGAGCAGCCACCACTCTGCATCACACCTCCACATCCAGGTGTGCTGGAGAGCCCCACTTACACTTGGAGGTGTCCTGGCACCCTACCCACTTTTGGTAGGTGTTTGGGTGTCCGAGGCTTTGCAAAAGAAGAAGGCGGGGAGTCTACGGTGGAGTGACATGGAGACCTAGCTAAGTCAGAGGCCTGGAGAGGTGTCACTAGCTGGGCAGCAGGTAACACACAATCATCCTGAGCTGATTGGAGAAACACCTGGGATTGATTCAGAGTTTTTTCTGGAATGTTTTCACTGGAATGAAAGCTGAGCGGTCTGCAGGCCATATAGTATTGGAGAAAACTTAGCCCTCATTGAAAAAGGCTACCAGAGAAAAGATATCCACAGGGAAATTCAGGAGTTTTGTTTGTTTTTTCTTTTTTTTTTCTTTTAAGGTGGAGTTTTGCTCTTGTTGCTCAGTCTGGAATGCAATGGCACGATCTCAGCTCACTGCATCCTCTGCCTCCTGGGTTCAAGCAAGTCTCCTGCCTCAGCCTCCCTAGTAGCTGGGGTTACAGGCATGCGCCACCATGCCCGGCTAATTTTTGTATTTTTAGTAGAGACGGGGTTTCACCATGTTGGTCAGGCTGGTCTCGAACTCCTGACCTCAGGTAATCCACCCGCCCTGGCCTCCCAAAGGGCTGAGATTACAGGTGCGAGCTACCACGCCTGGCTTGTTTTGGGTTTTGGGGTTTTTTTGTGTTTGTTTGTTTGTTTTTGGAGACAGTCTCTGTCACCCAGGCTGGAGTGCAGTAGCGTGATCTCGGTTGACTGCAACCTCTGCCTTCCGGGTTCCAGTGATTCTCCTGCCTCAGCCTCCCGAATAGCTGGGATTACAGGCACCCACCACCATGCCTGGCCAATTTTTTTTTTCTCTAAAAACAGTTTCACCATGTTGGCCAGGCTAGTCTTGAACTCCTGACCTCAAGTGATCTGCTCACCTTGGCCTCCCAAAGTGCTAGGATTACAGGCATGAGTCACTGTGCCCCGCCAGGAAATTCAGTTTCTGAAAATACACCTGTGGATCTCTAGCCTTGAACATCCTTGGATGCTGCTTTAAATGACTGATCCTCAATGCCTCCCTTCTAACTCACACTCCCCTATATCAATCTCCCAGAAAAAGGGACCTCTTTTATTCTTTTTTTTTTTTTTTTTTTTTTTTTTCCACAGGCCTCACTTTGTTGCCCAGGCTGCTTTTGAACTCCTGGCCTCAAGTGATCCTCCCGCCTTGGTCTCTCAACGTACTGGGATTACAGGTGGGAGTCCCCGCGCCCGGCAAAGCCTATATTAAACCCTTTTATGCACACTCGGCGGTACTGCAGAGAGGGCAGGGAGGAAGCAGAGGTGCCCTGGCATCTTCAGCTGGAGGTGAGCAGGGCGCTGAGGGTGGGAGAGGCCCGGCGCCTGGGGATGGGAGGCAGGACTGCACCTTCACAGGGACGCTTCCACCCTACCCCGGAGGTTAGGGCCTCTCGCCCAGCTCTGGCTCTGAGGTCCTGGAGGGAGGGAGATGCTGTTGCGACTCAGAAGATTGGGGGAGGGCCACCCCCATTCGAGAAGAGTGAAAATCCTGAGCCTGAAGAAGTGGAACCGGTTGGAGCCGAGGCTTTAAGAGGATGGCGTTCGAAAGAGGGTCTGGCGCCGCCCTGTGGACCGTTCGGGCTCGCAGGGCCGAAGGCTCCGAAGACTGAGACCTGTGAACCATGGGGAGGCTCCATGCGGATGGGGGCCACAGCCCCCGCCGGAGCCCCCACACTAGCCCTGGACTTCTCCACTGACTTAGGACATGAGAGCTCAATAAGCTCCTTATTTAACGCACTGTTGTATCAGGTCCCTGTGGGAGCCACTGGTTCTTTAGCCTAATAAAGGAGCGGGTGCACGCACTGGATTGGTGAGCTACCGCCACTGCAACGCGTCCTAATCAACCATCCTAAACGGCGGCTCGAACAAGGTTCTCGCAGGCCTGTGCTTGGGCTTGAATGCTGGTCCAGCCGCTGCGCTCTGTGGCTCCCTGTAGGCCTGCGGATCGGCCAGGGGGCTCCGTTCCTTTTGGGCGGAGGCTGAAGAAGCAGCGGCTGCACCAGAGAAGGCCCTCTGGGTGAAGGTGGGAGCGCACGGGGCCCGCGGAACCACCTAAGGCGACTTCAGACGTGGGCTCGGAACTGGCAGCCTTTCGTTTCTGCTTCATTCCAAGGCCAGAGCAAGCCACGTGGGCAAACCCAAAGCCAGGGGACAGGAAAGTATCCTCCACCCACAACGAAACCATGGCAAGCGGTGGATGCAGGTACGGCCAATAGTCTATCTATCCCGGTGAGTGAGGAGACCTGCTTTGAGGGTTGCACAACCTGGATCTGCTTTTACAGTGGTGTCTGTCACTATGAAGACTCCACCATGGGTCGCCATCAGGTCAGGGATCCTGACAAGGCAAGAACTGCATCTTCCTCTGCACACAGCTCTGCTCCCTTCCCCGCCATGCATAACACCAAGCCCAGCCCTGAGGGATGACTCAGGAATATTACTGAGAGCATTTTAGGCCATTCCTTCATTATCCCCATGTGACTTGTTATGAAATATAGACTGACTTCCTGAAGATCAGCACATAGTGCTAAGTATTTGGCTTGTAATCTGTAGAGACTCTGCCATTTGGAGCTGGGATCTGTCCCCAGAGCTGTCAGACACCAAATCCTGTATCTACTGCCACCCAAAGGGACCTCCAGAAGAAAGGGGTTATACAGGGTCAAACACCAAGGCAGGTTAGTGAAATTTCTGTGGAGGCCATTTAAACCTGGAGTCTCACCACCTGAATTGCCCTCAGAGGACGGCTGTCTAGGGCACAAACCTAGTCAGGGGTCCACATGGACTTAAGGACATTTTTTTTTTTTTGAGACAGTCTCATTCTGTCATCAAGGCTCGAGTACAGTGGTGTGAACTCAGCTCACTGCAAGACTCAACCTCCTGGGCTCAGGTGATCCTCCCACCTCAGCCTCCCAAGTAGCGGGAACCACAGGCTCGTGCCATGATGCCCAATTAATTTTCTTTTAAATTTTTTGTAGAGATGAGGTCTCCCCGTGTTGCTCAGTCTAATCTTGAACTCCTGGACTCAAACGATCCTCCTGCCTCTGCTTCTCAAAGTCCTGGGACTACAGGTGTGAGCCAACGCACCTGGCCTCTTAAGAATAATTTTAAAAACAATGAGGTTCACCGTCAGAGCCCCTGCTGCTCTACCAAGTCCCTTGGCCCCTCTCAACAGGGCAAAAGCAAGATGAGCCCCAGATGTTCTGCTTAATGACCACCTTTCCCAGGAGACTTTGCTCTTTAAAGGAGAACCACTTAGAGATATGAGCAACCTTAAAGAATGCCACCAGCACTAGTGAATGCCAGGCACGGGCCACGTGGGTGGAGAGTATATTTTAGGGCAGTCACTCATGGTAAATTATTTCCACCAGCCCCCAGAAGTGACTATTCAATGTCCAACTATGTCAGGCCCAGGCTAATAAAAGTAGAGGCATGAGGAACCTAGGGTTGTTCTGAAGTGCCTTGATTATGGTATATGTGGAAGATTTTAGAGCTTGTTGTAAAAAGTGATGACCCATGGCCCCCCAGGCTGGGTCTGGGATTGCCTTTGTGGATTACAAGAGGATATTATGCAGCAGTTTTTAAAAATGAGGCAGACTGGGACAATCTATCTCCAAGATGCATAGGTGCTGTTAAGGGAACAAAGCAAGATTTAGTAGGGCGTGTATAGTATGCTACTGTGCACTGTGCGTTATCTGTACAGAACTGTGAGGTCTGATACAGTAGCCACTAGCCACATATGGCTATTTACATATAAACTTAGGTTGGCCACAGTGGCTCATGCCTGTAATCCTAGCACTTTGGGAGGCCAAGTGGGAGGATAGCTTGAGGCCAATAGTTCAAGAACACCCTGGGCAACATAGTGAAGCCCCTTTTCTACAAAAAATTTATTTATTTTTATTTTTTTTGAGACGGGTCTCACTCTGTCACCCAGGCTGCAGTGCAGTGGCGCAGTCTCAGCTTATTACAACATCTGTCTCCTGGGTTCAAGCGATTATCGTGCCTCAGCCTCCAAGTAGCTGGGACTACAGGCACGCACCACCATACCCAGCAAATTTTTGTATTTTTGGTAGAGACAAGGTTTCGCCATGTTGGCCAGGCTGGTCTCGAACTCCTGACCTCAGGTGATCTGCCCGCCTCAGCCTCCCAAAGTGCTGAGATTACAGGCATGAGCCACTGCGCCCAGGCAAAAAATTTAAAATAGTAAAAATCAGCCAAACATGGTGGCATTCATCTGTAGTCCCAGCAACTTAGGAGGCTGAGGTGGGAGGATTTCTTGAGCCCAGGAGGTCAAGGTTGCAGTGACCTATGACTGCACCACTGCACTCCAGCCTGGACAACAGAGTGAGGCCCTGTCTCAAAAAATAAATAAATAGGAGTTTGAGGCCATGTTCACACTCACTGCAGTCCAGTCTGGTAAACAGAGCAAGACGCTGAGTCTTTAAAAAAAAAAAAATTTTTTTTAAAGTCAGCTGCTAAGACACACTAGCCACATATCAAGTGCTCAACTGCCCCGTGTGGCTAATGGCTTCCAAACTGGCAGCACAGGCAACTGTTTTCATCACTGAAGTTCTGTTGGACAAGAATACCTCTGGAAGCACACACGAGAAACTGGTAATGGCGGTTGCCTTCGGGGAGGGAAACTGGGAGAGTGCAGGGCTGTATGCCCTTTTGTACCTCTTGAATTTCATATCATGCGTTTGTACTAGGTGTTTACAAATTATTTTAAAAACATACTGGGAATTAGGAATCCCCATATGGAATCACTGCAGTGGGACACTGATTCCCAAAAAATTACTTTGCAATTTGCCTAAAACAAATTAAGCTAATAGCTATCATGATTTCATATTTAATATTTTTTCACAGCTTAGAGTTTTTTTAGCTCCTGTTGCTATCTCTCTGCTCTTATGAGCTCACAGGGTGACAAAGTGAATTAGTAAGTAGCAGGAGAACATTAAAGGAAAAACTCCTGGGCAACAGGGCAAAACGCCGGCTCTACAGAAAATACAAAACATTAGCCAGGCATGGTGGCATGCACCTATGGTCTTAGCGACTTGGGAGGCTGAGGTGGGAGGATCGCTTGAGCCCGGAAGGCGGTAACTCAATCCCAGCAGAATCCCAGGGAGCGAAGGTGGCTCATCCCAAAAGAAAAACAAGAAGGAAATTCTATTACCAGAAGACAAAGGGATGAAATGAGGGATGGAGAATCAAAGACTGAAGCTACTAGGGTTTGTTTTTATTAATATTTAATTTTTTCAGAGGCAAGGGTCTCAGCATGTTGCCCAGGCTGGCCTTGAACTCCTGGCCTCAAGCAATCCTCCTGCCTGAGCCTTCCGAGTTGTTGGGATTACAGATATGAGCCACTGCATCCAACTTTGGTTCTTGTTTGTCTGTTTTGTTTTGTTTTGTTTTTTTGACAGAGTTTTGCTGTGCCACCCAGGCTGGAGTGCAGTGACTCAGCCTCGGCTCACTGCAGCCTTGACCTTCTGGCCTCAAGTGATCCTCCCACCTCAGCGCCAACCCCCACTGCCCTCCAATATCTGGGACTACAGGTGCGCGTGACCGCGCACAGCTAATTTTTAAATTTTTTGTAGAGATAGGGTTTCACTATGTGGCTCAGGCTGGTCTCCAACTCCTGGACTAAGCGATCTGCCTGCCTTGGCCACCTCCCAAAGTGTGAGCCACCGTGCCCACCCATTGAACATTGAAGCTAGACTGGGCAAACCCTTAAGCCTAAACCAGTAACAGTTTTTCACAAGTTCATAGATGTTACTGTGGTTAATAACACACAAATTCATTTAAAAGCATGTGTGTCCTCATAGTAATTTTTGGTCCTTATTTTTATTTTTATTTTTCAGTTAATGGATATTAAAGATACAACTTTATTTTGTTTTTTTTGAGACAGGGTCTCACTCTGTCGCCCAGGCTGGAGTGCAGTGGCATGATCAGAGCTCATTGCAACCTCCACCTCCTGGGTTCAAGAGATTCTCCTCCCTCAGCTTCCTGAGTAGCTGGGATTGCAGGTACATGCAACCACACCTGGCTAATTTTTGTACTTTTTGTAGAGATAGGGTTTTACCATGTTGCTCACGCTGGTTTTGAACTCCTGAGCTCAAGTGATCCACCTGCCTCGGCCTCCCAAACTGCTGGGATTACACACGTGAGCCACCACACCCGGCCTAAAGATATAATTTCTATCATGAGGAGATCCAAGAACTATTCTCTTTTTCTTTTTTTAATGTTAGAAAGGGATTCTTAACTGAGTATGTGCTGCAGCAAAGGGAGGGGAAATTAAGCAAGAAGAGAAGGGAGCCAGGAAATAAAGGCCCCAACCCAGGAAGCAGTTAAGCAAAGTTCCAGGATGACCACATGTGACAAGTTTAGGGGATAACTTGAGCACATGGAGGACAGAACTTGGAGAGGGCACTGTGGGCCTGGGCGCCACCTGCTCCACCAGAGCACTGGAAGAGAACGATGGCACGATAATGGCAGATGGCACTGAAAGAAAAGGAGAGAGCTTGAGGCACCCTTGGGGGAAGCAGCCATCATCAGAGTGTATTTTATTTTTATTTTATTATATTTTGAGATAGAGTCTCACTCTGTTGCCCAGGCTGGAGTGCAGTGGCATGATCTCGGCTCACTGCAACCTCCACCTCCCAGGTTCCAGTGATTCTCTGCCTCAGCCTCCCAAGTAGCTGAGACTACAGGGGGCACCACCACACCGGCTAATTTTTGTATTTTTAGTAGAGATGGGGTTTCTCCATGTTGGCCAGGTTGGTCTTGAACTCCCGACCTCAGGTGATCCGCCCACCTTGGCCTCCCGAAGTGCTGGGATTACAGGCGTGAGCCACCATGCCTGACCTCACAGCACATTATTAAGCTCTGTGGTGAATAATATTTATATAGTCACAATTCTGTAAACACTGTTCATTTTCTACAAATTGTGGCAAACCCAAACCTCAAGAATGGACAGGGCTGGGGTGTAAAAGAGCTAAGTCCTTGCCAGGTTTACCAGGAAGGCAACAGACAGTGTCTAAAACTATGAGACAGCTGGGCGCGGTGGCTCACGCCTGTAATCCCAGCACTTTGGGAGGCCAAGGCAGGTGGATCACGTGAGGTCAGGAGTTTGAGATCAGCCTTGACAACATGGTGAAACCCCGCGTCTACTAAAAATATCAAATTAGCTGGGCATGGTGGCAGGTGCCTGTAATCCCAGCTAGTAGGGAGGCTGAGGCAGGAGCATTGCTTGAACCCAGGAGGGGGAGGTTGCAGTGAGCCAAGATGGCACCACTGCACTCCAGCCTGGGTGACAGAGTGAGACTGTGTCTCAAAAAAATAATAAAATACAAACAATGAGACGTGCAGGAGATGTGGGGAGAAGCACCAGAAGATTCTGCTGAAAGCCTGCTCCCCAGAAGGGTGGGAACAATAGGGACAATGAACTGCTGTTGTTCGTTATGTTTCATCCCCATTCCGTTTCATTTTATTGAATTGTAAACCGTGTGTATAACAACACTTTTTAATCAATTTTTTAAAAAAGAGAGAGTGGAAAGAAACCGCTTCCTACAACAGAACTGAAGAGCACACCAGTGATTACAGTGTCCAGAGAGGAGGGTGCATTAACACTAGTTTTATTATTTCAATCAGATGCCAAGCAAGAATATATCTGGGGTTCAGACAAGAAAGGCTCTCATTCAAGTGCTTACAAGAGCAATGGAAGGCAAGGACCTGCCCAATTGGCAGGGTGAAAATTAGCCACAACTAGAATAGTAACAACTGTTCATCTTTGAGCACTTACTACAGGCCAGAACTTGCATTAAGGATATCATCTTTTTCTTTTCTTTTTTTCTTTTCCTTTTTTTTTTTTTTTTTTTGTTGTTGTTGTTTTGGAACAGAGTCTCACTCTGTCATGTAGGCTGCAGTGCAGTGGCGCAATCTCAGCTCACTGCAACCTCAGCCTCCCAGGTTCAAGCGATTCTTGTGCCTCAGCCTCACAAGTACCTGGGACTACAGGCATGAACCACCATGCCTGGCTAATTTTTGTATCTTTGGTAGAGATGGGGTTTCACCATGTTGGCCAGGCTGGTTTCGAACTCCTGGCCTCAAGTAATCCACCCACCTCAGCCTCCCAAAGTTATGGGATTACAGGCGTGAGCCACTGTGCCCAGCCAGGATATCATGATATTTACTCCTCACATCAACTGACATTAGCCCCTATTTACAATGAGGAACTGAGGCTCAGAGAGGTTTTGGCACTTGCCTGAGGTCACACACTCTGGGCTCTCTGCTTGGGGCTGAGGGCGAAGGGGCGTTGTGACTTACTTCTCTTTCCTGAACATCAATAAAATTCAATTTAGAAATTTCTGTCTTCAGTGCGATCTCAACGGGCCTGTGAAAAATGCTGACTCGGTGGCAGCTGTCAGCTATCTTAGCCCCATACTCATTGGGTTGCCCTGGGCCCCACACTGTTTTAAGGAAGTCCCAGCAAACAATATGGGATAGAGATGAGATTCAAACCTAAACAGCCCTGGCTCTAAAATCCACTGAACAAAGCTGAAACTAGAATCAGAAAGAACTAGGTAAGAATCCTACTTCTAGCACTTACTACTTCTGTGGCTGTGGCCCCCCCGCAAGTTACTTAACCTCTTTTTTTTTTTTTTTTAAGAGATGAAGTCTCGCTCTGTCACCAGGCTGGAGTGCAGTGGCGTGATCTCGGTTCACTGCAACCTCTGCCTCCTGGGTTCAAGCGATTCTCCTGCTTCAGCCTCCCAAGTAGCTGGGACTACAGATGCGTGCTACCACGCCCAGCTAATTCTTTGTATTTTAGTAGAGACAGGGTTTCACCATGTTGGCCAGGATGGTCTGGATCTCTTGATCTCATGATCCACCCACCTCGGCCTCCCAAAGTGCTGGGATTACAGGCATGAGCCACCGCACCTGGCCACTTAACCTCTTTTAAGCCTATTTTCTCATCCATACAATAGAGATAATGGCAGCACCCACCTTTCAGGTGGCTGGTAAGGAATATTAGGTGAACACAGGTGCCTATGTATGTTCTTCCATTTTCCATAAATGTTAATTCCCTTATCCCTCATCTCCTAGGTTAGTCCCGGAGGACAGACTTGAACTTTGAAAACAGAAAGTAACTGCCAAAAGGGATTATTTAGGGCACAGATTTCCCCCTTTCATTATCCTTTAGGTCCTCAGTGGTGAGGGCAGGGGACAGGAGAGGTGGGGTGAAGCCCAAATTCTTGGACCTCATCCTAGAGTGACTCTTTAGGGTTAGTGTGGGGCTTAGGAATCTGCATTTTGGACCTGTCCCCAGGGCATTCTGATGCCTACAGTTCTCCTGTGTGGCTTTGAATAACGCTGGGTAGTGCTTTAAATCCAAGCTGACAGACCAGTGGGATGTGAACCATCCTTGCAAATGGTTTGAGCCCTTTCTGCACTGGCCTCCAACTTTGCCTTGCTCAGTCTTCAGCTCCCCTTCCATTCTGGCCCTCTCCCCTTACCCTTTCCTTTTTCACTTCCTTTTATTTTTATTTATTTTTATTATTATTTAAAAAAAATTTTTTTTGAGACAGGATCTCACTCTGTCGCCCAGGCTGTAGTGCAGTGGCATTATCTTGGCTCACTGCAATCTCCGCCTCCCGGGTTCAAGCAATTCTCATACCTCAGCCTCCTTAGTAGCTGGGACTACAGACACACACCACCACACCTGGCTAATTTTTGTATTTTTAGTAGAGATGGGCTTTCACCATGTTGGCCAGGCAGGTCTCGAACTCCTGACCTCAAGTGATCCACCAGCTTCGGCCACCCAAAGTGCTGGGATTACAGGCATGACCCACCGTGCCCAGCCTCCTTTTTCACTTCCCACCTTCCTCCCCACCTCTGGGTGCACCCTTCCCTGAGCTCAGCCTGTATTCCTATGTGCTGGCCACTTACCAGCCAGTCCCTTCAGCTGCAATACCCTTTACTCACCTAGAAAGCTCATATCAAAAGTCGCCTCCTCCAGAATACCTCTCAAGTTCTCCTCTCTGGTCCCTTGGCCCTTTGCAGGTACCTTTTTTCTTGCGCAAGTCACGTGATAATGTAAGGGTTTTTTTTTTTTTTTTCCCCCCCATCTGGAGCCTGCCTGGTGGGCTCAGGGTCCATTTGTGCAAACATGCATTTCCCTCTCCTCTGCGCCCCCTCCTTCATGATCCATGCTTTATGCAGCTTCCCCAAGGCATGCAGAGCAAGCTGAGAAGAGGTAGGCAAGCCTGAAGACTTTTCAAAGAAGCAGGGTAGCTTGGGAAGTAAGAGAAGACCAGGAGATAGGGGCTCCTAAAAAGCAGACAAGAGATTACCGAGGGGTTCCCCACAGCTCCAGCACACAGCCGCTGCACAAAAATGCAGTGGAATTACTGAGGGACATTATGTGCTTGATGGGGGACAGGGAATGCTTGTGCCAAGCCACCAAGGATTATGCTGTGCCAGTTGTATACTATCGTTTTGCCAAGGTGAAAGGATTTCCCTACTAAATCCCTTACTTTCCACTTTGTTTAAAATGAGTTTAACACCGAGAGAATAGTTTGTCTCTATGTCCTTATTTCTAATCTTCCTGCTCAACCATTAACTGCAGTAAACACACTCAGACCCATCTAGTCTAAAATTGAGAAGGGGAGGTTCTCACTCCTGGAGAGAGAATTACTGAAAGGGCGGCCCTCATACAGTCCAGGGTCATACCCCCAAGTGCTGGTTTTATACTTGAAAGCAGACAGTGGGACTCTGAACTTTGCAGAGATAAGAGGGACACCTTCCTACCCAGAGAAGCCAAAAGAGCACAGGACGCCCAGGCCGAGGGCAGTGAAGCTTGCTTCCAAGAACTGGCCCGTTCCCCAGCCAACCCCTGTGCCCACTTAGGACTGGCATGTAGCAGTACCTCTCCTCATCCACACTCAGGCCCTAGGCTC
The DNA here is from genome assembly GCF_000001405.40 of Homo sapiens. Classification (NCBI taxonomy): domain Eukaryota; kingdom Metazoa; phylum Chordata; class Mammalia; order Primates; family Hominidae; genus Homo; species Homo sapiens. The sequence continues at coordinate 45,492,170 of NC_000017.11, read as the reverse complement.
CCAATTGACCAAAGCCTGCAAGTATAAAGTGTCCAGAGCATGGGTCCCTGCCAACACTCCCTGCCCTGCTCTTCACTACCTGTGGCCACCACTTATGACATTTTGTTCCGAGTTCATCTGAAAGAGAAATGTCACTTTTGCGTTAGAAAGAAGATATACAGGCCAGGTGTGGTGGTTCATGCCTGTAATCCCAGCACTTTGGGAGGCCGAGTCAGGAGGATCGCCTGAGGCCAGGAGTTGGAGACCAGGTTAGGTAACACAGTGAGACCCCTGTCTCTACAAAATAAACAAATTTTTTTAAAAATGAAAAGATTGGCCGGGCGCGGTGGCTCACGCCTGTGATCCCAGCACTTTGGGAGGCCGAGGCGGGTGGATCACCAGGTCAGGAGATCGAGACCATCCTGGCTAACACGGTGAAACCCCATCTCTACTAAAAACATAAAAAAATTAGCCGGGCGTGGTGGCGGGCTCCTGTAGTCCCAGCTACTCGGGAGGCTGAGGCAGGAGAATGGCGTCAATCCAGGAGGCGGAGCTTGCAGTGAGCCGAGATCGCGCCATTGCACTCCAGCCTGGGCGACAGAGCCAGACTCCGTCGCAAAAAAAAAAAAAAAAAGAAAAAAGAAAAAATTAGCTGGGCGTGGTGGTGCACGCCTGTAGTCCCAGCTGCTTGGAGGCTGAGGTGGGAGAACCACTTAGTCCGTGAGGTCAAAGCTGTGGTGAGCCGTGATCGTGCCACAGCACTCCAGTCTGGGCGACAGAGTGAGACCCTGTCTCAAAAAAAAAGCAGAAAGGAAGAAAGAAATCCTCTACACGGGCTAGAAGAGAATAACCAGACCCCTAAGCTTCAAGCCAGGCGGTGCTAATGGGCGAGTTACACACGGGAGAGTGCCCAAGGGGACCTCAAGGCGTTCCCTTGGGATAAAGTGTGGTCAAAACAGCTATGTTTATCCTGAAAGCGCAAGGCGGAGGCTCCAATTTGGGCCCGGGCTCCGCCCCACGGGCTGCACTGCTGCCCTCGGAGAGGCAAAGATAGGGCAGGCGTTATTAGTCCCACTCACAAGTGGGAACTCTTCAGCTGAGGGAGGCGAAGTGACAGCCCCAATGTTGCACAGATGGTTCTGAGGCCAAACGAGGTCAGGAACCCAGAAGCCAGGATCTAGTTTGACGCAGACCTGCGGGAGGCGGGCGGTAACGGATGCGTTCTCCCTGACACCGGTGCCTTCGCCTCTCTGCGCCCTGCAGGCGCCCCCAGTTCCCCAGCCTCCCAGACCTCGCATCTGCCCCGGGGCTCAGCTCCCAGGGACTTCCGGGAGCAGCTGGCCCCGCCCCAAGGCTCCTTCGGGCTGCGCGATTGGCACCGCGGGCCGGGGCAGGGCCGGAGCGCCGAGCCAACGTGATGGCGTCAGGGGCCGGGGCGCCGCTTCCTGTTGTCAGTGGCCGAGAGACCGCATCGTCGGCTCGGAGGCTGAGGGGCTGCCGCGGCCGGGAGCGCCCCTCGCCTCGCTCCTCGCTCCGCTTGGTGAGTTAGGGGGTCAAGATGCGAGGAGGGCGGCGGAGTGGTGGGAGGGCCGAGGCGCGAACGGGCGGTGGGCCTCCCGCTCCCTCCGCGATTCCCAGCCCCTGGTTACCCTGAGACTGCCCGGCTTCAGGGCCCTCAGCCCTGTCCAGCCCGCGCCCGCTCCTCTCCGACCCAGCCTTCCCCCTGCACCGCCGCTGTGGCCCCGTCCCCTCCGTCTGTCCAGCCCCCAGCCCGCGCCCGCATCCCCTCACCAGCGGTCTTGCTTAAATGCAGCTTCACTCGTGACCCCACTTTACCCCAGTTCCAACACCGATCTCGGCCACGTCCCTTCGCCCCGCCCTGACACACCTCATCCTCTCTCCCCACCCCTCTGGTAATCCCGATGCTCCGCGCTTACCTCCCCGAGACCCACCATTCAGGTTTCCCCTTTTCTGGCTCAGCTTTCTTATCCCAGTCACCCCCATCCCCCGTCTAGCTCCCCAAGATCTGCTCATCCCAAACATTCTACCTCCGCCCTCTCATCTAAGACCCACCCCCAAAGTAGGTGCCCTGTTGAGCTCACCGCTTTCTTCTGGATAACTCCGATCTCAGCCTTATTCCAAGTCTTAACTGTGTCTTCTCGTCCTTAGTCTCCTAGCCACTGTATACCTTCCTTTGCGTCTCCTGCCGTACTGAGGACAGCCCATCCCTAAGTCTTTGCCAAACTGTCCCGAACTCTTGCTGCCTCCTTTCCTACCACCCTCACCCAATCTTGTTAAAAATGACATCTCCATGTCCTTTCACCCCCGCTGACCCACCGCAACTCTTCACCCCAACTCTGCGTCCATTGCTTCCCTCGACCCAACTCCCATTCAACCTGAGAACTTAGTGCAGAGTCGCCTGCCAACTCCACCAGCTGCCCCTCAACAGCCAAATGTAGGTGCTCACTCAGACCCGCAGTTACAGACTGAGCAGCATGATTGGCGGGTGCAGGGGCTCAGGTGGTAAATAAGGGTGGAGGAGCAGTGGGCTCTCCCCAACTCTTGGGTGGGGCCGGGGTTTTTCCTGGCATCTGGTCTCCTGCACCTGTCCTCAGGGATTGTGTTTTTGGCATTCATATTAAATGACTTGTGCTGGCTGCTGGAATGGTAGGTATCATTCAAATATCTGGAAGGTGAGAGACGGCCACTCACTCAGCTCACTTAGCACAGAATGATGGAAGCTGTCACTTCCTTCTGGTTGGTGTTCTCGCCCTGGAGAGCTTCTGGGAAGTTCTGTGTGGTGTTGGCTGTGGTCACAGAATATTGTTCGTGTTCCTTTTCTTGGCACTTGTAAGGGCCTCTCCCTGCCAGAGCTGATGGCAGATCAGTCCTGATGCTGAATTCAGGGGATATGATGGGTGCCAGAGGCAACGTTACCTGTTGTGAAGAGTATAGGTGAGTAGGTCCTGGGGAGGCTGAGGCCTAGGTGGGTACAGAGGCTCTTGAATCGCTTTCTTTTCTTTTAAGTGCTGGATCATTGACTTTTGGCCATCTGGGTTCCATGAACACAGGGAACCATGTTATCTCAGAGTAGCTGAGGCAGAAGGACATTCCAGAGGCACCCAAGTCCCATGCTCAGCATTTATAGTTTCCTGGGGGCTTTTTGGTACACATTTTCTCTGAATCCTGAGGACCCGGCATCAGATGGGTGGGCCATTTGATTGCAGCTTTTTTCTTTCTTTCTTTCTTTTTTTCGACGGAGTTTACTCTTGTTCCCCAGCCTGGAGTGCAGTGGCATGATCTCGGCTCACCGCAACCTCTGCCTCCCAGGTTCAAGCGATTCTCCTGCCTCAGCCTCCCGAGTAGCTGGGATTACAGGCATACACCACCATGCCCGGCTAGTTTTGTATTTTTAGTAGAGATGGGGGTTTCTCTGTGTTGATCAGGCTGGTCTCCAACTCCCGACCTCAGGTGATCCACCCACCTCGGCCTCCCAAAGTGCTGGGATTACGGGCGTGAGCCGCCGCACCTGGCTGATTGCAGTTTTAAAGAGCCCCAAAGAACACTGTCTCTGCTTGCCACTTATAGTCGTATTCCTTTGAAAAGTGAATGCTGTTTACCTTCAATGTCCTCCCATTAATATGCAGTATATTTAAGTTGTTTTCAGCCTTATTGGCAGCTTGGCTTAATGACAGGAGCTCCACAGTTGCCCCAGCACTTAAGAGTTGTATACCCCAACTTCCCACAGTGTGTGAAGTGGAGGTACTTACCCCGTGCCTTGTTTTTATTTTATTAATCAATTCATTCAACAGCTTATTTTTTGAGCACCAGTGTGTGACAAACACTGTTCCAGGTACTAGAAATACAATGGTGAATGGGTCAGGCAACGGTCCTGTTTTCATTCATTCAGAGTTTGGTCCTTGTTAGAATCCTCTGGGATATGGGACAAGAATACAGGAAAGCTGGGTGATACTGGATGGAAGGAAGGAGGGAGGAAAGAAAGATAGCTAGTGTTCACTGACTCCACAATTCTGCCCTCATCCACTAGCCCTGAGTCTGGGAATCACAAGCTAAAAGTTTCTCACCCTTCATCTGGTATTTAATTGCTTCAAAGCTCCAACCCCCACCACTCCACCCATCACAGAAATCCAGCTTTCCTCAGGTGGACAGAGGTGCAGTTTCCTCAGTCAGCACTCACATGCCTGAAAGATCAGCTGCCTTTCTGAATCAGAGGATAACTTTGTCATTCTTTTCCAATTGAAAAAACATGACTCATCAATTGGTACAGCAGTTGGATGGCTTAAAGCCAGGCTGTGGCTCTGAACAGCCAGTTACACAATTCAGGCAGTGGAGAGAAGGCCGTGGGGAGTGGCTGAGGAGTCCCTCAAGAGAAGAGGTTGCTGTTCACTGATGGTGGAGTGTTTTGAGAGTGGTGGAACCAGGTTATCCCTTTCTTCTTTTAACGTAAGTCTCATCCAAGTCATTCTCTTTTTTTGCTTCCTTGATCTCTGGAGGAAGTGAAATTGGACATATAGAGAAGGCCAGGCAGTATAATGCAGGAAACCAACCGGAACTGTTCCTTCCTAACTATGTTGGAACATTTAAGAAAGTATAGCTCTGAGACTTTAGGAGCATTGGTAGGACCTGGTCTCAGCTGGTTGGGGCTATAAACCTGATTGGCAGAACTGTTTCTTGTTGGTTTCAGACCTTCTGTGATGAAATGGAGCTTCCGAGTACCTCTAAAGAAGAAGTAATAGTTTGTCTGAATTTGAGCCAAAGACCTGAGGCCTTTTGGTCCAGGGAAAGATGCAGGAGTTGGGATGAAGAAACCAGAGAGTTCTGTCCCTTACCCGAGACCCATTGCTACTGAGCCTCAGTTTTGTCCTCTGTAAAACAGGGATAATCACTCTCTCACGGGATTGCTGTGAGAATTAAATGAGGTTAGAGAGGGACATCAGAGAAGCTTGCTTTCTGCACTCTGGAGAGCTATGTGAAGGCGAATGAATACACAGGGTGGCAGTAGACTTGGTGTGGTTTGGGGCTTCCTAAATGGCACCAGTCACCTTTCCCCTGCTAAGATTTCACCCGTCATGTTCAAGAGCCCTTTGGTACTGTTGCCCAGCTTTGCCTCACTCCCTTCAGGTAGGTCTCCTTGAAGCCACACCTCTCTTCACTTTGGTTCTTTGTGTCAATGAAGAGCGTTTTGAGGACAGAAAGTGGAACCAGTTCCATAGGATGGTAGATTCAGAATCTGGGCCACCAGGGTGGGTGACGCAGTACTGTCCCCACAGTCAAGAGACACAAAGCCTCCTTCTGATTCCCGCCGTGAGTTCTTATGTCACTGACCATCTGAGCCCTGCCTCCCTGAGCATGATGGAACAGATACAGATAGGTGGGGTGCTATGGCTGCCTACAAACAGAGGTGTCCTGCATTGTGGCTGGAACCCCAGAGGCTCAGTCCTGTCTTGTGAATTTTCAAGTGGCTCTTCTGCTGGATTTCTCTGAGCTCTTGTCAGTCATTTTGTGGCATTTCTGACTCTGTTTTAGGCCAAGTGACCCTTCTCTTGTCTGGCCCTGTCTCTCTTAGCTTCAGTTTATTATTATTAATTTTTTTTTTTGAGATGGAGTCTCGCTCTGTTGCCCAAGCTGGGGTGCAGTGGCACAATCTTGGCTCACTGCAAGCTCCACCTCCTGGGTCCACGCCATTCTCCTGCCTCAGCCTCCCAAGTAGCTGGGACTACAGGTGCCCGCCCGGCTAATTTTTTGTATTTTTAGTAGAGATGGGGTTTCACCGTGTTAGCCAGGATGGTCTCGATCTCCTGACCTCGTGATCCACCCGCCTCGGCCTCCCAAAGTGCTGGGATTACAGGCGTGAGCCACCGCGCCCAGCCAGCTTCAGTTTATTATTTATTTATTTATTTGAGACATAAATTATTATTATTATTATTATTTTTTTATTTTATCTTTTTTTTTTTGAGACGGAGTCTCTCTCTGTCGCCTAGGCTGGAGTGCAGTGGCGGGATCTCGGCTCACTGCAAGCTCCGCCTCCCAGGTTCACGCCATTCTCCTGCCTCAGCCTCCCGAGTAGCTGGGACTACAGGCGCTCACCACTGCACCCGGCTAATTTTTTTGTATTTTTAGTAGAGACGGGGTTTCACCGTGTTAGCCAGGATGGTCTCGATCTCCTGACCTCGTGATCCGCCGGCCTCGGCCTCCCAAAGTGCTGGGATTACAGGCGTGAGCCACGGCGCCATGCCATAAATTATTTATTTATTTATTTATTCTTGCTTTGCTGCCCCGGCTGGAGTGCAGTGGCATGATCTCGACTCACTGCAACCTCCGCCTCCTGGGTTCAAGTGGTTCTCCTGCCTCAGCCGGTATGGTAGCTGGTAATACCAGTAGCTGGTATTACAGGCATGGGCCACCATGCCTGGCTAATTTTTGTTTTTTTTTTTAATTAGAGATAGGGTTTCACCATGTTGGCCAGGCTGGTCTCAAACTCCTGACCTCAAGTGATCCTCCTGCCTCGGCCTCCCAAAGTGCTGGGATTACAGGTGTGGGCCACGGCACCTGGCCTATTTTGTCTTCTTAGCATACTGTTACTTGGCCAGAGCACTCACTTACCAATGGCCTGCTCCTCCCAGTGAATACTCTGTGAATACTCTATCACTCTCAGCTAATTAGTTAATGAGGTCTTAATGGGCCTGGGCTATAATTCAAATTATTGGGTCTAAGTCCTTAGGGTCCCGGCCCTGTAGCTGGTTAAGGGAAGGGCAACTTTGGGGCTTCGGGCTCTCTCTAGAAGGGTGGGCCTGAGGGCCTCAGGCCACTGGAAATTGTGGACTGGGATTGGAGCCCAGGGTTTCGGAGCCAGAGAAGCTGGACGTGGCCTGCTGAGCTGCAAAAGGGTAGCCTTGATGGAGCCTGACCTCAAGACCAGGCCTGTTTCTGGAAGTGACCCTAGATGCAGAGTCACTGCAGCATACAACCCCCTTTTCCTGTCACCCCGTGGCCAGAATGTGGAACTGGTCTCCAGAGGAGGGCTCTGAGAATCCCTGGGTAGCTGGGAGCAGACTATGGTGAAGGGTGAGGCAGTCAGATGGGGCTGTAGTCAGGACTGAGGGCTCTTCTGGCCATCTGCAGCACCCGGCCTGTTACTGGGTCTGCAGGAACCATCCTCCATACATGCCTGCTTCCTCCTGAGGGACCTGACTTAGGGAGGTTGGCTCTGGGTCCTGACTCCCTGTGTCCTGTTTGCCCTCTGCTATCCCCAGAAGCCAGAGATCCAATCAGAGCACCTTCCACCATTTAGGGCCAGCCTGCCTGTCTGCTTTCCAAACCTCATGCTGCTCCAGGGCTGTCCAGGAAACCTTTCCTGCCACACTGGCCTTAATGTTCCCCTGCACCCCCTGTTCCCGGCCCCCAGCGAAAGGGTCTTCCCAGACCACCCCTGGAATCCTAGCTCTGAGGTGATGGCACTGTTGATGAAAAAGCCAAACTCTGTTAAATATTCGAAGAGGTTTATTCTGAGCCAAATGTGAGGGCCATGACCTGTGACATAGTCCTGGGAGGTCCTGAGAACATGTGCCCAAGGTGATTGGGGTACAGCTTGATTTTTATCCAAGTTACAGGCAGAAGTTACAGGCAAAGACATAAATTGATATATGTAAGGTATACATTGGTGGGGACAGGGTAAGGTGGATTAAAAGATTTTCCTGATTGGCAATTGGCTGAAAAAGTTAAACTTTGCCTAAAGAGTTAAAAGTCAGCAGAAGAAAAGCTTGGGGTTAAGATAAGGTGGGTTGTGAAAGCCAAGGTTCATGTAACGTAGATGAAGCCTTCAAGAGAATAGATGGTAAATGTCTCTAAGGTGTCAGACTCTTAGTTAAATCTCCTCTAAATCAGGAAAAGGCCTAGAAAGGGAAGGGAATCTCTGCAGGACATAAATTTTCCCAACAAGAGATGGCTTTGCAGGGCCATTCCAAACTATGTCAAAAATATACTTGGGGGTAAGATACTTTGATTTCCTTAGGGCCTGTTATCTCCCATGTGATGTTAGACCAGTCAGGTTGGAGTTGGTATCTTAATTGCTGAGAGTCTGTTCTGTCAGTCTTAGGAGTCTGTTTTAATGTTAATGCTGGTCAGTTGTGTCTAAGCTCCAAAAGGGAGAGGCTAGGATGAGGCATGGCCCACGCCCCACTTCGTGTCATGGCCTGAACTCAGTTTTCAGTTTTTTTGAAATCCCTTTGGCCAAGGGGGGCCCATTCAGGCAGTTGGGGAGCTTAGAATTTTATTTTTGGTTTACAGCACTCACTCAGGAATCGGGTTTTCCTAGGGCTGGGGTTGGCTTCCTCCTGGGGGCTGGTGGTGGAGTCAGGCCGCTTATCAGCCCTGGGACCTCAGGAACTTCCTTGACCTGGGTCAGCTGCCATTTCCTTATCTGTCAGGTGGAGACAATAAAACAGCACTCCTAGGGTCCTTAGGAGGAACATAAATTAGGCAATATATGTAAAGAGAACTGAGCCCATTTAACTTTTCTTGGTTTTGTTAACTTCTTTGTGCGGTGATTGAGAGCTGAGACAGACATCACCTTTCCCTTTCCCCTGATGCTCAGCCAGGAGTTGGCTAGAGATTTGTTTACGTGTGAATGTGCCTGCCTGGCCCAGGTCTGTCCAAGTTGCTGTGGTGGGGCCAAGCCAGTCAGCAGCCCCCTCAGGCTCAGGCTAAAGTCCCCACCCCACCCGCCCCACCCCACCCCACCCCACCCCACCCCACCCACTTCCAGGAGGAAGCTGGCAGCCCTGAGGGATTTAACCACTCACTGACTTCAGCTCTTCCTGCATACTCATTTAGGTGATGACATTCTTGGTCTGTAGGTTTAGGTGGCCACATCCACTGGGATGACAGATGCCAGGTACAACATATCAGGTACAGGTACATATCAGGCCCCGTGACAGGCATTTTACACATTCTCCATCTGAGAGGTCTGAGCATGCCTACCTGGTTAGTGGCAAACTGCGATGAGACCTCATGGTCATCCCGGTTAGACACGTCCCTGTCTGTGCTGCTCAAGCCAGACCCTCGAAGCCCAAATGAGGAGCAGAAGTGTAGCAAGGGAGCCCTCCCCTTTTGAAGCCGTTCCAGTGGTACTTTTTACTGCTGAGCTGGCAGATGTTGGACTGGGACAGGAGTGAGGGGTGGGGGCAGGGTGTTGCAGGACCCAGCCCCTGAATGTGATGTGTGAGCCTGTGAGCCCCTGCTTCCTGGTCCCATTGGGTTCCTGCCACCTTCAGCTGCAGCCTCCCCCTCGAACCTGCAGCTCCGTATCTGAATCAGCCTGTCGTTCCCTGCCTACAGGTTTCAATCCTACAGGGCCTTGGCTTTCTGGGCAGCATTTGATGTGAAGCGCCCTTACCACCTACTCCTTGGGGTGGACCCACCCCTGGCACCCAGGACTCCTTGCCTCCCAACGACTAAGCCCCCTGGGCTTTCCTTCCTTGTTTCTTTCCTTCAAATCTATTATCAGTTTTTACTTTTGTGTTCTGCAAAGGCCTTTTTGGTTGCAGTTTGAGTAAGAGAGGCTGACCTCCTGCTGCTTGCTGGGAATGGACTCTGGCTGGGGGAAAGTTCCCTGCCCATTCATCTGGCTGCCATCTGTCTCTTCAGGTGTCATGTGATTCTCTGAGGGAGCAGCTGCGTGAGTGGAGATGCTTTCAGTGGTGGAGAATGGACTGGACCCCCAGGCTGCCATCCCGGTAGGTGGGTGAGGGAGGATCAAGGGCGGGGAAGGGCTGCAGGGGACAGTTGTATCATCGGCTTGGCTCACTTCCTTGGGCACTGTCCTGCAAGAGAGACCAGGTTGAGAAAAAGTTACAGCACAAGCAGGCTCTGAGGAGACCCTGTCTTTTCTAGATCACCTTATTGGTGATAAGATGGAGATTTATGAAAAGCAGTGGGAATTTAAGATCAGTAACCTGAAGACCAAGGATTTCCATTCAGCCCTTCAGCCCTCTGCCCTTAGGCCATGATTTGGTCACAGTCTGGCCAAAGCACTGAATGGGTGGGAAACAGATATTCCCAGGCACTGGTTTGTTGTTTCAGTAATGGGGGTAAATTGGTAACTTACATGTATCTGAACACTTACCATTTTCTAGGATATTCTAAATGTAATTATTTGTGAGCAGTTCACTGGAGCCCCCTAGGACCTTTTCTTGGACAGCCCTTTGCACCCTCCTGGGCTATCTTGGGTACTCCAGATAGAGCTCTCTGTTCTCTTGGAGAGGCAGGAAGTCAGGTAGCTTTGGGGCTGGTCCCTTAGCAGCATCCTGAGATGGCTTTCGGGGAGAAGCCAGGATTTCCTTTCCTCCCCACTGCTGCTTCCCAGCTCAGAGAACTCTGCTTGAAAGAAACTGTAGCTCTCAGAGACGTGCCTTTCCCCGTCCTGGCCACAGGAGAGTCCAGCTCCACCTGTTTCCCAGCTGGCTTTCATGCAGAGGCTCTTCCCTCCCCTCTGCACCCCCACTCTCCCACCCCCAGTGCCTGCCGAATCCCACCCCAGGACCCTCCAGAGCTAGGGCAGAAGCCTGGCCAACCCAGCCTTCTAACAACAGCTGCACAAACTGACTCCATGAGGGTATGCCTTTCTTGAGGGTATGCCTTATTTCTCCCTGTATACCCTAACCCAACACCTAGTAGGTGCTCAATTGAACGAAGTATGTATGTACTTTTTAAATATAATATACAAATAACATCTTGCTTTTAAAAGAACATTTAAAATTAGACTATTTCAAGATTAAAAACTTTTGAGCTTCAAAGGATACTACCAAGAAAATGAAAAGACAACCCACAGAATGGGAGAAAATATTTGCAAATCAAATATCTGATAAGGGTCTAGTATCCAGAATGTATAAAGAACACTTATAACTCAACAATAAAAAGACAAATAATCCAGTTATAAAATGGGTAAAGGATTTAAATAGACCCTTCTCCAAAGAAGATACACACATGGCCAATAAAGATGCTCATTATCATTAGACATCAGGAAAATGCACATCGAAACCACAGTGAGATACTACTTCACACCCCCTAGGATGGCTGTAATAAAAAAGGCAATAACTAGTGCTGGCAAAAATGTGGAGAGATTGGAACTCATATATTGCTGGTGGGAATGTAAAATAGTGCAGCCACTTTGGCACACAGTTTGGCAGTTCCTTGATAAGTTAAACATAGGGTTATGTGTACAGTTCCACTCCTAGATATATACCCAAGAGAACTAGAAATATAAGTCCACTCAAAAACTTGTACATGGATGTTCATAGCAGCATTATTGATAATAGCAAAAGAGTAGAAACAACCCAAATGTCTATTAACTGATGAATGGATGAATAAAATGTGGTATATCTAGGCAGCGGAATATTTTCTGGCAATAAAAAGGGATGAAGTCCTGATACATGCTACAACATGATGGAAAATATGCTAAGTGAAATAAGTCAGATTCAAAGGGTCATATGCTGTATTGATATCTATTCATGTGAGATGTACAAAATATGCAAAGCCACAGAAACAGAAAATAGATTAGTGACTGCATTCACTTCGTATTCCCCTTTCTCCCAGCCCCTGGCAATCACTAATATACAGTATTTCTTTTTGGGGTGATGAAAATCGTTTTTTTTGTTTGTTTTTTTGTTTTTTTGTTTTTTTGTTTTTTTGAGACGGAGTCTCCCTCTGCTGCCCAGGCTGGAGTGCAGTGGCACAATCTTGACTCACTACAAACTCCACCTCCCAGGTTCAAGTGATTCTCATGCCTCTGCCTCCCAAGTAGCTGGGATTATGGGTGTGCACCACCATGCCCGGCTAATTTTTGTATTTTTGGTAGAGATGGGGGTTTCACCATGTTGGCCAGGCTGGTCTCGAACTCCTGACCTCAGGTGATCCACTCGTCTTGGCCTCCCGAAGTGCTGGGATTATAGGCGTGAGCCACTGTGCCCGGCCAGAAAATCTTCTAAAATTAGGTAGTGGTGATGGTTGCACAATTGTGTGAATATACTAGAAACAATTGAACTGTATACTTTAAATGGGTGTATTTTATGGTATATGAATTATATCTCATTAAAACCGTTATATTTTTTCAAATTTAACTTTTCAAAGAATGTTAACATTTAGTGTTTTGGCTGAAATCAAAATAAAAGATTAAAATATGTAGCCATAATCCTATCACCCAACAATTCAAACCAGTTTTTCTGTAATCCCTTCCAGTCCTTTTCCAATCACTTATGTGATTTTCACATGCTTATAATTATGCTCAATTTTTACTCTATATTTCCAAAAGACTCTATGTACATTTTGTGGTGTATCATTTAACAAACATTTATTGAGTATTTCTATGTGCCAGGCACAGTGCCAAGTGTTGACACAAGGATGAATAAAACACTAGTCTTAGTGCCACACTCAGCTCTTTTATATATATGTTTTTTGTTTTGTTTTGTTTTGTTTTGTTTTGTTTTTCTGAGATGGAGTCTCACTCTGCCACCCAGGCTGGAATGCAGTGGCACGATTTTGGCTCAGTACAACCTCTGCCTCCTGGGTTTAAGTGATTCTCCTGCCTCAGCCTCCTAAGTAGCTGGGATTACAGGCACTCACCACCACACCTGGCTATTTTTTTTTTTTTTTTTTTTGAGGCGGAGTCTCGCTCTGTCGCCCAGGCTGGAGTGCAGTGGTGCGATCTTGGCTCACTGGAAACTCCGCCTCCTGAGTTCACGCCATTCTCCTGCCTCAGCCTCCCGCGTAGCTGGGACTACAGGCGCTGCCACCACGCCCAGCTATTTTTTTGCATTTTTAGTAGAGATGGGGTTTCAGCCTGTTATCCAGGATGGTCTCGATCTTCTGACCTCGTGATCCGCCCACCTCGGCCTCCCAAAGTGCTGGGGTTACAGGCGTGAGCCACCGTGCCCGGCCCACACCTGGCTAATTTTTGCATTTTTAGTAGAGACAGGGTTTCATCATGTTTGCCAGGCTGATCTCAAACTCCTAACCTCAAGTGATCCGCCTGCCTTGGCCTCCCAAAGTGTTGGGATTACAGGTGTGAGCCACCACACCCAGCCTCTTTTTAGAATTTATCTAGTAGGTTTTCTGGTTTTCACCAGAAACCACTTCCCAAAAAAAAAAAGAAAAAAAAAGGTAGTCCTGTCCTCAGGAGAATCCTCATAGTACTATAAATCAGAAAGTATTATTTCCACTTTAACAGATAAGGAAATTGAGGCTCAAAGCGGTTAAGTGGAATGTCTGAGGAGGCCCATCTGGTTACTGGCAGCTAGGACTGAGCCTAGTCCTCTGGCTTCCAGGCCTAGGATCTTTCTTTTTTTGAGACAAGGTCTTGCTATGTTGCCCAGGCTGGAGTACAGTGGTGTGATCACAGCTCACTGCAGCCTTGAACTCCTGGACTCAAGCAGTCCTCCTGCCTCTGACCTCCCAAAGTTCTGGGATTACAGGTTTGAGCCACCACGCCCAGCCTAGGATCTTTCTTAAAGTAAACCATGCTCCTGTTCTCCTCATGTTTTTATTGTTCTAAAGCAGTGTGGGTGTTTATTGTTTGTTTGTTTTTGCCTCTTGGCTTATTGATTCTCTACAGAAGCTTGTCCATGTAAAAAAGGTGGGAAGCCCCACCCTTGTCCTAGATGGATTTACCCAAGCTCCCATCACTGCAGCTATGATGGGGCCAATATTTAAACACAAGATTATATGGCTCTAAGTTCACTTAAGTTTGGTCTAAAAAACAAAAAGTATCTATACTAAAGGACATATGAAACAAACAATAACAGTAATTATCTCTGGGTAGTGTGTGTGATTTTCCTTTTCTTCTCTATGCTTTATCTTTCTTTGCTGTAGTTAACAATGTGCTAATTTTGCAGAAGGAATCTACAGACACACACATAGATGTGTGTGCATGTGGTTGCACACGTATTTGGCACCAGCTAAAGGATTACACTCTAGGGACTCTCCATAGGATTTTCCGCTAAAGGCCTGTGTTCTGTGTGGTGCTGCCTAGGTCATCAAGAAGAAGCTGGTGGGATCCGTGAAGGCCTTGCAGAAGCAGTACGTGTCCCTGGACACGGTGGTCACTAGTGAAGACGGAGATGCCAACACCATGTGCAGCGCCCTGGAGGCCGTATTTATCCATGGCCTGCACGCCAAGCACATCCGAGCTGAGGCCGGAGGAAAAAGGAAGAAAAGTGCCCACCAGAAGCCTCTGCCCCAGCCTGTCTTCTGGCCCCTCCTGAAAGCTGTCACCCACAAGTGAGATTTAGCTGGAGAGGTTTTGCTTTGCGGAGGAGCAGCAGACTATGGGACACTTGGCTTTTCCTCCCCAGCTGTTCAGGAAGCCAACAGAGGTGCCCTGTGTTCTAGCATAGAGAGAGGGTGAGGTAGGGGTTGAAAGTGTCTTCTAGAAAGGCTTATCTCTAGACCAAGCTTCCCAGCCAGTGTGCCAGCAGATCTTGAGACCCTCAGCACTCAGGCAAGAGCCTGTGGCTGCTTTGAGACTGGTCACAAAAAGCAGGTGAGACTGGCCACCTTTAGCAGGAACAGCCTTTTTTGCCACACTGGGGCAGAGTTACATAGTTACAACAGAGGTTGTGTGGCCTGCAAAGCCTGAAGAATATACTATCTGGCCCTTTACAGAAGGGCTGACCCTGCCTTGGATTTGCTGACCCTGCCTTAGATTATTCAAACATCCGAATTGTAAATCTTTTTTTTTTTTTTTGGGATGGAGTTTCGCTCTGTCACTCAGGCTGGAGTGCAATGGCGCGATCTCGGTTCACTGGCACCTCTGCTTCCCAGGTTCAAGCAATTCTCCTGCCTCAGCCTCCTGAGTAACTGGGACAACAGGCGCGCACCATCACGCCCAGCTAATTTTTGTATTTTTAGTAGAGAGGGGTTTTGCTATGTTGGTCAGGCTGCTCTCAAACTCCTGACCTTGTGATCTGCCTACCTCCGCCTCCCAAAGTGCTGGGATTATATAAAGAGTGGAATCAGGAAAAGCATATGAATATTCACCCTGAGACACTTATCTCTTTGGCCCCTAACTGTCTGGGCTTTTGAGCAAGTAGCTGGCACTGTGCCTCTGAGGACTACTAAATGCCACCTTCAGCCCAAAAGAAGCCTTGTCAGTCTCTAATCTTCCTTTCCATGCAGATTGCCACTGCCTTGTCTCACGTTCTTCTTTCCTGGGTGACACTGGCTTTCTATTTGTCCCCCTTATCTCACTCTGTCTTTCCTTGAGTCCATCATCTGGTCAACATTTACTGAGCTGAAGCTCCCTGGAGCTTACTCACTGAGCCTAGTAGAGTGCGGTCTACATTCCCATGGAGGAGATAAACCTGCGCTAGGGACTGTGGTAGCTCAGAGGGGCATGTACATCAGACGGAGGCATTCTGGGACTGAGTTTGGTACACCTGGGGTCTGATCTCCTTATGCAGAACATCTACCCTGCAGTCTGCATGACTGTGGTCAAGTCACTTTTCTAAACAAAAATCTGTAGCCTACAGGCTCCCAGATGCTAGCCTGGAGACTGATTCACTAGGTTGGGGTCCCAGAACTTGTATCCTGCTCAAGTTCCCCAGGGGGTTCTGGTGCACAGCTGGGTGTGGGGCCATTACCCCGTGTTGCCTTATTGATTTGATATTTAAGACCCTCTCTTTCCTGGCCTTGCAACCAAACCACCCACTTTTCCGCCACATGCTGTAATTGGAGCGCTCCCCAATCCTCTTACAGGGTTGTTGATTTCCTACACTTTATGCCTTTTTCCATCAGTCCCTTGTGCCTGAGGGCAGGGACCATGTCTTTACCCTGCATCTTCATTGCTCCAAGGACTTTGCACTTAAGGAGCTCTGACAGCATGCCTTAGATGAGCAGATGTGTCAGGGGCCCCGTGGTAGTTGGAATGAACATGGAAATTATCTTTCACAATTCCAATCTCAAAATATATATATATATATAATGTATAAATATATATAATTTATATTTATATATTTATTATATATAAATATAAATATATATATATATATTGCCTAGGCTGGAGTGCAGTGGTCCAATCTCCGCTCACTGTGACCTTTGCTTCCCAGGCTCAAGCTATCCTTCCACCTCAACCTCCCGAGTAGCTGGGTAGCTGGGACTACACGTGCAAGCCACCACATCTGGCTATGTTGTTGTTGTAGAGACAGAGTTTCGTCCTGTTGCCCAGGCTGGTCACGAATTCCTGAGCTCAAGTGATCCACCTGCCTTGGCCTCCCAAAGTGCTGGGATTACAGGTGTGAGCCACCACATCTGGCCTAAAACACTATTACCCAATATTTTTTCATGCCTGTATCTATTTGCAGTAGTTATTCCTGGTTCCTGCTAACCAGTGGATAAAAGCACATCTCTGTGATTTGGGGTAGTTTCTTGAAACACGTCTGTTCTCCCTTCCCAGACACATCATCTCAGAGTTGGAGCACCTGACGTTTGTCAACACGGATGTGGGCCGCTGCCGGGCATGGCTGCGGCTGGCCCTGAACGATGGCCTGATGGAGTGCTACCTGAAGCTGCTGCTGCAGGAGCAGGCCCGCTTGCATGAGTACTACCAGCCCACCGCCCTGCTCCGGGATGCTGAGGAGGGCGAGTTCCTCCTTAGCTTCCTGCAGGGCCTCACGTCCTTGTCCTTCGAACTCTCCTACAAGTCTGCCATCTTAAATGAGTGGACGCTCACCCCATTGGCCCTGTCTGGGCTTTGCCCGCTTTCTGAGCTGGACCCTCTCTCTACCTCTGGTGCAGAACTACAGCGGAAGGAATCTCTGGATTCCATTTCCCATTCTTCAGGCTCTGAAGACATCGAAGTCCATCACTCGGGCCATAAGATACGGAGGAACCAGAAGCTGACTGCCTCCTCCCTCAGCCTGGACACGGCCAGTTCATCCCAGCTGTCCTGCAGCCTAAACTCTGATAGCTGCTTACTCCAAGAGAATGGCTCCAAGAGTCCAGACCATTGCGAGGAGCCCATGTCCTGTGACTCAGACCTGGGCACAGCAAATGCTGAGGACTCAGACCGGTCTCTGCAAGAGTGAGTACGCTGCCCCCACTCCTTCCCATCTTCTCTCTTCCCTCCTTTCTTTCCTCTCCTCCTCCCTTTCTTCCCATAGCATGTGATTGTCTGTTACTGAACTCTATTAGTAATTAAAGAAAGCCAAGGGAGTCATCGACTTCTCCAGGGACTGGAGTAGCTGGGAACTGTAGCAGGCAATACAGGCATAGTGGAGAAAGTGGACTTAGAACAGCTTAGAGCTGGTTTGGGCTCCAGCTCTGCCCCGGTGACTTTTAGCAAGTTACTTGGCCGGGTGCGGTGGCTCATGCCTGAAATCCCAGCACTTGGGAGGCTGATACAGGAGGATTGCTTGAGCCCAGCAGTTCGAGGCCAGCCTGGGCAATGTAGCAAGATCCTGCCTCTAAATTAAAAATAAATAAATAAATAAAACAAAAACTGAAAACAAACAATAACAACAAAAAAACAAGATACTTAGTCTCTACAAGGCACAGTGTAAAATATTGTTGTCTTCATCTAGAAGGAAGGAAACTAATAGGTCAGAGTACATTTAAAACGTCCAACAAATAGATGAAACATAACGCATAAGAGTGTGACTTCACAGAATACCTCCTGGGGGACACAGGACCTGAGTGCTGCATGCAGGAGGTGGTGGACAGGTGGGGACAGACAGATGTGTGGAAGAGTATGTGGGGCAGATGAACTAGGCTGAAGAGAGAACTGGGCAGAGCCTTCTTCACACAGCCTTTTAAACATTTTTTTGCAGCTGGGCACGGTGGCTCACGCCTGTAATCCCAGCACCTTGGGAGGCCAAGGCAGGTGGATCACAAGGTCAGGAGATTGAGACCATCCTGACTAACATGGTGAAACCCCGTCTCTACTAAAAATACAAAAAATTAGCTGGGCATGGTGGCGGGCGCCTTGTAGTCCCAGCTACATGGGCGGCTGAGGCAGGAGAATGGCATGAACCCGGGAGGTGGAGCTTGCAGTGAGCTGAGACCGCACCACTGCACTCCAGCCTGGGTGACAGAGTAAGACTCTGTCTCAAAAAAAAAAAATAAATAAATAAATAAAATAAAAAATTTGCATAGATAATCTTTTTATGGTTAAAAAAAATCTAAAACATATACAGTGAAAGCCTTTCCCATTCCTGTTCTCCCTCTACCCTGTTCTTTCCTCCCACCCCTAAAACCATAATAATTTCCTGTATATTCTTCCAAATTTCTAAATGCATCTACAACAAATACCAGTATAAAGATTTTCAGCTGGGCGCAGTGGCTCACGCCTGTAATCCCAGCACTTTGGGAGGCCGAGGCGGGCGGATCACAAAGGCAAGAGATCGAGACCTTTCTGGCTAACACGGTGAAACCCCATCTCTACTAAAAATACAAAAAATTAGCCGGGCGTGGTGGCGGGCGCCTGAAGTCCCAGCTACTCAGGAGGCTGAGGCAGGAGAATGGTGTGGACCCAGGAGGCGGAGCTTGCAGTGAGCCGAGATCGTGCCACTGCACTCCAGCCTGGGTGACAGAGTGAGACTCTGTCCCAAAAAAAAAAAAATAAAAGATTTTTAAAATTTCTTCCTTATTTATTACTTTCTCTCCTACAAAGGCAGTATATACACACTGTTCTATATCTTGTTTTGGAGAAGATCTTTTCATTTCAGAGCTTCTTCATTCTTTTATTTTTATTTTTTATAGAGACGGGGGTCTCACTGTGTTGCCCAGGCTGGTCTTGAACTCCTGGGCTCAAGAGATCTTCCTGCCTCAGGCTCCCAAATTGCTGGGGATTACAGGCGTGAGCCACTGCGCCCAGCCTCATTCTTTTTTTTTCTATTGCATATTGTTCTAGTGTATGAATGTACCTTAGTTTACTTAATCAGCCCAGTATTTAATGGGTGCTGGGGCCTGTGTTTTCATAAATAACCTTGTGTATGTGGTCTTTTAGTTCTGCGTAGCTATCTCTGTTCCATAAACTCCCAGAAGCAAAATTGCCGAGCAAAAGGATAGACTAATATGGAATGTTCACAGATTATTGCCCATTTACACTCCACCAGGAATGTCCTTGTTTCTTAGCCTTGCCAACTGATGGTATTAGTGAACTTTTGGATATTTGCTCATCTGATAGGTGGAAAATGGGAACTTCTTATTAAAAGCCTCCTTCAGCTGGATCCATGCTGCATCAGCGGAAAAGAAGGTCCCACGTGTTTGGGACCTTCTTTCCACTCGCCCTGTGCCCTCGCCTTGGTTCAGGTCCCTCCAGGGTTCTCACCCACCATGGAAAGAGCACCAGCGTTGGGTGGTGTTACGGACTGGGCTTGGAGCCGACCTAGTTTCGAGTCCTGTTCCACCACTTACAAGCCCAGGAAGGTCAGGCACATTGTTTGTTAGTCAAACAATATAGGAGATTGTCTCGTAGTCCCAGAAATGGCTTCTGAGCATATTAGGTGGAGTTTTCAAATGTTAAATGGAGGAATTTAGATAGAATACATTGGGGAGGAACAGTGTCTGCCTCCTGTGACCACTGGGACCATGGCATGACAGGCCTGCAGTGTGACCCAGGCACAGGGCATGACCTAGGTTCACTCACCTGTCTTAGCCCTTCCTGTGTGTCTGCCTCCTCTGCAGACCAGCCAGCCATCCCTTGTCATATGTCTCGCCTTTATCTCATGTGTCTTGTGATGGAAAATTCCAGCTTAAGGTCACTGAATCAGTGACCATCCTCTCTGTGCAGGAAGTGTTGTCCCGGCTATTATGGGGAAACTGGAGGGTCAAGGGTCAGGATGTATAGACAAATGCCGGACAGTGGTGTGAGTAACTGGCAAATGTAAGACATACAGATGCACAAACACACAGCCAGCACCAGCATTCATAGAGCTGGGCCTTGAAGTTAGTCCTTGAGCATCCACAGAGACCAGCATTTCTTGAAGTGTATATTTCAAGGGTAAAATGTTCTCACCGACATTTAGAGTTCATCAAAGTTGTTACATTATTTAAATATTTGTAACTTTAAATTAGACATAAATTCCTTGTGCTTATCATTACACATATAAAATCAAAACATCCACAAATCAAACATAAAGAAAAGCATAAAAGACACAACATTCAAAATGAAATTTATTAATATAAAGCGGTTCTGTTTGGCAGAAACCAAATTGCAGTTGGCCTAGTGAATTGACTGTCCTAAATAGCTTCTTCCGTGTAGATTGGATCTGTATTATAATCATCACTGAGTGGCATAGGTATAGTCTGGAGGGTTTAAGTACTTAGATTTAAGTACTTAGAATGGTCCCTGGCACAGAGGCATCAATAGTGCTCAATTGATGGTATTGTTGTATTTTATTTTATTCAATATTTTATTTATTTTTTGAAACGGAGTCTCGCTCTGTCCCCCAGGCTGGAGTGCAGTGGCATGATCTCGGCTCACTGCAACCTCCGCCTCCTGGGTTCATGCGATTCTCCTGCCTCAGCCTCCCGAGTAGCTGGGATTATAGGGGCCTGCCACCACACCCAGCTAATTTTTGTACTTGTTGTAGAGAAAGGGTTTCACTATGTTGGCCAGGTGAACTCCTGACCTCAGGTGATCCGCCTGGCTCAGCCTCTCAAAGTGCTGGGATTACAGGCATGAGCCACCATGCCCAGCCTGGGTAGACATGTTTTTAATTCTCTTAGTTACATACCTAGGGGTGGAATTGCTGGGTCATATGTAACTCTATGTTTAACTTCTTGAGGAACTACCAAATTGTTTTCTGCAGTAGTTGCATCATTTTACATCCCCCACCCACTAATATATACAAGCTTTAATTTCTCTACATCTTTTCCCACCCTTATTATTTTCTGTCTTTTTTATTACAATCAACCCAGTGGGTATAAAGTGGTATTTCATTGTAGTTTTGATTTGCATTTCTCTGATGACTGATGCTGTTGAGTGTCTTTTCATGTGCTTATCAAACATTTGGATATCTTCTTTGGAGAAATGTCTGTTCAGATCGTTTGCCCATTTAAACATTTAGTTATTTGTCTTTTTATTGTTGATTTGTAAGTGTTCTGTATATATTCTGGATAATAGGCCCTTCTGTATAATTTAAAAATATTTCCCCCCATTCTTTGAATTGTCTTTTTACTGTCTTGATAGTATCCTTTAAAACACAAACGTTTTGGCCAGGCACAGTGGCTCACTCCTGTAATCCCATCACTTTGTGAGGCCAAAGCAGGCGGATCACGAGGTCAGGAGATCGAGACCATCCTGGTTAAAACGGTGAAACTCCATCTCTACTAAAAAAAAAACAATACAAAAAATTAGCTGGGCGTTGTGGCGGGCGTCTGTAGTCCTAGCTAATCGGGAGTCTGAGGCAGGAGAATGGCATGAACCCGGGAGGCGGAGCTTGCAGTGAGCCGAGATGGCGCCACTGCACTCCAGCCTGGGCGACAGAGTGAGACTCAGTCTCAAATAAAAAAAAAAAAAACCACACAAACGTTTTTTATTTTTGTTTTTTGAAACAGAGTTTCACTTTGTTGCCCAGGCTGGAGTGCAGTGGTGTGATCTCGGCTCACTGCAGCCTCCCCGTCCCGGGTTCAAGTGATTCTCCTGCCTTAGCCCCCCAAGTAGCTGGGATTACAGGTGCGCACCACCACGCCCAACTAATTTTTGTATTTTTATTAGAAACAGGGTTTCACTATGTTGGCCAGGCTGATCTCGAACTCCTGGCCTCAGGTGATCCACCCGCCTTGGCCTCCAAAGTGCTGGGATTACAATTTATTTTTTATTGCTTTCTTATGCTGTAGATCTCACATCTAAGAAACCATTGCCTAATCCAAAGACATGAAGTTTATACCTCTCTTTCCTTCTAAGAGTTTTACAGTTTTAGCTCTTACCTTTAGGTCTTTAATCCACTTTGAGTTAATTTTTGTATACAATGTGAGATAGCAGTCCAGCTTTTTTCTTTTGCATGTGATTATCCACTTATCTCAGCACAATTGTTGAAAAGACTATTCCCTCCCCATTAAAATGTGTTGGTGTCTATGTTGAAAATCAGTTACTCTTTTTTTTTTTGAGATGGAGTCTCGCTCTTTCACCCAGGCTGGATTGCAGTGGCACAATCTCGGCTCACTGCAACCTCCACCTTCCGGGTTCAAGCAATTCTCTGCCTCAGCCTCCTGAGTAGCTGGGATTACAGGCGCCTGCCACCAAGCCTGGCTAATTTTTGTATTTTTAGTAGAGACGGGGTTTTACCATCTTGGCCATGCTAGTCTTGAACTCCTGATCTTGTGGTTCTACCCACCTCAGCCTCCCAAAGTGCTGGGATTGCAGATGTGAGCCACCACACCCGGCCAAAATCAGTTACTTATACATGTATGGATTGGCCACCTATTCTTGACCATAATGTCTTGAAATGTTGTTTGGGGTTAAGATGGTGCAGAGCTCACTGGAAAGACAATCAGGTAAGCAACTTGAATTCTAAAATCCTCATTTCCCTAAGCCCAAATTAAGCAGAGCTTCATGTATCTTCTGGACCCAGTCCAAGCCATCAGGGCAGATGCAGGGAGGCTTTGGGGCCTTAGACAGCCTGTGGCCACCTGAACCAGGCTTTGCCCATGACATGCTCCACTGGTTTTATAAGCAGAAGAGATAGCAAACGGGTTTATTTTCAAAATGGAGCTTGGATCCTCAGAAGAAGCCTCAGGAGAGGGAGGAGCAGTTGCTAGTCAGTGCACATTCCAGAGGGCCCAGGGCATGTTTCTGTGCAGTGTGTATGTGTGAGTGTGGTGTGCATGCACGTGTACCAAGGCAGTAACATTTGCTCCCTGTGGCCCCAGGAAGCAGCACGGAGGAGACAGGGAGTGGCAGTCCCACCATAGAGAGTGAGCAGGGGCACATCTCGTGTGTACTCATATCCACCCTCACACACCTGGTATACATTGAGCTCCAGCAGCAGTTTCTGGGGATGTGAAGCTTCTCTGTCTCCACATCCAGTCCAGCTCTGAGGGGACCAGCCCTTGCACCTCCCCTTGCTGTCCCAGTGCCTGCACAGGAACAAAGTATGACCTTGCTTAGGAAACCTGCCTAGCCCTCGCTTCTCCTAGTCCCTGCCCCAGGGCAGAGTCCTGGCATCTCTACTCCCTGTGCTGTGGAGGAGGAGGCTCTGCTGCATACCATGTTTGGGGAAACGATTGCCCACACAACCATGTGTTTGGCTGAGCAAGCTCTCCAGGCCCACAGCTAGCCTGCTCAGAATGCCAGTAAGTCCTCATTCATACCAAGTCCTCTTCCTCTGCTGGGGAGCTTTTTCGCCTGAGATCCCAGGCTCCACAAATCACCTGTCCACGCAGTCTGCCTAAATCCTGGCCAGGAAAAACGTGGTGGGAGTGTCAGAGGAGGACTGCGTGAGGGGGAGTGCAGTGGATCATTTAGAGGGTGTGGGTTGTTTTAAATCATAAAACAGCAGTTTTGCATTCTTCCCTCTGCCCCAGTTGCCTTGGGCATTATCGCAGACAACCTGTCACACAGGT
The DNA here is from genome assembly GCF_000001405.40 of Homo sapiens. Classification (NCBI taxonomy): domain Eukaryota; kingdom Metazoa; phylum Chordata; class Mammalia; order Primates; family Hominidae; genus Homo; species Homo sapiens. The sequence continues at coordinate 45,468,614 of NC_000017.11, read as the reverse complement.
TTCTTTGTTTAAAACTTCTAGGGTATTGTTGGAATTCAGCAAAGCCCAGGTAAACTCTGTGCCAACCAACGGACTGAGCCAAGAAACAGAGATCCCCACACCACAGGCCTCGCTCTCCCTCCATGGCCTCAACACCAGCACATACCTGCACTGTGAGGCACCTGCAGAGCCCCTTCCTGCCCAGGCAGCCTCTGGAACTCAAGATGGTGTCCACGTGCAGGAGCCGCGTCCCCAGGCGCCCAGCCCCCTGGACTTACAGCAGCCTGTAGAGAGCACCTCAGGCCAGCAGCCTTCTAGTACTGTCAGCGAGACAGCCAGAGAAGTGGGCCAAGGGAATGGCCTGCAGAAGGCCCAGGCTCATGACGGAGCTGGTCTGAAGCTGGTAGTTTCCTCACCCACCAGTCCGGTGAGTGGTGCAAGCCGTTCAGGGGGCAGTCTTGGGAAATGTCAGCTGACACAGGGTTTCCCCAGCTAGTGACCCTGAGTGGTCTCTGCCTTTTCCCTGTTAGCCTTCCTCTCCCTGCATAGTGATAGTGTTAATAGCATCATGATGATGGGGCTCATGTTTCTTGGCATGTGAGCTGTAGATATAAGCCCGGCTGTTTCTTGGCATGTGAGCTGTAGATATAAGCCCGGCACTGTGCTGATCACTTCCCGTGTGTATCTCCTGTCATTTTCACGTCACTTTGTGAAGGTTGTTCTTGTCTGACCGCAGTCTCAGCTCTTTAACCACTACCACTCACCAGCATAAGGCCTTGGGCAAGTCACTTCAGCTCTCTGAACCTTCATTTCCTCCTTAGTACTTGTTATTATTAAATTAATATTTTTTGATTTTTGGTTTTTGGTATTTTTTTCAGATGGAGTCTTGCTCTGTTGCCCAGGCTGGAGTGCAGTGGCACAATCTCTGCTCACTGCCACCTTCGCCTCCTGGGTTCAAGCAATTCTCCTGCCTCAGCCTCCTGAGTAGCTGGGATTACAGGTGCCCACCTCCATGTCTGGCTAAGTTTTGTGTTTTTAGTAGAGATGGGGTTTCATCATGTTGGCCAGGCTGGTCTCGATCTTCTTGCCTGGGCCTCCTGAAGTGCTGGGATTACAGGCATGAGCTGGTGCACTCAGCCTATTAAATTAATGTTTTTAGAAAATACTAGGCCTTGAGCATACTCACTTTGCAACATGACCCAGGTTTTAGAGCCGTGCTGTCCAATATGGCAGCTACAAGCCACGTGTGGCTGTTGAACACTTAAAATGTGGCAAGTCCAAATGGAGATGTGCCATGTGAAATAAGCGCTGGATTTCAATAACTTAGTATGATAAAAGAATAGAAAATCTCATTTTTATGGATTACAAGTTAAAATGAAAATATTTGGGGGCTGGGTGTGGTGGCTCACACCTGTAACCCCAGCGCTTTGGGAGACCAAGAGGGAGGACTGCTTGAGCCCAGGAGTTGGAGACCAACCTGGGTAACAAAGTGAGACCCCATCTGTACAAAAAATACAAAAATTAGCTGGGCATGGTGGTGTGTGGCTGTACATATAGCATGAGGCTGTAGTTAATTCTTTTCCATTGTTCTGCAGTATTCCATTGTAAAAATATATTGCAACCTATTACCCATTCTCCTGTTAATGGACATTTGGGTTGTTTCCAGGTTTTGACTATTATGAAGAAAGCTGTAGTGAACATTCTCATACATGCTTTTGGAGAACCTCGGTGCTTATTTCTGTGGGTATATATACCTGGGAATGGAATTGCTAGGTCCTTGGGTGGCTTATGTTTACCTTTAATAGATACCACCACCAAACAGTTTTCTAAAGTGTTTGTGCTAATTTATACTCATATTGGCAACAAATGAGCATTCTAGTTGCTCTTTATCCTGGCCAATGGTGTTACCAATCTTTTTAATTTTAGCCACTCTGGTAGATGTGTAGTGGTTTTAATTTTCATATCCTTGATGACTAAATGATGATACCTTTTCATTTGCTTATTGGCCAGTCAATCCTCTTTTATAGAATGTCTGTCCAAGTTGTCATTCCGGTCTTAAATTGAGTTGTATGTGTATGTGTTGATTTGTAGGAACTCTTTATATATTACAGATATAAGTCTTTTATTGGACAAAAATAGTATATTTATCAAGTATCTTTTTCTAGTCTATAAGGCTTGACTTTTAAACCTCCTAATAGTATTTTTATTGAACAGAGGTTCTTTTAATGATGTGCAGTTTATCAGTCTTTTTGTTTATGGTTTGCTTGGTTTTTGTCCCATTTAAGAGATATTCATCTCCCCCAAGGATCTGAAGGTATTTGCCTATATTATCTTCTAGAAGCTTTAGTGATTTATCTTTCAAAATTAGGTTTATGATCTTTCTGGGATTAATTTTTGTGTGTGGTGTTAGAAGTCAAACCTCATATTTTTCCATATGGATATCTGATTGGCCTCACTGTTTCTTGAATATGACCATGTAAATCACAAAACTGTCAGTGTGGGTCAGAGTCTTCGAATTTGCTATCCTGAAGATGCTTCAGTACATCCTGAAGATTTGCTTCCTGAAAATGAATGCTCTAGGACCCTGAAGGTTGTGACTGTGCACCTGCCAACTCAAGCTGAAGGCTGAAGAGGAAAGCTCTGCAGCCCCTTCCTCAAGCTGGAGGCAGAGTGACGTCTGCTGGGGATGCAGGCTGTGCGCCCCACAGGACTCCAGAGTGGCACTAAGCATGTTGAGTTCACTCCTGCCCATGGTCTAGCTTCTGCTTTGCAGGCTCAGGCATCTTATCTTGCCAGGGCCTCAAAGCTGGTGGGACAGAATAGCATCTTTGCTCACTAAGCTCTGACCCACCGGCCTCCTTGCAGCTCTATAGTCCAAGCGAACTCCTTCCAACATCAGGCTTCTTTTAAAAAAAAAAATTTTTTTGAGGCAGAGTCTCACTCTGTCACCCAGGCTGAAGTACAGTGGTGCAATCTCAGCTCACTGAAACCTCCGCCTCCTAAGTTCAACTGATTCTCATGCCTCAGCCTCCCAAGTAGCTGGGATTACAGATGCCTACCACCATGCCCAGCTAATTTTTGTATTTTTACAAAATTATGGGGTTTCACCATGTTGACCAGGCTGGTCTCAAACTCCTGGCCTCAAGTGATCTGCCCACTTTGGCCTCCCAAAGTGCTGGGATTACAGGCATGAGCCACCGTGCCCGGCCCAGCCTCAGGGTTTTACATTTGCTGTTCCTTCTTTCCCGACTCACTTCATTGTTGTCTCAGCCTTCCCTGACCGGACCCCCGTAGCTCAAAAGCACCATCCCCAGTGACTCTCTGTCCCATTCATCTGCTTGACTTTGCTTATAACACTCATCACTATGTGCAATTACAGTATATTATCTCTTTGTCTCCTTGTTTATTTTCTGTCTTCCTTACTAGAATATTAGCTCTATGATACAGAGCACCAGGCCTGTTCACTTCTGTATTGTCAGCACCAAGCACTGTACCTGGGAGAAAGTAGGCATGGATGAATAGTTCTTGAACTCCCAAGAGACTCTTGAGATGCCAATTCCTAAGTTTATTTTGTTCCCCCATCCTAGCTATAAGGCTGTTTGGAATGGTTCTTTTTCTTGGTATCTCCAGCAAGTACCTGGCCCAGAATCATACAAGATGTGTGAATAAATCATGACCATCCCAATGTCTTTAATATAAAGTAACAAAGATAAGTCAAGGGGACTGGAAGGAAGGAGACAAATGTGAAACTTAAGATTATGGACGTTCAGGCGAGGCGTGATAGCTCACGCCTCTAATCCTAGCAATTTGGGAGGCCAAAGTGGGTCATCGAAGTGTACCATCGAGTGGACAGGGTGGTCAGGTTGGTGTGATCATGGCAGGCTCTGCCTCTGTGCCAGCTACAGGGGACTCTGATTGCTGGAAGGTTGCTTAGGGAATGTGACATCTAAGCGCTTGGTGCTGAATCCGATGTGAGAATCTCGGATCCTGCCCCCGTCCTGTGTCTGTCTCACAGGGAAGTTGTGGATTCATTCACTGCTTATTCAGTAGGTAGTCACCAGGTGCCACTGAATAGCCTGCCAGCTCATGTGGGCCTGCTGGGCTCCTGGCCTGTGGACAGTGCCAGGCTGTGCCCTGCATGTCTGCCCCTGTGGTCCTCATCTTTCTGTACTTCTATCAGTTAGCCACGTGCTTTTTATTTGATGTTATTTTGGGGGAGATGTTGGGGTCGCTGTCAAGTTTTATAGTGTAGAGACCCATTCAGTCTTTCTTTTAAAAACATTTATTTTTAATTCATTGAACCCAAAGCACCTACTATAAGCCAAGCACCATGTTAGGTCCTAGGGGTAGAGTGATACAACAGGACAGACAAAGGCCCTTTGGGGACAGACATTAAATTAGACAAATGATTATCCACATCATAATTACACTTGTGCTAAGCACTGGGAAGGAGAGGTGCAGGGAGTAGGGGCCTCTCAAGGGTGATGCATGTCTGGGATCTGGGGGTTGTGAGTTCGTTTCAGTTTAACTCCCAAAAGGCAGTGTGAGTTCTAGGACTTGCTCTTAATCACTGCCCCCATGGACCACCTGCCCATGGTATGTGGTTCCCCTTCCACAGTTATGAGTACAGGCAGTTCCTTTGCCTGGCATAATGAGGACTGGCTGGACAAAGTCTCATCCTTCTGAAAGTGTCCCAGAGACCTTCGTCTCACTCCTCAGCCACACTCCTCTTGGGGATTCAGCTGTTGTATATGGTGTCATGAGCCCTTTAGTAACGCAAGGTGGCATTTCTCTGTCTTGGGTCGCTGGTGGCAGTTGCAGCTCTGGTATAGATCCTTCGTCGATGATGGTTTCTCTCCACTGTTAAAGGGCGGGGTGCTGGCCAGACATGGACCCTGAGTGAGCAGGTTGTCGGAAGGTGGTGGGAAAAAAGGAGAGAAGGGGGCCGGGTGCAGTGGCTCACGCCTGTAATCCCAGCACTTTGGGAGGCTGAGGCAGGTGGATCACCTGAAGTCGGGAGTTTGAGACCAGCCTGACCAATATGGTGAAACCCCGTCTGTACTAAAAATACAAAAATTAGCCGGGCATGATGGCGTGAGCCTGTTATCCCAGCTACTCAGGAGGCTGAGGTAGGAGAATCACTTGAAACTGGGAGGCAAATGTTGCAGTGAGCCGAGATCACACCACTGTGATCCAGCCTGGGCAACAGAGTAAGACTCCATCTCTAAAAGAAAAAAAGGAGAGAAGAGAGAAACAGTGGTGTTCATGCATGCACTCTCTCTCACACCCTCTCTCTGCTCCCCACCTGCCTGGGGCCAGGGGCACACAGCCTCAGAGCTCTGTCCAGGCCCATGTGCAGAAGCTCCGAGGAACCTGCATTTCCACTGTTTTTTCCCTGTTGCTTAAGAGAGTAAAAGATGTTCCCTAGTTTCATTTCCTGGCAGCTGTGCTCAATGGACTGTGTCTGAACATTTCCTAGTAGTCTTTTTCCTCAAAGGAGAGAGAAGTCCTCCCCAGTGAATGTCCATATACTTTTTTTTTTTTTTTTTTGACACAGACTCTTGTGCTGTTGCCCAGGTGGGAGTGCAATAGCTCCATCCATCTCGGCTCACTGCAACCTCTGCCTCCAAGGCTCAAGCAATTCTTGTGCCTCAGCCTCCCGAGTAGCTGAGATTACAGGCATGCACCACCATGCCCAGCTAATTTTTGTACTTTTAGTAGAGATGGGGTTTCTCCATGTTGGCCAGGCTGGTCTCAAACTTCTGGCCTCAAGCAATTTTCCTGCCTCGGCCTCCCAAAGTGCTGGGATTACAGGCATGATCCATCATGCCCATTCTGAATGTCCATAATCTTAAAATTTACATTTGTCTCCTTCCTTCCAGTCCACTTGACCCACCTTTGTTATTTTATGTTAAAGACATTGTGATGGTCATGATTTATTCCCTCATCTTGTATGACTCGGGCAGGCACTTGCTGGAGATATCAAGAAAACCATTCCAAACAGCCTTATAAATGCTAGAATGAGGGTAAGCACAGAATATTGTGGGATCCCAGTAGGGGCCCTAACCCAGCTAGGGGGTGGGAAGGGGTGGAGGCTGGGGAAGGGTGAGAGAAGCTTCCAGGCAGAGGCGATGGATGTCTCCTGAGCTGAGTCTTCAGGGACAGTGCCCTCTCCCACCAGGCGCTGGAGATCACACAACTTCCCAGGTATATGTGAGGCTGCCAGGACAGCCACATGGTTGCCAGGGAGCTGTTTCTCCCACCCATTTTCCTCAGGGGGGTCCCCCAGTTCTTGATGACCTAGGCAGGCTTTGCTCAGAATCTAGTGTTGTGGATGGTCCCCAGTGGCTGCCCTGACTGACACATCATCTGTCACTGGCAGGGGGGAAGCACCTGCCAATTCTGAAGGCCCCGTGGAGGAGTCTCTGGGGACCTAGTTCTGTGAGCTACCCCTCAAGTTGCCTGAGTCAGAACTTGCCACCCTTGGCTTGAGGAGTCGTGTAGCATCTGAATGGATCCAACTGTCCAAACCAACCCTTCCCTGTTTACAAAGCAGGGAGTGCAGTCTTGATTCAGGGACTGGAAATAGCGATGTCAGGGTGAGGTTAGTGGCACTTAACAAAACAGTGGGGCTGGTCCCACTGCTTGTGTGACTCATTTCCTCTGTGTACACAGCCACTTAGAGTGGCCCAGCCAGCTTCCTTGCCTCTGCCCTTCCATGTTGAGGCACAGAATGCCAGGGAGGACTTGAAATACTGGAGAAAAGGAACCAGAATCCACTCCCACAAGCCCACTCACCCCAGATGCTCCCCGCAACCCCATCTTCCCCAGCCAGTGAGCAGCTTCAGATTCAAAAGAGAACAACGAAGGGAAGGGGCAGGGCCTGGCTGCCTGGGGTTGCAGGGGCCTGCACAGAAGTGGGCGGCAGAGACAGAGGCGGCCAATGAGGACCCTGAGGCCTGCTCGCCAGGACTCCCTCATCTCAAACCCAAAAGCAGGACTGAGAAACCCTACATGCTGGGACAGCTGAATACCCACATGCAAAATAATAACACCCCTTCCTTACACCTTACACAAAAACTAACTCAAAATGGACCAGAAACCTAAATGTAAGAGCTAAAACTATACAGCTCTTGGCAGAAAACACAGAAGTAAATCTGTGATACTGACTTAGGCAATGGTTTTTTAAGATGCAACACCAGAAGCACAAAAACAACAACAAAAATAGATAAACTAGACTTTATCAAAACTAACAACTTATGTGCTCCAGAGGGCACACCATCCGGAAAATGAAAAGACACCTCACAGAATGGGAGAAATTATTTGCAAATCGTAAATCTGATAAGGGTCTCGTATTCAGAATATATAAAGCACCTTACAACTTGAATTAGTCCCTAGGGCCACCATAACAAAGTACCATACACAGGGTGGTTTAAAACAACAGACATTGGCTGGGCGCGGTCGCTCATGCCTGCAATCCCAGCACTTTGGGAGGCCGAGGCGGGTGGATCATGAGGTCAGGAGATCGAGACCATCCTGGCTAACATGGTGAAACACCGTCTCTACTAAAAATACAAAACAAAATTAGCCAGGCGTGGTGGCAGGCACCTGTAGTCCCAGCTACTCAGGAGGCTGAGGCAGGAGAATGGCGTGAACCCGGGAAGCGGAGCTTGCAGTGAGCCAGGATTGTGCCACTGCACTCCAGCCTGGGCGACAGAGCAAGACTCTGTCTCAACAACAATAACAACAACAACAAAACAAAAAACAAAAACAGACATTGCTGGGCAGGTGGCTCATGCCTGTGACCTCAGCACTTTGGGAGGCAAGGGTGGGCGGATCACTTGAGTCCAGGAGTGCAAGACCAGCCTGGCCAACATGGTGAAACCCCATCTCTACTAAAAATATAAAAAATTTGCTGGGCATGCTGGTGCATGCCTGTAGTCTCAGCTATTCAGTGGGGCTAAAGCAGGAGGATTGCTTGAGCCTGGGCAGTCAAGGCTGCAATGAGCCCTGATTGCGCCACTGTACTCCAGTCTGGGCAAAGAGCGAGACCCTGCCTCAAAACAAAACAAAACAAAATAGGCCAGGCACAGTGGCTCACGCCTGTAATCCCAGCACTTTGGAAGGCTGAGGCAAGTGGGTCACCTGAGGTCAGGAGTTCAAGACCAGCCTGGCCGACAAGGTTTTGTCTCTACTAGAAATACAAAAATTAGCCGGGCATGGTGGCAAGCATCTGTAACCCCAGCTACTCGGGAGGCCGAGGCAGCAGAATTGCTTGAACCTGGGAGGCGGGGGTTGCAGTGAGCTGAGATTGCACCATTGCACTCCAGCCTGGGTGACAGAGTGAGGTTCTGTCTCAAAAACAAAACAAAACTGGTATTTATTCTCTGATCGTTCTGGAGGCTCCTTCTGGAGAATCTAAGGAAGAATCTGTTCCCGCCTTTCTCCTGGGTGGCGTTGCAGGTGCTCGTTTGCATTCCTTGGCTTGTAGACATGTCACTCCTGTCTCCCCTCTGCTGTCACACATGTTCTACTGTCATACAAGTTCTTCCTCTGTATCTCTGTCTTCACTTGGTGTTCTCCTCTCTTTGTGTATCTTTTCTCCTCCTCTTATAAGGACATCAGTCATACTGGATGAACAGCCCATTCTACTCCAACATGACCTCATCTTAACTAATTACTTCTGCAAAGACTCTATTTCCAAAAAAGGTCACATTCTGAGGTACTGGGGGGTAGGGTTTCAACATGTCCTTTTGTGGGGGGGTCACAATTCAACCCACAACACAACTCAGCAACAAAAAGACAGCCCCATTTTAAGACAGACAATGGATTTCAGTAGATTCCAATGGATTTGGATAGATTTCCCAAGGAGAGAAATTGGAACCCTCGTACATTGCTGGTGGGAATATAAAATGGTGCGGCCACTTTGGAAAACAGCTTGGTAGTTCCTCAAGAAGGGAAACATAGAGTTACACATGACCCAGCAAGTCTACTCCTAAGTATATACCCAAGACAATGAAACATGTCTACACAAAAACTTGTGTATAAGTGATCATAGCAGCACTATTCATAATTGACAAAAAGTAGAAACAACCCAAATGTCCATCAGCCGAGGAGTGGATAAGCCAAATGTGGTGGATCGAGACAATGGAATATTATTTGGCAATAAAAAGGAATGAACACTTAAACATGCTTATATAACATGGATGCACCTGGAAAACCTCCCACTAAGAGAAAGAAGCAGGCACAAAAGGTCACGTGTCGTATGGTTCCATCTATATGAGATGTCCAGAACAGGCAGGTGTGTAGGGACTGAAAGTAGGTAAGTAGGTGCCTAGAGCTGAGAGTGGCCAGGGGAAATGGGGATGACGGCTAATGGGTACGGGGTTTCCTTTTTGGGTGAGGAAAATTTGCTAAACTTAGATGGTGGTGACGATTGCCCAACTCTGACTAAGCCAAAATGTTTGAATTGGACACTTTATTTATTTATTTTTTTAGAGATGGGGTCTCATTCTGTTGCCTAGGCTGCAACCAGGCTGGAGGGCAGTGGCGTGATCACGGCTCACTGCAGCCTTGACCTCCCTGGCTCAAGCGATTCTCCCGCTTCAGCCTCCTCAGTAGCTGAGACTACAGGTGTGTGCCATCACACCCAGCTAGTTATTTTTTGTAGAGATGGGTTCTCACTGTGTTGCCCAGGTTGGTCTCAAACTCCTGGGCTCAGGTGATCCTCTCACCTCAGCCTCCCAAAGTGCTGGGATTACAGGTGTGAGCCACCATGGCTGGCCGAATTACATACTTTAAGTGGGTTAATTTTATGATATAAGAGCCATATCTAGATAAAGACTTAAAAAAAAAAAAAACTTCAGGCTGGGCACAGTGACTCACACCTGTAATCCCAACACTTTGGGAGGCCGAGGTGGGTGGCTCACCTGAAGTCAGGAGTTCTAGACCAGCCTGGCCAACATGGTGAAACCCCGCCTCTACTAAAAATACAAAAATTAGCTGGGCATGGTGGTGGGCGCCTGTAATCCCAGCTACTCAGGAGACTGGGGCAGGAGAATCGCTTGAACCCAGGAGTCAGAGGTTGCAGTGAGCCGAGGTTGCGCGATTGCACTCCAGCCTGGGCAACAGAGCGAGACTCCGTCTCAAAACAAAAAAACTTTAAAACAAACAACTGTTGTCTTCTTTCCCAACAGAAAAACAAGAGCTGGATCTCAGAGGATGACTTCTACCGGCCTTCCCGGGAGCAACCCCTGGAGAGTGCTTCAGACCACCCAATAGCTTCTTACAGGGGGACTCCAGGGTCAAGGCCTGGTCTCCACAGGCATTTTTCTCAAGAACCAAGAAAAAACTGCTCCCTGGGGGCGTTAGACCAAGCGTGTGTACCTTCCCCAGGAAGAAGGCAAGCCCAGGCAGCCCCATCCCAGGGGCATAAGAGCTTCCGGGTGGTACACCGGAGACAGATGGGTAGGTTACCAGGAGGGTCCCGGGTGGGTCCCATCTGCAGGGACCAGGCCTTTCAGAAGGCAGCTGTGAAGTTCTGTTTTCCATTGCTAAAGGGGTAGTGTGTTCCCACAAGTGTTATAAAACCTCATTCCAGAATGCCATCATAATCATGTTCATTCAGGGAAGCATTTCAGGAAAAGTAGTATATTGTCTCAAAACTGCCTACAGAGGACAAAAATACTGTTTCACCAGTCAAATAGGAAAATATTTTCCCTGAAAACTATGCAATTTATGATTATAGAAAACTCTTGATTCCACCTGTAGCTCAGAGCACATCCGGCCCCATGAAGCCCCAGGTGTTTTAAATGGTCCTTCCAAACGTGTTTACCCTCAGTAGTTGGTTTATGTAACAGCTCTGGGTGGCTTGATCAAATCTGCTATTTGTTTTGTTTGTTTGTTTGTTTTGAGATGGAGTCTCCCTTTGTTGCCCAGGCTGGAGTGCAGTGGCATGATCTCTGCTCACTGCAACCTCAGCCTCCTGGGTTCAAGCAATTCTCCTGTCTCAGCCTCCCAAATAGCTGGGATTACAGGTACCTGCCACCACACCTGGCTAATTTTTTTTTTTTTTTGAGGTGGAGTTTCCCTTTTGTTGCCCAGGCTGGAGTGCAATCATGTGATCTCAGCTCACCACAACCTCCGCCTCCCGTGTTCAAGCAATTCTTCTGCTTTAGCCACCCGAGTAGTTGGGATTACAGGCATGAGCCACCATGCCTGGCTCATTTTGTATTAGTAGAGACGGGGTTTCTCGAAATTGGTTAGGCTGGTCTCCAACTCCCGACCTCCGGTGATCCACCCCGCCTCGGCCTCCTAAAGTGCTGGGATTACAGGCATGAGCCACTGCGCCTGGCCAATTTTTGCATTTTTAATAAAGATGGTGTTTTGCTATGTTGGCCAGGCTGGAGGATCTGCTATTTGTTTAATGTCCTCCAGTGCTTCTTTTTTTTTTTTTTTTTTTTTCTGAGGCAGAGTCTTGCTCTGTCACCCAGGCTGGAGTACAGTGGTATAATCTCAGCTCACTGCAGCCTTTGCCTCCCAGCTCAAGTGCCTCAGTCTCTCCAGGAGCTGGGATTACAGACATGCACTGCCACACCCAGGTGATTCTTGTATTTCCAGTGGACATAGGATTTTGCCATGTTGGCCACACTGGTCTGAACTCTTGGCCTCATGTGATCCACCCACCTTGGCCTCCAAAAGTGCTGGGATTACAGGTGTGAGCCACTATGCCCGACCTCCCCAGTGCTTTTTACAGCAAGGTCAGCTTGATCTCCACACACTGAAATTCCAGAAAGCCTTAAATAACCATAACCAAATTTTTCAGTAACCTTCATGATGGGTTTCCTCTTCAAAACAAACAAAAAAAGTACGCTCTAGAATTGGTCTCTTTCTCTCCTCATTTTCTGTCTGCAGTGACCCAGCAGAGAATCCTGCCCAGCTCAGGGGGCCTTGCTGTGGGTAGCCCTGGCATGGGTTGTGTGGGTAGAGCCCGGTCTCCGGGCTGGCTTCTGTTAGGTTTGTCTGTTGGCCCGTGTGATGGCTGTGGTCTCTAACCTGCCAGCGAAGCTGTGCTTCAGGTCTAGGCCATCAGGTTTCTTGAGGGGCAGGGAACCCCCATAGAATAGTGTGAAATCTCCAAGGCTATTCCAGGCTGGCGGAGAGAGAATTGTGTGTCCTTTGGACACCCTGGTTGTTGTCACACCCCAGGCAGCAGGGAGCTGTGGGCAACATGTGATACATAGGCACTCACCTGCTCATTCATTCAGCAAATATTATTGAGGCTCTGTGATGTGCCAGGCACTGTTCTAAGTGCTGGAGACATAGCAGGCAGCAAAGCAGTGTCCCTGTCTTCATGGGATTTAGATTCTAGTAGAGGAGACGGGAAATAAAATTAACAAGTAAGCATAGTGTGTGGTCAGGTGGTCATAAGTGCTATGGAGGACAGTAAATCTCTACCTGTCTACAGAGGTAGAGAGTGGACCACTGCATATAGGATGGCCAGAAAAGCCCTCACCAATAAGGGGATGTTTGAGGAGATGCAAGGGGAGAGAGGGAAGGAGTCATGAGGCAATGTACGTGTTTCAAGCAAGGAGAACAAATGCAAAGACCCTGCGCTGGGGCTGCGCTTGACACATCCAGGGACAGTGGAGACCAGAGTGGCAGGAGAGAGGAGATGGGGGCGTGGCAGTGAGCGATGAGGTCAATCTGACGAGGCCTGTGGGCCACTGGAAGCACTTTGGCTTCAGCTAAGGGAGATGGCCGCCACTGTGGAGTTTTGGGGCAGAGGGACATGCTCTGACTTCCCTTTAAATGGGTCATCATGGCTCCTACGCTGAGGGACTACAGGGGAGAAGGGGAGAAAGACCAGTTAGGAGGTTGTCATCACAAGCCAGGCCAGAGATGACAGTGGGTGGGGTGCAGCTGGGGAGAGGCGGGGATTCCGGATGTGTGGAAGGCAGAGCCAATGGGATTTGCTGATGTAGGCTGCGAAAGAAAGAAAACCTGGGGTAACACCAAGATTTTTAGCCCAGGCATCTGGAAGGATGAATTTTGCTATTTGGTGAGATGAGGACCATTCAGGAGGAAGCAGGCTGGCAGCAGGAATTCATCCTGGACATGTCAGCTGAGATCCTAGTGGACATGTATGGCACAGGTGGATATATGAATGTGGATTTCAAGAACAAGGTCCAGGCTGGCGATAAAAATTGGGAGCTAAAGCCTGAGAGCAGGTAGAGTGGTGAGAAAGTGGCATCTACAGAGAGGAGACAAGGACCCAGGACTGACATCTGGGCACTCTAACGTGAGAGGCCACAGGGAGGACCGAGCCAGAGAGATAGAAGGGTGGGGGCGAGGGCTGAGGAGTGGCCTTGGGGTTTGGCAACGAGGAGGGCATTGACCATCTCAGAAACAGTGTCAGTAGAATGGGGGGAGAGAAGCCTACTTGGAGCAGGTTCGAGAAGGAATGGGAGCAGGGAAACTAGAGACCAAGAGGTTTTTTGTTTTGTTGAGACGGAGTCTCACTCCTCTGTCACCCAGGCTGAAGTGCAGTGGAGTGACCTCAGCTCACTGCAATCCCCTGCCTTCCCGGTTCAAGCCATTCTCCTGCCTCAGCCTCCCTAGTAGCTGGGATTACAGGTGCTCACCACACCTGGCTAATTTTTGTATTTTTAGTAGAGACGGGGTTTCACCGTGTTCACCAAGCTGGTCTCAAACTCCTGACCTCAAGTGATCCACCCACCTCAGCCTCCCGAAGTGCTGGGATTACAGGCATGAGCCACCGCTTCCGGCCAAGATGAACAGTTTTGATGCCTCTTCAAACAGGTTTTCTGTAAAGGGGCCTGAGAAATATGGTGGTCATTAGGGAAGTGCATGGAGACGAGAGGTGTTTCTAAAGATGGGAGAAATGACAGCGTGCATGTGTGCCGATGGGAGTCACCCCATAGAGAAGGAAGAAAGCAGTGACAGAGGAGAGGACTGCTCCTTGTCCTTGAGTAGTTGGCCAAGGGAGAGACCTCCTGCACAAATGGAGGGTTTGGCCTCACGCAGAAAGAAGCACACTTGGTTCATCCCTGGCAGCAGGAGGGAAGGCGTGGGTGTAGGGAACAGGGCGTGTGGAGGGGATCTTTTGGGTGCTCTTATTTTCTCAGTGAAATACAGGACGCAAGAGCAGCAGTGGACGGTGAGAATGGGGATGTTCCCATCCAGCTTTCAGGGTCCCATGTGATAGTGCCCCGTGGCTGGCCTGTGTTCTGGGGACAGTCACTGGCCACATGCACTGCAGGGCATCAGGCAGCAGAGGCTGCCTTGGGCAGGACAGAGACAGGCCCGCCAACTAATGTGCCCCTTTTTGCCTCTGCCTCCAGGACTGTCCAACCCATTCCGGGGTCTCATGAAGCTGGGCACCGTGGAGCGGCGGGGGGCAATGGGCATCTGGAAGGAGCTCTTCTGCGAGCTCTCCCCGCTGGAGTTCCGCCTCTACCTGAGCAACGAGGAGCACACCTGTGTGGAGAACTGCTCGCTGCTTCGCTGTGAGTCTGTGGGGCCAGCCCATAGTGATGGGCGCTTTGAGCTGGTCTTCTCTGGCAAGAAGCTGGCCCTGCGCGCCTCCTCCCAGGACGAAGCTGAGGACTGGCTGGACCGGGTGCGGGAGGCCCTGCAGAAGGTCCGGCCTCAGCAGGAGGATGAGTGGGTGAACGTGCAGTACCCAGACCAGCCTGAGGAACCCCCCGAGGCGCCCCAGGGCTGCCTCTCTCCCTCAGACCTGCTCTCGGAGCCCGCGGCCCTCCAGGGCACACAGTTTGACTGGTCGTCCGCCCAGGTTCCAGAGCCAGATGCCATCAAGGAGTCCCTGCTGTACTTGTACATGGACAGGACCTGGATGCCCTATATATTTTCTCTGTCCTTGGAGGCTCTGAAATGTTTCCGCATCAGGAACAATGAGAAGATGCTGAGTGACAGCCACGGCGTGGAGACCATCCGGGACATCCTGCCAGACACCAGCCTTGGGGGCCCATCCTTCTTCAAAATCATCACGGCCAAGGCTGTCCTGAAGCTGCAGGCCGGAAACGCCGAGGAAGCCGCCCTGTGGAGGGATCTGGTCCGCAAAGTCCTGGCATCCTACTTGGAGACAGCCGAGGAGGCGGTGACCCTGGGCGGGAGCCTGGATGAAAACTGTCAGGAGGTGCTGAAATTTGCCACCCGGGAGAATGGCTTCCTGCTGCAGTACCTGGTGGCTATCCCCATGGAGAAAGGCCTTGACTCCCAAGGCTGCTTCTGCGCAGGTGCCGATTTGCTCTGCTGCCACCCCCAGCCTGCCAGCCTCACTCCACCTCCTGCTGGTTCCTGATTTAGGCTCCCCACCCTTCTGCCTCCCCGCAAATGCCCCCATCCTTCCCCTAGGGATGAGGCCACAGATCAGGCTTGCCCTACAGCTTCTGCTCCTCCCCAGCCCCGGCTGGGGCCAGTGCCCTGCTCATAGGCAGTGGGCCCTGCTCACCCGTCCCTCTCCTGCCACCTCCCACTGATGGGCGGCAGGCTGGCTACTCACTGCGCTGCTCAGGGAGTCCCAGCCTGCTTCATTTTCTTCTTGCTCTACCGTCCTGTTCTTTCAGAGCAGGGGCATGGTTTCCTTCCAAATATTTCTGCTGCTTTTATAAGTGTACACCCTTTTTTTTAATTATAAAAATGGGCTCGTGCTATTCAGTGCTGTCCAATAGAACTTTCTGTGATGATGAAAATGTCCTAGATCTGTGTGTCCAGTGCCATAGCTGCGAGCCATGTAGTGCTACCAGGTGCTTAAAGTGTGGCTAGTGTGGTTAAGCAACTGAATTTTCTATTTAAATTCATTTGCATTTAAAGGGGACACACGGGGCTCTTGGCTGCTGTGTTGAATGCTGGATATATTGTTCCACAACTTGGTTTTTTCCTACACTGTGGATGTTATTCCAAGTCAGTACATCTGCTATGTCTTCCTCATCATCAAATCTAATACTTCTGTGCTGGGCACTGGGCCAGCTGCTTTATTTGGATTATCTCATTTAAGTCTCATAACAACCCTGTAGAGATAGGCGCTACTATTATCATCTCTGTTGATAGGGGAGGAAACTGAAGCACAGAGCTGGTAAGTACCTGGTTGGTGTCTGCTACTGAGCTCACACAGCTAGTAAGTGGCAGAGGCAGAATTTTCCTTTTTTGTTTGTTTGTTTGTTTGTTTTAGTAGAGATGGGGTCTCCCCCTGTTGCTCAAGCTAGTCTTGAACTCCTAGGCTCAAGTGTTCCTCCTGCTTCAGCCTCCCAAAGTGCTGGGATTACAGATATCAGCAACCATGCCTGGCCAGAGGCAGAAATGGGACCCTGACAGTCAGGCCCCAGAGCCTTTGCTCATAGGCAGGACCCTAGAGGGCATCCCTCTAGGGTCTTATTCAAGGTTGAGTGACATCCCCCTGCCCATGTTCCATTGTTAGCCCCTCCCACTCCCCCCACCATCCAGGGGCAGATGGCATCCCATCACCATGGGACCCTTAGGTGACCTGTGAGGGGGTTGTCCTGCTGCAGAAGGCCAGAGCAAGAAGCTGAGCCTTGGTTTGGGAGCTGTCCTGTTGGCACAGACTGGAGGGAAGCCTGTTTCAAGCATCTGAAAGGAATTGGTCTGCGGTTGGCCCCGCGAGGATGGGAGAAGCTAGGCAGAACAGAGCTTCCTGCAGAAAACACCTGCAAGCCTCGCTTGACCTCTCCCCCGCCTGCCCCAGCGCTCACACTTTGCTCTTCAGCCTGTGAAGGCCAGGCTCTGAGGGGGCCAGGACTCCAGGGCTTGCAAGAAAGGGTTCCTCGCCTGTGGGTGTGAATGCTGCGGGGGCAACTCTCACCATGGCTGCCACCCACCAGCGGGTGGGACTGTGCCACCGGGGAGTTTGGGTTTCCTTTCTACCCAGCAGGCATGGCTCAGTGGCAGACACCAACCACTGGCATCTGGGTTGTATTTCATAATTTGCAGGGTACTTGCAGAACCTTGTCTCATTTAAGCTTTGTAATAACCCCACAAAATAGCTGGTAGTAGCTGAATTTTACAGTCACTGAAATGGAACCTTGAAGAAATCAGGTGAAGGTCAGGGTGAGGCAGCTGGTGAGGAGCAGAACCCGCCCTCTGGTCCCAAGGCCCGGGGACCCTTCTGCCTGCCCTTGGAGGAGTTAGGGCACATGTTCAGGGTTTGAGTCAGGGCCTCTGCTTTTTGCCCAGGGCACATCCCACTCCCATTCCCACTGGCTCCGGCTGTGGAGACACCTCCAACCAAGGGGGCTGAAGCCAGCCCTACCCCACAGTCCCGAGGCATCAGACACTGTGCACACTCCCCTGCCCCCTGCTGGCTGCCCATCCGCTCCCTGTTGCCAGCCCCGACCCTGGTCCCTGTCCCCCAGCTACTTCGCTGCTTGCCACAGCCCCTACTCTGCTGCTTCCATTCTGGGGCCCGAGTGGAGGGGTGGACCTAGAGGAGGCTGGCATTGCCAAGCCAGCAGTGGGGACACCGGACACAGGCAGCAAGGGGTAGTGGAGCAGAACTCAGGCTCTGGAACCAGCCAAACCCAGATCTGAATGCCAGCCATGCCACTTCATCACTATGTGACCAGACAGATTTCCTAACCTCTCTGAGCATCCATTTCTTCAGCTGTAAAATAATGATAGTTCTTACAGTGTGTTGTTGTAAAGATTAATTAGTAGGGGAGTTCTGAGTGGTGGAAATACGAGTGGTGGTTATTCTTGTGTTTGTGCCTACCTTAAAAAAAAATCAACCAGCAGATCCTTTCCACCACAGCAGCTCCCAAGTTACTAGGAGCTGACTCTGGCCACACCACTCACTCTCCACCCATCTCCCCAGGCTGCTCCCGGCAGATCGGCTTCTCCTTTGTACGACCCAAGCTCTGTGCCTTCTCTGGCCTCTATTACTGTGACATCTGCCACCAAGACGATGCCTCAGTGATTCCGGCCAGGATCATCCACAACTGGGACCTCACCAAGCGCCCGGTAAGTCTCAAGCCCAGCAGCCCAGCTGCTGAGGGACAGAGGGGTGTTCACTCCTCTTTGCTGCTGCTGTTCATCTGTTTAGAGGAGTTTGGCTCCTCTAAACAAGGGAAGCCAGGGTCACTGGTTCAGGCACTGTGATGTTGGGGAGCTAACCAAGAGAAAAGCTTGGTGCCTGTCCACAGCCTTGGGCAGGGCTCTATCGGTGGCTGTCTTGGTCCCCAGGAGGAAAGAGTTTGAGGATGGTTTCCTGCAGCTACAAACATAACTGCTTAAGGCACCAGCAGATAAATGATAGATAGATAGATAAAATAGATTTGATAGATTAGATAGATGGATGGTGGATGGTCAGGTAGGTAGGTGGATGAGCAGGTGGCTAGGTGGATGGTTAGGGGGCTGGGCAGGTAGGTAGGTGGATGAGCAGGTGGCTAGGTGGATGGTTAGGTGGATGGATAGGTAGGTAGGTGAATGAGCAGGTGGCTAGGTGGATGAGCAGGCGGCTAGGTGGATGGGTAGGTAGGTAGGTGAATGAGCAGGTGGTTAGGTGGATGGTTAGGTGGATGAGCAGATGGTTAGGTGGATGGGTAGGTAGGTAGGTGGATGAGCAGATGGTTAGGTGGATGGGTAGGTAGGTAGGTGAATGAGCAGGTGGTGGCTAGGTGGGTGGGTGGATGGGTAGGTGGATGGGTGGATGGGCAGGTAGTTAGGTGGATGAACAGGTGGCTAGGTGGATGGTTAGGTGGATGGATAGGTAGGTAGGTGAATGAGCAGGTGGCTAGGTGGATGGGCAGGTAGGTAGGTGGCTGAGCAGGTGGCTAGGTGGATGGGTAGGTAGGTAGGTGAATGAGCAGGTGGCTAGGTGGATGGGCAGGTAGGTAGGTGGATGGGTAGGTAAGTAGGTGAATGAGCAGGTGGCTAGGTGGATGGGCAGGTAGGTAGGTGGATGAGCAGGTGGCTAGGTGGATGGTTAGGTGGATGGGTAGGTAGGTAGGTGAATGAGCAGGTGGCTAGGTGGATGGGTTGGTGGATGGATGGATGGGTAGGTGGTTGGGTAGATTGGTGAATGGGTGGATAGGTAGGTAGATGGGTGCCTAGATAGGCAGATGGGTAAATGGTTAGGTGGATGAGTGGATGGCTTGGTGGGTAGGTGGATGGGTAGGTAGATAGGTAGATAGGTGGGTGAATGGGCAGATGGCTAGATGGGTAGATGGTTAGGTGAATGGGTAGATGGGTAGGTAGATGGGTAGATGGGTGGGTGAATGGGCAGATGGCTAGATGGGTAGATGGTTAGGTGAATGGGTAGATGGGTAGGTAGATGGGTAGATGGGTGGACGGTGGGTAGATGGCTGGGTGGATGGGTGAATAGGTAGGTGGATGGGTAGATGGGCTGGCCAGGGCTATACCTTGGAGCAGTCATCCTTGCCTTTGCCAACCCTATGAGGCCCAGGTGACTGCACTCCCCTGTAGGCCCTACATGGGCTTATTTATTTCATGTTTTTGAAAAGCACTTTTTCTGTGACTTCCCCCATTATTAAGATAATACACAGTTATTGTTTAACATTTTAAAGTTACAGAAAAACCCAAAGACCAATCAAAATTCTGTGTCATAACCAAGAGATCACCATTATTAACATTTCGGGGTATACCCTTTTCTGTGCATTTATTGACATATGCATCTATTTTTTATAAAGTTGGGATCACACAGGACTCATACTGCTTTATAAGAAGCTTGGTTCACTTAATATTATGCCTTGGGTACTTTTTTATGTTCACCAAATGCTTTTGAATAAGATGTATCTTAAAGTCTTTCAGAATTTTCCTTTTCTCCAGCTGAACTTAGCCACTTTCCTACCTGTGTTACCATGAGCAAATTAGCTTCAGTTTCCTCATCTGTAAAAGGAGGGTTAACAACAGTGTCTGTGTCGGGGTTGTTGGGAGGGCAGGTGTGGCAGTGTGTGCCTGTCAGTAAGAACAGTGTCCTTTCTCTCCCTGGGGCCTGTCACACCTCCTGCCTATATTCACCCACCCATCCACCCATCTACCTAATTCACTTGGTTAGTGTCTGCCTCAAGGGGTGCAAATTTGGTTTTCTTCCAAGGGCACAGATTTCTACTAAGACAGACACAGAAACACAAGGAAGAAGCTGTTTGCTCCTCTGGAGAGCCAGGGCCTGCCAGCTATGTAGTCCTGATGTGTGGATGTGTCTTCATCATAGTGCAGGGTGATTCTCTCAGTCAGTTCTACCTCAACCTCCACCTCCCTGGGGCGGGGAAACCCCGCAGAAGTTGGCTTCATTTTGATTTTTTTGTTGTTTGCCTTGTCCCCGCCCTCGCTCTCAGTGTTAAATATTTAACTAACTACATAGAGGAAATTAAGCCTCAAAATCACCAAAAATGCAAAGAACCCTTTGATCATAAAACACGTTAACTATTTACAGGACCCTGATACTTCCGTTGAGCCATCTCCTTATTCACTGCCCTCATCCTTGTGCCACTTCCTTTTCTAACTAGAAAAGTACAATCCTAGCTGGGCACAGCGGCTCATGCCTGTAATCCCAGCACTTTGGGAGGCTGAGGTGGGCGGATCACCTGAGGTCGGGAGTTGAGACCAGCCTGACCAACGTGGAGAAACCCTGTCTCTACTAAAAAATACAAAAATTAGCTGGGCGTGGTGGCGCATGTTTGTAATCCAGCTAATCCGGAGGCTGAGGTAGGAGGATCTCTTGAACCTGGGAGGCGGATATTGTGGTGAGCTGAGATTGCGCCATTGCACTCCAGCCTGGGCAACAAGAGCGAAACCCCACCTCAAAAAAAAAAAAAAGAAAAGTACAATCGTTTTCTAGGCATATCTGAGATCAGGAAATCCTCAGCTCGCTCTCCCTCTCAAAGATTGCTGGCCTAGGAAAGACAGGGAAACTCAAGATAGAAAGTAGGGGGCCCACGGGTTTGGGGCCTTATTGTTCGCCGTTGCTGTTCTGGCTGACCCACTGGTGCTGAGGCCTGGCTGACCCACTGGTGCTGAGGCCTGGCTGGCACTGGCAGGATGTCAGCCCAGGAGTGGGGCTTCTTTCTGTCTCCTCCATTCCCGCAGGATAGGAACAGTCGCTGGGGAGCACAAAGCCCCTGCCCATCTGCAGTGTTTGGCAGTGTTCAGCGCACATTCCTGTGTGTTATTTCACTGGAGCCTCACCCAAGGCCTGGGGCCAAGTCATGGGAAGAGCTGAGTTAGGACTGGAGAACAGCAGCTTGACCCAAGTCACCAGGAGTTTGCCATTGGGCTGTCCCTGGGCTGGGGGGCTGGTACCTCAGGGCCCCAGGCTTTGGGAAAAGAAGAGGTTGTCCATTGCTGGGGGAGGTGAGAGATGCTGGTGGAGCTGGGAGACAAGAGGTCAGAGGCCCCCTCAGCCCCCAAATACAGGGGCAGGTCTCCTGAGGGCCAGTTTAGTCCCCCAACCCTCAAGGGGACAACAGGGCCACACCAGGCACTCACACAGCAGCTGATAGCAGCTCACATTTACTGGGGATGTGCCACCTGCCAGGCCCTATGCCAGGAGCTCTCCTGGAATACCTCTTTTAATCTGAATTCAAAATAATCCCATGAAAAAGAAGCTCCAGTCCTGGGCTGACATCCTGCCGAGTGCCGGGCCAAAGCACTAAAGCAGCAGCAGCGAACGAAAAGGCCCCAAACCCGTGAGCCTTAATTGCTCTCATTTTCCCCATTTTACAGATGAGGAAACTGAGTCACAGAGAGGGATAAGTTTCACCAATTCATACAGGTATAAAGTGGTGGAGGCAGGATTCAATTCCATTCTGACTCCGAAGCCAGACTTTTTTTCCCCTACACAATTTATCAGAATTTGAAAAGGTTGCTGGATACGACAGTCAAATAAATCAATTTCATTTCTATATATCAGCAAACAAATTACTATTTTAAAAGATAATCACTTATAATAGTATCAAAAACAAAGCCACCAGAAATAAAATATGTAACGAGAGGACTAGTTAAGATGTTAAAGATCTGAGCCAGGCCAAAGCCAGACTTCTAGTCACTGTGCACTTGTCGGCTGTGGAGACAACAGCTCCTCCGTCCTTATGATACAGCGAGATCACTGCAGGGGAGGGGGCTTCTGATTAGTGCAGCAGCCTGGTGTTCAGAGATGACACCTCAGCTCAAACCTGGCAGGTTCTGCAGGCAGGTTGTATAAGCTACGTTAGCCCCTCTAAGCCTCCGTTTCCTTATCTAGAAAACGGGGACAGGGACACCCTCCCTAACGTGTTGTTCTGAGAATGACGGGAGGATGTGGTCAAGTTCCTGACCCAGTGTTTTGCAAATAGTAGGCGCTCGATTATTGGCATTGGTATTAGGATCAGGGCCAAGGGTAGAACCTTCAACACCCTGTCAGCCAGGAGAGACTGAGATGGATCACTCAGCTGCACACGGAGTCCCGGTGTTGCTACTGGTGTGAGCCGAGGGAGCTCAGGGAAGCCTGTTGGTGAGCTGTGTCTGATCTGTAGCTTCCTGTGGCTGGAGCCTGACTCAGCCCGTCACCTGGTTCCTGAGTCAGGGCACAGAAGGGAGTGCCTGTTTCCTTCAGTGGGGGGAAATAGGGGCTGGGAGGACAGGAAAGAGTGGGAAGGATCTGTGAGGCCCAGAGGGAGGGGGCGTTATCAGAGCAGTCCCTCCCTCATCTCAGCATGATTGGGGAGGGGGCAGTGACCCTTGTCATTAGAGGGAGAGCGGGTTTGGGAGTCAGATAAACTGGGTTCAGAGCTTGACTGTACCATTTACAAGCTGGGTGACCCTAGCCAAATCTCTTCATCTCCTTGAGCCTCAGTTTCCCCATCTGTAAAATGAAGATAGCCCCTCAGGTAAGTGAGCAGGTCATGTGGCACCTGGCCAGGCAGTGCTCACTGAACAGCCATTCCTTCCCATCCCCAATGCCTGGTGGTACCCCCAGATCTGCAGGCAGGCCCTGAAGTTTCTGACACAGATCCGGGCCCAGCCCCTCATCAACCTGCAGATGGTGAACGCGTCTCTGTACGAGCATGTGGAGCGGATGCACCTCATTGGGAGGAGACGGGAGCAGCTGAAGCTCCTGGGGGATTACCTGGGCCTGTGCCGGAGTGGCGCCCTGAAGGAGCTCAGCAAGAGGTGAGCAACCTCTACGTGTATGCGTGTGAGTGCACGTACACACGCACATGCATGCACACAAACACATACTTATATGCACATGTACACACAGACACACATACACATGTGCACACATACCCACACACATAAATTTATACACAAATGCATAGACATCCACACCCATGCACATGTGCACAAATGTACACACATGCAGGCACTCGTGCACATGCACACACACACAGGGGCAGTGCCCAGGGCAAGGCGTCCACCTGGAGGAAACCTGGGCAGAGATCTTCCCACTGGGCCTGCGAAATGATCACATCTTTTGGGGGTGATTTTGGGGTTTTGTTCATGTATCTATTTGTTCACTCAAAAACATGGACTGAGAACATACTAAGCACTGCACACCTGGCGAGGCATGTAGGCTCCAACAATGAGCAGGACAGAGCCAGGGCCGACCCGCCGGAAGTCTCTGGCCTGGCAGGGAAGACAAGTAGGAAAGCCAGCAACTCCATCCGGGGGTGAGGGTGAGAGGGAGACAGGTGGGAAAGCCAGCAACTCCATCCGGGGGTGAGGGTGAGAGGGAGACAGGTGGGAAAGCCAGCAACTCCATCTGGGGGTGAGGGTGAGAGGCAGGACGTCCTGGAACCACAGAGGCTTGACATCCAGCCCAGATCAGAGGAGGACAAAGCAGGAAGGACTTCCTGGAGGAAGTGACTTATAAGGTGAGACTTGAAAAATTAGGAAGAATCAGAAAGGAGAAGCAAAGGGGGAAAGAGCATTCTAGACAGAAGGAATGGCACGCACAGGCCATGAACGAAGGCACCGTTGGTGGAAAGCCCAGGGAGAACTTTGGCTACAGTGAGGAGGGAAGTGGGGAGTGTGGCGAGAGGCAGGTGAGGGCCAGATGTTCCCATCTCTTCCCTGTACCAGCCAGTCGTCTGGCCCATGCCAGCCTCCCTCCTGAAATTCTCCAAAGAAGACGTGATCCGGGCGGGGCCCTCAGGATGCCCTTCAGGAAGCTTCTCTTACCCAGGGCCTGGGGCCTTTGGTGCTCAGGAATGGGATGTGATGCTGGGCTTCAACAGGGACTTAGGCCTCTCCATGCCTGTCATAAACGCTTCCTAGTCCTCAGGTCACGCCCAGGCTGCAGTCTTCCCAGGGCTGTACTCTCCCAGCACCCTCAGGAGGGCAGACCTCAGGCGGAGAAGCCTGCCGGTGCCTACTGCCCAGAATGGGCTTCAAATCAACCTCTGCTGGGTTTCTGGGGGCAGGGACCAGTTCACAAGCCCCTCCAGGTTCCCCCGTCTGGCCTTCCCTCCCCACAGGGCTGGCCCAGAGAGCGCCTCTCTGAAGACTGCCTCCTCCATCCTGGCTGCAGTGCTCCCAGAGCCGGGCCTCCTCAGGGCCAGGGTGTGCCTCGAGCAGGTCCCCAGGGGCTCTCAAGGGGTACTGCAGGGGGCTCTCCCCTAGGCAGAGAGGAGAATTTGGCCCCACAGCTGCCAGCTGAGCCTTGGTCTCCTCTGTAGGGCCTGGAAGAACAGAAAGCCTTCCAGGGACCACCATGTGGGACCCTAGACCCTAGAAGACTTCACCCCAGGAGGCTCTGCCCATCCCAAGCATCGTGGGTGACTGGGTCTCCACCTCTTGGCAAGCGCTGACTTACTCCCTACCTCTGAGAGTCCATGACCCAGGGCTCCAGAGAGACTATCCTCCTGCCCACCTAACCAGGTGGTGAAATCTCTGGGGTCAGGTGGGGCCTTATCACCCTCCTTGGTCAAGGAGCCAGGTACCTGCACAGGCATGCAGACCTGTGTAGACCAGATGCCTGTGGGGTGGGTTGTGGACCCCAGCCCCATTCACCCATCCCCACCCTGCTGAGAGAGTCTGTTCATCGGCTTTACAGACCTGTCTCTGTGGGCACCAGGGGCAGCCCTGTCTCTCTCCCTGACCCTCCTGCTCCATCCCTGGGCAGCAGCGCTGTACTCCTGCTAGGCGCTCAGCCTGCTTCCCATGCCTGTGGAAGTCCCATGGAAACAGCATGGGGCAGGGGAAAGAGTGTGGGAGGCCCTCACCCACTGTGAGTCAGGAAAGTTGCTTCACTTCTCCGGGTCCAGCTTTCCCGTCTATAAAATGGGCCAGTGATTCCTCTGTTCCTGTGGCCTCCTGAGCAGTGGTGAGAGCTGCATGAGGGACCCAGAGTCTGGGCCACAGATGGCCCTGGGTCAGCATCGTGTGTGCCCTGAGGGCACCTGATCCAGCCTTGGCAGGGGCCAGAGGAGCTCCCAGAGGAGATGGCATCTGAGCTGAGGGCATGCAGAGATATTTTCCTTTTTCCTTCTAAAATGTTTTTCTTCTTTACAAAGGTCAATCTTCCAAGCGAGGAAAATTTATGAAAGGGAATAAAGCAGACCATTCAATCAGCCCTTCTCAGAGCCCACCACCACCTGTTTCTGCACCTCACTCCATCCACACACACATGTTGCCACACCAGTGGCATTGTGTGTCTGTTGAACTGGGGCTTAGAAAAATGAGAAAAGAGTAGAAAGGGCAGAGGAGAACCTGGCTTTCCTGGCTAAGAGACCGGTAGCAAGAGGCTGGCAGGAGCACAGCTCACTGACACCCTTGAGGGGCTCTGGGCAGCTGGGCTTCAGGTGCAGGGCCCAGAACTCAAAGGGCCCTCGAGGCCTTTGGATTTGATCTGCCACCTGTGGGGAACCATTGAAGGGTTTTGAGCATAGGGCTGTCACTTCCGGTCAGCGGCTTAGAAAAGACCACTCTGAAAAGACCAGGTGCGGTGGCTCATGCCTGTAATCCCAGCACTTTGGGAGGCCAAGGTGGTTGGATCACCTACGGTCAGGATTTTGAGACCAGCCTGGCCAACATAGTGAAACCCCGTCTCTACTAAAAGTACAAAATTAGCCGGGCGTGGTGGCAGGCACCTGTAATCCCAGCTACTAGGGAGGCTGAGGCAGGAGAATCACTTGAACCCAGGAGGCAGAGGTTGGAGTGAGCCAAGATCACGCCACTGCACTCCAGGCTGGGAGACAGAGTGAGACTCTGTCTCAAAAACACAAAACAAACACACAAAAAGACCATTCTGGCCCCAGTGGAGTGCAGTTGGTGAAGGGGAGAGCCCTGGGTGGCAGCTGGTGTTAGTAATTAGCCCAGGGAGCTGGGCCTGGACCGAGTCAGCCAGAGGGAAGGTTGAGAGGAGAGGGCTGAGACATGGGAAGGTCTTGGATGTCAGGGAGTCAGGGAGGAGCTGTCCTGCACTAGTGGCAGCTGCCTGGCAGGGTTCTCTCCGGCAGACCTGGGACATGTCTCCAAGGGCCAGAGAAGCCCCTGACAGTGTCCTCTCCAGCCCTTGGGAGGAAGCCATCACAGAAATGCCCCACACCCTGTCCACCCACCAGACCTCATTGTCCCTCCCGACAGCCGGGAAGGGGTGGGCAGAGGAGGAGCCAGGGCTCAGGAGACAGGTGGCACCCAGGCCCCCCACCCATGTCCCCCGGATCTTCCAGCCCTTGCCTGGCCCTTTCCTTCCCCATCACTTCATCGGTTCCAGGAACTAAGATTCGACCTTTCCCCTCATCTTCTTCTCTCCCGGAGAGCCGTCCAGATTCCTCTGGTCTCTTTCCCAGGTAGCCAGCCTCACGCCAGAGGACAAAGAGGGTTCTCCTCATTGTGTGGGTGGAGAAACTGAGGCCCCAAGTAGGCCTGACTGTGCCCCAGTGCATGAGAGTTTCTCTCCTGGAGGCCAGGAGAAGTGGCCTCTCACCCCTGGGTCAGCGCCCTCTCCCCTCTGGCCTTGACTGAGCACTGCGGAGAAGCCACTTCCAAGTCCTTGCTGAGAGGGTGACAGGCCCAGGGCACAGGGGCTCCCAGGGCTTCCACGACTGTGGTCAGAGGACAGATGGCAAAGCTAATTCTCCATCCAGATCCGCCCACCCTCCTGCCAGCTGAAGGCCAACCTGTGTCCCCCCAGCCTGCTGTGTCCCATGTTTTCTTGGTGACAAATGGCAGCTTCCCTTCCTAGAGTGCAGGAAGTTTACTGGGGACACCAGCATGGTAAACTGAGGGGCCAGTTGGCATCTTGGCCTGTGTGGCTGCTTGGTGAGACTCACCCTCTCCACCCCGGATTGGGCTCCCCTGGACCACAGCTGAGCCACCAGCTGGGACAAGGCCAAGCCCCCATTCCAGATGCTCCACAGTTTGCACCCCGGAGGCCCAGACCCAGGGCTGGCACCATCCTGTCCCCAGATGTCTGGGGCATCCTGGGGCAGGTTCCCAAGCATCCTCTGACTTGGAGTAACCTCCCACCCCCAGTACCCATGTAAACACACACAGCCAGGCCAGGCAGGTTTTGCACTAAGGGACTTTCTGCAGGTGTTTCCTCCCCATCAGG
The DNA here is from genome assembly GCF_000001405.40 of Homo sapiens. Classification (NCBI taxonomy): domain Eukaryota; kingdom Metazoa; phylum Chordata; class Mammalia; order Primates; family Hominidae; genus Homo; species Homo sapiens. Next base: position 45,441,082 of record NC_000017.11, on the reverse strand, counting down.
ATGGGGCCCCCTGGATCCCTCCCATTGGTGTGGTAGAAACTAGAGCTGCGTTGGCGGCTGAGCCCTTGTTCTCTGCTCCCCCGGCCACCTCTGAAATGGGATCTGCTGTGCTTAGGACACGTCTCAGCACTGAAACCAGTGTAGCACTGAAACCAGACACTTGAATGTCTGTCCCTCGGCCAAACCAGGGGCCACAGGAGGGCAGAGGCCATATCCTGTGCATTGCTGTCCCCAGCACTGTCCCTGGTATGTAATGGTGGCAATAATGACAACAGCCTGCATCTCTAGGCATTTGCTAGGTGGACAGGGGTGCAGGCTCTGGAGCCAGGCCCCTGTGTTCAAACTCCAGCTCTCCCACCTACTAGCTGTGTGACCTCAGGCAAGTGATTTAACCTCTCTGTTTCCTCTTCTCAGAGTTGGGATTGTGATAGTACCAGCCTCACAGAATTATTGTGAGGATCAAATGAATGAATGCGTATGAAGCTCTTAGCCCAGTTCCTGGTCCCAGGTGTCTGCACCCATCCTCCTTCTCATGATTAATTACGTGTTTACTGTGAGCTTGGCACCAAGCCAAATGCTTTAAATAAGTTACTTAATCCAGACAACTCCATTTCCCAGAGAGGGAAACCCAAGGTTCAGAGAGGTTAAGTAACGTGCCCAAGGTCCCACCAGCTAGTTAGTTACGTTGAAGACCAGGCCCCAAGCCCAGGCAGGCCGAATTACACTCCTAGCCCCTGCCCCGCCCAGGCGGGGGGTGTCTGCCTGGTGAGCAGCGCCAGGGGAGTGTAAACAAACAACACAGGCTAGCCTGGGTTCTGGAAACCTTTCTAAAGAATCGCTTGTGTTTTGTTTGAAGGCTCAACCACAGGAATTATCTCTTGGAATCTCCGCATAGGTTCAGTGTTGCTGACCTCCAACAGGTAAGAGTGTCATGCTTCCCCCGCCCAGACCTCTAGAGAGACTTCATTCCCAGAGAAGTCAGCAAGGAAGATGGAAGAGGGGGTGTCTGTAGTTTACTGAAGAAGACAGCAGTCTGTAGCTTTTCTGCAGCTCAGGGTGGGTTGCCCTGCTGCCCCAGCTTCCTGGGCAGGGACGGATACCCCCAGCACCCCTGGAATAAACAAGCACTCCAGCAACCCCAGGATCACAGGGAAGAGAGTTTGGAATACTCCTTTCCCCAAGGGGAGGGTACAGTGAATTTGGGTCTCAGCTATAAATCCCATTAGCCCCCAGTGACCTCAGTGCCCACGGGCTGGACGCTGGCATTGCTCAGCCTGATTCAGGGAGGTTTTCTTTTCTTGCCCGTGTGGAAACGGGGGGTAGAAGTTCTCCAGGCAGGGTGCCATGGCACCTCAGTGCAGCTGCTTGAAAGGCCTGGGGCCTCAGTTTACCAGCCCTCCGCAGATCGCAGACGGGGTGTATGAAGGATTCCTACTTGCCCTCCGCAGATCGCAGACGGGGTGTATGAAGGATTCCTCAAGGCCCTGATTGAATTTGCCTCCCAGCATGTCTACCACTGCGACCTGTGCACCCAGCGCGGCTTCATCTGCCAGATCTGCCAGCACCACGACATCATCTTCCCCTTTGAGTTTGACACCACAGTCAGGTATGCGGGACACCCAGCCAGCCGCCTTCCAGCCCCACCCTTCCCCACACCCACAGCCTGGCCCAAGCACGCAGGGCAGCAGGCTTCGCTCTGTGGGCAGGAACTTATTGAACATCCACTTTGTGCTGTGCCAAGGGGTGGTGCAGTTGTTGGGGCAGCCCATGCTCTGGGCAGTCATGGCCAGCTCCAGTCCAGCTCAGGGGACAAGACAAGCTTTCCCAGGACTCCTCTGCCTCTATGGAACCATCTCTCTTCCTAAAGAAGAGGTGGCTGCCGGCTCTCTGAGTGGAGCCTCCTGGCGCCTCAGTGTATGCATGGGTTGAGGAGGGTTGTATGAGTTACCACCCTGCACTGTTGGCATGAGACCAGGCACAAAGTGGCACCTGGTGGGTGGTACCTGCCACTGCCACTGTGTCTGTTGCTGAAATGATCACTCTTGTTCCCAGTTATTGCTCATTATCCGCAACCTCTCAATGGAAAAATTTGTCCAGACCTTCCTGCAACCCATGTGGGAGCAGAAAACTGAACTGGGAACATTAGTTCTTTTTCTGTCGGTGTCCACTGGCCGGGATGCAGCCCTGAATGGGCCTGGGGCTGAGTTTTTAAAATTATACCATCTTGGCCGGGCGTGGTGGCTCACGCCTGTAATCCCACAACTTTGGGAGGCCAAGGCAGGTGGATCACTTGAGGTCAGGAGTTCAAGACCAGCCTGGCCAACATGGTGAAACCCCGTCTCCACTAAAAACACAAAAGTAAGCCAGGTGTGGTGGTGGGCACCTGTAATCCCAGCTACTTGGGAGGCTGAGGCAGGGGAATCACTTGAATTCGGGAGGCAGAGGTTGCAGTGAGCCGAGATCGTGCCACTGCACTCCAGCCTGGGCAACAGAGCAAGACTCTGAAAAATAAATAAATAAAGTAAGTAAAAAAAATTTTTTTTTTCTTTTTGAGATGGAGTCTTGCTCTGTCGCCCAGGCTGGAGTGCAATGGTGCAGTCTCGGCTCACTGCAAGCTCTGCCTCCCGGGTTCATGCCATTCTCCTGCCTCAGCCTCCCCAGCAGCTGGGGCTACAGGCACACACCGCCACGCCCGGCTAATTTTTGTATTTTTAGTAGAGACAGGGTTTCACTGTGTTAGCCAGGATGGTCTCGATCTCCTGACCTTGTGACCCGCCCACCTCGGCCTCCCAAAGTGCTGGGATTAAAGGCGTGAGCCACTGCGCCTGGCCGTAAATATTTTTTAAATATAGGCAAGAGATCTTTAATGAATCTCAAGCAGCATTTATAAAAAATGCAATAGGACAGAGAATATCAGTGTGCATTGTGTGACGTATGGGTAAGCACTGTTTCAAGACTCTCCTGTTCCAGAACGGAGAGGCACGGTGTGCGTGCATGGGTTACACAGTACATCACAGCCGTATCGTGGGTTCTGGTCAAAAGGGCTGGCCAGCGTGGCCACAGGGCAACCTCCAGCCCAGCCGGCACCAGCAGGCCTACTGCTCTCTCCCCAGGTGTGCCGAGTGCAAGACCGTCTTCCACCAGAGCTGCCAGGCTGTGGTGAAGAAGGGCTGCCCCCGCTGTGCCCGCCGGCGCAAGTACCAGGAACAGAACATTTTCGCCTGATGCCCATCTGCTGACCCCGCTCTGAAAGCCGGGGGTGAGTGTGGCTCAGCCATCCCGGCTGGGTTTGCCATCAGCCCAGGATACTCACCGTGTCACAGCTGTGTCCCCTTGTCAGGAAGACCCTCAGATGTGGCCAGAGCACCGGCCTCCCAGAGAAAGCCCAGGAAGTCCCCGTGGTGTCCCCTGGCCCTCCCCCCACCCCTCTGCTGCAGGAGGCGTGGCCACCACCAGATGCTCCCTGTCTGGGGCAGGCAGGGCCGTTTACTCACCAGGCCCTGGCTCACCAGCGTCCCGGCGCCTCCGTTAGGGCTGCCCAAACACTGTGGAAAGGGGACTTGGGGAGCATTTTCAATTCCACATTCCTGATTAAAAGGTCTAGTTTTTTAAGGTGGGTTTTTCCCATTCATATTTCAACAGAAAGTATTTTTTTATTCTTGACCCTACGTGAGTCACCCATGAAATCCAGACATTCTCACCCCCAGCGGATGCACAGGAGCCACTCAGGCCTGGCTTAGAGGTAGCGGGTGGCTGGTGGGCAGGCCACTGCTGGGACAGGGTCTATGGGCCCACCCAGTGCCTTTCCTTGGCCCTCACTGCCAGTGCCAAACCGCCCCTCAGCAGGGCAGGGCCAGTCCTGGCGACCCCGGTTCCTCTGTGTCCTCTTTACTCCCCACCCCAGTGCGTCTCGCCTGCTGAGCCCACCGCTTTCTCAGCGTCAGAGCCCCTAGCTCTTCTCTAGCCTGGGGCCTTGGCCCCATTAGGAGAAGGAGAAATGACTGGAAACCAGCACTGTCAGCACTTTGAGCCCTCCTCGGTTTATGGAGGGTCGCCGTCTTGCCCACCCCCGATCCCCGTGCGCTCCTCACCCCTCTACAGACAGGGGCGCTGCTGCAGATGCTCCAGGCCCACCTTGGTGGGTGCCCGGGGTCACACTCTCTGCCTGACTGACCCCTGCCAGGGCACAGATAGGCAGGACCCCAGAGAGGGCAGGCAGCCACGCCCTGCACTGTGGAGAAGTGACCTGGTCCTAAGCTGTGCAGGGCGTGCGGGGGAACTGCCCTGTGGATGCAGCCACCACCTCACAAAGCCATGAATTCCCAAAGCATCACTGAACTTGCCCAGCCGGGACACTGGAGACTGAAGAAGTTCCCCGGAGCAGGACTGCCTTTGAAGGGGCCTTGGGGCTGGGGTGGGAGTCTGGAATTGTTTTCAAAGTGATGGTCAGACCCTCCAGGCTTCGGGGAAATGTGGGTTTGCTGGTCTCTCTGTCGCCTTCCCCCACCTCTCCTGGACCTAGCAGGCCCTCAGTCCTAGCTGTCTTACCTGCGCTCAGCTTGGAGTCAGGCCTCAGGTGGAGAGCCGCATGTCACTGTCAGAGATGAGCCCACCCCCACCCTTCCCTGGGGGCGATTAGCTGCTGAGTCACCCACCCAGCCTTGGAGCTGGATGCCTGTGCAGCAGAACAGAGGCAACGGTGGCAGGCAGGTGGAGGCTGCGCACAGCTTCTCCCGGTCATGGCACACACCTGTGCCCAGACGCCAATGCCTCCTAAGCCAGGAGCTGGGTTATGCACCGCCATGGCCCACATTAACGCTCCACCACAAGCCCAGCCTAGTCAGAGCCCTCATTGCCCCATCCCTGAGTGGGCAGGAGCCTGGCCTGGGGAGGGCTTGGGCCTGTGAGGATTCTCCCCGAAGGTGCCCTCGGAGGCAGCAGGTTTGAGGCCCTGGGGGGCCCGTTCCCCAGAAGCTGCCAGTGCTTTCAGATGCATTGACTCTTCCCGCCTCCCCTCCCTCAGAAAGGTAGTGCCCACACTATTTTTAAAATGTTATTTTATGCAATACACTGTTCCTAGTGAGCAGGGCTCTGGCCCTGAGGAGTCTTTGCAATGTATTGAAGGAATTGCTGCCGTGTGAGTTTTGAATGATTTTGCAGTAAAGACCTGATCTTTCTCATCACTGGTCTGGCTTCTGAATTCTAACACTGCCACGGCCAGGGGGGAGACCACCAGCCATCTGTTACCATCTGTCAGGGTCCCCTACCCTCATGTTAGTCCCTGGCACGGGGGAAGGCTTGGGAGGTCCGTGGCAAACACTTGTAGGCAGAGGGCTTGCATGCCAGGAGTGGGCAGGGAGAAGAGAGTAAGAAAACCACCTTGCCAAGCCCAGCAGTCAGGCTCTTCCTGGGGTAGGATCTCAGGGTCTCTGGGGAGGTGTACCCACACTTGTATAACAACTCAAGCTGATCCCACGCCGGTGGCTTCTTTTCCTGTGACTTAAATGTCAAAACACAGACCCTTGACACTGGATCATGTGAAACCTCAGGATACAGGGGACATTTCTCAGAGGAGAAATAAAGGAGAGATGGGGCTCAGGAAAGAAGGGTTATTTAAGTGGATCCCCCGATTCAGGGCTCATGGTTTTAGGGCTCAAAATGACTTTTACTTGGCTGCTGACCTTCCTCAGAAGTTCCAGGAGAAGCCCAGGGGACCCCTCCAAGGGGAGGCCCACACCACTGTCCATTTTAAGAACAGGAGCAGGAAACAGACTTAATTCTCAGGGAAATCAGGTTGCAGTAAAATGGGATGGAAACAGACAACATTCAGGTCTGAGATTTCCTGTCCTTAAAGGCCCCTTTCAGATTACAAGGTGGCACCCTCTGCCAATCTAGGTGCCCCAGCTTCCCCCAAGGGCTTCACCTCCCTCCAGGACAGTAGATGGTAGGCCCGGAGAAGAGAAGAGAAACTGGGAGAGGGAGGCCCAGAGGAGGGCCACAGCACGTGACCTGGTGCTGCCCTGCCGGTGGGTTCAGGCCCTCTCCAGCCTCAGCAAAGCGCCCCTGAGGCCACTTGTTTCCCCTTCTCCCCTCCCTTTTTTTTTTTTTTTTTTTTGGATACAGTCTCACTCCAATGCCCAGGCTGGAGTGCAGTGGCGTGATCTTGGCTCACTGCAACCTCCACTTCCCGGGTTCAAGCAATTCTCCTGCCTCAGCCTCCTGAGTAGCTGAGACTTCCCCTTTTCCTCTTCTCTCTGAAGGAGGACAGGTGGTTTGGAGATTCCAATCCAACCCCCAAGAGCTTATCATATAATGTAAGTAGTCATAATAGCTGATGTACCCCGGCATGGTGGCTCACACCTGTAATCCCAGCATTTTGGGAGGCCGAGGAGGTTGGATCATCTGAGGTCAGAAGTTCAAGACCAGCCTGGCCAACATGGTGAAACCCCGTCTCTACAAAAATACAAAAATTAACTGGGCATGATGGCGGGTGCCTGTAATCCCAGCTACTCAGGAAGCTGAGGCAGGAGAACCACTTGAACCCGGAGGCGGAGGTTGCAGTGAGCCAAGATCGTGCCGCTGCACTTCGGCCTGGGAGACAGAGTGAGACTCTGTCTTAAAAAAAATAGCTGATATATTGTGTGCGCTGGGCATGTGGTAAGCACTGCTTAGTGGACCTCATTTAATCTTCCCAATAATCCAGTGAAGTGGGTGTTACTATCCCATTGACAGGAAAGAAATCTGAGCTGCAGAGATAAGGCAGAACTCCCAAGGCCTACCAGCCGCCAAGCAGCAGAGTGGGGCATCATACCTGCCTGACCCCACGCAAAGACCATCACCACTGCCAGCCACTGCCTGGCTGTGCTGCAGGTGGAGAGGGACCTAAAAGGTAGGGAGGGAGAGAAGATTCCTCCAGCCACGATTTTCTTTTTTTCTTTTTTGGTTGTTGTTTTTTGAGACGGAGTCTTGCTCTGTCGCCCAGGCTGAAGTGCAGTGGCACGATCATGGCTCACGGCAGTCTCCGCCTCCCAGGTTCACACCATTCTCCTGCCTCAGCCTCCGGAGTAGCTGGGACTACAGGCTCCCGCCACCACGCCCGGCTAATGTTTTATATTTTTAGTAGAGACGGGGTTTCACCGTGTTAGCCGGGGTTTCACCGTGTTAGCCAGGGTTTCTCAATCTCCTGACCTCATGATCCGCCCGCCTCGGCCTCCCAAAGTGCTGGGATTATAGGCGTGAGCCACCGTGCCCGGCACCAGCCACTATTTTCTAAGCATGTCGGGCACCAAAGACCAGTGCTGAGTTCTGCTGTGTGCCCACCCTGGAGGGTCCCAAGGTGCCACCAAGGCTCAGACACACAGATTCTCAGAGGAAGTGTGGACTCACAGGTGGGCAATGCCTAGCAGAGGCAAAGATATAGAGGTAAGGGAGTTCCTTACTTACTATATCTTACAAAGATATAGAGGTAAGGGAGTTCCTTACTTACTATATCTTACAAAGATATAGAGGTAAGGGAGTTCCTCTGAATCTGGGTGGCCAGATTCAGCTTCCCACCCAACCCTGGGTCCCCAGGAGGTGGTGTCAAGAGAGGCCATGGCCTGGGATGCGGGCCCTTCTTCCTCCCAGAACACTGGCCTGAATCAGCCAGCTCTTGGCACACACAGCCAGGTCCACAGGCACAACTGTTCCTTGGGGCCCCTGAGGGCAGGGGGTGTGCTGGGGCTGTGGCTTGTAATGTCTGGAGTGAGTGCAGGCTCAGATCAGGGCGAGGCTGCTTGTCCAGAGAGGCAGAAAATTCTCCAACAGAAGACCCCCAAGGCGGAGGGCCCTGGGGCTGGACTCCTGGAGGTTGTTCTGAGCTTACCCTGTGGACGGATTGGAGGGTGGCCCTCCTTCCCCACAAGGATCAAGAGGGGGTGGGGGATGGTGGGAGGGCAATCTGGCCAGGCGAACCTGCGGGGGAGGCTCCCGCCCTCCCCAGTCCCACCATCTCAGCCCCGCAGCCTCTTTCTCCCTGGAGACAGCCAGGTGCGGCCCAGGATCCCGGGAAAGGCAGGGGAGGGGGTGGCGTCTTCGCTCCTCAGGCGCTGGCCCGGCCCAGAGGGGACAGGAAGCCAGGACACCGGGGATTGTCTCTCGCAACCGCAGCCCAGCCCCAGTCCGGGAGGAAGTTCTGCCCGGCGCTCTCCGCCGGTGCCTCCCTGGTTATATTGTTGAACAGGAAACCCGGCAGCGCGGGAGCCGCACAGTCGAGGAGGGAGCGCGGGACGCCGAGCCCACGCGCGCCTGCCGGGGCAAGTGGAGGCGAAGCCGGCGAGCGGACGCCCCGAGGTGCCCGGGCAGGCAGGGTCGGGAGTGGGGCGCCGAGCGGGGGTTGGGGGTGGGAAGTGGGGTGGGGGTGGGGAAAGGGCAGGGTTGGGAAGGGAAGGGTGCGGCAGGTGGCGGGTCCGCACCCGGGAGCTCCGCGCGCCTGCTCCCCTTGTCTCCGCGCTGGGGCGGGAGCTGCGCGGGCCGCATCCCACGGGGAGGAGAAGGTAGGCGAAGGGCTGCCCTCCATCTGGGGGCTGGAGGGAAGCAGGCCCAGGCCCCCAGCGCCGACCCAGGCGTTGACGCCCCTGTAGCTTGAGTCGCCTGGGCAGTGGACGCAGGGGACCTCCTGGCGACTGGTGCGCTGTCGCGCTCCAGGGATCCTCCCGGCTTCCCCAATCCCTCCCCTTCTCTGCGTTTCCCCAGGGTCGGGGAAGGAACCGAGGTCCGGTCCCCTTCTTATCCAGCCCGAGACATCGAGCTCCGGTGGGCGTCCCTGCGCTGGGAATCCCGCTCGGAGTTTTTCCAGGCCCGGCCGGGCTGCTCCGGGAAAGGCCCTGGTGAGGGAAGAGGTGGGCCCGGAGCGGGCGGATTTGCAATCCGGTTGGAAGGGCTCGCAGTGGGTGATTCAGGGTGCAAATGACCTCCCCGGGAACAGGAACGCCCGCACGAGACAACCAGCCCCAGCCCGGCATTCCCAGAGCCGCGCACAGGAGGGACGCAGGCACTCCCGGACAGCAAATCCCGGGGGGTGGGGGGTGGGGGGGCGGGGAATAGAGGGGGAAGGCGGAGCGGGGGCGGTCCCATCCTCCTTGGGCTCCGCTCGCGACCTGCCAGTGCCCCTTCAGACGCAGCAGTCCCGGCTCCAGGTGCCGGCCTTCTGCTCTGGGCCTCGTCCCAATGCCCCCCAAGGTCCCCAGCAGAGGCATTCAGGCTCCTCCTCGCCCCACCCAGACACGGCTGCTTTGGGTATCGGTGACAGCACTCCTGAGCGTCCCTGTCCCTCTTCGCTCTGCTTGCCAGCTCCTGTTCCGCGCAGCCTCTCCGGCCTCGCCCCTGGAAACCCCGCCCAGGGCGATGGTAGGGGCCTAACCTGCAGCCACCGCCGGCTCCGCCCACCCAGCCCATGGGCTCCCTGAGGCCCGCCCAGCCGACGTGAGTGCGCTGCGGGGTCCAAGGGGAGGGGGCGCCGGGGGAGTGTCCTGCTTGGGGTTTGTTGGTTCAGCACCGGGCAGCTCGATGACCCCGCCTCCGGGGCCCAGCGTGCTTAGTGACTCAGTTTACACCCTTTCCTCGTCGAGGAACGCTTGACAAAGTGGCGGAGGAGCCCTGCTGGGGCCCCCGTTGGAACCTGCTCCTCTGCCTCGGCAAGCGGCGGTCTCCTGGCCCCGGGTCCGGGCCACCTTAGGGGGCAGGAAGAGGTGTGGTCAGTGTGGGAGTTTGGAGGGGCCATGCACTTCCGGAGAAAACCGACTCATGGCTTTGGTGGAGGGGCGCAGACAGATTTAGTTAGGCTCTCCCCCATCCCTGACACCCCGAAGCCCGGGCGGGAGCGGGGCTTATGACCACCACTCCGGAGAGCTTTGGGTGGCCCTGCTCTGGGACTCCGCACTTATAGTCACTGTCTCAGAGTGCATTCTCCAGGAGCCACTCGTGGGGACACTGTAGGGGTCACAGGGCAGGTGGACAGGCCACAGGGGCAGGGCCTTTCTCGGGGGGCGGCGTGAGAGCTGGAGAGCAGGGGGCGGTGCGGGCCGGGCTGGGCGGGCCGGGCTCGGGCTCACGTCTGCGGTGATGCAGCTGGGGAAGGAAAGAGAAACCGAGAGAACCGGTTCCCCTGCATTGGCAGCGGAGGCCTCTACAGCAAGGCCCTCGGACTAAGGGGGGCAGCGACAGCCCCCAGGTAGAGCTGTTCGCTCGGCCCCCTACAGAGCCCACATTCCAACTCTGACCAGGGGGTCGGGGCGCAAGCTGCTGGAGGGAGGCAGTGCTACGAGACCCTCTGCTGATTCTCTGCGGGCGGGAGGCTTCCAGGCGGGACAGAGCCGGGGAGCGGCAGTAAATGGGGTGTTCTTCCTACTTGACTGACGGAAAACTAAGGCGCAGTCAACTATTAAGCAAGCGTGGTGTCGACCTTAGAGCGGGCAATCACCCCTCGTTTTAAAGCCAAGGCTTCCCTCGCAGTCGATTTGGACCAAGACTACCCACAATCTCCCCACCGCAGGACTGAAGCAAGGGTCAAATCTTAGAATCAACCCCACAGAACGAAGGGCTGTCCTAATTCCAGCACTGAGTGTAAGAATGGAAGCCTTACATGTGATTTTATGCAAGTTCCCATTTTAGAGATGGGAAAACTGAGGCCCGAAGGCGAACGGCGAGTGCAGGATCGGGACTCGAACCCAAGTCTGTCCCCGAGTGCGGGGCTATTCCAGGCTCGGTGGTCTTGACCTCCGCGGCCCTCCTTCTTGTTGCCCGCAGGAAAACGCCGCGGCTGCGATGGCGGCGGACGTGGTGGGGGACGTGTACGTGCTGGTGGAGCACCCCTTCGAGTACACCGGCAAGGACGGGCGCCGCGTGGCCATCCGGCCGAATGAGCGCTACCGGCTGCTGCGGCGCAGCACCGAGCACTGGTGGCACGTGCGGCGTGAGCCCGGCGGCCGCCCCTTCTACCTGCCTGCGCAGTACGTGCGCGAGCTGCCCGCGCTGGGCAACCCTGCCGCCGCCGCGCCGCCAGGTCCCCACCCGAGCCCCGCGGCCCCTGAGCCGCTCGCCTACGACTACCGGTTTGTGAGCGCGGCGGCGACCGCGGGCCCCGACGGCGCCCCCGAGGAGTCCGGAGGCCGAGCCAGCTCCCTGTGCGGCCCTGCGCAACGCGGCGCCGCGACCCAGCGCAGCAGCCTGGCGCCCGGCCTGCCAGCCTGCCTGTACCTGCGGCCCGCGGCGCCCGTGCGGCCCGCGCAGTCCCTGAACGACCTGGCCTGCGCCGCCGTCTCGCCTCCCGCCGGCCTCCTAGGAAGCAGCGGCAGCTTCAAGGCCTGCAGCGTGGCGGGCTCCTGGGTGTGCCCGCGGCCTCTGGCGCGCAGCGACTCAGAGAACGTCTACGAGGTCATCCAGGACTTGCACGTCCCGCCGCCGGAGGAGAGCGCAGAGCAGGTACCTCCCCGGGCGCTGGGGCGCGGAGGCGGGTGGCGCGCTAGGGACCGCGCCCGCACGGAGCCGGGGCGCAAGGAGACCCGCTCCGCTCAGCGTCGGGCACGACGCCCACCTCTGTCCGAAGACTTCGGATGAGCTCCCTCTCCCCAACCGCGAAACGTGAGGGGTGCACGCCCGCAGTCCCTCATCAGCAATTCCCAAGCTCCAAAGCTCCCTGGAAGCCCAGAGGCTTTTCGTAATCCAATTGGTGGCAAAATTGCGCTTGAACTGATGTGAGGCTGCTGATGGTCTTTATTTATCGCACTTGTGTGAATATTCATGTTTCGCTGCAGAAATGCAAATGAGCTCGATGGTCGGCTGCTGCCCCAAGCCCTGCTGGGAGGTTATATAACCTACTGCAGGTGTGTGCCCCATATTATCTTTCCAAGTCCCAGCTGTTCTGTATTCCGAAGCGCATCTGGGCACGGAACGGGGGATTGCGGGCCTGCCCCGGCCCAACCGACTTGCCCGTCTCCCAGGAGTCTGGGGTCAGATGAGAGGGTGGATGTGAAAGTCAGGCGTCTGCTTCCCTTTGAGGGTGCTTCCAGCATTTCAGTTCCTTTTTTTAAAGAACTCTTGATGGGTTTGTTTCAGAAAGACGTCCGGTTAAGTGAGGTTGTTTTTTTCCCCCTCTTCAGAGTCCAGTTGTGTTCATCTGGGAAATCGAAAATAGAGCACGTTTTAAAAACAGGTCTTACATCCTCAGAACACTCTAGGCGACCCTGACATTTTGAACTTTAGGAACTTTTCAGAGAGGGGCAGCCCGAGGGGAAAAAAAGATGCTCAGAACCGTTCTGCCATCTGCCACCGGCCGTGTGATGATCTAGGGGCAGTTCTTTTCCTCTCTTAGGGTCTCGGTTTGTTCTTTAGCCCAAAGGGAGGGGTTGGACAGATGACCTCTGATCCTCGGGAGCCTCTGATTTCTTTCGCTGTACCTGATGTCATTACCATGAACACTGATGCCCACTATGTGCCAGGACTGAGTCCGGGATGCCCAGACGAAGGAGACACGCCTCCGTAGGCCCGCTGCTGGGTGTTCCCTCCGCCCGACTCGTTACAATGCAGAGCTCAGGTTTTGAGACTAGGGAAAGGGGAACTGGATTCTGCTGGGTCACCTGCCAGCTGCTGACAGCCACTTAACTTACACGCGAGGACGTTCCCCCAGGCCCAGCGTCCTCTGGTGTAAGCACAATACTTAAGGATTAGGGTTGTGAGCCTTAAACGAGGTAAGGCTTCGAAGCGCTTGACAGCAGCAGGGGGTCCACCCAGGCTGTCTGGGTAGTCCTGGTTTGGCTTCCCTGGGTCTCCGCCGCCTTCACTCAGGCTTCTGCAGCGGTAGCCCGCCGCCTTGTGGCCAGGGTGGGGAACGGCACCCGGCGGGCGGGGCTGGGCACTGCCACTCTGTCCTAGTGACGGTGGGAGGGTGCCTGCCCATCTGAGCAGAGCCCCTGGAGGTGGGGGAATGGCCTTGCTCTTTGAACCTCGCATCTGGCCCAGGGTCTGGCTCAAACAGAGTGCACAGAGAGTGTGTGTTGAGAAGCGCAGAGGTGCGGCAGCCCTTTACCTATGAGCCAGGGCTCTGTAGGTCTGCAAGGGCCAACACCCCAGGCCCCAGGACCAAAGAGGAAGGAGACTGCCCAGGTCCTGACATCTCCTGAGAAGACAGATCACCCCGGCTGCCAGGGCGCCTGCCAGGTGGCCCCTCTGCCCATCCTTCCTCCAGCTCCCAGCAGGTTCCCAGTTGCAGTGGCATATGGAGGGAGGGGCACCGATGATAGGGGTAGGGGACTTACCCAGGGGGGGAATCTAGGACATTGGCCAGAGACAGGCAGCTCTCTGGCCCCACTTGTGACCTCCACAAGTCGCTTTGCATCTCTGGTCCTGTTTCCTCCCCTGTGCGATGTGTGCAATAATACCACGTTCCCTGCCACAGAGCTTTATTCAAGAGGCAGCTGTGGGTCTCCCTGGTGCTCCACCCCCAACAAAGTCCAGGGTAGGGAGTTGGCCCTGCCCCCGCAAGGGAACCCCATCCCTGCTCTTAGTTGTCCCAGGCAGAGTTTCCCCACCATGATCCTCCAGGCCCATTCACTCCTTCATTAGGCATCAACTAGCTGAATACCTGCCAAGCCCTGGTGAGCCTTCGGATCTGGAGAGGACTGAGGCACAGCCACGATCCTGGGGGACTCACCCTCTTGGATAGGAGGCCAGCAAGAGAAGACATGGGGCCGGGGCTCAGAGTGGAGCATAGGGTTGAGAGTGGGTGCCCACCCGGGCAGGGCCTCGTGGGCCCTTGCCAGGAATGTGCACATTATCCTGCAGCCGCTGTGAGGCTTTTAGCAGAGACAGGAATGGGATTGAGAAAAAAATCCCTGTGGCCAGGGCTTCAAGAATGGCTGAAGCTCTTGGTGGTCTCGTGGGCATGTGTGGAAACAGAGGTTTGGGAGATGGATGGGCAGGGTCTGGGGGCCGAGGGAGGTGGGAGGGAAATCAGGTTGAGTTCTAGATTCCCAGCTGGCACTCGTGGGCAGACAGTGGTGCTGCTTCCTGACGGGGGGATGACTTGGGGAGGAGCAGAGTGGAAAAAAGATGGGGCCCACCTGGATTTAGGTGCCAAAGGGAAGAGAAGCATGAGAGTGCTGGCTCAGAGGCCAAGAAGTGTCCAGAAGAAGGACGCACAGGAAGGTCATGTGAGAGAAAGGCCGTATAACACTTACCCTAAGTGACCACTAGACGCTCAGCTGGTCAGGGGGCTGCTGAAGGCAGAGGGCAGTGGTCAGTAGTGAAGTGAGGGTGCGAATTGAGTGTGTGGACAACGGGCAGAAGGAGAGAGACACAGTGTGGCCAGAGGGGGTGTAGGGTCATGGATGGAACCGTCCCCAGGCTCAGGTGGGTGGGCAGGAGATGGGGAGGCTAAAGATGGGGAGAAGGTTGTTGCTGAGAAGGGATCTCAGAAGAAAGTGGGTGCAGAACAGAGGGGGCAGGATGTGGGGATGGCATGGCACGGGGGCACTGGGGAGTGTGTGGGGATGCCCTTCTGTCAGGCAGCAGCTCAGGGCTTAGGGCAGGCTACCAGACAGGGCCAGGGACCCCCAGAACAGAGGAGCTCCTGCCATGGATGGTGTTTTACAGCCTTGTCACTCCCCATGCACTCTAATCGCGCATATTGAGCACTTGGGGTGGGCTGGTCACTGTGCTGGACACTGGGGACAAAGTGTGGTAAGATGCAGTCCCAAAGGGGCTAACAGTCCTGTGGGCTCTTGCTGAAAGGCTTGTAACCCAGGGTTAAGCTCCCAGCAGCTTGGAAGGCAGGCGTAGGCACCTCCATTTGCCCTGAGTACAAACAGAGGTTCAGAGAGGTTTAGTGACACGACGAAGCTCACACGGCCAGGAAGTGGCTGTGTTCAGGACAGTTCCAGGCCCCCTGACCCCAAGCCCCACCCTGGCCAGCAGGTTCAGTTTCAGCCTGGTGGCCTTTAGGGTTGGCCACCCTGTTCCCCTCAACAAGAACAGTACAAGCTGAAGGCAGGCACATGCTCCTTCTTCTGAGCGTCCTGCGTGCCCAGCCCTGTTGTGGAAGAGTTGATGTCCCAGGAGGGACATCTCCTGTTCTTTTGCTGCCCAGGAGAGGGCAGAAGCAAACCCTTCTGAGAGGGGATAGAGGGAGACGGGGGAGGTAAGCAGGGATGACTCCTCCTCTCCCACAAAGAGGCCACTCAGGGAGCTCTGGGAAGCCAGGCCAAAGCCAGTGCAATAAAGGGGCCTCTGAGACTCTTCCCTTGGTCCTGACTCTGGGATTTCAGGGTGCGGTCACCATCCCCGCCCAGAGGTGGGAAGGCCCAGGCAGGTGGAGCTGGCCTGGAGCCCGCCCCTGCTGCTGGGGCATTGGCCGCTGGGAGGGAAGTTCCAGCCGGGCTGCTGCACCTTCTTATACAAGCAGCCCCGGAGGCGCCGCACATGAGCAGGCAGCCCCGACTGGAAGGAGCCCGGGGCCCTCATTCCTTCTCCTCCACTGGGAACTGAGTGAGTCCTCGCCCCTGGGGGACTAGGGGGTGGCCACAGCAGTTTCCCCAATCTCTCCCCTCCCTTTCCCGAATCCTAAAACCCATCTGGGGGCCCCTCCCCTCTGGATCCAGGCCCAGCACCCACTTCCTAGGACAAACTCCAAGGGCAGCCCGAGGCCACTGTGACTGAGAGAAAGGAACTGGCCTTGGGACAGACCCTCCTGTCCCCCTTCGGGGCCAGCTAGGGGGACTTTGGCAAGGGGTGTTGGTAACAGCAGGAAGCTGAGGCCAAGTTGAAGGGACTCTAGCTAGCCCCTTGCTCGTACTCCCTCCTCCGGCACCCCCCACCCCCAACCCCCAGGTGGGGCAGCCACCCTGGGGTGGCCCTGCTGGTTTCTTTACACCTGACCCAGTTCCCTCCCGGTGACTCACCTGCAGCCCCAGGCTGTCCCAGGAGCCCCTCTGCCTGCCTAGGACCTGACTTAGGAGACAGCAGCTTCTTGGATCTCCCTCCCACCCTCACCCCACATTGCTGTCCACCCAGAGATCTCCCTGCCCACCCCCCGCACCCCCTGGCTCTCCTGCAGGCCCCATGATCTCTTCAGGTCTCGCTGGAGCCTGTGCCTGGCTCTCACCTCTTAGTCCTTGGCTCCCTTCAGCGCCCAGGGGCCTGCGATGGGCCCCAGGACAAGCCCACCTGCCCCCTCACTTTCTTCCCAGGCCTCAGCAGTTGACCTCACTCTAGACCTGTTTTTTGTAATGTTTATTTCAATGGTTTTGCGGAGCAGGTGGTGTTTGGTTACGTGAATAAGTTCTTTAGTGGCTATTTCTGAGATTTTGGTGCACCCGTCACCCGACTGGTGTGCACTGTACCCAATGTGTAGTCTTTTATCCCTCACCCCCCTCCCACCCTTCCCCCACTCCCAAGTCCCCAAAATCCATTATATCATTCTTAGGCCTTTGCATCCTCATAGCTTAGCTCCCATAGACCTGTTTTCTCTGCCCTTCCTAGAGCTGACTGCGTCCAGTACAGGGAGGGGTGGGCATCAGTACTGAATGCCAGCCTGGATGGGTGGTCAGTGCCAGGCCCTGGGGAATGGGAAAGTCCATGATCGTGACCAGGGCGTAGCTGATGATCAGGGATGTGGTCGAGTCTCCATGCCTGAATGTTAGGGAGATTGGGAGCTGGATCTGTGCCGGGGAGTGAGAGGTCAGTGGCTGTTGGTTCATATTGAAGGGGAAACAGGGCTGCCAGGACTAGGGCTCTGGGGCACAGGCACAGAGGTGCTCTTGCTAAAATTTGGGAAGCTCTGTTTCCAGATTGCAGAAGGATTCTGGTGTTGAGGGAACTTCCAGAACTGTTGCCTGAGCCGGGTGAGGCCTGCAGGACCCTTCTGTCCAGCTGAGGCTGCTGTGGGTGCCCACCCTGCCTCCTTGCCCTCTCCTGGCTGGGGGTCCCCTGTGAGGCATGAAAGGAGGGGGGC
Source organism: Homo sapiens (assembly GCF_000001405.40). NCBI lineage: Eukaryota > Metazoa > Chordata > Mammalia > Primates > Hominidae > Homo > Homo sapiens. The sequence goes on along the minus strand of NC_000017.11, from coordinate 45,424,098 downwards.
AGGGGCCCCTGCCCAGGCCTCCATGTCTGTCTAGGGACTGGGCCAGAGAGAGGAAGCAGAGGTAGCAGAAGGGCCTGCCTGCAGAATCATCCCAGCCTCCCCCTTCCTTTCTCCTCCTTGGCCCAGTTAAATGTGTAAATTACTATTCCCTCCCTATAAAAATAGCTTAACTCCATTACAAATATTTGAATAATAGGAGGAAATCTCAATCGAATGACTGTGAGCATGTTGGTTTCTTCCCATTTATTCTGCCTTCTTATGCGTATCTCTTGGGCAGTTCCCGTAGAGACATCACAGTGTAATGACGATTGTGCCTTCTGCTTTTTCATTTACCATATTCACCTAGTCAGTGAATGTCAGCCGCTGTACTGGGGGCTAGGGAGCAATGAAAAATAAAGGATGGTTCCTGCCCTCAGGTAGCTTACTGTCCAGGAGAAATTGAACAGCAGATCCAGTTATGATATTGTATGGCATGGCAGTTATGGTATGGAAGATATGATATGATATGATATGTCTGCAGAGAGCTGTTGGGGGCATGTTGGAGGAGCTGCCCTCCCAGAATCTTGTTGGCAAGAGGGAAATCCAGGAGTGCTTCCTGGAGGAGGAAGGTGTTGGCAGAGTTGAATTCGAAAGGTTTCTACAGTTCCCGCTCATGAAACCCTCTGGACCGGGTGCCTTTTTCAGTGGCAGATTTTTTTTCTCATCAATGGTAATTAGTTTATTTAAGTTTCTACTCACCTTCTAGTTAATTTTGGCCATTTTATATTTTACTAGGAAAGCATTCATTTTCTCCAGATGTGTAAACTCTCCACTTTTAAAATTTATTATGAATTTCTTTGTGACCAAGTAAATGATTTTGCTAAGTTTTTCACAGACACATAAGAAAAATGCGTATTTTCTTTTTTTATTTTTATTTTAATTTTATTTTTTTGAGATGTCGCCCAGGCTGGAGTGCAGTGGCGTGGTCTCGGCTCACCGCAACCTCCACCTCCTGGGTTCAAGTGATTCTCCTGCCTCAGCCTCCTGAGTAGCTGGGATTACAGGTGTGCGCCACCACACCGGGCTAATTTTTGTATTTTTAGTACAGAGGTGATTTTGCCATGTTGGCCAGGCTGGTCTGCAACTCCTGACCTCAAGTGATCCACCCACCTCAGCCTCCCAAAGTGCTGGGATTACAGGTGTGAGCCACCACGCCTGGCCGGAAAAATGCATATTTTCTATTTAAGGGATATAAGGTACTATCTGCATCAAATCATGTTTATTGATTGTATTATTCAAACTTTCATTTCCTTTGTATCCTTTGCTTGGGGGCAGGGGTCTTTTACTCTAATTCTGATAGAGATGTGTTATGTTAAACCTTCCTCTCACATTTTCTCTATAAAGCTCTTCTGGGGCTTTTCCTAGTTTTTGCTTTTTATATTTAACTACGACGCTGTCAGGAGGATGCAGATTTCGAGCGTTCTTTCGTTACAAATTGTGCTTTTCTATCATTACGTGGTGTCCCTCTTTATCCTATTCTAGTGCTTAACCTTAAATTTCACCCTTCTATTGTTTATATGACCACTCCTTATTTTACTTTATCTTTTTTTTGTACTTGCTTAGCATTCTTTTATTTCCTACTATTATCATTTTTTGAAACTACTAATTTCTTGTATATGTCACATCACTGTTTTGTTTTGTTTGAGATAGGGTCTCCCTCTGTTGCCCAGGTTGGAGTGCAGTGGTGTGATCATGGCTCTCTGCAGCCTCAGCCTCCCTGGCTGAGGCAATTCTCCTGCCTCAGCACCTTGAGAACGTGGGACCACATGGCCCACGTGCCACCATGCCCAGCTAATTTTTTTTTTTTTTGGTATTTTTTGTAGTGATGGGGTTTCTTCGTGTTGCCCGCCACCACTGTATTTTTATTATTTTCATGGATTTTTGTTTGTTTTTTGAGATGGAGTCTCGCTGTGTCACTCAGGCTGGTGTGCAGTGGTGCGATCTTGGCTCACTGCAACCTCCGCCTGCCAGATTCAACTGATTCTCCTGCCCCAACCTCCTGATTAACTGGGATTACAGGCACACGCCACCACATCCAACTAATTTTTGTATTTTTAGTAGAGATAGGGTTTCACCACATTGGTCAGGCTGGTCTCAAACTCCTGACCTCAAGTGATCCACCTGCCTCACCCTCCCAAAGTGCTGGGATTACAGGTATGAGGCACTGCACCCAGCCTATCACTGTATTTTTAAACCCAAGCTGACTCTTTGTCTTTTAGTGGGAGAATTCAATCTGTTCACATTTCATTTAACAATTGATCTACTGTACTTGATTTGATTACCTTTGGCTTATTTTACATTTATTGGTTTATCTTGCAGTTTTTTTCCCTCTGATCTGGTTATCGATTTCCTTTTTCTTCCTGTTACACTTTCCATTTCATTATTGGCAGCTGTCCCTTCTCTGGGGTTCCTAATCAAACACATATTCTTTAGCACATGCCTCGATGGGGATTCTTTTCTCAGCACCCTCATTTGGAGCTTACAGAACCTGTCACTCTGTAGACTCCGGTCTTTTCTCAGCTTAGGAACATCTATTTGTTGCTTGATTTGATTATTGTTTCTTTATTTTTTATTTTTTTGAGACAGGGTCTACTGTGCCACCCAGGCTGGAGTGCTATGGCACGATCACGGCTCACTGCAGCCTCGACCTCCTGGGTTCAAGTGATCCTCCCACCTCAGTCTCCTGAGAAGCTGGGAATACAGGCGCACGCCACCGTGCCCAGCTAATTTTGTTTGTATTTTATGGAGAGACAAGGTTTCACCTTGTTGCCCAGGCTGGTCTTAAATTTCTGGGCTCAAGCAATCTGCCTGCCTTGGCCTCCCAAAGTTCTGGGATTACAGGCATGAGCCACTGCGCCCGGACTGTTGCTCGATTATTGTTTCTTTTACCTTTTCTTTCCTTTGCATGTGAGCGCTCCCAACTGGGTCCCCCCCAGTTTATCTTTGGTCTCTTTATTTCATTCTTGTTGTACTTTTGCTCTGAGGTTTGATGTTTCTTCTTGACCTTCCAGGCTGCAAATTTGAATCTCAAGAGTGAATTTCTTCTCCTTCAACTAGTACAATGACATATTTTAAGTTCTAAAAATCAGTCTTTTTTTTTTTTTTTTTTGAGATGGAGTCTTGCTCTGTCGCCCAGGCTGGAGTGCAGTGGCATGATCTCGGCTCACTGCAAGCTCCGCTTCCCGGGTTCACGCCATTCTGCCTCAGCCTCCTGAGTAGCTGGGACTACAGGCGCCCCCCAACATGCCCGGCTAATTTTTTGTATTTTTAGTAGAGACGGGGTTTCACCGTGTTAGCCAGGATGGTCTCAATCTCCTGACCTCATGATCCGCCTGCCTCATCCTCCCAAAGTGCTGGGATTACAGGCGTGAGCCACTGCGCCCGGCCAAAATCAGTCCTTTTTTAAAACTCTGCTTGATTTGAGTCTCCTTAAGAGTTTGTATTCAAATTGTAATTGCATTCTCCAGCCCCTCTATTTTGCCAATAGCCTTGAATTTATTTTACTAGATAGTATTTTTACAGGTTTTTTTTTAAATCAAAGCAATATTTTAAAGTCTATAGTAAAAATGTCACATGTACACTGTTTCCCTGCTCTGTTCTCCATCAACTCAAAAGTCACCACTTTCATTCATTCTTTCTTCATTCTTCCAAAGTTTCTGAGTACAAACTAGTATAATTATGTATCTGATTACTTAATTTTCTCTCTCAAGCAACACCGTCCTATGTGTAAAACAAGGTAAAAAACAAAACAAAACAAAACAAAAACCTTGTTTACTTTTTATTTCTTTGACAATGTATCTTGGAGATTGTACCTAGAGAGGTTCTGTCTCCTTCCCTACAACTACAAATAATCCATTTTACCAGTCTCCTGTTGACAGGCATTTGGAATATTTCCCATTTTTTGCTGTTACAACAATGTCATAATGAATACTGTTATATATGTACAGGTAGAAGTAGGAAAAATTGCAGAAGTGGGATTTTGGGGTCAAAAGATAAATATTAGATATTTGATGAGTATGTCCCATGAGGCATATACCAATGTGCCCTCACCAACACAAATTAGTGTCTGGTCCCCAAAGCCTTGCCAACTGACTGTTGTCAAACTTTTGTTTTCTGCCAACCTGACCATAAAATGTATTATCTTAAGGTACTTTAAATTTGCATTTCTCTTTCCAGTAAGATTATCTTTTCATATATTTAAGGGCTGTTTGTTCCCCCCCTTTTTTTTCTGTGAATGGTCTATTTATATCCTTTGCCTGTTTCTGTATTGGGTTGTTGGGCTTTTTTCTTATTGAGTTCTAGTAGCTTTTTCTATACTAGGGAAAATAATCCTTTGTCTATTATTACATGAGTTGTAATTCCCTCCCCCACCCTGAGTTGTCTTTTGACTCTGCTAATAGCATTATTTTGCCACACAAGTTTTCTTAAAATATACTTATGTAGTCCAATGTATCACTCATTTATTTTATGGCTTTTATATTTTGCATCTTTGTTACAAAGTCATATATATATATATATATATATATATATATATATATATATATATACATACAGCATAAGTCTTTTATATATATACACACACAGCATAGTATATATTGTATATATTTATATGTACATACAGCATATTGAAGTCTTTTATCTATATAAAGAGACACATATATAAAATATATAGGCTTATATATAGGTATATACATACAGCATATTAGATTTTGTTTTCTTCTTTGTATTTATGGCTTCGTTTTTAAAAACTTAAATCTTTAATCCTTTGAGGGTTATTGTGCATGGACAGAGTGAGATGTGGACCCTCCCTTACTTATATACTTGTTTATTTATGTTTATCTCTGGATGGGCAGCCAGTTGTCCTGTGACCTTTCACTGACAAGTTTGTCTTTCCCCATGACCTGTGATGGCATCTTTAGTGCGTCCTGGGTCCCGGCTGTGCTGGGGTCTGGTGGCGGCAACTGGTTTGGTGGTTCTCTCTGTTCCCCCTGCTGAGCTGTCACAGAGTGAGTTTATATGACTTTGCTCCCCAGAGCTGGGGTCGAGCTGCAGGAGTACCCACTTGGTGGGGGGGCCCTAGAGTGGAGAAGAGATGGTGGTCTCTGCCAGTGGGCCTGTGGGCATGGGGCATCTGTGATGTCAAAACACCAGCAGGAATTCTCCCTGTCTCCTTGGTGCCCTGGCCTTACGGGTAGAGACTACCTGGCCCACCTGTTTGGCCCTCCTCAGCTCCTGGGCTCAAGGGTACAAAAGCCACCCTGCCTTCTCCCCAGGGTCCCATGATGGGCCAGCCTGCCCCAAGGTTCCCCTGGGAGCCTCCACCTCAGACACAGCCTCTCACCTGTGCCAGCCAGGTCCCACCCACCCACTGTCCCAGCCTCTGCTTGACTCAGGCAGTAGCAGGTCGCAGTTGGCAGCAGAGGGGAAACAGGGCGTGTTTAAGTGGCCTTATTCCCAGAATCCTGGCTCCAGAGCTGTGTCTGAAAGGGAGAGGAACTACTTTGTAACACTTCGGGGGTGGGGGGAGCTGGAAGGGCAAGTCTGTTTCCAGGTGAGAAATAATGAACAACTTTTTTTTCTTTTCTTTTTTGAGACAGGGTCTCGCTCTGTCACCCAGGCTGGAGTGCAGTGGTGCGATCACGGCTCACTGCAGCCTCAACCTCCTGGGCTCAAGCAGTCCTCCCGCTTGGTCCTCCCAAATAGCTGAGACCACACGCTTATATGGTAGTGACAGTGAGGATGGAGAATAGTAAAAAAGTTTAAGGGATTTTTTTTTTTTTTTTTTTTTACTTTTTATTATGAAAATGTCCAAATAGGCTGGGCCTGGTGGCTCACACCTATAATCTTAGCACTTTGGGAGGCCGAAGCGGGAGGACTGCTTGAACTCAGGAGTTCAAGACCAGCCTGAAAAACGCAGTGAGACCTCGCCTCTATATTAAAAATAAGTAAACAAATTTAAAACTGAAAAAAAAAGAAAATGTCCAACATGAAGAAAAGTAAAAAAATTTTTTTTTTTTTTTTTTGAGACAGAGTCTCGCTTTGTCGCCCAGGCTGGAGTGCAGTGGCACGATCTCCGCTCCCGAGTTCACGCCATTCTCCTGCCTCAGCTTCCCAAGTAGCTGGGACTATAGGCGCCTGCCACTGTGCCCGGCTAATTTTTTTATATTTTTAGTAGAGACGGGGTTTCACCGTGTTAGCCATGATGGTCTCGATCTCCTGACCTTGTGATCCACCCGCCTCCGCCTCCCAAAGTGCTGGGATTACAGGCGTGAGCCACCATACCCGGCCAAAATTTTTTTTTTTTTTGAGACAGAATCTTGCTCTGTCACCCAGGCTGGAGGGCTGTGGCACAATCTCAGCTCACTGCAATCTCTACCTTCCAGGTTCAAGCGATTCTCATGTCTCAGCCTCCCGAGTAGCAAGTGCCACCACACCTGGCTAATTTTTGTATTTTTAGTAGAGACGGAGTTTCACCATGTTGGCCAGGCTGGTCTCGAACTCCTGATCTCAAATGATCCACCTACCTCTGCCTCCCAAGGTGCTGGGATTACAGGTGTGAGCCACCATGCCCAGACAAAAAGAATTTTTTTTTTTTTGATACTGAGTCTTGCTCTGTCGCCCAGCCTGGAGTGCAATGGCACAATCTTGTCTTATTGCAACCTCTGCCTCCCGGGTTCAAGTGATACTCCTGCCTTACCCTCCCAAGTAGCTGGGATTACAGGCATATGCCACCATGCCCCACTAATTTTTGTATTTTTAATAGAGGAGGGGTTTCGCCATGTTGGTCAGGCTGGTCTTGAAAGTCTGACCTCAGGTGATCTGCCTGCCTCGGCCTCCCAAAGTGCTGGGATTACAGGCATAAGCCACCACGCCCAGCCAAAAATAATTTTTGTTTTTTTTTTTGAGACAGAGTTTAGCTTTTGTTGCCTAGGCTGGAGTGCAATGGCTCGATCTCGGCTCACCACAACCTCCGCCTCCTGGGTTCAAGTGATTCTCTGCCTCAGCCTCCCAAGTAGCTGGGATTACAAGCATGGGCCACCATGCCCAGCTAATTTTCTTGTATTTTTAGTAGAGACGGGGTTTCTCCATGTTGGTCAGGCTGGTCTCAAACTCTCGACCTCAGGTGATCCGCCTGCCCCAGCCTCCCAAAATACTGGGATTACAGGCATGAGCCACCGCGCCCGGCCAATAATATTTTTAAGAAATGAATACAGGCCGGGCGCGGTGGCTCACGCCTGTAATCCCAGGACTTTGAGAGGCTGAGGCGGGTGAATCACAAGGTCAGGAGTTTGAGACCAGCCTGGCCAAGATTGTGAAACCCTGTCTCTACTAAAAATACAAAAAATTAGCTGAGTGTGGTGGTGGGCGCCTGTGATCCCAGCTACTCTGGAGGCAGAGGCAGAGAATTGCTTGAACCTGGGAGGCAGAGGTTGCAGTGAGTCAAGATTGCGCCACTGTACTCCAGCCTGGGCGACAGAGCTAGACTCCATCTCAAAAAAAAATTAAAAAAAGAATACAGTTACTTATTGCCTAGATTTAACAATAGCAAGGAGCCAACTCCTTGCTGGCTGCTCTACTAGAAAAAAAAAAAAGAGAGAGAGAGAAAAGAGAAAAAACAATATTTGCCGTGTTTATTTTTATTTATTTATTGCTGATGAATTATAAATTCTAGACATCATATTTCACCCCTAAAAACTTCAGCATGAGGCTGGGCGCGGTGGCTCACGCCTGTAATCCCAGCACTTTGGGAGGCTGAGGTGGGCGGATCACGAGGTCAGGAGATTGAGACCATCCTGGCTAACACGGTGAAACCCCGTCTCTACTAAAAAAAAAAAAATACAAAAAAATTAGCTGGGCCTGGTGGCGTGCGCCTGTAGTCCCAGCTACTCGGGAAGCTGAGGCAGGAGAATGGCGTGAACCCGGGAGGCGGAGCCTGCAGTGAGCCGAGATCATGCCACTGCACTCCAGCCTGGGCGACAGAGCCAGACTCCGTCTCAAAAAAACAAAAAACAAACAAAAAAAAAAAACAAAAACTTCAGCATGCATCTCTGAAAAGTAAACACCCTACCATTATTATATCTGAGAAAATTAACAATAATTCCTTAGTGTCATCTATGACCTAAGCCATCGTCAGATTTCTGCCTTATCCTAAAACATCTCTCTCACAGCTGGTTTGTTTGGTTCAGGATCCCGTCCAAGTCCATGCCTTGTATCTGGCTGTCTCTTCAATCTCCCTTGAAGAGCCCTACCCTTTCTTTCTGCCTGGACATTGACTCATTGCCCTGCCTGCAAGGTGTCTATTTGCTTCCTTGCAGCAGTGTTTCCGTCTTCCTCTAACCTTGGTGTTACCTGAGAACTGGTAGGCAGGTCTGCAAGGCTTAGGCTGGTCGGATCAATGGGGCTCAGTGTCAGATGAGGCAAAGCCAGCAGGAGGCAAGGATGATTCTACCTTGAGTGACAGAGGTAGATGTCACTCAGATGCTAAGATCGGGGAAGGAGGAGGGAGAGGACAAATTTGATTTGGGGCACACGGTTTTCGACATGTACAAAGGACATCCAGATGGCAATGGGCTATGTGAGCCTGGAGACTGTGCTGCGAGTTGTTGATCTACAGCCGGTGGGGCTGGGCTCTCCCAAGGCGGTGGAGTGAGAAGCCAGGTGAGACACCAAGCATGAGGCCGTGGCAGAGGAGGTGGAGCCTGGGGCCCAATTGCTGAGCAGTAGCAAAGAAAAAGAAGGAAAACTAGGAGGCCTGGCCTGAGGAAGCCCAAGAAGGAGAGGATTTTAAAGAGCAAACACTGGAGAGAAGTCAGGCCAGAGGAGGACCAGATCTATCATCAAGGAAGTGGTAGAAGGCCTCTAAGCAGTGGGCTGATTGTCTAAGTGAGGGAACAGAGAAGTTGGCTCAAAAAGGAGGAAGGGAAAAAGGAATTAGTTGTTAAAAGGAGATGCAGAGCTGGGTCCAGGGAACAAAACTTTTTTTTTTTTTTTTTTTTTGAGATGGACTCTCTCTCTGTCACCCAGGCTAGAGAGCAATGGTGTGATCTCTACTCACTGCAACCTCTGGGGTTCAAGTGGTTCTCCTGCTTCAGCCTCCCAAGCAGCTGGGACTACAGGCAACTGCCACCACGCCTATTTTTTTTTTTTTTTTTTTTTTGGTATTTTTAGTAGAGATGGGGTTTCACCATGTTGGCCAGCTGGTCTTGAACTCCTGACCTCAAGCGATCCACCTGCTCAGCCTCCAAAGTGCTGGGATTTCAGGCGTGAGCCACTGTGCCCAGTCAACATTTTCTTTTTAAGATGGAGAGACCAATTGGGTGCAGTGGCTCAGGCCTGTAATCCCAGCACTTTGGGAGGCTGAGGTGGGAGGATTTCTTGAGCTCAGGAGATCAAGACCAGCCTGGACAACATAGTCAGACCCTGTCTCTAAAAAAAAAAAAAAAAAAATTAGCCGGGCGTGGTGGTGTGGGCCTGTACTGCCAGCTAGCCAGCTACCTGGGAGGCTGAGGCAGAAGGATTGCTTGAGTCCAAGAAGTCAAAGCTGCAGTGAACCATGATCGTGCCACTGCCCTCCAGCCTGGGTGACAGAGCAAGACGCTGTCTAAAAAAAAAAAAAACCAACATGGAGAGGCCTTGAGTTTGTTGAAATGAGAAAGGGACAAAGGTAGTCAGAAAGGAAGGGTTGGAAATTTGAGGTGAGGCCACTTCCGAGCAAGCGGGAGGCTATGGGGTCCTTCAGGACCGGGCTGAGGAGGTTGGCTTGGACGGCAGGCCCCTGTGCCTTCCACTGGGGGAGGGGGAAGGAATGGTGGGTGCAAACACAGATACGTTTGAGGGGGAGGGCAGAAGGTGATCATTCCTTGGTCTCATTTTCCCACCTCCCTAGTCTGGCTCATCCCTACAGCCTTCGCTGGCTGGGAGGTTCCCTCATGGACCATTTCTTTTTTTTTTTTTGAGATGGAGTCTCGCTCTGTCACCCAGGCTGGAGTGCAATGGTGCGATCTTGGTTCACTGTAACCTCTGCCTCCCAGGTTCAGGCAATTCTCTTGCCTCAGCCTCCCGAGTAGCTGGAATTACAGGCGCACGCCACCACGCCCAGCTAATTTTTGTATTTTTAGTAGAGACAAGGTTTCGCTATGTTGGCCAGGCTGGTCTGAAACTCCTGACCTCAAGTGATCCTCCTGCCTCGGCCTTCCAAAGTGCTGGGATTACAGGCCTGAGCCACCGCACCCAGCCCCTCATGGACCATTTCTGATCCCTCCTGGCCCCAGCAGCCCTGCTGGGTGTCTGCCAGCCTTACTTAGAGCACAAGCGTTGTGAGCCCTGAGGATGCCCCACCCCAGCTCCCACCCCGCCCTGGAGGAGCAGGCCAGGCAAGCAGCCCCATGAGGTCACCCAGAGGCTGGGGACAGAGTCCAGAGCCGAGGGCACCCAATCGAAACCCGAAGTCAGAAAAGCAGAAGTGCAGGCCTGCTTTCCCCCAATCCCCATGGGTGTGGGAACCCAAGGCCCGCTCAGTTCTTTCATAGAACCAGCCCTGTGACGGAGTAGGGTTGACAGCTCTGTTCTACACATGAAGAAACTGAGGCCCAGAAATTCAAGCAGCTGCTCAGCGAGAAGCTGAAGTAGAGTCTAGACAAGAGTCCAAGTCTCTGGTCTCCGGCTCCACTCTTTTTCCCTCTGAATCAATGGAAGCTTCTGCCCCAAGCCCAAGAAAAGGGTCTCACCTGAAACCGTTACATTTGGAATCTCACCCCACATCCATGCAATAAGATTACACTGAGTCAGCCGGGCTGCTCATGCCTGTAATCCCAGCATTTTGGGAGACCAAGGCGGCGGATCACTTGAGGTGAGGAGTTTGAGACCAGCCTGGCCAACACGATGAAACCCCATCTCTACTAAAAGTACAAAAATTAGCTGGGCATGGTGGCAGGCACCTGTAATCCTAGCTACTCAGGAAGCTGAGGCAGGAGAATCACTTGAGCCTGGGAGGCAGAGGTTGCAGTGAGCTGAGATCGAGCCACTGCACCCCAGCCTGGGTGACAGAGTGAGACTCCATTAAAAAAAAAAAAAAAAAAAAAAAAAAAAAAAAAAAAAGATTATACTGAGCCGTGGTGCCACACCTGGGAGGCACAGTCAAATCACCCAAGGAGGCTTAAAATTAAACACTTTCCCCAGGTCCCGGCCCAAACCACTTCCATCAGAATCTCAGAGGGCTGAGCTAGGCACAGTTCCCCAAAGCCTACTGAGGCCTGAGGCCCAGGATCCTGTGGGGTCACCCCCAGCTCCTCCGATCCTGCCCCTGGACATGTAGCTCTGGGCCAGGCCGGGATGGTTAAAGGGAGACCCAGTTTCTGTCCTGGAGAACATGTGTTTGGGGGAGGGACCTGTCGTGTGGACATGACTGAGCTCCTTGAGGCAAAGATCACCATTCCTTCTGGCTCTCCCTCCACCTGGCTTGGGTGGCACAGAGCAGACTCACTGAGTCAACAAAGGACACCATGTCCCCTCGCCAGCCCCTGAGCCAGTTCCTGGGCCAAGTCCTGGTTTGGAGGCGTTCATTTTGCCTCTAGCCCCAGAGGACTGGGTCTTCCTAGTGCACCTGCTCCTGCCCCAGCACTTCCTATGAGGGTTTGGGAGGGAAGAGTGAGGTCAGAGTGGGGAAAGGAGGGGTGTTGTGCAGCTGGTTTGTTCTAGAACCTCTCCTGACCCTCCCCCTTGTGCCTCTCAGAGGCATGAGGGTGTGGTGGAGGGAGGTGGACCCCTCTGGGGAGCCACTGTGGTCATCACCTCCTCTCACTGGGGGGAGGGAATCCGAGACAGGGCCTGAGAGCCAACTTCTGTGGCCAAGAGCAGGCAGGAACTGTGTGAGTTTGTTCACTCCCTATAGTTTGGGGCTGGAGCCCCCTGGGAGACCCCCATCATGGGGGCCCAGCTTCCTACTGGGGAAGAGAAGCAGGTGAGATGCCAGGTGAGTTGCTGGCTGCCCATTCTGCAGTCCCAGCCCTGACACTGACACTCCTGGCTCTGCCATAGGGAGTCCCTGCCCCCCATGCTACCTGCAGGGCAATGCTGAGGGCCTGAGTTCCACACCTGTCCTCTTCTCTCCCCTCTCCACCCAGCTCCTCCCTGGTGGCTCAGAGTTTCTGGCCTCTCTGGAATTTACAGAGGCTATTCCTGTCTCTGAGGCCTGGTTGCATAACCCTTGGTGACCTGTCATATGCACGCACACGTGTGTAGTGTGTGTGTGTGTGTGTGTGTGTGAGTCCTCATCCCTGGCCTCAGGGTGGGGACAGAGAGATGGGTCAGGTGTGTGATAAGCATGAGGCCTCCAGCCTTCTGTGATTCCTGCTGTCCTCCACCCTGATAGCGAGGAGGGGATTAGTCTACCCCTGGGGTCTGGGCTTCTGAGTCGGGTACAGGGGATGGGACACTGGTATGAGAGCTTTTGTGGGCAGAGCAGGGCATGGGGCCCAGTCTTGCTCCTAGTGTGATCTCTACAAGTGTCTCGTGCCCCACATTCACACTGTGCCTGGCTCTGCTTGGGGTCCTTGTCCCCAGCCCACAGTGGGTACAGGAGAAGAGGGGCTGAGAGACATGGCAGGGGAGAAAAAGAGATCCAGGGTGGGGGCCAGAGGAGGAAGAATGGGCCTAGAGTGGAAGGGTGGGGGTCAGAGCCTGACCAGGAAAGGAGGTGGACTTCAGCAGGGGTGGGCTGGTGGGCTTAGTGCTGCCTGGCCCTTAAGCCTGGGGAGGAAGCACTTCTAAGGGAGGAGGGAAGACAAGATGGACCCATGGGCTCAGAGGAGGGGCTGTAACTTCTTACTCAGGGCATGTGTCCACTGTGCGTGGCTGGGGTCTGTCATCCCCACACGAGGGGGTGAAGGGAAGAGAGGCCAGGAAGAAGATTTAACCTTCCTCCTGGAAGAAGCTGGTGCCTGGCCCTCTTCTCTGGGTCCTTAGAGAGGAGGGGACAGGCACGGGCATACTTGTACACGTATGTGGACACGCAAGTGAGAGTGGGCACATGTGGGCATGCAGGCGTGGGAGGGCATATGCATCTTGGTGACCGAGTCTGGAGGAGACAGACCCAGGTGGTCAGGCGGGCAGATAGTGATGTGGTCAGAATCCTTCCTGTCCTCCTCGGGGCTGGCACAGTCCAGATGCCAGCTCCCTGTGATATCACATCTGCCCAGACCCCTTCCTCTTTGGGAACTCTTCCCCTCCCCCCCACAAGCTTCCTCTTTCCCATTACACCCTCCCTGGGCCTAGAGGGAGTGGACAACCACTCATTGTCCTGTTTCCGCCCCAGGAGCCACTCCAGGCCAGCCCAGGCCCCCAGCACTCAGCGCCCCCTCTGCCCACCCTGTCTGTGCAAGCGCGCCCCTCCCCCACAGGCTCAGCCGTGATTCTCTCTGTGCAGTTCATGCTGTGGCTGGGTCTGGCCGTGATCTTCCTCTGTGCAGCCCACACCATGGCTATGTCTGGGCCTCGGATGCGGCTCACTGGTCATTAGAGCACTGAGTGGGGCAGCCAGCAGTGTTTCTAGAAGCATAAAAATACCCTCAACCTGAGGCCCCTCCACCCCACCCGCCCCAACTCAGGCAGCACTTCCGCAGCCCTGACAGGAAATGGGCTGGAGTCTCAGCCTCCCGCCATCTCGGCAACTTCTTGTTTCCCTGTTGCCCTGTGCCAGCACTGGGGTAGTGCCCCTGGGCTCTACCCCCAAAACCTTCCCAGGGCTCTGTCCCGGCAGTTCAGAGGGGCCAGGATGGTGGACATAATCGCCAAAGTGACCAGGAGGCAGAGTCGAGCCTTGCCGGCACAGGTAGGGGATGCTGGGGTCAAGGGGTGCCCGGTGGGCCTCTACCACAAGCCCTGTTAGGAGCTGGGTGAGCTGGGGCTTAGAGCAGGGAGCCTCTTGGAAGTTGGGGCTCATACTTCCTTTTCTCTTTCCTTCTCGGAGGCCCTGCCCATCCAAGAGGTGGTCAGCTTGGGGCAAGAGTGGCAGGGCTGCCACCTGCTTGTGGACAGGGGAGGGAACTGGAGATAAGGGGTGAACCACTGTAAGGCAGTACCAGGGGGCTGGGCAGCCTGGAGCCTGAGAGCCAGGTCCCTCTTGGCTCCTCCTCTGGCCTGAGGTCGGAAGGCCACTTCTTGTCTCTAGGATGCGACCCAAGAGCCATTGATCCCGTAGTCAGGCCCCTGCTTATGAGCTGCATCTGGGTCTTGTCTGGGCCTCCATGAACAGGAGCAAGGAGGAGGGTAGGGGTGGCAGGCGCCTGTAACTCCTTGAAGGCCAGAGGATGTGGAGGGCGTGACTGCACCTGGCCCCAGGAGCTGGTTAGAACCCAGCTGAGGCTCTGCCAGGAGAGGAGAGCATCTCTATCTCAGCACTGTGCAGGGTCTGCCGAGAGTTCCAGAGTTTGAAGGGGCCTGAAGGACACTGCAGTTCAACACCCACCACAGGGCTATGGCTTCCCTAACAGGGAGTAGACTCTGCTCAGTCACCTCCAGTGAGGGCCCCTCACTACCTCCAGAAGCAGCCTGTGTCTCTGGCAGCCCTAGTCCTCAGAATGCTTCCTTCAGAGGAATGCTGCTGTGCCCCTGCAGCATGATACCCCATCTTCTCTTCCTTGTGACAGCCCTGTCATGCTGGGGACCTAAACTTCTACCTCCGAAATCTCCTCTGTACCTGCTGGGGACATTCCTTCGTGTGAGGACCCCATCAGCCTCACTGGCCTGGGACTCCTCGTGGACCCAGAGCCATGGCCCACAGCCTGCCAAGTAGAAATTCCTGCTCCAAAGAGCCTGTTCCTTATCAGCTCATCCACCCCTGGTGGAGCCTTTCAACTCCTGCCCCAGTGCGTTCAGCTGGGAGGATGGGAGGTGTGTCTGGTTCCTCTGCCTTCCTCTCCCCGCTGCTTCCATCCTGCCCTCCCCAGGAATCTCCTGGTTTCTGTGGCTCCGACCCTCCTCCTCAGAAAGCTCAAGCTCATTCCAGGCTCTTCTGTCATGTCAGGCATGTTTGTTGCTGAAACTGGGCATGGGTTAGACTTGTGTACACAAGCAGTTTGTGGCAGACCTGCTATGTGCTTCAGGGCATTGGCCCAGCTGCTGGGGGGCAAATGGAATCAGCTACATTATCCTTAGTCTTGCTCTCAAGAAAATCCTGCCTTTTGGGGCAGAGGAGGTGGGCAG
This sequence comes from Homo sapiens, assembly GCF_000001405.40. NCBI lineage: Eukaryota > Metazoa > Chordata > Mammalia > Primates > Hominidae > Homo > Homo sapiens. Next base: position 45,408,858 of record NC_000017.11, on the reverse strand, counting down.
ATGGTTGGACAACTGGCTGCCCACCAAGGCAGAACGCCATTGGGCCTCAACAGAGCAGTGAGCAGAGTGCCAGCAGGTTTGACCTCTCCCTGGAGAGGCTTGTCAGCTGAGCACCGTGAGAGAGCAGGATTTGGGTAGGCAGAGAACCAGAGAAGGGAATTCCAGGCTGAGGGAATGGCTGGAGCAAACGCTTCGAGGTGGGAGGATGCCTTTTCTGTTGGGGGCCGGTGAGAGGCCTGTTGTGGTTGGACTACAGGATGCCACATCAGAGCTATGGTGGGGGTAGAGAAAGGACAAGTGGGGTGGAGGGTCCCCTCTCAGCCACACAGCAGCCTGGAGGAAGGGGAGAGGAGAGAAGAACTGATGGGCTGGGATCCCCAGCTCTCCCTGTCCCCCAGGCGCCTGGGGACTGGCACCCTGTCTAAAACTGTAACATCCTCTTCATTGACAGTGTTTTCATTTCTTGCTTAGCAGTGATCAGCACTGACATGCTGTCCATTTACTCATCACCCCCACCATTTACACACAGGTGCACTTGAGTGCCAGCTCTGCCAGGGAAGGATTTGTGTCCCTTTCTTCCCTGCTGTATTCCCCGTGCCTCAAACAGTGCCTGGCACAGAGCAGGTGAATCTTTGTTGGGTAAACAAATGTTCTTCTTTTCCTTCTTCTTTTCATTGTTTTGGTTTGGTTTGCTTTTTTGGCATCAGTTTGGTGAAAAATGAATTTTTTTTTTTTTTTGGCATCTGCCTAAGGCTCAGGGAGAGACCACCCTGAACAGGTGCTTCCTCTTTCGAGGAGTTTACAGCTTAGTGATGGTGTCACAGTCAGCAGAGGAACTTCTGTGAATTTTTAAAAGTTTTGTAGTACAAAATTTTGAGGCTGCAGGAAAGTTCAAAGAAAACAAAACAAAAACAAACCCCTATAATCACAGTGCTCAGAAGGGACCTCTGTTAGCATTTTGGAAAGTTTCCGAAAACACAAAATTGAAATGTGGAAATCTGCTTTCCCCTGAAGTATTGTGTATGCTTAGAAAATAGTAGTAATTGGCCAGGTGCGGTGGCTCACACCTGTAATCCCAGCACTTTGGGAGGCCCTGGTGGGCGGATCACCTGAGGTCAGGAGTTCAAGACCAGCCTGGCCAACAGGGCAAAACCCCATCTCTACTAAAATACAAAAATTAGCCAGGCGTGGTGGTGCGTGCCTGCAATGCCAGCTACTTGGGAGGCTGAGGCATGAGAATCGCTTGAACCCAGGAGGCGGAGGTTGCAGTGAGCCGAGATCACACCATTCCACTCCAGTCTGGACGACAGAGCGAGACTCCATCTCAAAAAAAAAAAAAGAAAAAAAAGAAAAAGAAAAAGAAAAGAAAAGAAAATAGTAGTAATCTCCGTATGCCATGCTGCTGCCTGGGGTTTGAGAATGTAGTCATCTGTCCCTCTGTGGGGCCAAGGGTGCTGGGCTGAATGTGGGGGCACGGGGATGGGGGGAATCTCAGGAAAAGGCTGGAACCTGGCACCTCAGCTGAATCCTGAAGAAGGAATTGGAGTCAGCCAGGCAAAAAAAGGGGTGGAGATGGGCCTGGGCAGGCTGCAGATGAGCCTAGGCCTGGAGGAAACACAGCAGGGACGGTGGGGACCTCTAGCAACTGGTGCTACTGGAGCTTAAAGTTCAAGGCAAGGGGCAAGGAGTGGCAGGAAATAATAGTGGAAGCACAGGCCGGTGAGGGACGGTCTCTTGTGCCTGGTTAAGGGCTTAGACTTTGCCCTGCAGCCAGCAGGGAGCTCTGAGGTGTGAATCAGGAGAGCCTCTGTTCCGGGAGGCTTACGCATGGCTAGGTTTATGTTCTATGTGATTGAACCCCCAGCTGCCCTCACTCTCCTTTGGGGTGGAGTAAAACAATTCACCTCTCTTTGCCCCTCCATTCTCCAGCCCATCTGGCTGTCCTGTCTCCCTCTCTTGTCTGGAATTGGTTCTGACACCTGCAAACTTCACCTTGGAAAGTTCAGTCCCCAAATCCAGACAGGGTGCTGATTCCAATCCCAGAGCTTTCTGGGCTGAGAGTGGGGTGGGGTGGGAGCTCTCAGTGGAGCTGTAAGAATGCAGCTTGAATCCAGGAGGTGGTGGTTGCAGTGAGCCAAGATTGCGCCACTGCACTCCAGCCTGGGTGACAGAGCTAGACCCCATCTCAAAAAAAAGAATGCAGCAGGGCCCTGAATGGGCACCATAAACAGGGGCACGCCCCAGACCACTTCTCAGTTCCTGCCCAACCTCTGACTTGCCTCTGTGAGTGCACAGTTGTGAGAACTGGGTTATCGATGTTTTATTATTATTGATAAATATAATTAATGTAATTGACCCACCCGTCTGGGGCACTAAATACTTTACAAAGTACTTTCAAGAGCATTTCCTCATTCACTCTTCACTACAGTTTCCGGAATGGACAGAGCAGACATTTTACACCCAGGAAACTGAGGCAGAGAGGTAGTGTGACTTCCTGAAGGTCGCCCAAGGGGCTAAAGCTCAAGAAGAGGCCACTTCTAACAGGCACTTCCCCTTTCAAGGAGTTTACGGCTTAGTGATGGTGTCACAGTGAGCAGAAGAACTTACGTGATTTTTAAAATGCTTTGTTGTACAAAATTTTGAGGCTGCAGAAAAGTTTAAAGAAAATAAAGCGAAAACAAATAAACCCCTATAATCGCACTGCCCAGAGGGGACCTCTGTTACCATTTTGGAAGGTTTCTGAAAACACAAAATTCCTCCTTTCTCCTCCCGCAGGTGGACGACCCACCGGAGCCCGTGTACGCGAACATAGAGAGGCAGCCCCGGGCCACTTCACCGGGCGCCGCTGCAGCCCCCCTTCCCAGCCCGGTGTGGGAGACGCACACGGACGCGGGCACCGGGCGCCCCTACTACTACAACCCAGACACGGGAGTTACCACCTGGGAGTCGCCCTTTGAGGCTGCCGAGGGTGCCGCCAGCCCAGCCACCTCCCCTGCCTCGGTGGACAGCCACGTGAGCCTTGAGACCGAGTGGGGCCAGTACTGGGATGAGGAGAGCCGCAGGGTGTTCTTCTACAACCCGCTGACGGGCGAGACGGCCTGGGAGGACGAGGCCGAGAACGAGCCCGAGGAGGAGTTGGAGATGCAGCCGGGCCTGAGCCCTGGCAGCCCAGGGGACCCGCGGGTGAGGGGCAGGGCCAGAGTGGGCGGTTCTACCTCTGAGCGCCTCTGATCCCGCCTCCTGCTCCCAGAGGCCCAGGGACACACGGGTGAGGGGGTGGTGATGGGTGGGCGGGGCTACCTCTGAGAGCCTTTGACCCCTTCTCCTGCTCCCACAGACCCAGGGACCCCAGGGTGAAGGGCGGGGCTGGAGTGGGCGGGGCTACCTCTGAGCGCCTTTGACCCCACCTCCTGCTCCCACAGACCTAAGGACCAGAGGGTGAGGGGTGGGGCAGGATGGGTGGGGCTACCTCTAAGCGCTTCTGACCCCGCCTCCTGTTTCTGCAGACCCAGGGACCAGAAGGTGAGGGGCAGGGCTGGAGTGGGCGGGGCTACCTCTGACGCCTTCTGCTCCCACAGCCCCAGGGACCAGAGGGTGAGGTGCGGAGCTACCTCTGAGCGCTTCTGACCCCGCCTCCTGCTCCCACAGCCTCAGGGACCAGAAGGCAAGGGGGTGGGCCTGGTCCAAAACGGCAGGGCCAGCAGGCAGTACTGGCACTCAGAGCCTCTGACTCCACCTTCTGTTCCCCGCAGCCCCCCACTCCCGAGACGGACTACCCCGAGTCGCTGACCAGTTACCCCGAGGAGGACTATTCTCCCGTGGGCTCTTTCGGTGAGCCCGGCCCTACCTCTCCCTTGACCACACCCCCCGGCTGGTCTTGTCATGTCAGCCAGGACAAGCAGATGCTCTACACCAACCACTTCACTCAGGAGCAGGTAGGGGCAGGGGGCAGATGGACCCGGACAGCCTCAGAGTCCTCCCCACAACCTTCCTCACTAATAGGTCGCCTCAGTGCTCTAAACCGCAGCTCCCACACAGAGCCTAAACCAGCCAAACACAGTCACCTGCACCTGCCCCTCCAGACTCCCTGGTGCTGTCTTGGAACCTGGTTAGAGGGAAACTTTTCCTCCCCTCTCATAAGCTGGGCTGGAGGCCCTGACCATTCCTCTCCCCACAGTGGGTGAGGCTGGAGGACCCCCACGGGAAGCCATACTTCTACAATCCAGAGGACTCCTCTGTTCGATGGGAGCTGCCCCAGGTAACAACCTGGGGAAAGGGGGGTGTTGGGGAGAGAGGAAGAGATCATATACGACTGTGTCTTTCTCCCCAGGTCCCTGTCCCTGCCCCTCGAAGCATCCATAAATCCAGCCAGGATGGTGACACCCCAGCCCAGGCCAGCCCTCCAGAGGAGAAGGTAGGGGAGGAGCCATTGAGGTCCTGGCAGGACCACCACAGAAGCAGTGGGGGGCTTCTGGAGTTCCTGGGAGGAGGGACTTGGTGGGATCTATCTGTCTTCCCCCATAGGTCCCAGCAGAGCTGGATGAGGTTGGGAGCTGGGAGGAAGTCTCTCCTGCCACAGCTGCTGTGAGGGTAGGCATCACCCCCTACCCCCAGCCAGGTGGTGGTGCTGGCGAGGAGGGTTCAGTGGAGACACGGGCCCAGACCATAGAGAGTGGCAGCTGAGCAGGTGACCAGCCTCTACTCCCCATAGCTCACCCCTTAACTACACACTCTTGCGCCTGCTCTCTCTTCTCTCTCTTAGACCAAGACCTTGGACAAGGCAGGGGTGCTCCATCGCACCAAGACGGCAGACAAGGGAAAGCGGCTCCGGTGAGAGCCCATCTACACTCAGGCCGGGGCAGGGTGGGCCTTGGTGACGATGTTCACTGAGCACTTCCTGTATGCCAGGCTCTTATTAATCCTCACAACAACTTCGTGAGTGGTCCTCTGTGGACCCTGAGACACTGTGAGATAAAGTGACTTGCTCAAGGTCCCTCGGCTGCTAGGTGTTAGAGTCGGGATTCCAGCCCTCATAATGGGGTGCCCTAGCCTGTGTTCCTAAGCTCTGACTTGTTCCTGGGGTAGGAGGGGCCCTCAGCCCAGGACCAAATCTAAGTCCTGCCACCCCCACTTCCCCACCCCCACCTAGGAAGAAGCACTGGAGTGCCTCCTGGACTGTGCTGGAGGGTGGCGTCCTGACATTCTTCAAGGACTCAAAGACCTCGGCTGCAGGCGGCCTGGTAAGGCCAGGCCCTCAGGGCAGGGACCATCCCATCTGCTTTTTTTTATTTTTATTTTTATTTTTTTTGAGACGGAGTCTCGCTCTGTCACCCAGGCTGGAGTGTAGTGGTGTAATCTCGGCTCACTGCAACCTCTCCCTCCTGAGTGCTCCTGCCTCAGCCTCTCGAGTAGCTAGGACTACAGGCATGTGCCACCATGTGCGGCTAATTTTTGTGTTTTTAGTAGAGATAGGGTTTTACTATGTTGGCCAGACTGGTCTTGGACTCTTGACCTCAGGTGATCCGCCCACCTCGACCTCCTCAAGTGCTGAGATTACAGGCGTGAGCCACTGTGCCCAGCCCCCATCTGCTCTATCTAATCTGGCTTGGAGATGACCAGGTCTGAGAGAGTGGTCCATGAGTGTCAGAGGAGCTGGGCCTTGGCAGGAAGGGGGTGATACTGGCAGATTCACTCCAAGACAAGTAGTTTTAGCCCACTGGAGATGGGGAACAGTCTTGAGGGTGGCCAGCTCCAGCCTGGAGGGCAGGGAGGCTGGGGGTGGGCACACCTGCTTGCAGGGATGCAGACTGCACTCCTTTCCTGTCCTCCCCTGGGTGGGTGGGCAGCAGTGGACATGCCAGCCAGCAGGCTCCATGGTTAAGAAGCATCAGGGTCTCTGGGTTCAGGAACACTTGGGGCACTTTTCCCCAGAGTTGTTTCCTGGCCATGCCAGTGACCCCATCCTATTCCTAGGGTCAGAGTGCCACAGCAGACACATCTGAACTGAGGGCTCCCTGTGACCTTCCTCCCTCTCCCACAGAGGCAGCCTTCCAAGTTTTCCACCCCTGAGTACACAGTGGAGCTGAGGGGGGCCACTCTCTCCTGGGCCCCCAAAGACAAATCCAGTAGGAAGAATGTGCTGGAGGTGAGTGGCGGGGTTGGGGAGAAGGAGGGAAGGGGCTTAGTGATGCCTGCCAGCTCTCTGACAACTATTGACCTGGAAATGACCTGGGGGTTTTTGACCCTTAATTCCCTATGAGCCAACACTGAGTGCAGCTTTTGGCTGTATTAATAGAGGTAGGAACCCAGAGCCAGAGAGGTGATATTGGTGCAGTTGTTGGCAGTGCTGTGGGACCCTTACTGTAGGCAAGCCCCAAGAAGGAGGACCTGGGAAGAATTGGGGCTACCATTCTCAGGGCTCAAGGCCAACGCTGCACCCCCGCCCCAGGGGACCTGTCCTTTGTTTCTAACATCACATATTCTGCAGTTCCCTCTCCAGGAGCTGAGTTAATAATAATCCTTGCCCTGGAGGGTGGTGAGGAGTAGGGCCTCTGGGAGAGGAAATTCTCATGACTAGAATGGCAGCCCTCGTCCCAGCCTGAGAGAGACAGGAGGCTCCCTGTCCCTGGCTGCTTACTGTGACAGGCCTGGTTGGGAAACCTCTTTCTCCCCAGGTCCCTTTCCCTGCCCCTGAGCCAGAGCCCCATTTCCGACTGGACCGCATCCCCAGTGAATAAACTGGGGCAGTGGAGAAGACTACCATGCTACCCCCGCAGGAAGGGAGAGAAGACCCAGAAAGGGTACTCCCAATGCCACACCCTTCACTGTCCATGTGTTGTCTTGTTTTTAAACTACTCTTACCCTGACCTCAGTACCTAGAAGGTTTGAGGCAGATCACAACAGAAACACACGTGGTGAACTGTCAAATTAACTGAAAAGCCAGGACCATGAAAAACAAGTAAGAGATGGGACTCAAGATGGAGAGGAATTAGGGGGCAGATGATGTATGGGTGCTAAGGTGGTGGTTACTGAAGAAAATTTAGCTCCGACTTTCCTGCTAGGTGAGGTGAAAAGAGAAGGGCTATCAGGTGCATGTCTCTTTGTTGTTGAACAAATAATAAAACCCACCCAGATGTTGAGGGAATCAAAGCTTTTTCCTAACCCTTCACTCTTAAATTTCTTGTATGTAGCTCCATGAACATGGGATCTAGAAGCACATGCCAGGTACCCTGCAAAACAGCTCCAGGAAGGTTTAATTCAGGATCCGGGACTGCTTCAGGTAGCATCATTATGATGAAGGCCAAGAGCATGACCTCATGTCTAAGCTCAGAAAAAACAGTTCTGCAAGGAACCTGAGAGTGTAGTTTCCTGATTATTCACCAAGCTCCATTCAGTTCTAGAGCCAGGATATCTATAAAGCAAAGTTGGAAAACTGGTTTCATCTCATGAGCTACTCTGATGAGTAGGTCTGGAGTCTTGTGGGGTTTTGTTTTTGTTTTTATTTTTTGTTTCTGTTTTTAGAGACAAGGTCTTGCTCTGTTGCCCAGGCTGAAGTGCAGTGGCACGGTCAGAGCTCACTGAAACCACAAGCCCCTGGGCTCAAGCGATCTTCCCACCTAAGGCTTCCGAGTAGCTAGGACTACAGGCGCGTTCCATCACATCTGGCTAATTTTAGTTTTTATAGAGATGGGGGCTCACTATGTTGCCCAGGCAGGTCTCAAACTCATGGCCTCAAGTGATCCTCCAGCCTTGGCCTCCCAAAGGGTTGAGATTACAGGTGTGAGCCACTGTGCCTAGCCTGGAGCCTTCTTGAGAAGAATTCTGAAGGCTTCTCTGGGCTTGGCAGGATAGAGTTCTGTGATCAACTAACAATATCTGCTATGGTGTTAAATTGAGGAGAGACATCACTATTATGATTATGATTATGATTATGATTATGATTATTATCCAGAGTCTCACTCTGTTGCCCAGGCTGAAGTGCAGTGGTGCAATCTTGGCTCACTGCAACCTCTGCCTCTCGGATTCAAGTGAGTCTCCTGCCTCAGCGTCCCGAGTAGCTGGGACTACAGGCGCCTGCCACCATACCCGGCTAATTTTTTTGTATTTAGTAAAGACAGGGTTTTACCATGTTGGCCAGGATGGTCTCAATCTACTGGCCTCAGGTGATTTACCTGCCTTGGCCTCCCAAAGTGCTGGGATTACAGGTGTGAGCCACCATGCCCGGTCTGAGACATCACCTGTGCTAGTCATGTTTCTCCCCTGACTTTGAGGGATAGGTATATCCTTCAAACAGTTCTCAATGAAGATCATCACTGATGGACTTTTGATGAAAGTTTCAGAATAGGGCTTTTTGAGTTGTCTTTGCTGGCAAGGACTGGAAGGCAGGTGCTGCTCAGGCCAGTGGGAAGGTGGGCAGGCCTGAATGGAAATCACAAGCCCCTGCCTCCTGGTTGACTGCTGGCCATCCTCCCTCCATGCAGGGCGGCCTGTAGGCAGCTCCAGGGTTTTCCTCAAGAGACAGCCCCAAATTTTATATCATTGAGGATGGATGGCTTTGTTGGGCCCAGGAAATTTTCACAGCAGGTCTTTCTAGTCACCCCGAGTTACAGAAAACTTCAGCAACAGTCCGCCAAAAGCTGCTAGCATTTGCCTGTGCGGTCAGCAGGATAAATGTTTTGTTTATTTGTTTGTTCTTAGAGATAGGGTCTTACTGTGTTGCCCAGGCTGGAGTGCAGTGGCTTGATCGTAGCTCACTGCAGCTTCCAACTCCTGGACTGAAGTGATGCTGTCACTTCAGCCTCCCCAGTAGCTGGAAGTACAGGTGCACACTAGCATGTCTGGCTAATTTGTAAAAATTTTTCTAGATATAGGGTCTCACTATATTGCCCAGGATTGAACTCCTGGTCTCAAGGACTCCTCCCACCTTGCCCTTCCAAAGCACTAGGATTATGGGCATGAGCCGTTGTGCCTGGCTGGGGGTGAATATTTTGTGAAATACATTGCTATGTAATGATACAGCTTTGCCCTCTATATGAAACTTGCAAATATGAACTGATTATGTTTTGAGAGAGCTGCCAAAAATCATGGCTGTTGTTTTAGAAGTGTTGTCAAGCCATTCTCTGGGATAATCTTGAGCAGGGCTCTTGTCTGCTTTGATTAGAGTGAGGCTGTGTTATCTGCCTCTTGAAGGTTCTCTGTCCTTTGCAGGGGAGGGCTAGGGGATGAGATATGCCATTTTCTTTTCTTTTCTTTTCTTTTCTTTTCTTTGAGACAGAGTGTTGCTCTGTTGCCCTGGCTGGAGTGCAGTGGTGCGATCTCGGCTCACTGCAATCTCTGCCTCCCGGGTTCAAGCGATTCTCCTGCCTCAGCCTCCCGAGTAGCTGGGACTACAGGTGCGTGCCACCAGGCCCAGCTAATTTTTTGCATTTTTAGTAGTGGCAGGGTTTCACTGTGTTAGCCAGAATGGTCTCCATCTCCTGACCTCATGATCCACCCGCCTCAGCCTCCCAAAGTGCTGGGATTACAGGCATGAGCCACTGCGCCCAGCCTCATTTCATTTTAAAAAGCAGTTTAAATAGTCTTCAAGTATAAGTTTAAAAGGACAGCAAAGATAGTCCAATCCAATTCTAGAAGTTGTGTCCTGGGGTCTGAGACAGTTTCTGTTGTCTCTGACTCTCGCTGAACCAAAAGGGCAGGGTTGGTGTGAGCTGTTGCCGCCAAACATTCACATTAACCTGGAACACTGGGTCCTCAGAGCCAGAGGCTGATAAGGAATCCAACTAAGCTGCCATCCAACTCAGAAAGGGCTTTGAGCGTCAGTCCTATGGTGGCAAGTTTCCCTCTGGTGTTCTGTTTAATTTATGCTTCATGATGAAGCGGGCTAACAGAAGATGTGTTGCCCAGGCTGGAGTGTGGGAGGTGGTGGGGACTCCTGGCTGCAGAAGGTGGGACAACGTTTCTGAGTCCTCAGTGTGTGTATGGGGAGGGGCAAGGGGAGACCTTTCTTTCCCTGGGATCAGCCATGATCAGCTTTCAAATCCTCTCTCCCTATATTCACTGTTGCTTCTAGTAGACAGGGGTCTCAACATAGGAAGTTTCTGGGTTTTGTTTTGTTTTTTTTTTTTTGAGACGGAGTCTTGCTCTGTCGCCCAGGGTGAAGTGCAGTGGCATGATCTCGGCTCACGGTAACCTCCGCTTCCCGGGTTCAAGCAGTTCTTCTGCCTCAGCTTCCCAAGTAGCTGGGATTACAGGAGCCCGCCACCATGCCTGGCTAATTTTTGTATTTTTAGTAGAGACGGGGTTTCACCATGTTGGCCAGGCTGGTCTCAAACTCCTGACCTCATGATCTGCCCGCCTCGGCCTCCCAAAGTGCTGGGATTACAGGTATGAGCCATCGTGCCTGGCCTCACATAGGAAGTTTCTTTCACTTAGTTTGCAGGCCAGTGCTCTGCATGAGGCCTGCCATGTTCTGTGGCTTGCAGGGAGGCAGGATGGGGGAGGGAAAGTGTACCAGACAATTGAGCCATGCAGCTCTGTGCTCATCACTCACTAGCTGTGTGCCCATGAGGAAGCAGCTAAAACTTGCTGAGCCTCAGTTTGCTCATCTGTAACACAGAGATGCTGTCAGCCACTGCTTTACGTGAGGCAGAGATCCAAGACTTAGCCTGGGGTGAGGCCCTTGCTCCATTAAGCTCTGAGTGCCTGGGGGCAGGGACAGGTCACCTCTATCTCTGTACCTACCCCCAACTAGGGCCAACCCCCAGGGCAGACCCAGGGTACCAGAGATGACCCACTGACTTGTGTCCCTCCAGCTACGGAGCCGAGATGGCTCTGAGTACCTGATCCAGCACGACTCGGAGGCCATCATCAGCACCTGGCATAAGGCCATTGCTCAGGGCATCCAGGAGCTGGTAAGCAGAGCCCAGGGCCTCTAGGGGCAGTGGGGAGGGGGTGGCCATTATGAGTGGGGCCCTCTGCTCAGGCTCAGGGAGCTCTAAGGTACCAGTGGGTAATGCAAATGCAGTCCCCACTAATGGCTAGGATGGCAGGGTAGGCGGCTGAAGAAACTGCCTTCTGTAAGTCTGTGAATCCAGCCCTGGGGTTGGCCCTGCAGGAAGACTCTCCAGGTGAGGGTAGGGCACATTCTAAAGGAAGTTCCCATTTCACGGGAGGCAGAAGGCCAAATAAATACTCTGCAAGCCAACCAATGGCAGGCTGAAACTAGCAGATAAAATTTTAAAGGATTGATTTCAATAGTCGACCATTTTTTTAAGGCTGAAAACACCAATTGCATAAGTAGAGCTAGGACAGGGGCCCTCTGACAACTACTGACCTGGAAATGACCTGGGGCTTTTTGACCCTTAATTCCCTATGAGCCAACATTGAGTGAAGCTTTTGGCTGTATTAATAGAGGTAGGAATCCAGAGCCAGAGAGGTGATATTGGTGCAGTTGTTGGCAGTGCTCCGGCCACAGCTGGAGGTGCAGGCTCAGAACTGGGAGCCACGTATTGAGGAATGCTGACCCAGTTAGAGGAGCTGAGGAAAATAGAGAAAGAAGGCACCAGGTGGGTAGGAGTCCCCAGGATAGGAAGGGGTGTGGGAGAACAGGATGACTGTCTCTGCACCTTAAGGGCTCCATGCAGCTAAGGGAGGTGAATGTTCTCAGGCTCACTGGTGGAGGTAAGGAGAGTTAACCTGGTTAAGGGAAGAGAGGACTCTTCGCTGAGGGTCTCCAGGCCATGCCTGTTGGGAGTGCATTTCGGGTCCCTTGCCCCATCCTGGAAGGACCCGCAGCTGGCTCAAGGCCCCGCCTCTCTGAGGCTATGGGAATCCAGTCCGCAGAGCTGCCCCCAGAGGAGAGCGAGAGCAGCAGAGTGGACTTCGGGTCGAGCGAGCGCTTGGGAAGCTGGCAGGAGAAAGAGGAGGACGCGCGACCGAATGCAGGTGTGCGCAAGGCAGGATGGGGTGGGGGCTCCAGGAGGCCTCTCCTGGGGAGTGACGGTTGCTGGGGCCTGCCTGGCCTGCCCTGGCGCTGCCTCCTGACTCAGTCCTGCCTTTCCCCGCGGCAGCCGCGCCCGCCCTGGGCCCCGTGGGCCTGGAGAGCGACTTGAGCAAGGTCCGGCACAAGCTCCGCAAGTTCCTCCAGAGGCGGCCCACACTGCAGTCGCTGCGGGAGAAGGGCTACATCAAAGGTACCCGAGGCCTGCGGGGGGCGGGGACCCGGGACCGGGACGGGGCGCAGGCTGGGCAGGAGCTGATGAGCCTCTGCCCTAGACCAGGTGTTCGGCTGCGCGCTGGCCGCGCTGTGTGAGCGCGAGAGGAGCCGGGTGCCACGCTTCGTGCAGCAGTGCATCCGCGCCGTCGAGGCCCGCGGTACGTGCGCTGCGGGGGTGAGGGCGGCAGGCATTGGGGTGCCCGCAGGCCTCCTGCCAGGACCGCAGGCTGGAGACCCCTGGATGGACGCAGGGTCCAGGGGGAAAGTACGGGAGGCCCCGAGTGGGAGTCATAGCAGGGACCCGTAGCCCCACCCTATCCCCATCCCTGAACCCGGGATCAGCGCCTCCCTCTGGCCCAGGGCTGGACATCGACGGGCTGTACCGCATCAGTGGAAACCTGGCCACCATCCAGAAGCTACGCTATAAGGTGGACCACGGTGAGGCCCGTCCCCAACCCCTGCCCCAGGGCCTGAAGGCGCAAGGGGTACTGATTTCCCTTCCGTCCTCCTCCCTTCCTCCGCCACAGATGAGCGCCTTGACCTGGATGACGGGCGCTGGGAGGACGTCCACGTTATCACCGGAGCCCTGAAGCTCTTCTTTCGGGAGCTGCCCGAGCCCCTCTTCCCCTTCTCGCACTTCCGCCAGTTCATTGCGGCCATCAGTGAGCACCTGGGGCAGGTGGGGCGGATGGGGTAGGGGCGTGGCGGGGCACCCCTTTAGCAGGCTCCCCTCGCCCAGCCGATACCCCCTACCTCCCGTTCCGACTCCCTCCCTCTAAACCTTCCCTCACCCAGAGTTGCAGGACCAGGCCCGGCGCAGCCGCTGTGTGCGTGACTTGGTGCGCTCGCTGCCCGCTCCCAACCACGACACTCTGCGGATGCTCTTCCAGCACCTCTGCCGGTGAGCCGGGCGGCCCGCGCGGGAAGGGGGAGGCAGGTCCCGGCTGAAGCCCCCAGCGCCTCCCCGCAGTTCGCAGTTCGGAGCCCTGAACCCACCCACCCCTGCCACAGGGTGATCGAGCACGGCGAGCAGAACCGCATGTCGGTGCAGAGCGTGGCCATTGTGTTCGGGCCCACGCTGCTGCGGCCCGAGGTGGAAGAGACCAGCATGCCCATGACCATGGTGTTCCAGAACCAGGTGGTGGAGCTCATCCTGCAGCAGTGCGCGGACATCTTCCCGCCGCACTGACTGCTGGCCTGTGACTGGGGCGGCGGCCGCGGTCCTGCCACACAAGCTGGGCGGCGGAGGCCACGCAGCCGGGCCTTCTTCTCTCTGGGACCCTCCGCCAGCGCATAGCCGCAGGCCGGTGTGACTTCTGCACCCTCGGTTCTGAGGGTACGGTGACCCCTAGTGGGCAGTTTGCAAAATGTGATTCCTTCTTCCCAACTCCCCATCCCCCCTTCCCTTCCCGTCACGTCCTGTTTGGGGGTTAATTCGGTTTTTTCTCTGTTGCATCGCGCCTACTGTGCGTGTGCGATAGCGTGTGTGGGGGTGAGAGTTTGTTTTCTGGAATGGTAGGTGCTGGGAGGAGGAGTTTGATGGAGGGCTTCCTGGCTGCTTCTGGCCCTCACCTCGTGGAGGCCTTCACAGAGACCCTGTGGGCCCTGGCCCTGTGCTGGCACTGTGCCAGTCATGAGGCAGCTCTGATCACTTCCCCACTGTGGAAACAGGACTGACCCAGCCTTCAGTGTGGGCTGCTGAAGCTATCCTCCTCAGGCCTCAGGGATGACCTCCTGCCTGAGCCTCTCACAGGCTGGCTGTGGGCCAGTTTCATCTGCTTTCCTGTTGGGGGTCCCGGGCCTCTGCTGTCCTTGACCCACTGGTGTTCTGTGCAAGGCTTCTTCCCATTCACCAAGTGCACACCTTGCATCTGCCGCTCGGCATGCACCAGTTCCACACACCATCCCATTTTACAGACAAGGACGCTGAGGCCTGCAGCAGCAGTGTGACTTGCTCAAGGTCCAGTGAGTGACCTCATTCCCCAGAAAAGGCTCCTCCCACACCAGAGTACAGCCTGGGTAGGGGGAAAATCAGTTCTTTCAGCTACCACCCATCCAACCTTTGGGCCTATGTGAAAAGAAAGGAACTAAGCTGGGTGTGTTCTGTCTGGACCTGGGGAGGCCCCTGAAGGCAAAGAGGGAAACTGTCCCAGCTGTTCTGTCCTAGGGGAGGGGGACATAGCCCTAGCAGGAGCTCCCAGCCCCTCTTGGCACTCTGACACACAAGTACACCCATCTGGGGCCCGCTTTGCCACGAAGAGCTGGGCAGGCCTGCAGGGTGTGGGGAAGGAGGACACAACCTCAAGAAAGGAAGCGTGAACCCCAGGGAACAGCGGGTCCCTTCCCTCCTCAGACACAAGCCACCTCAGCTTGTGGCTCTTGGCCCCCAGCCCCACCAACCCACCTGTTCATTTATTCAACAGACAATGACAGCTGATATTTATTGGACATTTGCACCATGCCAAGCATTCGGCTTGGATTATCCCATTTGTTTCTCACAGCCGGTATTTATTGTCTGCTCCTCTGTGCCAGGTGCTGTGCTCTGGGCAGGGGCACTGCATGGGCTGCCTGCCCTGGTGGAGCTTGTGGTCTGATGGGTGAGGCTGACCCAAGCCCACCCCATTGCCAACAGGGCCAGGGCAAGAGTACACACAGGGGCCTCATACCATATGTCTAAATATTTAAAAGTTATCAATCAAGCTAACAACTGTTAAATAAAATATGTTCTATTCTCCTACTTTGACAAATGTGTCTTGATAATGACCTGGAAGGCCAGGTTCTAATTTAAACTTCTTTGACTTTTCCAAGTTCCATGCCCAAATGTGGTGGCCGGAGAAGGGCAGGCCCTGGGCTCAGCCTTCCCTCTCATCTTCCCTCCCACAGAGCCCTCCTCCCCCAAGCAGAGGCTCACGGGCACATATGTGGACATCGTAGTCCATGTGTGCCAACTGCCCATACCCCCTGCAGCCAGCTGCCGCTTGGCTACCCCACTGGTGACGTAGTCCACCCTTGAGGGAATGGGCTTGGAGCTATTTGGGCGGGGCATGCTGGGGCCCCATGTATCAGAAGCATGTTCTAAAGGGCAGGTCCAGGCTTCAAGAGGGCTCCCCAGATTCCTCACCCTGTGGGGAGAGCCACAGACACAGGAGCCTTCTCCTGCAAGAGGACCCATGGCAGGGACCCCTCTCATTTGAGTCCAAGGGTGAAACTAGATAGACAGTAAGCAGATAATTACTTGGTTATCACATTTGTACAAGAGCTAGCAGAAGTGTAGAGTGCTCGGAAGGTGTGTCATGGGGTGTGAATGTTGCCCAGGGACCTGAGATGCTTCTGCAGAAGCCACATTTGAGAGAAGCAGTAAAGAATGAAGAGGAGTCGAGCAGAGGGGTTAAGGGAAGGGTGCTAGTCAGTGGGAGTGGCATGTGTAAAGGCTCTGGGGCAGGAAAGCTTGTGGGGAGAACAAAATCTGAGAGAAGACCATTGTAACTGGAGCCCAGAAAACCAGGGAGCATGGGTATGAGGTGAGGCTGGAGAGCTGTAAGGGACAGAGCATGTGGGGCCTTAAGGCCAAGGACATTGGGTCCCCAAGACAAGGAGCTGAAAGGCAGGGAGATCTTGGAAAGGTGTCCGCTCACCATCTCCTTCACCACCCCAGGCTTCTGACCCTGCCAAGGCCTCAGTGGGCAAATAATACAGCAGCAGGCAGAGAGGTCCTAGAATTATCACATTTTTGTCATGAAGGGGAGCTTCAGAAATCACCTACCACCAATGAGGAAACCTCTAGAGAGAACATCATAAATCACCTGCAGCCACATGGCAGGTTGGTGGCAGAACCTGGCCCAGAGCTTCATTTGCACAGTCTAGGGACCTACCGTGCCCCTCACCAGAAGTCCGAGGCTCAGTCATACGTCCCCAGCCCTGAGCACATGCATGGTGAGCACTGTAGGTGTGCATCGAATAGGTTTGGAATGAATTGGATTGTTCTGAAACACAAAGAATGTAGAAGTGGTGTCTTCCCTCTTGAAGCTCCGTCTGGATGGGGAGAGCTATAAAAAGGAGCGACAGTGGCACAGCTGATAAGGGCTGCCACGGGGATCTCTCCCCAAGCCCACTGCCTCTCAGCAGATGCCCTTAAGTCCTCCTGCAGCCTATAGTCTGCCCCTGAAGCTACTCTCAGAAAGGCCATGGTGCCCACTTGGTTGCTAAGTCTGGGGACGTGCCCAATCCTGTGCAAGTAAACACATGGACTGTCTGTTGTCCTTCTTGAGACATGGACTGTCTGTTCCTTTGCCTGCAGCAACATGGGGTTTCCTTTTTCTTTTTCTTTCTTTTTTTTTTTTTTTTGTTTGAGACAAGGTCTCACTCTGTTGCCCAGGCTGGAGTGCAGTGGTGCGATCATAGCTCACTGCAGCCCCAACCTCCCAGGCTCAAACCATCCTCTTGCCTCAGCCTCTCAAGCAGCTGGAACCACAGGCACACACCACCATGCCTGACTTTTTGTAGAGATGGGATCTCACTGTGTTACTCAGGCTGGTCTCAAACTCCTGGCCTCCAGTGATCCTCCTGCCTCAGCCTCCCAAGGCACTGAGATTACAGTATGAGTCACTGTGCCTGGCTTACATGAGTCTTCTCTACCACTCCACCCCTCCCTTCTCAGCTCCCTGTGTGCTCTGCTTGCCCTATACATGGTGATGCCCCCACTCCCAGATTGTGCCCTTGGCCCGCTTCTCTCTCCCTTCCACCATCCGTCATCCATTCCACCCTGCAGACTCAGCCACCAAGCCTGCACTGGTGTCACCCAAATCTCTAGCACCAGCTTGGAGTGCTCTCTCGCGAGTCATGTGCAAAATCTACCTGCTCAGGAGACACTTCCATGTGGATGGCTGCCAGACACCCAAAGTGCAACCCATCTGCAACAAAGCTCAAACCACCCCTGCTCCCTGTCTCTGAGCATGGCAGCCCCAGTCCCCAGAGTCCCAATCTTCTACTCCTAAATATGTCCCATCCTCCATCAGTCTCCCTCATCTGGGTGATCACAGCAGCCTCTGAATGGGTGCTCTCCTCCCCATTTAATCCTCCACCCAGCAGCCACCCCTCCCACCTATGCATACCAGCTGTGCCCACGCTGCCCCGGGACACTCCAGGTTGCTTCTTGCCTCGATACTTTTGGGCCAACAGTCTTCCTGCCTCCTTCCCTTTCCCCTGGCCAGTTCCTCCTCCTCCTCCCCCAAGCCTCAGCTCACACCTGCCCCCTACACCCTCCTCAGATCTCATGCGTGTGTCTCTCTCATCACACTTAGCTCACTGGATATGATTGTGCTTCCGTGGCCAGGCCTTCCCACTGGGCTGTGGGCTCACAGAAGTTTGCAAGTTTTATCCAGGTCATAGCCTGCATCATTACCTCATTCCTTTTTATTGTATTTATTGTATTTATTTATTTATTTTTGAGACAGAGTCTCACTCTGTCACCCAGGCTGGAGTGCAGTGGTGCAATCTTAGTTCACTGCAACCTCCACCTCCCAAGCTCAAGCAATCTTTCCATCTCAGCCTCCCAAGTAGCTGGGACTATAGGCGTGTACCACCACACTTAACTTTTGTATTGTTTGTAGAGACAAGGTCTTACCATGTTGCCCAGGCTGGTCCCGGACTGCTGAGCGCAAACAATCCTCCGGCCTCTGCCTCTCAAAGTGCTGAGATTAGAGGCGTGAGCCACCACACCTGGCCCTCATTCTTTTTTATTGTCAAATAACGTTCCATTGTATGGATACATCACATTTTGTTTATCCATGTGTCAATTGATGGACATTTGGGTTGTTTCCACTTTTTTTTTTTTTTTTTTTCCTGAGACAGAGTCTCACTCTGTCTCCCAGGCTGAAGTGCAGAGGCATGATCTTGGCTCACTGCAACCTCCACCTACCAGGTTCAAGCAATTATCTGCCTCAGCCTCCCGAGTAGCTGGGATTACAGGCGCCCGCCACCACACCCGACTAATTTTTTTTTTTTTTTTGTATTTTTAGTATCGATGGGGTTTCACCATCTTGGCCAGGCTGGTCTTGAACTCCTGACTCCGTGATCCACCTGCCTTGGCCTTCCAAAGTGCTGGGATTACAGATGTGAGCCACTGCACCCAGCCGGGTTTTTTCCACTTTTTGGCTAATATGAATAATGCTGCCATGAACACTCACGTACAAGTTTTTCTGTGGACATATCATTTCGGTCAGCTAGGGCTACCATAACAAAATACCATAGACTGGGTGGCTAAAACAACAGAAGATTTATTTCTCACAGTTTTGGAGGCTGGAAGTTCGAGTAAGGGGCCGGTACAGTCAGGTTCTGATAAGGGCTCTCTTCCCAGCTTGCGGACAGCCACCTTCTCACTATGTCCTTAAGTGGCACAAAGAGAGCGAGCTCCAGTCACTTCCATTTATTACAAGGACACTAATCTCACCTTTATGGTCTCACATGAACCTAATCACCTGCCAAAGGCCCCACCTCGATGCCATCACATTGAGGGTTAGGGCTTCAACATATTAATGGGGTGGGAGGCACAAACACTCAGTCTATGACTCATGTTTTATTAATTATTTTCCAGGAGTTTGCTGGATTAAATTGCTGGAATAAAAGGTAACTCTACCTTTAACCTTTTGAGGAACCATCAAATTGTTTTCTATAGCTGCACAATCTCCCACCAGCTATGTTTGAGGGTTTCTGTTCCCTCTCGCCTTCTGCAACAATTGTTTTGGGTCTTCATTCCCTCCAACCCCTGGCCCTCCCAGCCTTCCCTCTCTCAACAGGTGACCCACCTCCACCTCCCGGAATGGTGGACACACTTAACATCCCATCACAAAGCTCAGCCCTCCCTCACCACGGCCTCACTGGCCTCCTTTCCTCGGTACCTCAGAGCAGACATTTCTCCAGGGTACAGCTCATCTGTTTTTTCAGGAAATATCCATGATCACTGGCCCCTCTTCTTGCTATTTAGCTGCTGTCTCAGGTTGAATGTCCCAGGAAACAGAGACGTTGGCAGGGGGCTTGCTGGGCGTGATCTCGGGACCAATGCCTGAGGGGTGGAGCCAGCAGGAGTGGCTGAGGGAGAAGCTGAGCTGGGGCACAGCCCCTTCTAAGGCCTCAGCCACCCCATGGGAAGCCCTGGAGCTGGGACAGCCTCAGTCTTGTGTCCCATTATGGCCAGGGGGCCAGGCCACTGGATATGGGCTGCCTTGTAAGGTGGGAGAAGGGAGGGCATGGATTTGGGCAGAGCAGCTCTCTTCAGCCCAGGACACATCCTGGAGAGAGGCTCAGATGAGTGCTATTGGCTGCTGACCCTCCCTGTCCTTTGGGAAATCATCGCTCAGTGCTGGAAGAGGGCATCTGAGCAGCACCCATGGTATCCACTGCATCATACTGGCCACTTCCCCTTGCCACGGGAACACGCTGAAGTGCCTCTCTCTGAAACCCCCTACAACCCCACGTCTCTCTGCAGCTGCCACCATCCTCCTCCTCCTCCCCTTTGCAGCCAAACTTCTCAGAAGTCATCTAAACTCACGGTATCCATCCGCTTCTCTTGTTCGCTTCTCAACCCCACCCCCCGCCCACATCACACCACTGAGTTTCTTCCCCTAAACTCACTGATGATTTCCCATTGATAGCTGCTGGATATTTGGGGGTCTGTGTATTAATTGCCTTTTTAGTGGCACCCTATCCTCTGCTGACCACCCCATTCTTGGAAATGTTCCCTTTCTCTTGGCTTGCAGATTCCCCTCATTTTCCTCCCACCTCGGGCCATGTGTCTCATTCTCTGCTGCACAGCCAGTACAAGCAGAGTCCTTGGGGTCCACCCCTCCTCTGCTGTCCTCCCTCCCTGGATGAGACTGGCTACACCCACAGCATCAGTGACTCACTGATCCATAGTGCCTGGCCTGACTGCTCTCTAAGCTCCCAATCCTGGTGTCCTCTGACAACCTGACATCTGCTCTGGGACGGTCCTCAGCCCAAGACTGGATTTGTGATTTTCCCCAAACCTTGTACTCCTCCAGGGTTTTACCTGTCCCAGGCAAAGGGTCCATCATCCCCCGAGTCAGGTGAGCCAGAAACCTGGGAATGTGGCCTGCTCCCTCCATCTCATCTGTCTCTCCTGCCTCCATGCCCGATCTGTATCTGTTAGTCCTTCCTGTCTGATCCACCCCTCTCCATCACTAGGGCCCCTTCCTGGTCTAAGGGGTTAATATCTCCGGCCTGGACCCTGCAGCAGCTCCCAGCCCCCTTCCCCATCCCGCGTCCTCATTGCCCCCACTGCATCCAGCCTCATTTCAAAACACATGTCTGATTAAGTTATCACCCTGCCTAAAAACCTTTCCTCTCATCTAAGGAAAAGACCAAGCTTCAGCATGGCCTGCCTTCTCTCGTGAACCAGTGTGAGGCAGTGGCTCAGAGCATGGGCTCTGGAGTCAGGCTCCCTGGATTCAAATGTGAGCTCCACATTGCCCTTGCCAGATGCTTCTGGATAACTGACTCATTCCTTTGTGCCCCAGTTTTTTCACCTGGAGAATGGGGATGCAATAGCAGCAGGTGGTTGTGAAGATGCCATGAGACAATACTCACAAGGCTCTGAGAACACAGTCTGGCTGCAGTGAACACTTGCTCGGTCCTGTGCCTTACATGCTCTTTGGTTTCTGGACTGCAGCTACACTGGCCTCCCATCGATTTCACAAATGTTTCACACTCCCTCTGCCCCAGGACCTTTGCATGTGCTGTGTTCTCTTTGTAGTTCTCTTCTCCCTTTACTTAGTCATCTTTTAGCACTGTGCTCAGGTAACTTCCTTGGGCAGCTCCTTCCAATGCCCAGCTAGGTCAGCGTTGTTTGCTACACATCATCAAAGACCCATATGCTTCTCTTATCTAAATTTGTCATTTTACCCTCATATATCATGATTATTTATTGCTGTCTGGACTTCCCTGCCATGATACTATAAGCCCAGAATGGTGGGGACTCTGTCGTTGCTCACCATCGTATGCACAGTGCCTGGCACATAAAAGGTGTTTAAGAGGCCACGTGCGGTGGCTCATGCCTGTAATCCCAGCACTTTGGGAGGCCGAGGCAGGCGGATCACGAGGTCAGGACATCGAGACCATCCTGGCTAACACGGTGAAACCCTGTCTCTATAAAAATACAAAAAATTAGCTGGGCATGGTGGCAGGCGCCTGTAGTTCTAGCTACTCGGGAGGCTGAGGCAGGAGAATGGCGTGAACCCAGGAGGCGGAGCTTGCAGAGAGCCAAAATCGCACCACTGCACTCCAGCCTGGGCGGCAGAGCAAGACTCCGTCAAAAAAAAAAAAAAAAAGGTGTTTAAAAGATACCCATTAATGAGCTGATACACGAAAAGGAAGACAGCTGGAGTTCAATCCCTAGCTCTGCCATTTCCTATAAAGTGATCTTGGGCAAGTGGTTCACTTCAGTGTGCTCATCTGTAAAGTTAGGAATTCACGCCTACCTCAGAAACTTCTCACCATTATAAAATGACATGTGCAACACGCACGGCCCAGCACCTGGTGGTGGAACATTTGCACCTGGAACATTTGCAAAGTCTTGATAGTCTTTGTTCCTCAGGCCCAAGGATAGTCCTGGGTCCTGGGGTGAGACAGCCTCTGCGGTGGGACAAGACGTGGAAGGGCTGTAGAGGAGCCCCTGGGGTGCAGCCAGATCGCCTGGTGGACAGTAGAGCACATTGAGCCAGTGACTCTTTGGTTTTCAGAGCACTGGAGCCGTCCTTTTTCAAGTCTTCAGTCCAGCAGTGTTGTAGGGAAAGGTACTTTTGTCTGGCTTGGGCAAGAGCATCAGAAGCAGATGACTGTCTCCTCAGGCCAGTACAGGAGGGGACCCACTGGTATCAACAAGAGAGGCCCTGCCGGGTAGAACTGGAGCTGTGAGTGAGGTACAGCCCCCTGTGTCCTCCAAGAGTGGATATTCTTGTTTCGTTGCCAGTCTCAGAGCAGGGCTTGGTATATTAAGAGAGATGGCAAATGTCATTCCAGAAGAAAGGGCCAGCCCATGAAGGGCTCTGTGCCCTGCTGGGAGAATGGACTTCATCCTTTATGGCCCAGTGGGTGCCACTAGGTGATGACCAGGTGGACAATATGGCCAGAGATGCTTTTCCGTTTTTATAAACTTTTTATTTTGAAAGAATTATTGACTTACAAGAAGTTACATAAATAGTACAGACAGGCCTGGTGCAGCCAGCACCTGGCTTCCCCTGGTGGTGCCGTCTTACGTAACCATTGTGCCTTATCAAAACCAGGAAAGCGATGTAACTAACTATAGACCTTGCTTGATTTCACCATTCTTTGCATGCACTCATTTTTGTTTGTCTTTGTGTATAATTCCATGACATTTTATCACATGCATAGATTCATGTATAGCCAGCACTGCAGCAACCAAGATACAGAATGTTCCATCATCTCAAAAGAAACTTCTTATGCTTCCCTTTCCACTGACATCCTCCCGCTCCTTCCCTAATCCCTGGCAACCTTGTCTTTATCCATCTCTATAATTTGCTTCTTTTGAGAATGTTAATGGATGGAAATATACAGTATGCAACCTTGCAAGGCTGGCTTTTTGCACTCTGCATAATGCCCTTAGGATCCATTCAAGTCATTGTTGGGTATCAATAGTTCATTACTTGTTACTCCTGAGTGGTATCCTACAAATATGCTTTTAAAGAGATTTTCCCAGCTGTGGCTGAAGGAGGGAGGGAGGGGACCAATTAGGAAGCTGCTGGTGTTCAAGGAAATATCACAAGACTTCCGTCCTGGCCCAGGCCCCACACCACCTCTCTGCAGCCTGGAATTGGCCCTAGAAGTGTTCAGGCTGGACCTCACTTCAGACAGGGTTGAAGCGTGAGGGCTTGGGAGTCTTGAAGCTGAACTGCCAGTAGGGGGCGCCAGAGGCCTTTTGCCCAAGGGGCGATTCCGAGGCGGGAACAGCAGGGAGTGTTAGAGGGAGTTTTGGGCTGCTATGCATGGGGCCAAGAGAATCCTGAAGTCTTCGCCCTCTCTTGACCCCAGCCCCCATGTTTCCGGCCAATCCTGAGCTTCGAGGCTGGGGGATGAGGCTGATGACATGTAGTCGAGGAGAAGGTGAGGTGAGGCTTGGACCAGGAAGAGGAGGTCTGGGGTCAGGCAGAGGGAGGTCCCTGTGGGCCTGGGGTTCCCCATCAGAGGGCGGATCTGGGCTCAGGCCACCGGGCCGGGCATTGGCACCTCTGCCTCACCCATCCTTCCCATCCTCAGCAACCAAGGATTCTCCCAAGAGAAGTCTCCCCAGACCCTGGAGCGTGTGCTAGCCCCTCTTTGCTCCCACGCTCTATACCTGGCTCTTGCCTCCCTGCAAGATGCCTTTCCAGATGCCCCACCGCCCCCCACTCAGTGCCTTACCCAGCATGCTGTGGGCTGCGTGGATCCCGCACTTGTGCAGGGCGCAGAGTGGGCGCTTACTGAGCTCTGGCACCTGCTAAGTGCTGAGGAGCCAGGAAGAGGTGCTCTGTCCCCAGTATCCCAGGGGCCTTGGCATTCAGCCGCCTCTGACTCCTGTCTGCTTGGTGGAACATTCCTGAGCAGCAGGTACTCTCCTCAAAACCCGCACGGGTCCTCCATGCCCTTCAGAGCTCAGCTCACTCTCCCTGTGCGATCTTTGCCCCGTCCTCGGCTCCTTGTCCTCTGGCTGACTCTCTCCGCTCTCACGCCAATGCCCAGCCTCCCGGGATGCCTCTGCTGTCCGTGCAAGCCATGTGGGTCTCGCCGCCACGCCCTCGCCCCCATTCTCTGCCTCCTGCCCCACCACCACGAAGCCTTCCCCAGGGCCTTGCATATATCAGGCTTAAAAAATGTGAGCCCCCATCATCTGTGCCCCCACAATGCATGGGCATGTGGACTTCGTAATAGAATCTCCTTCATGTGGCCTGGTCTCGTCACTGGCACACAACACACCTGTCACCTCCAGAGGCTTCTCATTCATTTCTGATCACCCAGAGCTTGGCACACAGAAGGGGTCAAGTGAAGTTAGATTGAATAAATGCATGAATGTGCCAGTTGTCATATCTTTGAAGCCTCCTCCTGTGACTGGTTGCCCCTCTGATTGCTCCTTGGTGGTTTTCCTTGTGGGCACTCGTTCCCCTGTGGCCTGTAAATGCTGGCAGGCCGCCCTCTCCTCTGCTCAGCTCACTCTGCCCCCTCCCTAGGCAAGCTCACCCATCCAGCCAGCTGTAACTGCTGCCCTTCTGCTGCCAGGCCCCAAATCCATTCCACAGCCTGGAGCCCTGAGCCCCAGGCATACCTCCCACCACTTCCTCTTTATTTGCTTGTCTTTATCTGTCCTTCCCCCATCTGTCTTTCCCACAAACGTTAAGCTCCATTACAGCAGGAATTTTGTCTGTCTGATGGACAGCTGCATGCCTGGTGCCAGCACATGTTCGGTAAATATGAATGAATGAATGAACGAATGAATGAATGAATGAATGAATCTCCCTCTGAGGTCATGTAAACACTTCCAATTCAATGTATCCCAGATTGATTTTGTCATCTCCTCTCTCCCCATAATTTCCTTCTCCTGTCTTTGCTACCTCTCTCCTCCCAGTCCCCCAGTTTAGAAATCCCAGTGTTGGCTGGGCACGGTGGCTCACGCCTGTAATCCCAGCACTTTGGGAGGCCGAGGCAGGTGGATCATGAGGTCAGGAGATCGAGACCATCCTGGCTAACACGATGAAACCCCGTCTCTACTAAAAATACAAAAAATTAGCCGGGAGTGGTGGCGGGCACCTGTAGTCCCAGCTACTCAGGAGGTTGAGGCAGGAGAATGGTGTGAACCTGGGAGGTGGAGCTTGCAGTGAGCGGAGATCGTGCCACTGCACTCCAGCCTGGGTGACAGAGTGAGACTCCAACTCAAAAAAAAAAAAAAAAAAAGAAATCCCAGTGTCACTTAACACATCAACCCATCAACCAGTCACTGCTTTCCCAGATTCTACCTCCAATCTTTCCCACCCCACGCCACCCCAGCCCCTGGCTCACTCCTGGCTTAGACCCTCCCCGTTTGCCACCTGGATCTCCTCAACTGCTCCTCCCTCAGGCTCCCCTCCTCCGCCTTTGCTTCTGTGCTCATTGCCACTTGATTTCTCTAAAACACCACTCTTATTATGTCAACCCCTGCTTACCAACCTCATTGCATCCACATCCCATACAGTTGTGTTTCCCTAAGTGGAGGACTCACAAAGTGAGTGGCATATGGCATGATTCTAGGAGGTTCAAGGACCCCCATACCATGTACCAAAGGTGCACTGCAGTGATCTTTAGTAGTTGCAAAATGAGGAACTTGTTTCTTCTCTAACTCTGTCCAGCCTTTTGAGTACACCAAGGAGAGTCTCCCTGTTATCCTTCACATCTGTTTTTCTCTTGCTAATCTCTCGTTTTTGCAGGGATCAGGATCCCAGCCACAGCCACCAGCAGCAAGATATCAAGCTAGAATGGAAAGATAACATGGTCTTAATTTTATTTATTTTACAGTTACCTACTATATGTGACATGTGATATTGGGTCTTTAGTTATGGTAGTAATGTTCCATAAAATAAATTTATTTGGGAGACAATATTGCAAATTGCATATCTATCAAAGAAATAACATCCCAAATATATCAAGAACTCTTGGCGGGGTGCGGTGGCTCAGCACTTTGGGAGGCTGAGGCTGATGGATCACTTGAGGCCAGGAGTTCGAGACTAGGCTGGCCAACATGGCAAAACCTGTCTCTACTAAAAATGCAAAAATTAGCTGGGCATGGTGGTGTACGCCTGTAATTCCAGCTACTCAGGAAGCTGAGGCATGAGAATCACTTGAGCCCAGGAGGCGAAGGTTGCAGTGAGCCAAGATTGCACCACTGTACTCCAGCCTGGGTGACAGAGTGAAACCCTGTCTCAAAAAAAAAAAACAAAAAAAAACTCTTACTTATCAATTTAAAAAATCAATAGAAATAAAAATGGGCAAAGGCCTTAAAACTTAACAAAAGAGGATATGTGAGTGGCCAATAAACATGAAAAGTGATCAATTTCATTAGTCTCAGAGATATGCAAAACCACAGCATGATATCACTATACACCCACAGGGCTAAAGCGAAAAAGACAGTATCGAATGTTGGCAGGGGTGTGGAACAATTGGAAGTCTGATTTACTTCCAGTGAAGATATAAACTGTAACAACTACGTTGGAAACTGGCCATATCTGCTGAAGCTAAACATATCTACACTACCCTATGACCCAGGAATTCAATGCCTAGGTATAATTCCAGCAGAAATGAGTACATGGCATTTACCAAAGTCATGCACAAGCATGTTCATAGCAGCTTTATTCATCACAGCCAAAAATGAAAAATAACCTGTATGTTCATCAGTAGAATGGGTAACGTGGTATATTCACATAATAGAATTCTGTATCAAGTGAAAATGAATTAAGCCACACAAATGCTGAGCAAAAGAAGCCAGGCACAAAAAAGAGCAGTTGTTATGGTTCCATTTATATAAAACTCAAAAGCAGGCAAAATTAATCTATGCTGTTAAAGCTTGGAGAGTGGTTACCCTGTGGAGTTGTTCATTGGAGGGGGCTGCTGAAGACTCATAATATTCTGTTTTGGACCTGGGTGAAAAATTATTGTGTTCTTACACAAATGAAAAGTGATTGATTTGTGTACTCTTTCATATGTACATTATGCATCAATAAAAAATTATTTAAATTTTTTTTTGAGACAGAGTCTTTCTCTGTGGCCCAGGCTGGAGTGCAGTGGTGCTATCACAGCTCACTGCAGCCTTGACCTCCTGAGTTCAGGCGATCCTCGACCTCCTGAGCTCAGGTGATCCTCCTGGCTCAGCCTCCTATGTAGCTGGGACCAGAGGTGCACATCACCACACCCGGCAAATTATTTGATTCTGTGTAGAGACAGGAGTCTCACTTTGTTGCCCAGGCTGGTCTTGAACTCCTGGCCTCAAGTGATCCTCCCGCCTCGGCCTCCCAAATTTCTGGGTTTGCCACGGTGGTAAGCCACCGTGATCAACCAAAATTACTTAAATTTTGGGTTTTTGTTTGTTTGCTTTTTGTTTTTTAACGTGAAACATTTAAAGACAAACATTAAGAAAATGATGCCGGGCGTGGTGGCTCACGCCTGTAATCTCAGCACTCTGGAAGGCCAAGGCAGGCGGATCATCCGAGGTCAGGAGTTCAAGACCAGGCTGCCCAACATGGAGAAACCCTGTCTCTATTAAAAATACAAAAAAAATAGCCAGGCGTGGTGGCAGGTGCCTATAATCCCAGCTACTTGAGAGGTTGAGGCAGGAGAATCGCTTGAAACAGCAAGGCGGAGGTTGCAGTGAGCCGAGATTGCGTCACTGCACTCCAGCCCGGAGCAACAAGAATGAAACTCCGTCTCAAAACAAAAAAAAAGAAAGAAAGAAAATGAAAGTTCTAGGCTCTGACAGCTTTAACTTGAAGGTACAGTGCAAATAGCAGGTATTTGGAGGAACTTTGCCTTGGATCAAGTCCAAATTGCCATGCCTGGCTTAGAGGTCCTGCATCATATTATAAAGACAGTTCCGCATGGTAGTTGAGAGCACAGATTTGGGAAAGGGGAGCTTAAAAAAAAAGAACACAGATTTGTGAAGTTGACAAACTTGACTTTGAATCTGAGCTGTGCCACTGGCTGTGGCACTCTAAGCAAGTTACCCAGACTCTCTGAGCATCAGCTTCCTTACCTATAAATCACCTTAGAGAATGATGGACTTGCTAAGTCGGGGGATGAAGAGGCCCAGCACTAAACACACTGCGTGAGTGGGATAGCTGCCTGCTGCTCCCTGAACCAGCCCTGCTGTTTCACACACACCTCCTTGCACCCCCAGGTGTTTGCACATGCCGTTCCTCTGTAATGCCTTTCCACCTGGCGATCACACTGCTCATCCTTCCATGTCTAGCTCAAGCGCCTCGTCCCATGTGATGCCAGCCCCAGATGGGGGCTGCATCACTCTTTCTGCATCATTCCACCCATGACATGTGCACGTCCGACGCTAATTATATCCTGTTTGGGCTATTTATATGGTTTGCCATTCCTGTAGCTGTTGGCACCATACTCGGCTCCTAGGAGGAGGCTTTCAGTACCTCCTTACTAGACAAATGAAAGAATGGACAACTCGTCAAATGATTCTAATTTCCCTGCAGCTTCCTGGCAGGGAGGGCCTGGTTCCTTTTGCGTGCTCATAAGAACATCAGACGTGCAGCCGTGTGTTTAGGGACCTTATCCATCTTATGGAGAACTGGCACCACAAGATGTGTTGTGGGTGAGTGGTTATCACCATGACGTCAGCCTCAAAGGTTAGGGATGTCCCCAAGTCATTCCAGTTCCCTTTAGCACCCTATATGGATAGGTCACCCATAAGAGCACCTCCAACTTCTACTTCATTGCAGAAGGGTAACAGGTTCCCTAAGCCAGGCACTTGCTGCATAAGAAAGGGATGCTTTTATTTTTTTTGAGATGGAGTCTTGTTCTGTCACCATGGCTGGAGTGTAGTTGTGCCATCTCGGCTCACTGAAACCTCCAGTTTCCAGGTTCAAGCCATTCTCCTGCCTCAGCCTCCCGAACAGTTGGGACCACAGGTGTGCACCACCACACCCAGCAATTTTTGTATTTTTAGTAGAGATGGGGTTTCATCATATTGGCCAGGCTGGTCTTGAACTCCTGACCTCAAGTGATTCGCCCGCCTTGGCCTCCCAAAGTGCTGGGATTACAGGCTTGAGCCACCACACTCGGCGCTTTATTTTAAACTTTTATAAGTAATCAGCAGGTGCAGGGGGAAGAAAGGGGCACCTTGTTTTGATATGACTTTGCGTGTGACTGAGTTCACAGTTCCCTTTGTGGTTTGATAAATTGGGCCATATTCCTTTAACAAGAAAATTGCCATAGAACCCCTTTGAAACCTGTGCTGCCCTCCAAGATCTGGCGAGACAATGAGCATCTCACTTCACCCCGCTCCCCTGCACTCCTTGCTCTCCCCAAATATGCAGGCACTTACACAGCCCCTGGCTGTGGCCATGCCCGTCCCTCAGCCCCACCTTTTCCACCGGTGGAAGTCAACCCACAGGTACAGTTACCACCAAGTGCTGGCCTTGTGCTGGTCAGAATAAGATGGAAACGGCAAGAACCCTGTCTTCTTATCTCCCACGCGGAGTCAGATACAGAGAGAAATTCACAGTACAGGATGGTGCGTGTCGTGGGGGAGGGGCATAGGGCCTGAGGGAGACCAGAGATTTGGGGACAAGGGTAGGGAAGGCTTCCTGGAGGAGGTTGACGTTTTGATTTCTGGTGAGTTTGCTCTGTCCCACTAGAATGTGAGCTGCATGAGGGCAGGGCCCTCCATCTTGTCCTCAGCTGTTTCCCCAATTATGAATGCTCAGGACCATGGTGAACATACAGTAGCTGTTTAATCAACAACTGCAAAGGAATCAGGCAATTGCTGAGCTAGCTTGGGAGGGCTCCGTGAAAGCTGGCCCTTCTGAAGGCATTCTAGGATGGAGGTCCTTGGTGAGCAGAGGCCTGGCACAGGGAACCAGCAGGATGTGTGAGGGGGATGGGATGCAGTTGGAGTAGACAGTCGGAGGATGGAGTGCCCAGCAGGCAGGGCAGGGCCGGGCAGTGGGAGCCCTCACCCTCCCTCACCCCCTTCCTATTCTGAGACCCCACTGCCCCTGGCTCTTTGTGTACACTTCCTACACACCCTAAATCCCGCCTCGTGTGACACAAGTTCATTTATCAGCACTTATTTAGCACTTACTGTGTGTCAGGTGTGGTGCCAGGGCAAAACACCTACCATGTGCAGCATGAGGCAGTTTCCAGAGTGATTTTCCATCCAGTACCAGCATCCCTAGAGAAAGGGATCCATCCATCCACACATCCCTTTATTTGTGCAATCATTGACAGGCAGGGAACACGGCAGGTACAAAGGTCCTGGGTGGGACAGTGCTCAGGCACTGGAGGAGGAGAGGAAGGTGGTCGGTGTCTACGGAGAATGGGAATGTTTGATGGGGGTGAAGTGGGAAGTGGAAGGTTTGAGGTAGGAGCCAGCAGCCAGACTGGGAAAGGCTTGTAGACATCTGGATTAATTCTGCAGTGAGATGCAAATCCACAGAAAGCCTCTACAAAGGTGAGGGATGCATTCTGGTTGACATTTTAACAAGATCATGGGGCCAAGCTAGAGTTAGAGGATGCAGAAAGACTGGCATTAGCTTAGGGTCTATGTAGGAGGTAAAACTGTGGAACCAACTGCGGAAGCCATTATTTCTCTTCCAAACCGCTTTCTCCCCATCATTTCAGAAAATGGTACTACTAGAACTCTATTGCCCCAGCCAGAAATTTCTAATTTCTGCATCCCTTCTCTCTTTCACCTCTTACATTCGATCAGCTCTGACAGTGTCCGGCAAGAAAGTGGAACAGCTTCCAGGCAGTGCCATGCGTGCATTTCAGGTTAATGTGCACCATCAGGCAGCCTGGCTATGAGATAGGCTCAGCAACTTCGGCTTCCCTGGTGCAGCCGGGGGAAAAGTGCACAGTTGGCTTTGCCACAGTGAGGTTCTGCCAGCTGAAGACGACAAGGGGAGCAAGAAACAAGAGCTGGGGCTGTTGCAAGACAATAATCAACATGGTAGACCAGGGACCCCAAGGTGGAAAAGGAGGGAAAGAAGGGGGGGTTGGATGGCCGGAGAGAAAGTAGAACTTTAGAAGGAACCTGCCCCAGAGAAAGAGAACTGGAAGGATAAGAGGTGTGGTCAGGGTAAAAATTCAGGGATGGTGCTGTGAGAAAAGAGGACAAGGTGTAGGATGTGACGGTGGGAGTGGACAGCTGGGTGCAGTGGAGAAAGTAATGTCTGGAGGCGAGGAGGTCAGGATGCAGACGAGGCACCGTGTGGATGTTAGAGTCATTTTGAATGAGGCTGGGTGGACCACAGGCAGTGAGCCAGGAGCTAAAGGTGCCCCAGTGAGGGGGAGTGGCTGGGAGGTGGGGGGCACCAGCACTGGCAGGGGCATGGGTGGTTGGTGTGTTCAGAGGAACCGAGGGGCTGGGCGAGGTGGCTTACACCTGTAATCCAGGCACTTTGAGAGGCGGAGGTGGAAAGATCCCTTGAGGCAGAAGTTGAAGACCAGCCTTAGCAACATAGTAAGAACCCCGTCTCTACACATGGTTTAAAAATTAGCTGTAGCCGGGCGTGGTGGCTCCCGCCTGTAATCCCAGCACTTTGGGAGGCTGAGGCGGGCGGATCACGAGATTAGGAGATCAGGACCATCCTGGCTAACACGGTGAAACCCTGTCTCTACTAAGAATACAAAAATTAGCCAGGCATGGTGACACACGCCTGTAGTCCCAGCTACTCGGGAGGCTGAGGCAGGAGAATCGCTTGAATCCGGGAGGTGGAGGTTGCAGTGAGCCAAGATTGTACCATTGCACGCCAGCCTGGGCGACACGGCGAGACTCCACCTCAAGAAAAAAATTAGGTGAGTCTGGTGGCATGTGCCTGTAGTCCTAGCTATGCAGGAGGCTGAGGTAGGAGGATTGCTTGAGCCCAGGAGTTCAAGGCTGCAGTGAGCTTTGATCACCCCACTGCACTCCAGCCTGGGTGACAGAACAAGACCCTGCCTCTAAAAAAAAAAAAAAAAAAAAAGCAGCAGCAGCCAAGGGTTGAAGGAAGAAGGGTTTGGAATTGGCCTACCTCCACGTCCTGGCAACGAGGTGCTTCCTCTGAACAGGGCTGCTGGGACGCTTCCCCCCAGGGCCAGGAGTGAGAGGTGGGGGTAAGATAAGGATGTGGGGATGGTGGGAGGATAACACTGGAGGGAGGGAGGGTCCCAAGGAGGGTGCAAAGTTAACTAGCTGTTAGCAGAGGCTAGCTTTTCTAGGACGGCCTTTAACCCCTAAACTGCTCAAATTGAGTTTTGCCTAGGTCTTTCCAGGCCAACAACACTAGTCTCCCCCAGTTCACTCCCTTCCTCTACACTCTGGGGCAGAGCCAGGTGTAAACAGCTGAAAGGCACAGGGGGCAGGCCCCATCCCTTCAGCCCTGCTCCTTTGTAGATAATCTCTGCAGGCACCAGAGAGGTGCCACCTAACGGCACAGAAACTGCTCTTCAACCGTCAGGAGGGTTGGGGGAGCCTGGGGCTCTGTATTAGCCACCAGGACCCCCTCATTCTCTGCTCTGTTTGAAGAGAAAGCAGGTGCCTCCCAGAGGGCCACCGCTACCTTGTCTGTGTGTGCAGGTGGGGCCTGTTTAACGTCAGCATTTCCTTTGTCCTGATAGGCTCAGCATGAGATTCCTACCTTCTGGGCAGGAAATGGGAAGACATTGGCTGTGTGATCCATCGTCTTGGCTTTTTCTTTTTCTTTTCCTTTCCTGTCCTTTCTTTCCTTCCTTTCTTTCTTTCTTTCATCAGGTGATCTCAATGGACGCTCTGAACAACTCATTGTCCATTCTCCAGCGCTGGGCAGGAGGGGGGATAGACCCTGGGATAAAGGGGATGAAGCCTGGTCCTGAAACTCCAGGATTTCAACAAGTGATCAGTGGGCCAGAGCTGGAATTGGAGTACAAACAGGGAGGGAGTATGGGATCTCTAAGGAAGCTCACAGGTTTTGTGTCTTCATGGAGTCTGGGCCAGGGGCAACAGGAAGCCTGGATTTGTCTTTCCAGATGGAGGGACTCGCCTAGTGGCCCTGTGACAACTGAGAAAGGCAACACTCCCAGCAATCCCCATCTGAGCATTAGCAACGTATTAGGTCACCCTTTCCAGTGACCTCACCACACCCCTGATGGGTAGGCAGTGCCACAGCTTCCATTTCACAGAGGAGAGAGCAGTGCCCAGTCTACAGCTGGTTTTGGCCCCACAGTAGTGGGCACGTTATGCATCCATTCACTTATGCATTCAAGGAATGTTTATTAAGCACCTATTATGTGCTAGGCACTGTTGTAGGCATTGAGGATGCAGCAGATTACAATGCAAAGAAACCTCCCTGCCTTCATGGAGCTCACACTCTAATGGGGGGGGATAGGGGAGAGAGCTAAATAGTAAAAAGAGCTGACGTGGTTTAACATCACAGACCACCAGGCGCAGTGGCTCTCGCCTGTAATCCCAGCACTTTGGGAGGCTGAGGCAAGAGGATCACTTGAGTTCAGAAGTTCAAGACCAGCCTGGGTAACATAGTGAGACACCCCCCAATCTCTACAAAAAAAATTTAAAAAATTAGCTGGATATGGTTACATACACCTGTAGTCCCAGCAACTCCAGAGGCTGAGATGGGAGGATCGCTTGAGCCCAGGAGTTCCAGGCTGCAGTGAGCTGTGATCCTGCTACTGCACTCTAGCCTGGGTAACAGAACAAGACCCTGTCTCAAAATAAATATAAATAGGCCAGGCACAGTGGCTCACCCCTATAACCCCAGCACTTTGGGAGGCCAAGGTGGGCAGATCACTTGAAGTCAGGAGTTCAAGGCCAGCCTGGCCAAAGTAGCAAAACCCCATCTCTCAAAAGTACAAAAATTAGCCAGTCGTGGTGGTGCACACCTGTAATCCCAGCTACTCAGGAGGCTGAGGCAGGAGAATTGCTTGAACCCAGGAGGCAGGGGTTGCAGTGAGCCGAGATCGTACCACTGCACTCCAGCCTGGGCAACAGAGCGAGACTGTCTCAAAAAACAAAAACGAAAACAACAACAAAAAGAAAAATCAATCAATAAATAATATAAATGAATAAATAAATAAATGTCTTCCTAAAATGAAATATCTAAAGATACTGACTAAAATAGAAATACAACTCCCATGTAACTGCCAAATCCACAAAATAAATAAATAAGATGACTCCACAAATGCTGACCGCCCTGAGGGAGTCTGAGGGCTTATAAAAAGCAAAGGGTTTGGGATTGAAGAGCCAGAGAGACCCAGGAGAAAAGGTCTTGTGCCGGCTTTGAGGAGAAAAGACACAGACTTCAGTTTCTTTTCTTTTTTTTTTTTTTTTTTGAGACGAAGTCTCACTGTTACCCAGGCTGGAGTAGAATGGCGTGATCTTGGCTCACTGCAATCTCCGCCTCCCAGGTTCAAGTGATTCTCCTACCTCAGCCTCCCAAGTAGCTGGGATTACAGGCACACGCTACCACACCCAGCTGGTTTTTGTATTTTTAGTTGAGATGGGGTTTCGACATGTTGGCCAGGCTGGTCTCAAACTCCTGACCTCAAGTGATCTGCCCGCCTCGGCCTCCCAAAGTGCTGGGATTACAGGAGTGAGCACTGTGCCTGGCCAGACTTCAGTTCTTGACGGGAGGAGTGCCAGATAATTTGCAGACATTTAGAACTGCCAAACAGCTAGGAGTGGTGGCATCAGAAGGTGAACGTGGGGTGTCTGATGACAAAGTCTACACACTAGGACTCCACACGCTGCCAGGCTGCAGGGAAAGAGAGGAGAGGGTCTCTGCTAAGGCGGTGGATGTGTGGATGGGGATGGAACAGAGAGGAGACATGCTGGGAAGGTCAAAGTGTTGTCCTATCTGGCATGGACACCCCAGCTTGCGCAGGCAGAGGCTGGGGAACTGCTGGGTTGGAAGGGGGGCTCTATGGGCTGGAGAGGTACATGCTCAGGAGGCCCCTTCTCCCCTGCTGGGGGCCTGGATCAGTCCCTGGGGCCAGGGAGAAGGGAGAAGGAGGGTCCTGCATTCAGTGAGCCGGGCGGGGTTTTGCAAGGAGCTGGCAAGAGAGCACTGGGGATGCCGCTGCCCAGATTGTAGCCACCACAGCCCTTGGGAAGTGAAACTTGTTCAAGGCCAGCTTTCTCATTCGTTTGAGGTTGACGTTCAGTGGCTCTCCTGTTCAGGGAGGCAGACAGAGGCCTGGTGGCCCCAGCCCAGGGCCTGAAACACACTGAAACTTGCGTGGGGGATGTGGGAGAAAGGAGGCCTCCCAGATGACCCCCGCTCCCAGTGGGGATTCCCAGCTGGGTAAGGGGAGGGCTGTGAACTCCCAGGTCCTGAATTCACTGGGTCCTTCTCCTCTAACACCATACCCAGGGGGTAGGGGTGGGGGTGGGGCAGGGACTCTGGACTGGCTTTTGGTAGCCGCTGCACCAGGAAAGATTTTTGTGACTTTCATAGGTCACTTCCCTCCTGAGTACTCAGTTTTCTCATCCACCAAATGTCAGGTCAGGTGATCTTGAAGGTCCTCTGCTCTCCCAGCATCACCAGAAAGATTATTCACCTCAAGCTCTTTCTCTTAGCTCCCAAAAGCAGTCGGCTGGCCGGACGAATGCCCAGGAGGTGTTCTTAAAGATGAGGGTAGGGTCAGCCCGGATCCACCATGACCTGTCTGGGCCTCACCGCAGCTAGACCTACCACCTCCCAACTTGCTCCATTCACTAGCGAAATGGGGAGAGAATGTGGGTGGCTTGGGGTGGGCTGAGGCCTCCTTCATTTTTTTTTTTTTTTTTTTTTTGAGACGGAGTCTCACTCTGTCGCCCAGGCTGGAGTGCAATGTCACAGTCTTGGCTCACTGGAACCTCTGCCTCCCAGGTTCAAGTGATTCTCCTGTCTCAGCCTCCAGAGTAGCTGGGATTACAGGCACGCACCACCATACCCGGCTAATTTTTGTATTTTTAGTAGAGACGGAGTTTCACCATGTTGGCCAGGCTGGTCTCAAACTCCTGACCTCAAGTGATCCTCCCGCCTTGGCCTCCCAAAATGTTGGGATTACAAGCGTGAGCCACCACGCCTGGCTGGGGGTATCATTATTATGCCCCTTTATGGATGCGGGAACTGAGGCACAGAAGGGCTAGGTAACCTACCCAAGGTCACACAGCTGAAAAGTGGCCAAACCAAGGCTAGGGCCTGGGGAGCTGGAGCCCTGAGTCTGGGCTTAGTCACTTGAGATTTCTTGTCTCCCAACAACTGCCTGTAAGTGGTAGGCATTGGCTCTGTGACCCAGGAGGGGAAAGGTCGTTTGCCAAGAAGGATGATGTCTTTGGCTGTAGTGGACAAGGAGAGCTTCCCAGAGGAAGGACAGGAGAGGGAGTGGGACAGACAGGGTAGGCAGAGCCTTGTGTGCAGCCCCGTGAGGAAGACAGGAACTCGGGCTTAGACCCACTGGCTTGTTTCCGGCTGTGACTTGACCTCTCTGAGCCCGGGCTGCTCTGTAAAATGGGTATAACACAGACCCACAGTTTCTTACTTAAAACCTTGGGGCCAGATGTGCTTTGGAATTCAGAATTCTTTAGATTTTAGAAACAATTTGGTGCGTGTATAGAATGGCACCCTCAGGGTACCTGGGACCGCATTCTTGTAATCAAACATGTACTTTTTTTTTCTTTTTCTTTTTTTTTCCATCAGCAAACATGTAAGTATTCACGTGCAGCCAGATAAGTGAAACTGCAACTTAATCTCAGGTTGGTTCAGGTCAGATTTCGCCATCCTGTAAGCTCGGTTTTCAGGCATTTGGGGAATCTGGAATTGAGGAGAGGAGAACGTGGTTCCTTAGGAGATCAGGCCTGAGAATCCCCGCACAGAGAGAGAGGGCGCTTCCTCCGCAGGCTTCCCTGCCTGCTGGGGGCCAGGGAGGAGACCAGCTTGTTGGAAGCGGAGACGTCTAAGGAGTTTCCAAATAGGAAAACCAGCGGCTGCAGGCCTCAGGACGTGGCCGGGCGAGCCGCAGCCTCATCCCGCGAGCGGGCGTTCCTGAGCTGCCTGCACCGTGAGTCACCCGGACGGCCGCGGGCAGCGCGCAGGAATGCGGCCTCGCCAATCGGCGGGGAGCGGGTGGGCGGCGGGCAGGCGAGGGCACCTCCGGGCTGAGCCGCTGCGCGTGACTCAGCAGGGACCCCCTGCGCGGGCGAGCCGGCTGCTGCCCTGCGGGGGACCCACCCGCTGGGACCTTGGTAGGGGATATGGGAAGAAACTGTACACCTTCCATTTGTATTTATTTGTATTTCTTCCTTTTACGTTTAAATTTATTTTCAAATAGGTAGTACCTTCATATGCTTTAAAAATGTAAAGCGGCCGGGAGCGGTGCCTCACACGCCTGTAACCCCGGCACGCTGGGAGGCTGAGGCAGGAGGATTGCCTGAGACCAGGAGTTGGAGGGCAGTCTGGGCGACAGAGGGAGACCCCCCGTCTCGACAAATAAAATAAAATAAAGATATAAAGATCTGGAAGAGATATTTGTACACCCATGTTCATAGCAGCATTATTCACATTGGCCAAAAGGTGGAAGCAACCCAAATATCTATGGAGAGATGAATGGATAAACAAAATGTGGCCCACGCATATATTATTCAGCCTTAAAAGGGAAGGCGCTTCTGTCACATGCTACAACATGGGTGAACCTTGAGGACATTGTGCTCCGTGAAATCAGCTTGTCACAGAAATACGAATACTGTGTGATTCCACTATATGAGGTGTCTGGAGCAGGCTTCTTCACAGAGAAACGGGGGTGCCAGGAACCTAGGGAGAGGGGAAGTGGAGTTCTTTTACGGGTACAGAGTTTCAGTTTCGCAAGATGAAAAGAGCTCTGGAAATGGATGGTGGTGATGGTTGTACCAAAAGGCGAATGTACTTAGCACCACTCAACTGTACACTTAAAAAATAGCTAAGATGGTAAACTTTGTTATGTGTGTTTTACCAAAATTAAAAAGAAAAAATTTAAAGGTACAAAAGTCACTCTCCCAGTCCTGGCCTGCAAGCCATCCACTTCCTTCACCCAAAACACCTAGTCTCACCAGTTTTCGTGTATCCTTCCAGAGCGTCTGTGCAAATCCATATAGGCATGTGTAAGTATAAACATATAAATATAAATCTGCATAATAGTCTATATATACACACCTGTTCCTCTTTAAAAAAAAACAGTGGGGCTGGGCACGGTGGCTCACACCTGTAATCCCAGCACTTTGGGAGGCCGAGGCAGGCAGATCACTTGAGGTCAGGAGTTCGAGACCAGCCTGGCCAACATGGCGAAACCCTGTCTCTACTAAAAAATACAAAAAAATTAGCTGGGCGTGGTGGCAGGTGCCTGTAGTCCCAGCTATTCAGGAGGCTGAGGCAGGAGAATGGCATGAACCCGGGAGGCGGAGCTTGCAGTGAGCAGATAGCGCCACTGCACTCCAGCATGGGTGACAGAGTAAGACTCTGTCTCACAAAAAAAAAAAAGAAAAAGAAAAAGAAAAATTAGCCGGGCGTGGTGGCAGGCACCGATAATACCAGCTACTCCGGAGGCTGAGGCAGGAGAATCGCTTGAACTGGGAGGTGGAGGTTGCAGTGAGCCGAGATTGTGCCACTTCACTCCAGCCTGGGCAAAAGAGCGAAACTCCATCACAAAAAAAACAAAAACAAACAAACAAAAAAAACACCAAAAAAAAAAAAAAAACCAATGGTAGCGTATTCTGTGCTTTGTTTTTCCATTTAAAAATACACCTTGGAGGCCAAGCGTGGTGGCTCACACCTGTAATCCTAACACTTTGGAAGGCCGAAACAGGTGGATCACCTGAGGTCAGGAGTTCGAGACCAGCCTGACAAACATGTTGAAACCCCGTCTCTACTAAAAATACAAAAGTTAGCTGGGCATGGTGGCAGATGCCTGTAATCCCAGCTACTGGGGAGGCTAAGGCAGGATAATCGCTTCTTGAACCTGGGAGGCAGAGGTTGCAGTAAGCAGAGTTCATGCCACTGCACTCCAGCCTGGGTGACAGAGCAACACTCTGTCTCAAAAAGAAAAAAAAAATCTTGGAGACCTTTCTAAACCAGTACCTAACAAGCTTCCTCATTTTTTTTTTAACAACTTCATTGAGATATGATATAATTTACATAAAACACATCCATTGTAAATGTACTATTCAACAGTTTTTTTTTAAATGTATAGAGTTGGGCAGCTATCACCACAAGCCAGTTTTATAACATTGCCATCATCCCCCAAAGTCCTGTTGGATCCATCTGCAGTGAATCCTCACAGCCATCCCAGCTCCAGCAATGACAGATTTGCTTTCTCTACAGATTTGTGTTTTCTGGAAATTTCATATAAATGGAAGCACACAATATGTGGTCTTTTGTGTCTAGCTTCTTTTACTGAGCATAATATTTTTGAAGTTCATCTATGTCGTAGCTCATTTAAGAAGTTTGTTCCTTTTTTGCTTTTTGTTTTTTGTTTTTTTGATACCGAGTCTCACTCTGTCGCCAAGGCTGGAGTGCAGTGGTGCGATCTCGGCTCACTGTAACCTCCACCTCCCAGGTTCAATCGATTCTTGTGCCTCAGCCTCCTGAGTAGTTGGGACGACAGGCGTGCGCCACCACTCCCGGCTAATTTTTGTATTTTTAGTAGAGATGGTGTTTCACCATGTTGGCCAGGCTAGTCTCAAACTCCTGGCCTCAGGTGATTCACCTGCCTCGACCTCCCGAAGTGCTGAGATTACGAATGTGAGCCACTGCGCTCGGCCAGTTTGTTCCTTTTTATTGCTGAGTAGTATTACACTGAATGGATATTTCACATTTTGTTTATCCAGTTACCAGCTTTTGCATATTTGGATGATTTACAGGGTTTTTAAAATGTACAATGCTGCTATGAGCATTCAGGTCTTTGTGTGGCCACATTTTTACTTCTCTTGGGTAGTTTCTGTTTAACTTTTTAAGCAACTGCCAAGCTGTTTTCCAAAGTGGCTGCATCATGTTACATTCCCAACAGCAATGTATGAGGCTTCCACTTTCTCTACATTCTCCACCACACTTGTTATTATTATCTGTCTTTTTGATTATAGCCATCCTGGTGGGTTTGAAATGGTATCTCATTGTGGTTTTAATTTGCATTTTTCAAATAACAAATTGAAATTGAACATTTTTGTGTGCTTATTAACCATTCTTTTTTATTATTGTTAGGAGAGAGAGGGTTTTCCTCTGTCACCCAGGCTGGAGTGCAGTGGCACAATCATAGCTCACTGCAGCCTTGAGCTTCTGAGCCCAAAAGATCCTCCTGCCTCAGCCTCCTGAGTAGCTGGGACTATAGATACACACCACTATATCGGCTAATTTTTTTTTTTTTTTGTAGAGATGGGGTTTTGCTATGTTGACCAGGCTGGTCTCAAACTCCTGGCCTCAAGCAATCCTCCTGCCTCGGCTCCTGAAGTGCTGGGATTACAGGCATGTGTCACAATATCCTGAGCCATGCCAGCCCATATATTTTCTTTGAAAAAAATGTCTATTAGAGTCTTTCATCTTTTTTTTTTTTTTGCAGCGGGAGTTTTGTGGTGGCGGTGGGGGAGTCTTGCTCTGTTGCCCAGGCTGGAGGGTAGTGGCACAACCTTGACTCACCACAACCTCTGCCACCTGGGTTCAAGCGATTCTCCTGCATCAGCCTCCTAAGTAGCTGGGATTACAGGCGCCTGCCAGCACACCTGGCTAGTTTTTGTAATTTTAGTAGAGATGGGGTTTCACCATGTTGCCCAGGCTGGTCTCAAACTCCTAGCCTCAAGCAATCCACTTGTCTCGGCCTCCCAAAGTGCTGGGATTACAGACATGAGCCACCACGCCTGGGTTGTTTTGTCCATCTTTACATTTAGTTGTTTGTCTTCTTATTATCGAGTTATAAGACATCATTTTAAAAAATAGGTCAGTCATAGTTGATTGTATGCATGGGACGTCATTTGTTTAACTTGTTTCCTATTGATATCTCTTAAAATTTTCGTTTTATACGTATTTTTATAATAGGCATAATATATTAATGCAATAGTTTATGTTCCTGACATAAATAAGCAAATACAATTGGAATACATCCTCAAGTTAGTTTGCTGAGAGGGATCATTAAGGCCTGGTGACCCCTGACCTGAGCCTTCCTCCCCCTCCCCCCTCTCCCCGCCTGCCCCACCCCGTCCATCAGGCCCTTTCTAGCAATCTCAAGGTTTGTAGAAACCTTGTTAAAAGCCCTCTTTCCTGGCAGCCTCTGACCTCCAAAAAGTCTGATTGGGATCCCCTAACTGATGAGGGAGGCTGAGGCTGAGGGAGTCCACCCAGGGTAACATCGGCACGGTCTGAATCACAGGGCTTTCTGGAATGACCCAGAGGCCA
The DNA here is from genome assembly GCF_000001405.40 of Homo sapiens. Classification (NCBI taxonomy): domain Eukaryota; kingdom Metazoa; phylum Chordata; class Mammalia; order Primates; family Hominidae; genus Homo; species Homo sapiens. The sequence goes on along the minus strand of NC_000017.11, from coordinate 45,367,509 downwards.
CCCCTTCCTTAATTTGGGAAGCTCCAGGCTAGAGGACATGATGAGTGTTCATGCTGAGGTTCTCCTGAGTCCAGCAGCGTGAGGCGAGCTCAGAGCCCAGGAGTGTGGTTCGGGATGGTGCTGCCCTCAGCCCCCATGCTGCGTCCTGACCCCCCGCCCATCCATCTGCCCAGCCTGTCAATGTGGACTCACACACACCTGGTGTCACCTCAGAGCAATCCAAAGTAAAAGACCCTGCTGGTCCATGTCTCCCCTCCTGGTGGTTCCTTCATCTCCATTATCTTCTTCTTCATCATCCTCATTGTCACCACGTACTGCAGACATGTCCCATGCCTGTAAGTGACTTCTGGGATACTGTTTAATCCTCCAACAAATCCTACGAGCTGGAGCTTATTAGTTCTCTATTGCAGAAGAGAAAACTGAGGCTCCGGGAGGCTATGGGACTTCTCTGTCCCATCTTAGCAACAGAGGTGGAATCCACAGTCCACACCTTTGACTGGGACATGGCCCTACCCACCCTTCAGGGGCTGAGAACTGGCGCAGACTCAGCCTTCAGCTGATTTTCACCTGATTCTTAGCAGACGTCTTGGAAAAACCTCCTGGTGACATAATAAGAGCAGTGTGGCTCCAGGGTCGGGGAGGAATTTAGGGGGTGAGAATTGGGGGTGCCCCCCCTTGCCCTGAGCCAGGGCAGCTGCAGAGAAAGTACTATTCAGGGCAGGGCAGGAATGGACCCTGGAGAGCCTGAGGGTCCCACAGGGAGAGCACGCTGTCTACCCCCAGCACAGCCCCCGCCTCTCCTGGGGCTCAGCAGGCAGAGGGGAGAGGGCAGGTTCAGCCCAGAGAAGAGGGACTGTCACAGGTACCAAGCTTGTCTACTTTGGCAGGAGAAAGCTAAGGTCTGTAATCACACTTTCTGTTTTCACTTTTCTTCCATTTCTGAGTAAGCATTTCTATTGGAAAACTCCAGACTTGTCTGAGCTCAACGAAAGGAAAAGGGATCTGTGGGCACCCAGAGCAGGCCAGGGGTGGGGGTGGGGAGCCGGGCCCCTGAGTGGGTAGTATGCGTTTCCAGGGGCTCAGATCTGATGATCCCATCCTTGGCTCCACAAATTCAATCCATGCCCCTTAGCTTGGCATTCGAGGCCTTTCCTTCATCTGGCTTCAGCCCCTGCTTCTCTCTGGCTTACATCCAGGTTTCTGCTCACATTGTTCCCTATGCCCACAATGCCCTTTCCTCCCATCCTAAGAGATCCAATGCCCAAACTCTGGTCATCCTTCAAGGCCCAGCCCAGATGCCTCCTCCTCCATGAAGCCTTCCTTGACCCCCTCAGCTGGACATGACATCTCCCTCTTCTGAATTCCCACAGCCCTTGGTTCATACTTCTCTGAGGGCGTATTCCATTCTCCCACCAGCAGCAGACCTTGGTTGTGACCCTACCCAGCATCCTTCCTCCTTCTGATCAAAACACTCCAATATTCCATGAGAAATATCTGTCGCCCACCTTCAGACATGTGGTCCAGAAGAAGCTGATTCCACTCCCAGGATCCAGAGAGGCTCATAAGGCCCAGGCCTCGAAGTCGGAGTAGCCCATCTTTTCTCCTACCCCCTCCACTTCTGAACCCTGTGCTTGCTATGGGATCAGTTCAGGTATGGGGCTGTGACTCAGTCACAGCCAGAGCTATATCAGGGCTTTTTTCCTCTTTCTTTCTTTCTTTCTTTCTTTCTTTCTTTCTTTCTTTCTTTCTTTCTTTCTTTCTTCCTTCCTTCCTTCCTTCCTTCCTTTCTTTCTTTCTTTCTTCCTTTCTTTCTTTCTTTCCTTCTTTCTTTCTTCCTTTCTTTCTCTCTCTTTCTTTCTTCTTTCTTTCTTTCTTTTTTTAATTTATTTATTATTATTATACTTTAAGTTTTAGGGTACATGTGCACAATGTGCAGGTTAGTTACATATGTATACATGTGCCATGCTGGTTCATTCTTTCTTTCTTTCTTTCTTTCCCTTTTTTTTTTTTTTTTTGTTTTGTTGTTGTTTTTTGAGACAGAGTCACCCTCTGTCGCCCAGGCTGGAGTACAGTGGTGTGATCTCACTGCAACCTCCGCCTCCCAGGTTCAGGTGATTTTCCTGCCTCAGCGTCCTGGGTAGCTGGGATTACAGGCGCATGCCACCACACCCAGCTAATTTTTGTATTTTTAATAGAGACAGGGTTTCACCATGTTGGCCAGGCTGGTCTCAAACTCCTGACCTCAAGTGATCCGCCCACCTCAGCCTCTCAAAGTGCTGGGATTACAGACGTGAGCCACCGCGCCCAGCCTCTCTATAGATCTTACTCTGGCCCTGGGTTCACGTCACTTGCAAGTGAAAAATCCCTGACTGCTATTTATTCCTTTGCTCTGTTTCTCTGCAGCTAATGTCCTACTTGGACCTGCAGGATGGAGGCTCCTGGAAGTCAGGTGCCATGATCTCTTGCCTTTGTGCTCCCACAGCACCAAGCACAGGGCCAGCCGCACAGAAAGTTTCCACGAGGGTTTGTAGAACCGTCTGTGGGAGGAGTGAACACGCTGGCTGTCCTGGCCCTCCCCACCCCAACCAGGAGCCCATCTCGGGCCTGGGACTCTCCACCTTCTCCCCAGACCTGACCTGGCAGTGGACAGCCCAGACTGGAGCTTCCTGCCTGCCACACTGGCTCTCCAGTCAGCAGAGGCCAGAAAGTGGTGATTTCCTGTATTGCAGGATCAGATGGCAGAATCGCAAGAGCTCCGCATCCCCAGGGACTCATCTGAAAGACAATGTGAAGCAAAGACAATGTGAGGCGTGGGGAGACTTCCAGGTACTTGGTTGCATCTGGGGAGGGGCCAGTGGTGTCTGAGCTTTAGCTTCTGGAAGCCGGCTGCTGCGGGGTGGAGACAGAGGGGCTGTGCCAGAGAGGGAACAGCTCTAGAAACCAGCAACAGGGAGAAGTTTGATGCAGGGCAGAGGGGAACCTGGGATGGGAGGCTGGGCAAGGGGCTCCTGCTCCCCAGGGGGCTGATGAAGACCCTTGGTGTTCTCCCACCTGCCTCTGGGAGCTTGTGGTGTTTTTGTTGTTGTGTTTTGGTGTTTTGTTTTGTTTTGAGACTGGACTGAGTCTCACTTTGTCGCCCAGGCTGGAATGCAGTGGTGCAATCTTGGCTCACTAAAACCTCCACCTCCCAGGTTCAAGTGATTCTCCTGCCTCAGCCTCCTGAGTAGCTGGGATTATAGCGCCCGCCACCACGCCCAGCTAATTTTTATATTTTTAGTAGAGATGGGGTTTCACCATATTGGCCAGGCTGGTCTCGAACTCCTGACCTCAAGTGATCCGCCCACCTTGGCCTCCCAAAGTGCTGGGATTACAGACGTGAGCCACTGCGCCCAGCTGGGAACTTGTGTTTTAGAAAGTCCTTCAGTTCCATCCTTACTCTGGAGCACTGTAAAGTTTATAAAACAAAATGTCTGAGAGCACCACCTTGTTAGTAACCAACTGAGTGGAACCCTACTCTATCTAGTGTCCTGTTCTGGTGTATTGGTCAGGAGAGGCTATAGTGTGCTGAGGTAAACATTGACCTCCAAATCTTAGCGGCTTCTTGATGCAACAAAGGTGTATTTTTCTCGTTCACACAAAACTGCTGCAGGTTGGGTAACTGTCCAGGTTAGCTGTCCCTTGTACAGGCTACTTCCTTCTAGTGGCTCTACCATTTCAAACCATGGCATCTGTGGTTGCCACTAAAGGCCAAGAGAGAACAGGAGGGTTGGACAGCAGCACTTCAGTGTTTCGGTCCAGAAATGACACCTGTCACTTCCATTCACAGCCTGTTGGTCAGAGTTTGCCTCATGACCCCACCCTGACTGCACGGAAGGCTGGGAAGTGTGGAGGAGGACATGAGTAGTCAATGAGCATTGAGTGCCTCTGCCATGCTGGGTATCCCAGGGGAAGAGGAGACACAGGCACAGAGGACTGGAGGACTTTGAGGCTGGATATCTAGGTTCAAACCCAAGCTCTTCTAGAATGACTAGAAGCTATGTGACCTTGGGAAAATTACTAAATGTCTCTGAGTCTTGCTTTTCTCCTGTGCCAAACGGGGATAAAATAAGAGTTCCTACCTCACGAGGTTGTTGGGAAGATAAATCAGACCATGCTTATAAAAAGAGCTAGTGGTGCCCAGCACAAGGTTGGCATTTGTATTAGTCTGCTTTCACGCTGCTAATAAAGACATATCCAAGACTGGGTAATTTATAAAGAAAAAGAGGTTTAATGGACTCACAATTCTACGTGGCTGGGGAGGCCTCACAATCATGATGGAAGGCAAAAGGCATGTCTTACATGGTGGCAGGCAAAAAGAGAATGAGGGAAGCAAGTGAAAGGGGTTTCCCCTTGTACAACCATCAGCTCTCATGAGACTTATTCACTGTCATTTGAACAGTATGGGAGAAACCGCCCCCGTGATTCAATGATCTCCCACCGGGTCCCTCCCAAAACACGTGGGAATTATGGAAGCTACAAATCAAAATGAGATTTGGTTGGGGACACAGCCAAACCATATCAGCATTTAATAAGTGGACACTATTTGATTAGTCTGTTTAGAAAAAGTTGAAGATGCTCAACATATGACTGAAAAATAGAGCTAATTGAAAAATATAGCCAAAGCCTCCCTTTCAATAGCTGGCTCCCTTGTCTGCCCCTGCCCAGGGTCCCCTTGCTCTCCTTCCCTCCCCTCTGCAAGGACTTATAAGGATCCCCCAGTCAACCACTCCCCTGTGTGCGAGAAGATCTGCCCTCTCCCCCAGGGTGCATGTATCTGAAGTCTTAGTGTTGGGTACACGCATCTGAAGTCTTGGTGTTGATCGTGGGGAGAAAACCTTGGTGCTCTGTTGAAGAATACCAAACATTAGCAAGCAGATGAGAGAGGGGCACATATGTTCTCCAAACAGTGCTCCTACTTGTGTTTATGGCAAACAGGGTGCCCAGAGAATGGAAGATGCTGAGATCCTTGAAAAGTGTCTTGGAGGAGGTCAGGTTTAGGCAAGCGACTAGAAGGAGGGGGACCCCGGGTGGCTGAGGGAGGAGGGAGGGGCTGGAAAAGAGCCTGTAACAACCTCAGCAATGGAGGAGACAGTAAGAAACCATGCTGGTGATGGAGTGGGAGATAACTCTTCACATCCAGAGAGCTCTGCACAGTTTAAAAGTAAGGCCACCTGACTGGTGAAAACTCAACAGAGCTCAGTGGCAGGGAGAGCAACATCTGAACTCTCCTTTCCAGTGTTGCTGTCACTGGGAAGCAGTTGCCGAGCCAGGGACCACATTTCCCAGGCCCCCTTGGCCCCATGCCACGTTCTTGCCAATGGAATGGGAGCAGAAGTAACGTGTGTCACTTCCAGGCCAAGGCTTTTGAGGAGTGGTTATGCCTTTCATGGGGTCTCTTTCCCCTCCTATTAAATGAGTGTAGAAGATGATAGTTAGACCAGGCGGTGGTAGGGCCTCAAAATGGAAAAAGCCTGGTCTCTAAATCACTGCATGGGGGAAGGTCACCTGCAAACCAAGAACATCTGCAATGAACTGGTAAATAAGTGGGAAATAAACAAAATATATTTGGGGGTTTATTTGTTGTAGCAACTAGCATTGTCTTGAAGCATGGTGAGTACATCTTTCTTTGAAGGGGCTTCTGGGGCACTGTGAGGGGTACGGAGGGATGAAAGCCCCCTTTGGCACTGCCACTGCTCCTCCCCCAATGGTCCTCTTGCTTCACAAGGGGGAAGCTCTCTTGCTCTCCTTCCTTCCTTCTCCACCCACATTCTTCCCAACAAGACAGGGACAGGACCCAGCATGGGTGGAGTTTTGGACATCCAGTTTGGACATTCTTATTTCTTAAGAATCCTTCCTCAGAGCATGAGTTGGAAGTTTTGGCACTTTTGAGAGATGTGACCAGCTGACTCTATAACTGGGTGGGGCAACATGGGAAAACGAGATGGAGAGACCACCAAGGGAGGCAGTCAATGGAAGGGAGCGGAAAGGAAAGCCAGGCCAGGAGCTTGGATGTGATTTTTTTTTTTTTTTGAGACGGAGTCTCGCACTGTTGCCCAGGCGGGAATCCAGTGGTACAATCTGCACTCACTGCAATATCCGCCTCCCCAGTTTAAGCGATTCTCCTGCCTCAGCCTCCCAAGTAGCTGGGATTGCAGGCACCTGCCACCACGACCAGCTAATTTTTGTATTTTTAGTAGAGACAGGGTTTCGCCAGGGTTGGCCAGGCTGGTCTCGAACTACCGACCTCAAGTGATCCACCCATCTTGGCCTTCCAAATTGCTGGGATTACAGGTGTGAGCTACTGCATCTGTCCTGGCTATGATATTTTGAGTAAAGGGAAGTCCAGGTGTTTCAGACCCCATCTCCTCCCTGCAGGCTGAGCCAGCTAAGCAAGGATCAGGGCCCATTGTGGCTTCTCCTGGAGAGGGGAGAGTATACCACCTGTACCACTGAGGCCAGCTCATCTGTCCCCAGAGGACCATGCTCATCTCAGGCCATGGTGGCAACAGCCCCCACAGAGGGGTGGCTGCATGATGCAGCTCAGAAGGCTTGGGGGAACAGGAACACCTTCCCAAGGCTCCTTGGCATTGTCCTGCCTTCACCTCCCAGGACAGTGTTGAGGAAGAACATTCCTTCTTAGTAACAGGGCAGAGAAAGGAAGACGGTCTTCCCCGAAGTGCTATGCATCCGACTTCCCCCCATCACATGGCCACCTTTCTTTTCCACCCTCCCAGATCTTGCACAGCCATCTGCAAATAAGTGGTGTTCCTCCACCCCACTTCCCCACACCTAGGATAACCTGATGGACTGTCTTTTCTGGTGCTCACCTCTGCTGCTGTCAATAGAAAATGAAATTTTAAAAATTTCCTGGCCGGGCGCGGTGGCTCATGCCTGCAATCACAGCACTTTGGAAGGCAGAGGCAGGGGGATCACCTGAGGTCCAACCTGCCCAACATGGCGAAACCCTGTCTCTAATAAAAATAAAAAAAATTAGCCGGGTGTGGTGGTGGGCACCTGTAATCCTAGCTACTCGGGAGGCTGAGGCAGGAGAATCGCTTGAACCTGGGAGGTGGAGATTGCAGTGAGCCGTGAGCCGAGATCGTGCCACCGCACTCCAACCCGGGCGACCAGCAAAACTCCATCTCAAAAAAAAAAAAAAAAAAAAAAATTCCTGCTGGGCACAGTGGCTCATGCCTATAATCCCAGCACTTTGGGAGGTGGAGGCAGGAGGATCGCTTGGACCCAGGAGTTTGAGACCAGCCTAGGCAACATAGCAAGGCTTCATCTTTACAAAAAATTTAAATTTTTTTTTTTTTTTTTTTTTTGAGACGGAGTCTCGCTCTTTCGCCCAGGCTGGAGTGCAGTGGCGCTATCTCGGCTCACTGCAAGCTCTGCCTCCTGGGTTCACGCCATTCGCCTGCCTCAGCCTCCAGAGTAGCTGGGACTACAGGCACCCGCCACCACGCCCGGCTAATTTTTTGTATTTTTAGAAGAGACGGGGTTTCACCGTGTTAGCCAGGATGGTCTCGATCTTCTGACCTCATGATCCGCCCACCTTGGCCTCCCAAAGTGCTGGGATTACAGGCATGAGCCACCGCGCCCGGCCAAAAATAATGTTTTTAAAATTCCATCTTTAATAGCTCTTTTTAAAACCATGAAATACTTAGGAATACATTTCACAAAAGATATGTAAGACCTCTACGTTGAAGATTACAAAATATTATTGAGAGAAATTCAAGACCTAAATAAATGTTCATGGATTGGAAGACTCAAGATTGCTGGGATGACTATTCTTTCCAAAATGATCTCTAGATTCAACTCAATTTCAGTCATAATTCTAGTAGACTCTTGTCAAAATTGAATGTGTTGATTCTGTGGACACATGAAGGGGAACATCACATTTTGGGGACTGTTGTGGGGTGGGGGGAGGGGGCAGGGATAGCATTAGGAGATATACCTAATGCTAAATGACGAGTTAATGGGTGCAGCACACCAACATGGCACATGTATACATATGTAACTAACCTGCACATTGTGCACATGTATCCTAAAACTTTAATAATAATAAAATTAAAAAAAAATTGAATGTGTTGATTCTAAAATTTTTATGGAAATGCAAAGGACCTAGAATATCCAAACCGCCTTGAAAACAAACAAAATTAGAGGATTTATCCCGTCTGACTTCATGACTTTTATGACTTTTTTTTTTTTTTTTTTGAGATAGGGTCTTGCTCTGTCACCCAAACAGGAGTGCAGTGGTGCAACGATAGCTCACGGCAGCCTGGACCTCCCAGACTCAAGGAATCCTCCTGCCTGAGCCTCCTGAGTAGCTAGGATTACAGGTTCACATGACACCTAGCTAATAGTTAAAATTTTTGTAGAGATGGGATCTCCCTATGTTGCATAGGCTGGTCTTGAACTCCTAGCCTCAAGCCATCCTCCCACCTCAGTCTCCCAAAACACTAGGATTACAGGTGTGAGCCACTGTGCCCAGCCTTCATGACTTATTAATTATAAAGCTATAGTAATCAGAACATCGTGGTAGTAACATACGGTTAAACAAATAGATAAATGGAATGAAGACCTCAGAAATAGACCCACAATTAAACAGTCATTTGATTATTGTATAAAGTCATCAAAGCAGTCCAATGTAAAGTCTATTTCACAAATGGTGCCAGAACAATTGAATATCCATATGGAAAAAAAAAAACTTTTTTTTTTTGAGACAGGGTCTCACTCTGTCACCCAGGTTGGAGTGCAGTGGCGTGATCTCAGCTCACTGCAGCCTCTACCTCCCAGACTCAAGCAATTCTCCCACCTAAGCCTTTTGAGTAGATGGGACCACAGGCGCTCACCAGCACACCTGGCTAATTTTTGTATTTTTTGAAGAGACAGGGTTTTGCCATGTTGCTCAGGCTTGTCTCGAACTCCTGGGATCAAGCTGCTGCAGCCTCCCAAAGTGCTAGGATTACAGGTGTGAGCCACTGTGCCCGGCCTGGAAAAAAATAAACTTCAACCCCTCCTCCCTCACACTATTCATAAAAATTGATTTTAAATAGATCATAGAAATCAATCAAAAGCTAAAGTTATTTTTTGGGTTAAAATGTTAAAATTTCTAGAAGCAAACAGGAGAATATCTTTGGGACTGGGGAATAGGTAAGGTATCTTAAAATAGATCACAGAAAGCAATTTTTTTTAAGATTGATAAATTGACTTAATCAAAATTAAAAATTTCTGTTCATCAAAAGACAGTATTAACAAAATTATATGCAAGCCTCAGGGAGAAAATATTTGCAAAACATATCTGACAATGGATTTATATGCAGAATATATAAAGGATACCTACAACTCAATAATAAAAAGATAAATACCTCAATTTTTAAAATAGGCAAAATATTTGAATAGACACTTCACAAAAGAAGACACAGATGGCCAAGAAACACATGAAAAAGTGCTCAACATCATTAGTCATCAAGACAATATAAAATAAAACCATAATGAGACACCAACATACACCCACCAGGAAAGCTAAAATTAAAGATTGACAACATCAAATGTTGGCAAGGATGTAGAACAACTGGAACTCTCATACATTATTAGTGAGAATGTAAAATGATGCAACCACCTTGGGTAAAAAGCTGGTAGTTTCTTATAAAATGAAACCTATCTATGACCCAGCAATTTCATGTTTAGGTATTTACCTAAGAGAACTGAAAGCATATGTCACAGAAAGACTCATAAAAGAATTTTCACAGCTGCTTTATTCATAATTGCTAAAAACTAGAAACAGCTCCAGTGACTATCAACAGACGAACAAATAATTCTTCTGTTATAATCGCCTAATACAATATCGCTGAGCAACAAAGGATATTAACTACCAATATGTGCAACAACAACATGGATGAATCTCCCACTGCTAGCTGTGAAACTAGCTAGATCCAAAAGAGTATTTACAACTGGGACTCATAATGCAAGTCCTAAAATAGGCGAAAACTAATCTATGGTGACAAAAATAAGAATGACTGAGAAGTTGCATGAGGGGACTTCCTCAGGTGATGATAATGTTCTTGATATCTTTTTTTTTTTTTTTTTTGAGACAGAGTTTCGTTCTTGTTGCCCAGGCTGGAGTGCAATGGTGCGATGTCGGCTCACTGCAACCTCTGCCTCCCAGGTTCAAGCAGTTATCCTACCTCAGCCTCCTGAGTAGCTGGGATTACAGGCATGTGCCACCACACCCAGCTAATTTTGTATTTTTAGTAGAGAAGGGGTTTATCCATGTTGGTCAGGCTGGTCTCGAACTTCTGACCTCAAGTGATCCACCCACCTCGGGTGGCTCATGCCTGTAATCCCTGCTGTTGATATCTTGATAGGGGTTTGAGTGACACAGGTACAGGCATTTGTCAAAACTCACCTTAAACTCACTCATATTTAAGATCTGTGCATTTCCTGTGTGTAAATTTTACTTAAAAAAGGCAAACAAATATTGAACTCTAGTTAATTATATTCATCCTGAAGTGTTTAGGGGTAAAATATACTGATGTCTGCAACTTTCTTTGAAATGATTCAAAAAATAAATAAAAAGGCAGAAGGATGGGTGGATGGGTGGGTAGACGGATGGGTGGATGGGTGGGTAGACGGATGGGTGGATGGAATGATGGATGGACAGATGGACAGATGGACGGATGGATAGATGGAGAGAGAGATGTACAGATATGTGATTAAGCAAATAGAGTAAAACGTTAATTGTAGAATCTATGTGGTAGTTATATGAATGCCCACTGTATAATTCTTTCCAGTTTTCTGTCTGTTTGAAATTTTTCATAATAAAATGTTTTGGAAAAAAGGCAAATCAAATCTTGGGCAGCACAGTCTGGACCATTTTTTCTCCTCTTAAGAGACCACTGGGTTGGGCGCAGTGGCTCACGCCTGTAATCCCAGCACTTTGGGAGACCAAGGCGGGCAGATCACGAGGTCAGGAGTTCGAGACCAGCCTGACCAATATGGTGAAACCCCGTCTCTACTAAAAATACAAAAAAAAAAAAAAAATTAGCTGGGCAAGGTGGCGCGCACCTGTAATCCCAGCTACTCGGGAGGCTGAGGCAGGAGAATCACTTGAACCTGGGAGGCAGAGGTTGCAGTGAGCCAAGATCGTGCCACTGCACTCCAGCCTGGGCAACACAGCGAGACTCTGTCTCAAAAAAAAAAAAAAAAAGCAAAACGAAACAAAAAAACAACAAACGAACAACAACAACAAAAACAAAACACTGAAAACTACCCCATCAGGCCTGCATCCTTGTTCACCAGAAGAAGCCACCATTGATCCACCATTACCAGACACTCATCCCAGGCTGGCCAAGCCTTCTTCTCATCTTCCCAAGCCCTCCCGCTGAGCTCTCTGGAACTCCCACTCTACCCTACTCTCAACCTCTTCTGGAACTCCCACTCTACCCTACTCTCAACCTCTTCTGGAAGTTTCCCCCTACTTCCTGGCCCTAATGGAAACCAAGCAAGTCCCTGAGATATACTTCCTCCTGGCTCAGAGGAAGCTATTGTTTCTCTCCTATTCCAGGATCCTCAGAGCCAGGAGGTGAGAGGGACACGTGTTTTTCTTACTCCCTACTACTCTTTCCAAGTCCTTTCTCTTCCTTCCTCCTTCAAAAACCCTAGTTCTGGCCAGGCACAGTGGCTCACACCTGTAATCCCAACACTTTGGGAGGCACAGGCGGGTGGATCACTTGAGGTCAGGAGTTTGAGACTGCTGGCCAACATGGTGAAACCCCCATCTCTGCTAAAAATACAAAAATTAGCCGGGCAGGGTGGCGCACACCTGTAATCTTAGCTACTCGGGAGGTTGAGGCACGAGAATTGCTTGAACCCGGGAGTCGGAGGTTTCAGAGAGCCGAGATCATGCCACAGCTCACCAGGCAGGCTGGGTGACAGAGCGGGACTCTGTCTCAAAAAAACAAAAACAAAAACAAAAAAACCCTAGTTCCTTTGAAGTGCACACTAACTGGCTAAACCACTCTGTACCTCTCTCCAGTGCATCCATCTGTCTCCTGCCCAACCTCCTTGTTCATTGTGGACTTTAGCTCCAGGCACTGTCTCCACTCCAGCCCTGTCAACATTCTTGTGACCTCACCATCCACATGTGTGAACTTCAATACCCTGGCTTCTCAGTCACTTGAACTCCTCACCTCCAAAGACCTTTTGCTCCACTCCAACTCTGCCACCCGTTTGCATAGCACACTCTAGACCTTGTCCCACCTCCAACATCCTGATTTCAGGATCCCACACTTAGACACCATCACCCACCCCTCTGGCCCTCTGGCTCTCATTCCCCACTGCACCAGTGTTCTGAGTGAGGAGAGCTGCAATCCCGCCACCCCACCACTTTTCCTCCACAATCCTTCTCTTGTTCTCTTCTTCCCATCAAAATGCCCTACCTTCTTGCTTGCTTTACTTTTCTCTGTAGCGTTGGCCATCTTCTAACATCGATAAAACTGACTTATTCATTTTATTAGTTGACACTCTCCACCCAATAGAATGTGTGCTCCAGGAAGATAGCGGATTTTGTCTGTTTATTTGCTGCTATAGTCTCAGTGTCTAGAGCAGTGCCGTGGCATGCAGTAGGTGCTTAATAAATGCTTGTTGAAGGAAAGAGTGAGAGAGGGAAGGCAGGAAGGCAGGCAGGCAGGAAAGCAGGAAGGCAAGAAGGCAGGAAGGCAGGAAGGCAGGCAGGCAGGAGGGAAAGCAGGAAGGCCACCTTTATTTAAAAAACAGAACCTGTCCCTCCTCAGGAATGTCCTTTCCTTCCCACCTCTCCATCAGTGCCATGCTCTCCTCCTTGTGACAATTGGAAGCGTATCCCTGCTCCTCTCCAAGGCCATTTGCTCCACAAGTGCAGTAGACGCTGTCTCCTCTCACCTCCTTAATAACTGATTGGACTCGTAAGACATTCTCCCTCCTCTGCCATCACCAGCCTCTGTCTCTGAATTAGATCCTTTCAGCTGGGCGTGGTGGATCATGCCTGTAATCCCAGCACTTTGGGAGGCCGAGGCGGGTGGATTATTTCAGCTCAGGAGTTCCAGACCAGCTTGGCCAACATGGTGAAACCTTGTCTCTACTAAAAAATACAAAAAAATAAAAAATAAATAAAAATGAGCCGGGCGTGGTGAAGCACGCCTGTAATCCCAGTTACCTGGGAAGCTGAGGCAGGAGAATTGCTTGAGCCTGGGAGGCGGAGGTTTCAGTGAGCTGAGATTGCACCACTGCACTCCAGCCTGGGTGATAGAGTGAAACCCCGTCAAAAAAAAAAAAAAAAAAGATTTCATTTGCCTCTACTATCTTCCATCTTTTAAAATTCCTCTCCTGACGCATGTGCACATGCAACTACTGTGCCATTGCTTTGCTCCCTCTGCCTCAATTTCCATTCATTATTATCATTATTTATTTATTTATTTATTACTCTGTCTCCCAGGCTGCAGTGCAGTGGCATGATCTCAGTTCACTGCAACCTCTGCCTCCCAGGTTCAAGCAGTTCTCCTGCCTCAGCCTCCTGAGTAGCTGGGACTACAGGTGCGCGCCACCACCCCTGGCTAAATTTTTGTTTGTTTGTTTGTTTGTTTGTTTTTAGTAGAGATGGGGTTTCACCATGTTGGCCAGGCTGGTGTCAAACTCCTGACCTCGTGATCTGCCCACCTTGGTCTCCCAAAGTGCTGGGATTACAGGCGTGAGCCACCATGCCCAGCCCCCATTCATTCTTCAACCCACTTCAACAGCCATCTCGGCCCAGGAAAATCACATGCTAGGACGACACAGAGAGACATAAAGAGCCTGAATACCCAGTGATGCCAAGGAAATACAGAACCAGCCCAGGACTACCTACTTCCAGGCTTCTATTTTGTGTAAGTGAAATAAGTTCTATCTCATTTAAGCCATTGCTATTTGGGGTTTGCTCTTACGTCAACTGGTCAACTGAATCTTCAGTGATAGATCTTATCGCTCCTACTAGGCTGAAAGCAATTGAGGGCAATGGCTGTACTTATTTGCTTCAAGTGCTTTTAAGAACATAGGTTCTAAGTAAATGCTTGTTGGGGTGAATGAGATCTTGAAAATTAGCCAGACGCATCACCCTAGAAGATGGAGGACCCACGCTGAGCACCAGCCTAAGGTTAGTGGCCAGGATTCCTTTGTTCTGTGGATAAGTGTGGTCACGTGTGGGATGGGGAAGCCAAGGGGAAACACACTGAGGAGGGAAGAGGAAGCGAGAGGTGGAGGTAATGAGTCATGCTTGGTCTCCTCCTGGGTGTGAGGAGGCTGATGAGCCTTATTGGTCAGGGGGTGCAACTGGAGTTCCATCCCTAGGTTTCTTTTCTTACAGTTTTATTGAGATTATAATTCACATACCATACAATTCACCCATCTACAGTGTACAATTCGGCTGGGCATGGTGGCTCATGCCTGTAATCCCAGCACTTTGGGAGGCCGAGGTGGGTGGATCACTTGAGCTCAGGAGTTCAAGACCAGCCTGGCCAATATGGTGAAACCCCATCTCTACTAAAAATACAAAAATGAGCTGGGCGTGGTGGGGGGCACCTGTAGTCCCAGCTACTCGGGAAGGTGAGGCAGGAGAATCGCTTGAACCCAGGAGGCGGAGGTTGCAGTGAGCCGAGATTGTGCCACTGCACTCCAGGCTGGGCGACAGAGCGAGACTCTATCTCAAAAAAAAAAACCATTTAAAACATTAGCCTGGTGTGGTGGCACATGCCTGTAGTCCCAGCTACTTGGGAGACTGAGGTGGGAGAATTGCTTGAGCCTAGGAGGTTGAAGCTGCAGTGAGTCATGATCACCCCACTGCACTCCAACTTGGGCAATAAAACAAGATCTCCCCCACAAAAAATTAAAATTAAATCAAAAATAAAATAATAAGGTGTACAATTTAATGATTTTTAGTATATTCACAGAGTTGGGCAACCATTGCTACAATCAGTTTTAGAACATTTTTATCACCTGAAAATGAAACCCCATACCGGTTAGCAGTCATCCCCCACTTCCCCAACCCTCATTTTAATCCTAAGCAATCATTAATCTACTTTACATCTCTATGGATTTTTACTCCTTCTGAACATTTCAAATAAATGGGATTATACAGTACATGGCCTTTTGTGCCTGACTTCTTTCACTCAGCATGCTGTTTTCAAGGTTAACCCAGGTCATAGCATGCATCAAAACTTCATTCCTTTGCAAGACTAAAATAATAGCCTTGTATAGATATATCACATGTTATTCATCCATTCATCAGTTGATGGGCATTTGGGTTGTTTCCACCTTCTTTGGCTATTATGAATAATACTGCTATGAACATTCACATGCAAGCGTTCTTGTGTCTGTATATTTGTAGTTATCTTGGGTAGGTACCTAACTTGGAGCGGAATTGCTGGATCATACAACTCTGTGCTTAACCTTTTGAGGAGCTGCCAGTCTGTTTCCCAAAGCAGTTGCACTGTTCTATATTCCTATCATCATGTTTTCTCCCCCACATCCTTGCCAACAATTGTTATTGCCTGTTTTGGTCTTTTTAATCTCAGCCATCCTAGTAGGTGTGAAATGATATTTCATTATGGTTTTAATTTACATTTCCTTGATGGCTAATAATAGTGAGCATCTTTTCACATGTTTATTGGCCCTTTGCATGTCTTCTTTGGGGAAATGTCTATTTAGATCCTTTACTCATTTTTAAATCAGGTTATTTTTTATTTAGTTGTAAGAGTTCTTTATATATCAGACCCTTATCAGATACATGATTTGTAAACATTTTCTCCTATTCTGTGGATTGCCTTTCACTTTCTTGATGGTGTCCTTTGAAGCACTTAAGTTTTCAATTTTGATGAAGTCTATCTTATCTATTTGTTGTCACTGTTGCTTGTGCTTTTATTATCATATCTAACAAACCATTGCCTAATCCAAGGTCATAAAGTTTAACCCCATGTTTTCTTCTAAAGAGTTTTATAGTTTTAGGTCTTTCATCCACTTGTAACTTTTTTTAATATAATGTGAGGTAGAGAGGCAACTTAATTTTTTTGTGTTTGTGGCTACTCAGTTATCCCAACACCATTTCTTGAAATTCTTTCCCCATTGAATTGTTTTGGCATCCATGCCAAAAATTAGCTGATCATAAAGGTGAGAGTATTTCCGAATTCTTGATTCTATTTCACTGATCAATATGTCTATCCTTATGCCAGTACCATACTGTCTAGATTACTGTAGCTTTGTAGTAAGTTTTGAAATTGGCAAGTGTGAGTTCTTCAATTTTGTTCTTCTTTTTCAAAATTGTTTTGCCTATTCTGGATCCCTTGAATCTTCATATGAATTTCATAATCAGTTTATTGATTCCCGGAAAGAGGCGAGCTGAGATTTTGATATGGACTACATTGAATGTATAGATACATTTTGGAAGTATTGTCATCTTAACAACATTAAGTCTTCCAATCCACAAATATGGGATGTCTTTGCATTTATTTAGATCTTAATTTCTATCAACAACATTTTGTATTTTTCAAAAGTATAAGGTTTGTACCTTTTTATTAAATTTATTCCTAAGTACTTTATTATTTTTGATATTCCTACAAATAGGATCATTTTTAAATTTCATTTTCAGATTATTCAATGCAAGTGTATAGATATACAACTGATTTTTTTTATCCTACAACTTTGCTGAACTTGCTTATTAGTTCTAATAGTTTTTTTAAAATGGATTTTCTATATAAAAGACCATGTCATTTGAGAATATTGACAGTTTTACTTATTCCTTTCCAATCTGGATGCCTTTTATTGCATTTTCTTCCCTAATTGCCCTGGCTAGAACCTTCAGCACAATGGTGAATAGAAGCAGCAAGAGTGAATATCCTTGTTTTGTTCCTGATCTTAGGGGAAAAGCATCCAGTCTTTCACTATTAAATATGATGCTAACTGTGAGTTTTTTGTCTATGCCCTTTATCAAACTGAGTTCTTTACTAGTCTTAGTTTGTTGATTATTTTTATCATAAAGGGGTGTTGGATTTTGTTAAATGCTTTTTCTGTGTGGATTGATATATGATGTTTGTCTTTTATTCTATTGACACAATGTATTACATTCATTTTTTTTATTCAACCAACTTTGCATTCCTAAAATAAATCCCACTCTGTCATGGCGTATAATCCTTTGATATGCTGTTGGAATTGGTGGTTGGCATTTTGTTTTTATTTTTATATTTTAAATTTTTCTTATTTTTAAAAAAATTTCAATAGCTTTTACGGTACAAGTGTTTCAATAGCTTTTATGGTACAAGTGGTTACATGGATGACTTCTATAGTAGTGAATTCTGAGATTTTAGTGTACCCATCACTAAGTGTACACTAGTGTACAGCCAGGTAGTGTACGCTAGTGTACAGCCAGGTAGTGTACGCTAGTGTACAGCCAGGTAGTGTACGCTAGTGTACAGCCAGGTAGTGTACGCTAGTGTACAGCCAGGTAGTGTACGCTAGTGTACAGCCAGGTAGTGTACGCTAGTGTACAGCCAGGTAGTGTACGCTAGTGTACAGCCAGGTAGTGTACGCTAGTGTACAGCCAGGTAGTGTACACTGTACCCAATATGTAGTCTTTTATCCCTCACCCTTCTCCCAATCTCTGCCTCCTGAGTTCCCAAGGTCCATTATATCATTTTGTATGTCTTTGCATCCTCATAGCTTAGCTCCCACTTATAAATGAGAACCTGAATTACTGAATTACTTCCTGAATTACTTCACTTAGAATAATGGCCTCCAGCTCCATCCAAATTACTGCAAAACATATTATTTTGTTCCTTTTTATGGAGCAAAAAATATTAGTACTTTTTTGTAGTAGTATTCCATTGTGTATATATACCACATTTTCTTTATCCACTCATTGGTCGATAAGCACTTAGGCTGGTTCCATATGTTTGCAACTGTGAATCGTGCTGCTATAAACAGGCATATGTATGTGTCTTTTTCATACAATGATTTCTTTTCCTTTGGGTAGATAACCAGTAGTGGGATTGCTGGATCAAAAGGTAGATCTACTTTTAGTTCTTTAAGGAATCTCCATACTGTTCTCTATAGAAGTTGTACTAATTACATTCCCACCAGCAATGTCAAAGTGTTTCCTTTTCATCACATCCACACCAATATCTTTTGTTTTTTGACTTTTTAATTATGACCATTCTTGCTGGAGTAAAGTGGTACCTTATTGTGGTTTTAATTTGCATTTCCCACTGATGTTGAGCATTTTTTCACATGTTCGTTGGCCGTTTGTATATCTTCTTTTGAGAAATGTCGATTCATGTCCATTGCCCAATTTTTGATGGAATTATTTTATTTTTTTTCTTGCTGATTTGAGTTCCTTGTTGATTCTGGATATTAGTCCTTTGTTGGATGCACAGTTTGCAAATATTTCCCCCATTCTGTGGGTTGTCTGTTCACTCTGCTGATTATTTCCTTTGCTGTGTAGAAGCTTTTTAGTTTAATTAGGTTCCATTTATTTATTTTTGTTTTTGTTGCATTTGCTTTTGGAGTCTTAGTCACGAATTCTTTGCCTAGGCCAACGTCTAGCAGAGTTTTTCCAATGTTATCTTCTAAAATTTTTATAGTTTTAGGTCTCAGATTTAAGTCTTTGATCCATCTTGAGTTGATTTTTCTATAAGGTGAGAGATGAGGATCCAGTTTCATTATTCTACATGTGGCTTGCCAGTTTTCCCAGCACTATTTATTGAATAGGGTGTCCTTTCCCCAGTTTATGTTTTTGTATGCTTTGTTGAAGATCAGTTGGCTGTATTTAGTTTTATGCCTGGGTTCTCTATCTGTTCCATTGGTCTAAGTGCCTATTTTTATACCAGTACTATGCTGTTTTGGTAACTATAACCTTGTAGTATAATTTGAAGTCCAGTAATGTGATGCTTCCAGATTGTTTTTGCTTAGCATTGCTTTAGCTATTTGGGCTCTTTTTTGGTTCCATATGAATTTTAGGATTGTTTTTTCTAGTTCTGTGAAAAATGATGATGATGTTTTGATGGGAATTACATTGAATCTGTAGATTGCTTTGGGTAGTATGGACATTTTCACAATACTGATTCTTCCCATCCATGAGCATAAGATGTGTTTCCATTTGTTTGTGTCATCTGTGATTTCTTTCAGCAATGTTCTGTAGTTTTCCTTGTAGAGATCTTTCACCTCCTTGGTTAAGTCTGTTCCTAGGTATTGTATTTTATTTATTTATTTATTTATTGCAGCTGTTGAAAAAGGGATTGATTTCTTGATTTGATTCTCAGCTTGGTCGTTGTTAGTGTATAGCAGTGCTACTAATTTGTGCACATTGATTCTGTAACCTGAGACTTTACTGAATTCATTTATCAGATCTAAGAGCCTTTTCGATGAGTCTTTAGGGTTTTCTAGGTATACGATCATATCACCAGAAAACAGGGATAGTTTGACTTTCTCTTTTCCAATTTGGACGCCCTTTGTTTCTCTTGCCTGATCTCTCTGCCTAGGACTTCCAGTATAAATTTTTCTTATTTTTAATTTGACAAAGCCTCATTCTGTACCAGAGAATGCATCTATATTCATAATATGTATTGGTCTGTAATTTTCTCTTTTTTGTGTTATCTTTGCCTGGTTTTGGTATCAGGCCTCAAAGAATGAGTTGGGAAGTGCCTAAGTTTCTTTTTGACTAAACTGTTGGTCAAACTTATATCTTGATATTTACAACACTCAGGAAAAGCCAAGGCCCTGCAAAGTTTATCTGGTATTCTCAAGTGGAACATACATCACCATCAACTGGGCACTGTTCAAAGCAAATTCCTGGTTCCTGAGCTCCGGAGACTCTGATTTGCAAAGTCTGCAGCAGGGCTGGGTACTCTCTATTTCCTTTTTTTTTTTTTTTTTTTTTTTGAGACGGAGCCTCACTCTGTCGTCCAGGCTAGAGTGCAATGGCACAATCTTGGCTCACCGCAATCTCCGCCTCCCAGGTTCAAGCGATTCTCCTGCCTCAGCCTCCTGAGTATCACCATGCCCAGCTAATTTTTGTATTTTTAATAGAGATGGGGTTTTGCTGTGTTGGCTGGGCTGGTCTCAAACTCCTGACCTCAGATGATCCACCCACCTCAGCCTCCCAAAGTGCTGGGATTATAGGCGTGAGCCACCATGACCGGCCAGTACTCTCTAACAAGCACCCTTAAGAGATTCTCAGATGAGCACCCTCTCATTTCCCTTTAAGAAACATTGATAGAGTTGCCCAAGCTGACCCAGCTAAGCAGCCAAAGAGGATGGGCTAGAAAAGTGATGTTTCTTCACCCAGGAGTCTGAGCTTTTAGCGTGTTCGTGTCCATAATGAATATCTAAGGCAGAAGTTAGAGTATGCATTATTTCCCAAAATTATTTGTCCACAAAAATCTCTTATCTTTTGGATAAGCACCTCATAGGATTGATGTTTCACAGCATATACTTTGGGAAGCACTGACCCAGAATTATGCAAATGTCTCTTTGGAATCTCATGGGGCTTTTTTTCTAAGCACTAACGCACTGTGGCTTGAAGCTGCTTTTGTATGTGTCACCATCAGTCAGATGTTTGCCGGGGCCTCCATTAGGATTAGCTGATTTAGGCGCTTGCCTCGAGAGCAAAATTTCAGGAGGTGCCAAAACTCCATAATCAAGAAAAATTATTATTTGGAGGCTGGGTCAACAAGACAGCGCATTGGCAGCCAGTGGAGTAAGGAAGGGATACAATGGTGTAGCGTAGGGGGTGCTTAATACTCACCGTGAGTGGAACCGAGAGCCGGGGTCTATCTCGGTGGGGCAGCAGGGCAGTCAGGCCAGGCATCTGGCCTGTCTCTCCTGTAGAAACTGCTCCAAAGGAGGGGCAGCCCTCTCTCACCTCTTGACTCCCATCCCAGGCACAATACATGGAACACAGGATTATTCAACTCCCTTAGAGACAGAGATGATGCCAAGTTGACTTACCTCCCAGCTCCTGCTCAAGTATCTAACCCACTGAGCACAAGGAGACTCAGTCAATGCCTGTGGGCAGACAAGGGGCTGGATCTCATCTGGAAAGCGTCCCTGGTCTTTGTGTGGGTGCCTTGCTTTGGATGTGCTCCCAAATCTGACTCGGGGGGAGGGAGGCTGGGTGCCAAAGAGTTTCTGGAAAAAGTCTGTCCTTTTCCGAATACCCTTCCTCTCTGTGTCCAACAGAACTTGACCTCAAATGTGCAAGTTCTAACATTCAAAAGAGTTGGGTTTGGGCCTGATTGGGCTAGTGCTAGATGTTTGTGATTTATGCAATCACTGGGGTCTGATTAAGCTCCACAGCTGGAAGGCCTTCAGCCATGACTTTGGGGAAAAAAAAAGAAAAGAAAAAAACACAAAACTCTGAAAGCCAAGAGTAGGAACAGCTTCCTGGGCCCACCCTTCAGGCTGGTTCCAGGACACTCCCTTACTCCACCACTACCCACTCATGTATCTCATTAAAAGGGCTTTATAGGTCTGTCTCTTCTTTGGAATTTCCATTTCTTCTTTATTCCAAGAACTATAAAAGCCTCATCAATTAATTGCTAACCACAGGAATCAGAACAGGGTTCCCTTTAACTAAGTGTGCAAAAGAGTTATTACAGAGGCTCCACGCTGATCTGCTCAAAAGAGGAAATGTTTTCTCTTAGACGACATCTAACTGAAGATAAGCCTCCAGCTGACTATAGAAGATTACTCTCTATGCAACAAAAAGCTGGTTCCCCACGGCCTCTACTTGTCAACACCTCATAAATTTACTTTGAGTTGCTTCATAAGCTCAAAAGTACAGTGATATCTTCTGGGAATTAAGCTTTGTAATAACTTGATTGTGTTAAACAAATAAACTTCAGAAGGCAGGGCAAGCTAGACCCCAGGGAAGCTACCCGGATGTGTGGCCTTGAGGGTTGCTGGAAGGCAGGTTCTTAGAGACTGTGTCCCTAGCTCTAGGATGCTGGCCCTCAAACAAATGTCATTTCACAGAGCAGGACCTGAGACCTAGGGTGAGAGAGGGGGTGATTGGTCCATATTCACACAGTGGCAAAGCTGGGGTTAGGATCTGGGTGTTGTTGCCAGATCCTCTCTCTTTCCCTACCGACCCCCAGGATCCAGCACCTCCACTCTGCTCCCCACCCTCCTAGGAGGGCAGGAAAGAATCTGACAAGACTGGGCGCAGTGGCTCACACCTATAATCCCAGCACTTTGAGGGGCCAAGATGGGAGGATCACTTGAGGCCAGGAGTTCAAGACCAGCCTTGTCAACATAGCGAGACCCCATCTCTATTAAAAAAAAATAGAAAAAAAAAGGAAAGACTCTTACAGCTGCCCAATGGAACATGTGTAGGAATGAGAGTCAGCCATTTTCTCTCCTCAATCAGTCTCTGCATTTTAAGTCATTTATCTTTATTGTGCTATGAAAGTCTTTGGGTTGTGTCAAATGGATTTCAGGCAGGGAGGGAGCAACTGGTGAGAAGTTAGGAGGCTGCTGAAGTCATACCTGGAGTAAAACAGAAGTTCTCACCCCAGACTGCACAGTAGAATCACTGGGGGTCATTTTTTTCCGTGTGTGTGTGTGTGTGTGTGTGTGTGAAGCACCTGTCTGCTGTTGAAAGGGGGGTCTTTTTTTTTTTTTTTTTTTTTGAGACGGAGTCTCGCTCTGTCGCCCAGGCTGGAGTGCAGTGGCATGATCTCGGCTGACTGCAAGCTCCGCCTCCTGGGTTCACGCCATTCTCCCGCCTCAGCCTCCCGAGTAGCTGGGACTACAGGCGCCCGCCACCACACCTGGCTAATTTTTTTGTATTTTTAGTAGAGATGGGATTTCACCGTGTTCGCCAGGATGGTCTCAATCTCCTGACCTCGTGATCCACCCACTTCAGCCTCCCAAAGTGCTGAGATTACAGGCATGAGCCACCACGCCCGGCCGAAAGGGGGGTCATTTTTAAAATCCCAAATGTGCAGACCACATCCCAGACCAATTACATATAAATCTCTGAGGGGGAGCCCCAGACTTCAGGCTGGAGGGCAGTGGCACTATCATAGTTCACTGCAGCCTTGACTTCCTGGGCTTAAGAGATCCTCCCATCTTAGCCTCCTGAGTAGCTAGGACTACAGGCACAAGCCACCACACCTGGCTAATTTGTTGTTGCTTTTTTTTTTTTTTTTGAGATGGGGTCTCACTATCTTGCCCAGTCTCAGGATTTCTTAAAGCTCCCTAGTGATTCCAACAAGCAGCCAAGTTCCAGAACCATGGAGTAAAACCATTCTAGATCAGGCACAGTGGCTCTTGCCTGTAATTCCAGCACTCTGGGAGGCCAAGGTGGGCAGATCAGGAGGTCAGGAGATCAAGACCAGCCTAGCCAACATGCTGAAACCCCCTTCTCTACTAAAAACACAAAAATTAGCCGGGTGTGGTGGCGTGTGCTTGTAGTCCTAGCTACTTGGGAGGCTGAGGCAGGAGAATCGCTTGAACCCGGGAGGCAGAGGTTGCAGTGAGCCAAGATCACTCCACTGCACTCCAGCCTGGGCAACAGAGTGAGACTCCGTCTCAAACAAACAAAAAAACAAACAAACAAAAAATTTCTAAACCAGATGAAGCCAAAAAGGGGTGGGACAGTTGCGGTTGTGGTGATGAATGCCCAACATTTATGTGGACAAAGCTGTGTGATCTTGGACAAATCACTTAATGTCTTGGGGTCTCTGTTTCCTCATCTGTAAAGTGAAGATGATTCTATAACCTTCCTCATAGGGTTATTATAGGGTTGAATGGGACAATGCTTGTAAGTCCTTGGCACAGTGCCTGGCACACAGAAAACACCCAGGAACTTTAGGTTTTGCCTATTATTTTAGAGTTTACAGTGATGTTTTCTATGCAGTATCTCGAAATTATACCTTACCTCCTCAATTATAGGGGTGCACATTTTTGCATTTTAACATCTTTAAAAGTGTAATGCATAGACAGTGTCTTATATTCAGCGACATGACCCTCACCTGCGCTAAGCACTGTTCTAAGGGTTTTATGTTAATTACCTCCTTTAACTCTCACAATATCCCTAGAGAAGAGGATGATTATATCCATCCCCATTTAAGAGACTGGTAAACTGAGGCCCAGAGTGAAGTGCCTTGTCTGTGTTCCCATAGTCAGTGGCAGAACAGGGATTAACCTTGGGTCGGGCTCTAGAGTCTGTGCTCCTGACCACTCTGCTATATAGCAGCTCATGGAAACTGAAAGGCAGGTGAGGTGAGCAGAGTCATCCAGCTGGGATTTGAATCCATGACACCAAAACCACCATGCTTGTTCCCTGTCCTGCTTCTGACTGGAGGCCGATTCCCAGCTGCAGCTGGGGGAGAAGTCCACATGTGGCTGTCAGTGTGTCTGCACAGAGGGGGAGCTGAGACCTAGGGTGAGAAAGAGGGTGATTTGTCCATATTCACACAGTGGCAAAGCTGGGGTTAGGATCTGGGTGTAGATGCCAGAGCCTGTCTCTCTTTCCCTACCCACCCCCAGGGCCTAGCCCCTCTGCTCTGCTCCCCACCCTCCTAGCAAGGCAGGAAAGAATCTGAGAAGGCTGGGCACAGTGGCTTACAACTATAATCCCAGCACTTTGAGAGACCAAGATGGGAGGATTGCTTGATTTACCTACCCTGCCTGGTCTGCCTGGCTGGTGCCCCCTTTCCTTCTCTCCCCTCTTCCTGTGCTAGCCGCGTCTCCTCTCTCGCCGACCTCCATAGGCAACCACTAGGGTATATTCTCTGGCCCATCTGACATGATATTAGCCAGTGTCAACGGCAGGGATGAATTCTTTCCTACCATCCCAAGGCACATCGGGCCCCCCGCCTCACACGTGTTCTGCTCACCATGCATCCGCCTGTACGATGGATCCTGGGCCCTCGCCCTCACCATCCCAGCACAAGAGGGAGTCTCATCATAGTGGCTCCTATCCCTTCAGTGTGTACTCTGCCCCACCCGGCATTCTGCTAATTGTTGCATGTGCACGCCTCAGTTTCCCCACAGCTGCCCCATGAGCCCGGTGGAATGATTACCCCCACTTTGAAGGTAACAAGCCTGAGGGACTCAGGCTGAGCAGCTTGCTGAGATGGAACATGAACCCAGGTCCGTGTGACTTCCACACCCGTCTTCCAGGAAATATTTGTGGAATCCATCATTTTATTACATTACAATATTAATCCATACAATAATGGGTTCAACAAATATTTCCTGGGTTCCTCTCGTGGGCTGGCTGAGCTGGGCATAGCATGGTGAGCAGAGCAGGGTGAGTCTCAGCCTTCAGGGAACTTAGAACCAACTGGGCCAATGGACTCGATTTGAAGACTCACACCCGGATGCGGTGCAGCTTCAGATGCAGAGGGCCGTGGAAGAGGCCAGCGGGAGGCTGGAGCCAGCAGGAACCGTGGAGCCTGTTTCAGCAGAGTGGCAGGAAGTGAGGAAGGGAGGCCTGGAGAAGGAGCCAGCCTACCTTCAGGAGTCAAGGGGGCAGGACTTTGCTGGTATGGGGAGGGCCTCGAGCAAGCGTCCAGCCACGCCCCCTCCTCCCCTACTGGGAGAGCCACAGGATGCCCCAAGAGCAAGAGAGCAGGCAGAGCCCTGACAGGATCCAAGTCGAGTCATTAAGAGACTCTCCGCCTGGGTGGATCCACTGTCAGTCTCAGCACCCACCAGCTCCCATCCTCCTCTGGCAAAGGAGAGGTCATCCCCCAGGTCCATGGCTGACGGGGCAGAGGACCGTATTTGTCATCCAGCTCCAGCTCAGATTCTTAGGAAATAACAAAGTAACAAGAGATCAGAGAGGTCTAACTCAGTCAGAGGCGCTGGCAGATTTTAATCAAAAACAGCACAGAAGTTAAAACCTTAACCCAAACCATCCCTGCCAGATAAATTCAGTCTCTCCTGGAAGTTCTTTATAAAGGGTTCTCCATGCACTGCACAGTACACAGTCATCAGTTTCTGTGCTTAAATAATACTCATGGGCTGTGAATCCTTCTTCACCCTAAGCCTAAATCTTCTTTACTGGAATCTAACATGAATACCAGCTTCTCACTATATTTCTATTTGTGAGATAATATATATTTGAAGATGGTAAATTGTTTTCCAATACAAACTTAAAAATTACACCAGTCGCAGTGACTCACATCTGTAATCCCAGCACTTTGGGAGGCTGAGGCAGGAGGATGGCTTGAGGCCAGGAGTTTGAGACCAGCCTGGGCAACATGGCAAAACCCCTTCTCTACTAAAAGTTTTAAAAATTAAAAAATCCGGGCATGGTGGCACACACCTGTAGTCCCATCTACTCAAGAGACTGAGGTGGGAGGATCGCTTGAGCCCAAGAGGTCAAGGCTGCAGTGAGCTATGATCGGGCCATTACACTCCAGCCTGGGAAACAGAATGAGACCCTGTCTCAAACAAACAAACAAACAAACAAACAACTTAAAAATTTTGTGGCTCACACCTACAATCCAGCACTTTGGGGGGCCAAGGCAGGTGGATCATTTGAGGTCAGGAGTTCCAGACCAGCCTGGCCAACATGGTAAAACCCTGTCTCTACTAAAAATACAAAAAAAATTACCTGGGCATGGTGGTGTGCGCCTGTAATCACAGCTAATGGGTAGACTGAGGCAGGAGAATCGCTTGAACCCAGGAGGCCGAGGTTACAGTGAGCTGAGATCACACTACTCCACTCCAGCCGGGGTGACAGAGTGAGACTCTTGTCTCAAAAAAAAAAAAAAAAAAGTAAAAATTAAAGATGACCCTAGAGCTTTGATGTAAAATGGCAGGGTTATCTTAAGCCACTTTGCTCCTTTGGTTCTGTTGGCACTGAGACAGCCAGTGAGGAGGAGCAGGGGCACAGGAAGGAGGGTGCAACTGCAGCACAGCCAAGGAGACAGGGACCAGGTCCCACCCCAGCCTTAAGCAGGGCAAAGACAGGAGCCCAGATGCCCAGGGACCCCTGTGAACCACCCGTCAGCACATCCCAGAAAGGTCCTGAGGACTCCAGAGTCACTCCAGTCCTTCTCACCTACCTTGTCACAAGAACCATCACACACACACACACATACATACTGACTGGCATGAACATTTTGGGGTGTCAGATGTAACAGTGCCAACTGAGGGTAGGCTTGACAGATCTAAATGCTTGTCCCAACTTTGCCCTTTCTAGCTGTGTGACCTTGGACAGGTACCTAACCTCTCTGATGGTTGGTATCCTCTCTGGGAGAATGGGGTGAAGACTCACACAAGACAACCCTCATGGGGTAGTTCTGAGGACCGATGGAGTCATGGAGCCAAAGTGGCTTGTGAACTGGACTAACACGACGTATTAGATTCATGGTTGCCTTAGGTCTGACCCTGAGCAGGAGTCCAAGAGGGACAGGCAGGAGAGGAGAAAGAAGTGAAAGGTGTGGCAGCCCTGGAAATGTCCCTAAGCCCCAAAGCTAGGCACCTTGCTGCTGTTGGGGTCTCTGCCAGGGTCTGAGGTGAACATACATGGTGAAAACAGTCGGGGGTTATCTGGGTCAGGTCCTGGACCTGACACTTTTCATGGGATCATCTCAAAAGAGCACGAGGGCTGGACATGGTGACTCATGTCTGTAATCCCAGCACTTCGGGAGGCCAAGCAGCAGGAGCCTCACTTGGGGTCAGGAGTTCAAGACCAGCCTGGCCAACATGGTGAAACCCCATCTCTACTAAAAATACAAAATTTAGCCGGGCATGGTGGCATGTCCCTGTAGTCTCAGCTACTCAGGAGCCTGAGGCAGGAGAATCGCTTAAACTTGGGAGGTGGAGGTTGCAGTGAGCCAAGATCATCCCATGCACTCCAGCCTGGAGCAACAGAGGGAGACTACGTCTCAAAACAAAACAAAACAAAACAAAAAAAAGCACCAGGAGGCAAGCATTTTGGTTTTCCCATTCTACAGAAGAGGAAACTGGGGCTTGGGGAGGTTCAGTTTTTAGGCTGGGCTGGCATTCCCCTGGGTGCTAATGGCTATGCTGTATGGCTGTGTAGGGGGTACATGGATTCTGCAGGACAGGAAAGCGTTAGAAGCTTCCCCCACGGGGCCAAATTCTCCATTAGACACAGGAGGCACACTGACGCTTTTGGGGCCCCGTGAAAATGTTGGTGGTGGTGGTTTTTTTTTGAGACAGGATCTCATTTTGTCACCCAGGCTGGAGTGGAGCAGTGCAATTGCAGCTCGGTGCACCCTCCAACACCCTGGGCTCCGGTGATCCTCCCACCTCAGGCTCCTGAGTCTGGGACTACAGGAGTGTGCCACCACACCTGGCTAAGTTTTGCATTTTCTTATAGAGATGGGGTTTTGCCATGTTGCCCAGGCTGGTCTTGAATTCCTGGGCTCAAGCAATCCACCCGCCTCGGCCTCCCAAAGTGCTGGAATTACAGGCCTGGCTGAAAATGTTTTAATTTTATTTTATAATCAGAAGAAATGTTGAACAAAATAATAATCAATAGATAATCATGAATCCAGCTTGGGTTATATTCATCTTTATACCAACACAGTTGTATAATATACTTTGTAATATTTTTCTGTGGAGGAAGGGACCCATGAACGCAAAAGGCAGATGTGGCCCTGGTGCCCCAGGGCTCTGTCTCGACATGGGAGAGAAAAGTCAGGAGCTCCTTCTCCCTCTCCCCACCTCACTGCTTCCTCCCAGCCCCTGGTCTGGCTCAGCAATGCCAGGCCAGACCAAGTCCGGCCGACTGAGCCAAAGCCAAAGCCCCAAGGGCAGCCCAGGTCACCCCGGCTTAGCCTGTGGAGCCCCCACCCCACACCCTGTCCCAGGTTCTTCTCCCAGAGCCCCCTGCCATCCCAGCATCCTTGCAGCCCAGAGCTGAGGAAGGGAGTGTTCCGATTCCTGGCAATGCCCAGCTTCCTGTTTTTCTCCAAGTGGATGAGGTCAGGCTGCTGGAAAGGGACATGGGGGCCATTTGTGGGCCAATAGATCCCAGCCGTGTGGATGGACTCAGTGGCTGGGGGAGGAGTGGGGGAGCTGCACTGGGCCCCTGGGCCCCCTACTATCCACCCAGAGGGCCCTCTCTTCCTGATACCCCCGCAGACTCCGGCAGATCCCCACACACCTCTGCAAGGTCTCCTTGTTCTCTCTGACCTCCTGAGCTTCAATTTGCTCATCTGTGACACAGTGAGGGGGCTTCTGCAAGTGCCTGCCTACCTGCTCCGGGGACCTAGGCCAGACTGAGAGTGGGGTGGGAAGGGCTCTGCCAGCCACCGAGCAGTGAGGCTGGTGACGGGAGCTGCAGGAATCACAACTGCGCCCGTTTACCGCACCCCCGCCCTGTGCCAGGCCCTCCCCCTGTGCAGTTTCAGCTTCACATGGCCTTATGAGGATCGACTTCTTATTTCTATTTTGTGACTTAGGAAAATGAGGCTAAATGCCTCACCTATGATCACAGGGATAGGAAATGACCGATATCAGGCCTGTGCCCACACCACAGCCACCTCCCTCCTCACACTGCTGCTGTGGACAGTGCTGTCTCAGAACCTGGTGAATATAGGTTTCCCTCTGGTGGGAGGATCATAGGATCCTGACCCGAGTACATGAGATGTTACTACATGGGGAAGATAAGACGCTTCACCAGACAGGGCCAAAAGACACCAGGGATTACATCTGTAATCCCAGCAACTGGGGAGGCTGAGGTGGGAGGATCACTTGAGGCCAGGAGTTCAAGGCTGCAGTGAGCTATGATCACACCACTACACTCCCGCCTGGGTGACAGAGCAAGACCGTGACTCTTTTTTATTTTATTTTATTTTATTTTTTTAAACGGAGTCTCACTCTGTCGCCCAGGCTGCTGGAGTGCAGTGGTACAATCTCGGCTCACTGCAACCTCTGCCTCCCAGGTTCAAGTGATTCTCCTGCCTCAGCCTCCCGAGTAGCTGGGACTACAGGCCTGCGCTACCACACCCGGCTAATTTTTTTATTTTAGTAGAGACGGGGTTTCACCATGTTGGCCAGGCTGGTTTCAAACTCCTGACCTCAAGTGATCTGCCTGCCTTGGCTTCTCAAAGTGCTGGGATTACAGGCGTGAGCCACCATGCCCAGCCATGACACTGACTCTTAAGAAAAAAAAAGAGCCAACTCACAGCCTTCAGCCTCCCCCCGCCCCCCCAACACACACACACACACACACATACACACACACACACACACACACAACCCACCGTCCATTCAACACGATTCATTGCACACCTTGGGATGTCTTTTGAGAATTCTGCACCCTTCTGGGGTGGCGGAGTCAAACTATTCAAGTTCAAATTCTAGCTCTGCCAGTTACCAGCTCCAAGGCTTTGGGCAAGTTTCATAGCCCACTTTGCCTCAGCCTCCACCGTAGAGTGGGGATAATAACAGCTCTGACCTCCTAGGAATTAAGGCATGCATTAATCAATCATGTCAGATGTCATCATCAGCATCCTCTCCTCCTCCTCCCTCTCAACCCCTCTTGCCTGACTTGGCCTCTCTCTTTTCTTCCACTTGCCTCTGCCCTCTTCTCTCTCCTGTGAACTCCTCCCTCATCCCTTCCAGGCCCTTTCCTGAGATGGAGAGCGGCCACCCAGAAAAAGGAGACTCAGGCCAGGAGTACACGAGGCCATGGCCAAGGGAGGATCCATGTGGAGGAGGCACCCACGAGACAGGGCAGGGCCCCACCCTGCAAAGGGCCCAAGTAAACCGCTCAGCCTCCTTTCCCGCTGAGCCCTCTGGGGTCTGAAAGCAGGGCCTAAGGGTCATTCTCATGCTCACTCTAAGCCCAAGGACTCAGACCCAGCAGACAGAGATCCAAAAGGGAGAACAATAGGCAGCTGAGCCACACAGAAGCTGGCTTTTCATCTGGATGACCTTGAGCATGAACAAGAAATGATGGGGAATGGAGCCTCCCCTGTGCAGCAGAAAGCAAGCCTAGGTCAGCCTGCCCTTCAGCTCAGTGACTTTTGGGATATAGGAAAATAACACAAGAGTTCAATGCCTGATACGTGAGTAGGCGCTCAAGAAATACTTGTTGAATGAATAAATGACTCCACATGGGGGTAAGGTGTTGGAGATGGGAGCAGACAAGGAGTGCTAACAGCCACATTGGCCACACTGAATGTGGACCAAGATGGTAGCTCCCAGGGTAATACCTGCAGCTAACCCTGGCAGAGCACTGCTCTAAATACCTTACCCATGGTGACTGATTACTTCACCTAAAACCCCTTATGATGGTTCTATTATCATCACCCCTGTTTTACAGACAAGGAAACTGAGGCATAGAGACATCAAGAAGCTGGTCCAAGGTTACAGAAACCCAGGCGTTCTGGCCCAGAAGCCATGCTGTTAACCCCTGTGCTCCCCTGCTCTCAATTTTGTTCTGAAGAGGGAATATCCTGAGCTTTCAGCTCATGTGCTTATCTCTCGGTTCAGATACCATGCTTTTGGCTTTCCTGGAGTTTTCTCAGTGTACGTGCTCTACCTGGGCCTCTGTCCGTGGTCTGTTTCTGCTGTTGTTTTACTGCTGTCATCTGCCTTCTCAGCAGATCCATGCTGTTGGCTACCTGGGCTCAAAATCAAAACAATGTCAGCAGTTAGGGGAGAGATGGTGGTGGTTTGCACCAAGACGGAGGTGTTGAAGACAGAGAAAGGGAATGGTTGGGCTCTGTTTTGGAAGTAATAGGGAAAGGACTGCCTGATAGTTTGGATCCATGGGGTGAGAATAATAATGACACCCACCTCACCACAAATTAAAGAATAGAATGCATGGAAAATGAGTGATAGAATGATACGAAGTAGGTGATGTAGCATGTGACAGCCATGACTGGTTCTATAAAGCAAAGAAGCCAGGCATGGTGGTGCACACCTATAATCCCAGCACTTTGGGAAGCTGAGGCAGGAAGATCACTTGAGCCCAGGAGTTTGAGACCAGCCTGGGCAACATAGTGAGACCCCGCCTCTACAAAAAAATCAAAAAACTAGCTGGGCATGGTGATACACACCTGTAGTCCCAGCTACTCGGGAGGCTGAGGTGGGAGGATCCCTTGAACTCAGGAGTTTGAGGCTGCAGCGAGCCATGATGGCACCACTGCACTCCAGCCTGGGCAACAGAGCGAGAACCTGTCTAAAAAAAAAAAAAAAAAGGAAAGGAAACAGGTGAGAGAAAGGAGAGATAGCCATGAAGAGAATGCAGGTTGAGCAAGCCCCGGGCTTGTTCCTATTGCTGGGAGCTTTCTGCCACACCACATTTGTGCAGGATCCCAGCTGAAACTCCCAGCCAGGTGCTCTTGCTGTGGGTACTTGGGCCAGCCCTGCAAACGCCTATTATCTGGACATAATTATCAACAGTGCTTCTGTGGCAGATGCTGGGAAGTGCCACCCAAATCCTTGGCTATTGGCAATGGGAAGATGCCTTCAGCTGTCAGCCTTCTTTGAAGACTGTCTCAACTGAGAACAGCCTCGCCCAAGGTCATACCTCCTTCCAGAGGTAGCCAGTATCCAGTGACTTATCAACATAATGGTATGAAGGCCAGGCCTCCTCACTCCAACTGGAGATGAAGCTGAAGGGCCATCTCAGCCGAAGGTGCCCTGTGGGATTGGCTGAGGCCTTCGTTGAGACTCCATCACATCCCAACATCTCCCTCTGCTCAATCTTGCTTTGGTCCCTTCCTTTTCACAGGTGTTGATCCTCACGGCCTCCTAATCAACTTTCTGCACACTAATCTCCATTTCAGAATCTGCTTCCTGGGGAACTCAACCGGCAACCATCACTTTTACTCCCAAAAGGTGTCCCAGTTAGGATAACAAGTTATACCATCACCCTAGCTCTATGAGACCTACCAAGTCACAGTGTTTGTTACTACTCACTGTAATTACTTATTTAATGACACTAGACTAGGAGCTGGAGGAGGCAGGAAATGTGTAGGTTTCATTCCCAATCATGCAGAACCCAGGGCCTGTCACAGCAGGTGCTCAATAAACATTTGTTGAATGGATGAATAAACCACCTTATCTAAGCATTTAGAGACCAGGGCAGCTCCAGGGAGAGGAGGAGGAGGAGGAAGCTATAAGCAGTGAAAACAAAGCAAGCAGCTGCCAGACAGGTGCGTCCACACCTCCATCCCAATCAACTGCCCTTGCTTGTAGCTCCCCCTTGGTGGGCCTGGCATATGGGGAGGGCTCAGTCAGGCTCCTTCACTCATTCATGTAATATCTATTGAGCCCTTTCCATGTGCCAAGCCCAGTGCAGGAGGCTGGTGTCCAGAGGTGAATCCAACCCAGGCCTCCATCCTCCAGAACCTCACAGTTTAGAAGGGGAGGCACGTGTGCGAACAACAATTATGACATAGTATGAGAAGTCAACAGTATGCCAAGGCTACCCTTGATTTTTATTTTAGCAAGATTTCACCTGCACTGACAGTGGGTGGAGGGAGGAAATGGGATCCCTGGATTTGTCTGCAACCTCAGGAGTGGTTCCAACCCCAAGTCGGTAAGAATCCCACCCCTGCTGGTGTTCCCTGGCTCCCGCCTCCTGCTCCTGATTCCTTCTTCTCCTCCCTTCTACTGAAATTCATCAGTCCTGCAGCCCAGGCCAGGCTCACAGTGCTTTCCAAGGTGGCAACCACCTAATCATATTAATAAAAATGGCTGTGGGGCCAGTTGTTCCCTCCTATGTAAAGTTCATGTTTTAGAGATGGCTTTCCAGAGATCATGGCCTTGGTTTTGTTGCCTACTCCAGACCAAGTGGGCAGACAGCTTGATGCTGGGTGGGAAGAGAACCTGACTTGTAGACTTGCCCAACCTCTGCTCAGCAGGCAGGCAGCAAGTCACCCAAGTGGGTGAGATTCCCAGGAATCTCAGCTCAGTTCCTGGAGGAAATCTGGAGCCAGTTTGGGGAGCTGGCAGTGCCCAGGAGAGCTGGCAGGCCCAGCCACCTCTCTACCCACCCTCCTCACCTCCCATTCTCATCTCCTGTTAGTCAGAAGGGGCCTTGGCTGCCACAGGAAGCTCACCCACAAAGCAGAATTCCAGGAACTCCAGGCTGAGCAGACTCCTGGCTGCTTTCTCAGTTCCTTTTTGCTTCTTAAAGGTCTCTGGTGCCAGAGCTCAGCCCCCTGACCTTCCAGGCAGAACCCTGGCTGGTTGTCTCTGCACTGCTCCCTCCCTCCCCCACAATTACACTTCTCCCTTCTTGGGGCTTCTGAGACTCCTAGAAGGTCACCGCTGGAAAGGACCGTATAGATAGCAAAAGAGGAAGCTGCGAGGCCCTAAGGAGAGCCTCTATCTAACCGCTCCCACCTGCCAGAGTCCCCAGCCTCCACAAGTGTAGTCATTAATTGGGCCCCAAGTGGTGTGGGCCACTCTTTTGTCCCTGGACCCTTTCTGTAGGTGATGACATAAAAAGATTTAACTGCCTTACAAAAGGGTAGTGGGGGTGGATGCCAGTAACTCATCACATAGCCCAGGATATGAAGGGAAAAAGCAGAGCCCGCCATCTGCAAATTATATGCCAATTATACAATGGGGTAGTATGCAGTCTTTGCAAGGAATAAGGCAGCTCTATATGTACTACGTGGACCTCTAGTGCACAGAGGATACAGAAGTTTCTAGAAGAATGAAGGTATACCTGGAGGGGCTGCTAACTCAAGCGTCTGAGTGCCAAGTAATGGGAACATTGAGTGGAGGAGACTCCAGGCAAGAATTTGTCCCGTAATTAGGATGACGCAGCAGGCTTGGGCAAGTGTATGTAAGTGCCATTTGGGAGCAGGATCACTTTATCCCCTTTCCACTCCCCCACTGCCACTCCTCTCCCTCGAGCCACAGAGAAGAGCCCTAGGTAGGATGGACTGTGTCCTGCCTTCTTGCAAAATGTCTATCCATTTATTTCTTCACTTATTTCTTCAGCAAAGACGTTTGAAGACCTGCTGCAGACACTGATGGCACAAATGTAATCAAGATAGATGTGGTGTCTGTCCTCATGGGGTGCACACAGTCTGATGGAGACAATTAATGCCATGTAGTGTGGGATAAAGTGTCAGGTGAGCAGAGAAAAAAAGAAGGTTCTAAGGGAGCACAGATGATGCCCCATCAGTGAGAGCTGGGTACAAGGGAGAAAGTCGAGTCCTGCCTAACCTAGGGGATGACAATGGGTTGGTCAAATGACAGTACCTCAGGCTCAGAGAGGTTAATTATCACCAAGATCACATATCTAATAAGTGATAGTCACCAACTCAACTGCCCATCTGTATAGACTGACTGGGTTGGAATCT
The DNA here is from genome assembly GCF_000001405.40 of Homo sapiens. Classification (NCBI taxonomy): domain Eukaryota; kingdom Metazoa; phylum Chordata; class Mammalia; order Primates; family Hominidae; genus Homo; species Homo sapiens. The sequence goes on along the minus strand of NC_000017.11, from coordinate 45,332,140 downwards.
TGACTTTGCCATTTTCTTTTCTTTTTATTTTTTTTTGAGACAGAGTCACCCAGGCTGGAGTGCAATGGTGTCATCTTGGTTCACTGCAACCTTCCCCTCCCAGGTTCAAGAGATTCTCCCACCTCAGCCTCCCAAGTAGCTGTGATTACAGGCACGCACCACCGAGCCTGGCTAATTTTTGTATTATTAGTAGAGACAGGGTTTCACCATGTTGCCCAGGCTGGTATTGAACTCCTGGCCTCAAGTGATCCACCCATCTCAGCCTTCCAAAGTGCTGGGATTACAGGCGTGAACCACCATGCCCAGCCACCATTTTCTTTTTTGATTTATTTTATTTTAAATTTTTTGCAGAGACGAGGTCTCACTCTATTGCCCAGGCTGGTCTTGAACTCCTGGGCTCAAGCAATCCTCTCGCCTTGGCCTCCCAAAGTGTTGGGATAACAGGTGCGAGGCACCATGTCTGGCTGACTTTGCCAATTTCTAGCTTAGTGCCCTTGGGTAAGTACTCTGTACCTCAATTTCCTCATTTGCAAAATGGGGATATAAGAAAACCTGCCTCACTGGGCTCCTTGGAAAAAGTAAATGCATTAGTACAGCTATTCTCAAAGTATGGTCCTGGGACCCCCTGGAAGTCCCCAGGACTCTTTCAGGGGGTCCATGAGGTCAAAACTATTTCCATAGTAATGCTAAGACATTATTTACCTTTAGTGCTCTTTTGTGGAGTTTTCCAAAGACCACGTGATATAGGACATCACAACTGATTGAATGGAGATCTATGAATGCCGCTGTCTTCCATTAAGCTAGATTAAAGGGATTTGCAAAATATAAAACAATGCCACTGTCTTCAGTAATTATTTTTTATTTTTCTAAATAGTTATTTTCAAAAAGAATGTTTATATTCATATGTAATGGGTTATTAGTATTTTTAGTGAAGGCATTTTTTTAAATTTATGAGTTTTAATTTCCAGTACTGTAAATATCAATAAAAATTCCAGCGGTGCACAGTCTGCTTGCACTGGCTTGGGAAAGTTGACTGTACATATCTCTTCCCATTTCACATTCAGTGATGTTAGGTTGGTATCTTGAAATCGGCCACGGTGGGCCAGGCACGGTGGCTCACGCCTGTAATCCCAGCACTTTGGGAGGCCGAGGCGGGTGGATCACCTGAGGTCTGGGGTTCAAGATGCCTGTAGTTCCAGCTACTCAGAAGCCTGAGGCAGGAGAATCTCTTGAACCCGGGAGGCAGAGGTTGCAGTGAGCCAAGATTGCACCACTGCACTCCAGCCTGGGCAACAGAACAAGATTCCGTCTCAAAAAAAAAAAAAAACAAAAACAAAAAAGAAAGAAAGAAAAAGAAATTGGCCATGGTGGAAGTATTTACACTATGGAAATTGGTAAGTGCTACAAATTAGGACTTTTCAGCAGAGAACCAATTGTTAAACATGTACCATCACACCATCGGATATCATCTATAAAAACAAAAGCTCTTTGGAGTCCTCAAAAAAATTTATGAACAAGCCAAAAAGCTTGAGAACCGCTGAGCTGGTACTTATAAAAATGTTTAAGTCAGGCCGGGCAAGGTGGCTCATGCCTGTAATCCCAGCCCTTTGGGAGGCTGAGGCGGGCAGATCATGAGGTCAGGAGTTCAAGACCAGCCTGGCCAACATGGTGAAACCCCACCTCTACTAAAAATACAAAAAATTAGCTGGGCATTGTGGCAGGTGCCTGTAATCCCAGCTACTCGGAAGCCTGAGGCAGGAGAATCGCTTGAACCCAAGAGGCGGAGGTTGCAGTGAGCCAAGACTGTGCCACAGCACTCCAGGCTGGGCAACGGAGCGAGATTCCATCTCAAAAAAAAAAAAAAAAGTTTAAGTCAGGGCCTGGTACATGGTAGGTCCTCAGTCATTAATTGAGAGCTCCACTAGATTTCAAAACTCAAGGACTTGCCCTCTAATGGATGGCCTTACTTTTTGTTGTCTCTTATTTCTCAGGCTCCCAGGTGCTCCTTCAGTTGCCTTGGAGCCCTGCGTGCTCCCACCTACTCCCTCTCCATTCAGCTGCGGTCCCTCTTACTGCCCACCTCAAATGTACTCTGCCCAGGGCCCAGAGGTATCACCCACTCTCCGACCTGTGCCGCAGAGAAAGCCAACAACCACAGCTAGAGACTTACTACCACCTACTTGACCTAAAGAACACATTTGTGAAATGCCCCTTGTTTACCTTTCCAACCACCAAGCTAATTGTTTGTGTCTTTAGCTAACAAGTTGTGGGTGATTACAGCCCCACTTGTGGTTATGGGCACTGTTCAGAAGCTTCTGGCTTTGAGATCTCCTCGAAGGCTTACTTGGTCTTGGTTGTTTCATCATATTATATTTTTAGAGAATTACAGGGCAAGCCTCAGCCAGATTACGAAAATCTGACTAAGGGTGTTGCATCAAGGTCCCCAGCAGGAGCATCTCCAACCCCCTCCAGAGCCAGCAATGACAAAGAGAGCGGGGCCTTTGGGGGATTCAAAGTGAAAGAGATCTTCTAAGAGAATGCAAATTGGTGACAGTTCATGAAAGCAAAACAAAGCGCCCGGCGCGGTGGCTCACGCCTGTAATCCCAACACTTTGGGAGCCCAAGGCGGACGGATCACAAGGTTAGGAGTTCGAGACTAGCCTGGTCAACATGGCGAAACCCCATCTCTACTAAAAATACAAAAATTAGCAAGGCTTGGTGGCATGCACCTGTAATCCCAGCTACTCGGGAGTCTCAGGCAGGAGAATCACTTGAACCTGGGAGACAGAGGTTGTGGTGAGCCGAGATCACGCCACTGCACTCCAGCCTGGTGGCAGAGCGAGACTCCATCTCAAAAAAAAAAAAAAAAAACCCACAAAGCAAAATTTTCATGACCAGGAACTCCAGGAAATCTAAGTATAAGAATCACCAAATAAGTAGTAAACAATAATAAATGATAAGCAAATCAGCTGCCTAGGAAGAATTATGGAGGTGAGAATGTTTCAACATGAAAGATGAGTGAAGATACAAAAATAAACATAAAATACAATATAATAAGCCTAGCCTTTTCTCCTTGCTTTGTTTAATTTGATGATTTCCTAACCTCACTCATTTGACTATCACCTTTGTGGGTTTTTTCCACATCTGAATTCCACCTATGTTATTAATTTACTTAACATTCTTCTCTATATTGACTCATTTTTTTTTTACTTAAATTATTTTGAGGCTGGGCACGGTGGTTCATGCCTGTAATCCCAGCACTTTGGGAGGCTGAGGTGGGAGGATTGCTTGAATCCAGTTGTTGGAGACCAGCCTGGGCAACATAGTGAGACCCTGTCTCTACAAAAAATAAACAAAATTAGCCAGGCATGGTGGTGCATGCCTGTAGTCCCAGCTACTTGGGAGGCTGAGATGGGAGGATTGTTTGAGCCCAGGAAGTTGAGGCTGCAGTGAGGCATGATGGTGCCACTGCACTCCAGCTTGGGTGACAGAGAGAGACCTTGCCTCAAAAAAATAAAATAAAATAAAAAATAAGTTTAAAAAATTATTTTGAAAGGAACCTGCGTATTTTAAAGGGAACCTTCATATTTTGACTATAGATGGAAAATCAATAACATTTGCTATATAGAAATAAATCCAGTAACAACCAAACATTGTTATTCAACTCTAGCTAGGCTCTGTGGTCTGTCATACACTCTAAACCTAAGGCCAGCACTTTCTGTCTTAAAGAAATTTACAAGTGTCAGAGAGAGATACATTAAAGACATATCGGCACTCAGCGAGGTGCGGTGGCTCATGCCTGTAATCCCAGTACTTTGGGAGGCCGAGGCCGGTGGATCACTTGAGGTCAGGAGTTCGAGACCAGCCTGTCCAAAATGGTGAAACCCCATCTCTACCAAAAATACAAAAATTAGCTGGGCTTGGTGGCACACACACCTGTAATCCCAGCTACTCGGGAGGCAGAGGCAGGAAAATCACTTGAACCCGGGAAGGTGGAGGTTGTAGTGAGCCGAGATTGCACCACTGCACTCCAGCCTGGACAACAGAGCGAGACTCAGTCTCAAAAAAAAAAAAAAAAAAAAAAAAAAAAGACACATTGGCACCAAAGTGAGACTTTCTACTTGACTTAATTAGAAGAATTGAAAGTGTGACCCACTTCTAGTAGTTAATCCTATGGCTATTCTCCACTACAGAATGGCAGCTCCATGATGCAGGGACTCCATCTATTGTGTTCACTGCTCTGCCTCTGGTGCCTAGACCTGACCTGGTGCATAGTAGGTGTTCGGAAAATATTTGTGGAACGCATGGATTAACTAATATGCAAAATGAAATACATATAAGGATATTTATTGCAACAATTCTTATAATGGTTGGAAATGGTTGGAAACAAGTCTATCAACAGTGAACTGGGTAAATTATATACCAGTCATACAGTTGAATAGCATGAGTCTTTATAAAAGAAGGAGGCAGTTCTATATGTATGATGTGGAACCCACTGATAAGTGAGATAGGCAAGGTACAGGGCAGTTGTGGATAGTATGCTTCCATTAACTTTTTAGAAAGAGGCTATAGGAATGTATCGTTTGCACATGCTGAAGTACATCTGGAAAAATACACAAGGAACTGGTAAGAATGATTGCTTCGTCTACTGCCATACCACCCTGAACACGCCCGATCTCATCTGATCTTGGAAGCTAAGCAGGGTCAGGCCTGGTTGGTACCTGGATGGGAGAATGGTTGCTTCAAAAGAGCCTGGGGGCCAAGCACAGTGGCTCATGCCTGTAATCCCAGCACTCTGGGAGGCCGAGATGGGCGGATCACCAGAAGTCAGGAGTTCAAGACCAGCATGGCCAACACGGTGAAACCCCATCTCTACTAAAAATACAAAAATTAGCTGGGCCTGGTGGTGGATGCCTGTAATCTCAGCTACTTGGGAGGCTGAGGCAGGAGAAGCACTTGAACCCGGGAGGCAGAGGTTGCAGTGAGCCAAGACTGAGCCACTGCACTCCAGCCTGGGCAACAGAGCAAGACTCCATCTCAAAAAAAAAAAAAAAAGAAAAGAAAAGAAAAGAAAAAGAAAAAAAGAGCCTGGGGCCAGAGGTGGGAGAAGCATGCTCTTTTGGAATTTGTACAAACCGCATGCATCAATTATTCAAGAAATAGACAAATCTAAAAAAGAATTAGAGAATAACTAGCTCAGCATGAGATCCAATGTTTCTTAGAGCTGTGGGCCACCACACATCATCTAGTGCACCCCTCGGGAACCACATGCCTCCCTTTGGGGAACTGTGATTTATAGTAAAGCTCTGTCCAGATGGCACGGATTGCGTGAAAGCATTCTTGTCTCTACAGACAGACATCTGCTCTAATCTCTGCATCTTAACACCTGGGTTTTCCCTCTACCTAATTTGAGCATCCTTTATCTGAATCGGGTGAAATATATCTTGGTCCTGATCAAGACTTCTTGTGATTAGCACAAGGAGTCACGTAATCCTTGACTGACATTTCCGGCATCCTCTCTAGCCCATGAAGTCACTCATCTCCTTCCACAGCTTTCCCAGGTGAGATTCCCTTTCTCAGAAAACAGGAGTAGCTCTCTCTACTCATGTAGGCTACAGACCTTCTTTACTGTTTCCATGTGTTACACAATCCCTAATGAGCATAAGCTTATTACATTTTTTTTTTTGAGATGGAGTCTCACTCTGTCGCCCAGGCTGGAGTGTAGTAGCTTGTGATCTCGGCTCACTGCAACCTCCATCTCCCGGGTTCAAGCGATTCTCCTGCCTCAGCCTCCCGAGTAGCTAGGATTACAGGCATGCGCCACCATACCCAGCTAATTTTTGTATTTTTAGTAGAGACGGTGTTTCAACATGTTGGCCAGGATGGTCTCGATCTCTTGACCTCGTGATCCGCCCGCCTCGGCCTCCCAAAGTGCTGGGATTACAGGTGTGAGCCACTGCACCTGGCCAGCTTATTACATTTAAGGCTTTTGCCGCAGTGTAATTTCATCCTGGGGCTACTTTTCGCTGTTGGGAATTCTCAAGCTGGCTAAATTTTACAACTCTTAACTGTACCAGTCAGTATTGCATGTCACAGAAACCCAGCTGCAGTGGCTTCATCACATGCCAGAAGCTGAAGGTCAGCAGTCCCCAGGAGGTGGGCAGTCCCTGGCTGCATGACGGTTCCATGAGTCTATTGGGGACTCAGAGCCTAGCTTTCTGCTCTGCCATCGTAGAATTCTTATGCTCAAACACTGGCTGCTACACCTCCAAGCACTGGGTGTGCATTCCAAACTAAAGAAAGGGGATAAGGCCAAGGGCAACAGACAAAAGGGCTTGTGCCAGCTAGGTCTGTCCCCCAGCTTTCCCAGAAGCTCCATCCAGAGACTTCCATGTACATCTCACTGGCCAGAATTACATCAAATAACCACCCTAGCTGTAAGAGAGTCGGGGAAGCATTTCACACTGGGCAGGTCACCACTATGAATAAAATCCGGGTTCCAATCAAAAAAGGAGAGATTGGATATCCCCCTCTGAGCAAAAGATATTATGTTATTTTATTGTTTTATTTTATTTTTTTTGAGATGGAGTCTTTCTCTGTCGCCCGGGCTGGAGTGCAATGGCACGATCTTGGCTCACTGCAACCTCCGCCTCCCGGGTTCAAGCGATTCTCCTGCCTCAGCCTCCCAAGCAGCTGGGATTACAGGTGCATGCCACCACGCCCAGCTAATTTTGTATTTTTAGTAGAGACGGGGTTTCACCATGTTGGCCAGGCTGGTCTCCAACTCTGGACCTCAAGTGATCCACCTGCCTCGGCCGCCCAAAGTGCTGGGATTACAGGCATAAGCCACTGCACCCAGCTAAGATATTATTTTAAACCAATTCTATTAGCTGTTAGTATGCATGGCTAATCCACCCTAGGAGAATGCATACTTCTGGAGGGCAGTAATGCCTTTTTTCATGTTTATATCTTTCACGCTTCTACTGAAGGGTTGAAACTGAACATGAGACATATTTGGAGGCAACAGTGGGGGAGTAAGGTTAGATACTAAGATGGAACAGGCTTCTGAAGTGGTCAACAAGGAGCCACAGAAGGTTCTATTTGTATTTTTTATTTTTTGAGACAGAGTCTTGCTCTGTCACCCAGGCTGGAGTGCAGTGGCACGATCTTGGCTCACTGCAACCTCTGCCTCCCAGGTTCAAGCAATTCTCCCGCCTCAGCCTCCCAGGTAGCTAGGATTACAGGCGCCCACCACCACGCCTGGCTAATTTTTGTATTTTTAGCAGAGATGGGGTTTCACCATGTTGGCCAGACTGGTCTCGAACTCCTGACCTCAAGTGATCTGCCCGCCTCAGCCTCCCAAAGTGCTGGGATTACAGGGGTGAACCACTGTGCCCAGCCCACAGGAGGTTCTTGATCTGAAGAATGGTTTTGGAGCCACTTCAGGTCAACATACATTTACCAAATACCAACTCACCATTTGGTGATTACAAGCTGCCATCAAGGTGCATACTGTCTGTTAAGAGAGATAAAGTAGGCAGATACATAGCTGGGCTAAGTGGTGCTTGGAGAGGAGGCGTTTCATCAGGAACTTGATGGATGGGTATGATTTGACAGGCAGAGGCAGAGGGGTGCATTTCAGTCCACAGGGCAGCCTTGGGTCAGGATGTACAGACAGGTGGTTTGGGTCAATGGTAAGTAGTACAGAGGGTGCCCACAGGGAAGCTGTGAAAAGTAAGACCAAAAGAGGTGAGTTGGGGCTAGACTGTGAGGCCCTTGTGAGCCAGATAACAAGCTTGTACTTCATCAGTAGGCAATGGGGAGCCATTGAAAGTTTTGGGCAAGGGAGTGACAGACAGTGTAGGAGGGATTGGAATATAAATGACAGGAAGCAAGAGGAAAGGCTGACATACTACAAGGGCATCATCAGAAAGGGGAGACAAAGGGAAGCCACAGACAGAGGTATAATGGAGAGAGCATCAACATGGCTTGGCATGAGACAGCAAGAAGAGGCGGGTGATGGAGACTCCCGGGGTTGGCGGTGAGGTCATTAACAGAGAGGGGTGGCCAAGGAACAGGTTTGGGGAACAGTGCAAAGCTGGAGATGCCAGATGGCTAGAAGGTGGAAATACTCTATGGGCCCCTGGAAACTCTGGTTTGGAGCCCAGGATCACGGTCAGAACTGAAGGTGTTAATCTGGCAGTCAACAGCAAAGAGAGGACAATTGAGAGAGCCAGGGCAGCCCAGATACACTATGTCCAAAGCTGGCGCTCCTCTTCTTCTTCCAGAATCCTCTCTTCTCCTGCGGCTCCCAACCTCTGCAGCCTCAACCTCCACCTCCCAGGTCAAGCGATTCTCCTGCCTCAGCCTCCTGAGTAGCTGGGATTACACACGTCAGCCACCACGCCTGGCTAATTTTTGTATTTTTAGTAGAGACGGGGTTTCTCCATGTTGGCCAGGCTGATCCCAAACTCCTGACCTCAAGTGATCTGCCCGCCTTGGCCTCCCAAAGTGTTGGGATTACAGGCATGAGCCACTGCACCTGGCCTCCCTCTCCAATTCTTAACAATTGAGACCCTCCAAGTTTCAGGCCTAAGCCCCTCATTTCTCTACACTCTCTCCCTTGGAGTCCTCATCCACTACTGGCTGTATTGAATCATTCAACAAACAGTAGTTGAGCACCTATTTGGTGCCAGGCACTTGACTAGGCCCTGGTGCCGGAGAGAGATGAATGAGTCATGAGGCCTGGCCTCAACAGGGGAGATGGACATGGTAACGATAGATGTGGAGGGTAGAAGGAATCCCTGCGCTGGTCCCGGGCTGTGTGCTCCCCCATCCAGCCCTCACCTGCTCTGCTCTGCATTGCAAGTGACTGACCCCTCTAGGCTCCCAGGCCAGTAAGAGGCTCTGGCAGGAAACCCAAAGGTAGAAGGGAAGGAGAATGCAGGGATTTCTCCCCATCCCTCTCAGTCTTAGTGGTATCTGTGGAAGTGGTTGTGTCTTCTCTATGGTTTCAACTTCTTCCAAGTGACCCCAGTCCCAGCCTTTGATTACACTGCCCCAGTCCAGTCCCTCCAACCCAGGGGTCGCAGCTGGATTCCTGGTTACTTCCCCCATTGTCTGAAGAACTTCTCCATCCTTTCATCCCCTATGTAACCAATTTCCTGCATTCAATTCTATGTTTATTCTGTTTAAAAACTCAGAGGCCAGGCGAGGTGGCTCACACCTATAATCCCAGCACTTCGGGAGGCCGAGGCGGGTGGATCACCTGAGGTCAAGAGTTCAAGACCAGCCTGGCCAACATGGTGAAACCCCGTCTCTACTAAAAATACAAAAGAATTAGCCGAGTGTGGTGGCAGGCGCCTGTAATCCCAGCTACTCAGGAGGCTGAGACAGGAGAATTGCTTGAACCCGGGAGGTGGAGGTTGCAGTGAGTCAAGATCATGCCACTGCACTCCAGCGTGGGTGACAGAGTGAGACTTCATCTCAAAAATAAATAAATAAATAAAATAAAAATAAAAATTCAGAATGAGGCTGGGCTTAGAGGCTCATGCCTGTAATCCCAGTGCTTTGGGAGGCCAAGGCGGGAGAATCGTTTGAGGCCAGGAGATCAAGATCAGCCTGGGCAACACAGGGAGACCCCTACCTCTATCAAAATTAAAAAAAAAAAAACCCTCAAAATGGGTCCTGTTTTCCTGGCTGGATCCTACCTGACATGATACAGTCTCCCCATCTTCTTGCCACACTTGCAGTGGCTTAAGTCCTCATCTGTTGCTACCTGTTCAAGGAAGCTCCCTAAGGGCAGGGACTGGTCTGGAGGTTCCATGCTTCCTACCCAGAGCCTGACACAGAGGAGCTCAGTGCATCACATTTGTGGCTGGCTGCAGATAAGAAACTGAGACAAGGTCATCTACTAGGAGGCAGTTCATGGAGAGAAGGGCTGGTGAGCAGAAACCAGGCTGTAAGGAGCCCACTTGGGTGGGAGATGAAGCAGACTTTCAAGAAGTTTGGGAGTGAAGGGGGAAAGAAGGCTGGGCTAACAGTGCAGGGGAAAGCCAGAACTAGCAAGGTTTTGTTTGTTTGTTGTTTTTAGGGTGTCCTCGGCTTGACCTCATTTGTAGGTTGAAAGGAAGAAGCGAAAGGAGGGAGATATCGAAGGGCAGGAGATGCTGGGACATTGGGAGTGGAATGACAGGACCTATGCGATCTCTTAGGAAGATTCAATTCACCAGAAGGCTTGAGGATAGTGTGGAGAGGAGACTAGAGGTAAGCAGGTGAGTCTGGAGGGGAAAATCTCCAAATCAGGAAATGAGAAGAATTTGTGTCAAGCCAGGGCACCCTAAGAAGGCTCCAAAGTTGGGAGAGGAGGCTAGATCTCTGGAAGGTGTGCCCAGGACCTGTTCTTGTAAGGTCATCTTTGCCCAGTACCCTCCAGAGTCCCCTACCAGCCCTCACCTCCATTCTTTGCTGAAATTGGCACTCCTCTCCCCCTCACCCACATCGCCATGGCCCCTCCTCTTCTACAGCAGCTCTGTGGTTTGTGGTGCCCCCTGCCATCTCCCTATGTGGGGTTGGTTTGGTGGGCAGCAGGCACAGGCCAGAACCAGCACACAGTGGTGTGCCAGCAGGTGTTTAACAACCAACTCAGGATGGGTAGCCCTGATTTATACTGTTTGCCAACTTCCATGGTATAAATACTCCCAACATGTCCAATTTCAAGCTACCAATATGAGATCACTGATCACAAAATAGCTAGAGAGAATGGATCACACTTTGCCTGCATCCATTTATCCATTTCCCCTCCTGCCTCCCTGGCCTCTCCATAGACCTCAGCTAACAGCAGCAGTAGGGCAGGTCCAAGCTGGGGAGGGCAGCAACAGCACTGTGGCTGCAACTTCAGGCAGTCCCGACAGGGAAAGGAAAACTGCTCTCCTCCAGGAACATCCACCCTACAGTCCCCAGTCATCTCTTATCTCAGCCTCACATCTGAATTCTCAAGTGTAACTTCAGAATCTCACAGTAATTTGGGGCCTGAAATCCACATTCAGATGACTCATCAGCCACTTTCTCACTGGACATGGCTCAGCACCATAAACCATGCTGACTAAGGCAATAAAAACCAGAATATAATTTCCTTTCTTCCAAGGCAAACAGAAAAGGAAAAATGATCCAAGGATAGCATTCCTTCACTGATTTACTCACTCTTCAGCACTGTCCTAGAGAACTGATGGGCAATTGGCTCCCTGAACCCTGAAGTCTCTCTGCAGAGTCCGGCATGCAGGAGGGCAGGGGCTCTGAAGTCAGACATGGTTTGAATCCTGGGTCTCCTGTTACAGCAAAGTGACACTGGGAAAGTTACTTCTGTCTGAGCTTCAGTTTGCTCATCAGTGAAATGGGGACAGTAATACTACCTATTCAATGGGGTCAGACTGTAGGGGTTTTCAACCGGGGGCAATTTTGCTTCCTTGGTGACATCTAGCAATGTCCAGAGACATTTATTGTCACATTGGGTGGATGAGGGAGTGCTATAGGTATGTAGTAGACAGAGGCCAGGAAAGCTTTTAAACATCCTGCAATGCACAAGACAGCCCTGATGTGGTTTGGCTGTGGCCCCACCCAAATCTCACATTGAGGCCAGGCGCAGTGGCTCATGCCTATAATTCCAGCACTTTGGGAGGTTGAGGTGGGTGGATCACTTGAGTTCAAGACCTGCCTGGCTGACGTAGCAAAACCCCATCTCTACTAAAAATATAAAAATTAGCCGGGCATGGTGGTGCACACCTATAGTCCCAGCTACTCAGGAGGCTGAGGCACGAGAATCACTTGAACCCAAGAGGAGGAGGATGCAGTGAGCTGAGGTCGCGCCACTGCACTCCAGCCTGGGTGACACAGGGAGACTCCATCTCAAAAAAAAAAAAAAAAAAAAAAAATCTCATCTTGTAGCTCCCACAATTCCGTGTTGTGCAAGGGACCCAGTGGGAGATAATTGAATCACTGGAGCAGTTTCTCCCATACTGTTCTCATGGTAGTGCGTAAGTCTCATGAAATCTGATGTTTTTGTAAGGGTTTCCCCTTCACTTGGCTCTCATCATTCTCTCTTGTCTGCTGTCATGTAAGACATGCCTTTTGCCTTCTGCCATGATTGTGAGGCCTCCCCAGCCACATGGAACTGTGACTCCATTACACCTCTTTCCTTTATAAATTACCCCATCTCAGCTATGTCTTTATCAGCAGCGTGAAAACAGGCGAATACAAGCCCCGTCCCCCAACAATGAATTATCCAACCCCAAATGTCTATAGTGCCAGGCTGAGAAACCCTGGCCTAGAGGGAACATTCAGTGAGGTTATGCACATGAAGTACTCTAAGTCTATCTGGCTTACTTTTTGTAAAGTATCAGAAAACAAGCTGCGATTCTTTCGGAATAGCACAGTCTTAACGCTATTTCCAGACCTGAAATGGATGGGGTGTGAGAACCCTTGAGTACTGAGAACCTAGTTCACTGCTCCAGGTGTGAGTCATCCTGTAAATGTCAATTTCTTGTATTTAAAGCAGAGCTGAGGCTGCACAAGTGACTCAAGGCCAGAAGCTTTCCCAGGTTGTCTTGACTTAAGCTTGGAGGAAGTAATCTCGTCCCGAAGCTCTCCTTCCAGAGGGTGCAAGCATTTCAAGACTCAGAGACACCACACTGCTCACTCTGGGTAGGTGTATTGTTTCTCACCTCACCCACACACAGTGGGGCTTGGAAAGACCTCAGAAAAGTAGCTGAAACGGAGAGGCCTTGCTTATCCCGAATATCTTCCTTACCAGTGTTTAGTGGTTTGCTCCTCCCCTGCAACCTGATGTGACATTCCTTCTCCAGAGTTACAGTTTTGAGTCAACACAGTTCACTGTCTCTGATTAATACACATTAATGTTCAGGGACGGACTTAAAGACAGATCATCTTGATGGGGTAGGTGGGAGTGTACAGGGGACCCAGGACCAGAGGTGTCAAGGGAACCTGGGCAAAGTACAGAGACACTGGGTGTTTTAAAGAAGGAATAGTGAAAGAGAGAGAAGGCAAAGGCAAGCCAGGGAGTGTCTGCAGACTCTGGAGGTGTGCCCACATCTTTCCTGAGAAGTGGTGTGCCCAGAGGCAAACAGGTGGTGGGAGAGGCAATAAGGGCATCCAAGATTGCCGATACCAACCTGTACATCTGGCCAAGCTCTGCCTTTCCCTGAGTCACTGAAATGCAAAACCCTAGGGGTGGAAAGAGATTTGGGGGCCACCAGTCCAGCTTCTTTCTTGTCTGCCATCTCCCAGCTAGTCAGTGGCAGAGCCAGGGTGGGCGCCAGAGACTGTTTGGCTCTAAAGCACGGACTCTACGGGAGCCACAACCTCAAATGCTCCAGGGGCCAGACAGGTGACATAAGGTTAGATGGTTGGGTGGCGGGAACTGTAAGGAACCGCAGGCTCTGCTCTAAGGCATTCAAATTCAAATTTAAAAAAATATTGGGCCAGCCAAACAAAGCATATTTCTGGCCTGGGTGAGTGAATGAGGCCCTCAGGTTGTGAGTTTTTGACCACTGCCTAAATAAATGGTCTTCCCTATTCCCCAGCAGAGATGACTGTTTGGCACAGATATCCAGAAAGAAGAGTTCAGCTTCGGACTGTCTGCAAAGTAGTCTCAAGCAGATGGTGGTCTTTGCTCAAACACTTCCAGAGATGGGGTGTTCCTTACTTTTCAAGACAGCCTTGGGTGGGGCCTGCCTATCCCCGGACTAGAGCCACTCACCACACCTACCATGGACCCTTCATGGAAGTGGGATGCCCAGGGTAGGAGTACATCTTTTATTTTGCAATAAAAAAAAAAGTTTGGATTTTTTTTTTAAAGGACTGCCTCACTCTGTTACCCAGGCTGGAGTGCAGTGGCACGATCATGGCTCACTGTAACCTCAGACTCTCAGCCTCCCCTCTAGCTGGGACTGCAAGTGCAAACTACCACGCCTGGCTATTCTTTTATTTTTTTGCAAGGACGAGGTCCTTGCTATATTGCCCAGGATGTTCTCCAACTCCTGGCCTCAAGCGATCCTCCTGCCTTTGCCTCCCAAAAGCGCTGGGATTACAGGAGTGAGCCACCGTGCCTGGCCTGGAATTTATTACAAATAAAATACAAGCTCAGTGTGGAAACACTAGATAATACAGAGGGGCAAAAGTTAGAAAAAGTTTCTATACCTTCCCTACTCCCCACCCCCGACCCCCATTCAGAAAGAAGCACTGTTGACACTTCAATGCATATTCTGAACTCCAGGTCCTTTCTTTGCATACATCAAGCTCTCATCCTCTTGCTGGCTCTGTGGTCTGCAAACCCAGAGAGCAGATGCTTTGCTCAGCGCTCGTACCACGCCACGCACCCACATGCTCTCTTTGTACCTGGGTTTCAACCCACAGGTCGGGCCCCTGTAAGCCCTTGGCTCCCCAAGCTTCTCGAGGGCAGGCACTGTAACCTTCTTTACTCATTCCAGGGATTCTACAGGACCAGGCACACGGTAAGAGCTCAATAAAAACGTCTCTACCCCCACCACCTCCCGCCTCAGCCGCCACCGCTTGGCAGCAGAGAGGAAGCGGAACGCGCGCGACCCACGAGGGAGAGCGCCTCGCTGTCTCCAAGGTAACCGAAGTCAGTGGCAGGGAGTGCCCACGCATGCGCACACTCGCCCTTCCTTCCCGTAACCTCGAGAACGCAGCTGGTAAGACTGCCAGAAGCCGAGGGCGCATGTGTGGTTCCACCAACACCCTAGTCGCCTCCGCCTTCTGTCAGTCCGCCCGCCCAGCGATCTCCCTTCTACAAACATCGTCCGGAAATAGTGCCCATTTCTGGAAACCAGGCCTCGTTAACCAATCGTTGCTAGGGAGCGGGAAGACGGGCTTGCCGGGACGACCGTCTCATTGGTTGGCGTAGGGGAGTGGGCGGGGCCACGGGTCGCGGTGCGGCCAAAGAAAGGAGGCGCGAAGCGAGGCAAAGTTACAGCCTCCGGGGGAGGCGTGGCCCCGGGGGCGGCCGAGAAGGCGAGGGGGCGGAGCCCGGGACCGGGGCGGGGCGACCACGGGCCGGGAGCTCAGCGGTCGGCGGCCGGCGGCGGGAGATCGCGGGCGAGCGGAGCGCAACACTCGCTTGGTTGGGGAGATCGGCGCTTGGCCGGTAGGTGACGGGGCGGGACCCTGGGGCCCGGTGCGAGGCGACCAGGGAGCGGCTGGGATGGATCGCCTCTCAGCCCCGGGCTGGGCTGCGGCCTGGCCCCTCGCCCCGGAGCAGTGGGGTCGGCGGCCAGGCCAGCGCAGTCCGACGTACCCCGTCCAACCCACTCGCAGCGGTCCGCGGGCGCGCCCTCGCACGCGCTGCCGGTGCCGCGCTCGCCCCGGGCCTCCAGGCCGCGCACTCCTGCTGGCCACACGCTGGCTCCGAGCGCGCGCAGGGGCCGCCTGCTTCCCCTTCACTAGTGCCCCGCGCCGCCGCCAGGCCCGCCCGCCTGCTCTGCGCCCCAGTGCCCCCAGGATGGAGCTCGCCTGCCGCGGGGCGGACGTGTCTCCTGCAGGAGTGCGCCCTGGCATCTGCCCTGGCGTGAAACCCTCCCGGCCTTTCATGGGAAGTTCTCAGGTCACACCTCAAGGCGGGGAGCAGGAGCTAAGCCTGTCCTCAGCATGCAGCGGGGCAGTGCTGGCCGCCCGCAGCATCCTCCCTCCGCCCTCGGACCCCAGTCCTCCTCTGTAATTCTTCTGGGCTCTCCAACTCGGGACTTTATCTGTCGGTTCAAATATAACATTCCCATCTTGGAAACCCATCGTGGCCCTGGCATCTTGCAGCCACTGGGCACCAGGCAGAGAGGGGCCACTTGTACGTACGTTTCCCACCTGCCCGGGAGCCTCCTTAGTGCTGGGTAGCTTCAGAAAAAGTGTTTCCTTCCTAGTCGAGGTTAAAAAGTTGCTCTCGGCCCTAAAGGGTGGACTGGAGGTATGAATGAGGGAGAGGATAAGTGGTGAAAAGGTACATACATCAGCAAAGTAAATGGTAAAACTACTTTTGATCGCTGGAGACAATGAACACCAATGACTTAATTAAGGACTTTAAAAGCACATGAAATTAAATGATTAGAGTGAGGTCATGATATAAAATAGGAGTCTGGAGTTTATTCCAAGAAAAATGTTGGAAACCCCTTGACTAGAAACATGGTCTTTCTGAAAGATTAGAAGGAGACAGTATCTTAACATTAGTGATGTGTTTTTTGCTTAGTGTCTTCATACCTGTGAGCTCCGTTTTCCTTCAGATGGCTGTGTGGTAAGACAGATTGTAGTGTCTTGTTTTATGGGCGAGGCACCTGAGGCAGGTGTGTATGAGGGAGTGGGGGTGGTATATATCTTGCCTGATGCCTCATAGCTGGGACTAAGGATGGGTCTTTCCCAGAATCCTAGATCAGGACCACATTATAGAACTGAGATGCAGAAAGGAGGGAGAAGTTTTTGGTGTGGTTTTTATGCTCTTAATGTGAGAGGACACTTAAAAAGTGCTTGCCTTACTTTGGTTGTGTTTGGATTTACTCTTGGTGTTTTTTAAGTGATATCAATCAGTTTCTTTGGAGCGATGCCAGACCTCTGAATTTTTCAGACACCTTTCGGACATCCTTATTTATTTTGAAGGGTGTGGAGAACTTCTCAGAAGATCTCAAAATAAAAGTAATCGTCTCTGACTCTAATTTTAGAGATAAGTACCCAGGTATGTGTACCAGCTCTTTGTGAAATCAGACAGCAAGACGCTGCCAAGCTTCAGGCCATCTTCTGAGTGTTTTCTGATTATAAGAAGCAGTTCTGAAGGGGGTTTTTTGTCATTGGTATTGTCTGTTAAGAGTTTGTGGGAGCGGCACCACAGAGACCCTGCCAAATCAGTCTCCCTCTATTAAACAAAAATGTCTGGTTGGGCTGTTTCGCCTCAACAGATGAAGGTTTGGTTCCTCATTTTGGTTCTCCTGTTGAACACTGACTCCTTTGTGATCTGCCTGGAATATGTGTATATCATTTACTGCTGAGAAGATGGCTTGCGCTGATTGGTTGTCCAGCCCTCGGCAACTGTTGTGATTTTTTTTTTTTTTTTGGTGATTGATAACAGTTCATCCCTGGCTAGGGTCTGGTGAGAGATCTGCGGAGATGTGAAAGAGATGAAAGCTTTATCCAGGGTTGTTTTCTTCGTTGTTGGCACCCTCTGAACAGTGTTGTATCACTTTGGCCTGTGAAGGCACTTTTAACTTCCTATTTTTTTTCCTGTCTCAATGGACAGCACATGGGCTTTCCTAACAAGCCTGCCTGCCTCGATGAAGAGCTGACAGATTCATATTGGTTGGTTTGACAGATGTTCTTTCTGGGGGGAAAGTTCAGAAATCTTAAAAGCAAAGTCAGTCCTAAGTAAAAAGTCTAAGTCAGCCCAATACGCATAAAGGCAGCGTACTTCTACTAATGGCTTCCATCATCTCAAGGTTGTTTTTTTTTTTTTCCTGGCAAAAGGTTAAAATGCAACTAAAATTCTGCTTTCGTGATTAATAAGTCACTACCACAGTTGTGTCTGATGCTTCCTGTTTGCCCCATTTTAGTATTTCAGTTAAACTGGAAACATCTGAGCATTATGGGCACTATTGATGGCACCAGTGTGAAATTGGTGGGCCGGGGACAATTCCATGTCAGTGGATTTAGGGAGCTCTAAGGATGTCAGCCCCTCTGGTCTCCACACACCAGGATTCCCTAGTAAGGGAACAGAATGGGGCTGAGCATCTGCAAGAGCTGGGTGGGCATTCAAAGTGATGCATGTGTGAAGGTTTTGCATTTACTCGGTGATGCTGGCTAAAATGCTGAAAGTAGTAGCCCAAAAAGGGAAGGCCAGACGTAGGGCAAATTGTAGGGGAGCATTTCTGTTGAGCTGAGCAGGACATTGAAGTATGAGATTTTTTTGTTCTGGGCTTATGACTGCCTGAATGACAATGCAGAAAAAGTCATTTTTCTTCAGTGGCCGGTGTGCTCTTTGTATTCTAGTTTAAAGGAGCCTCTTCCCTTCTTGCTTTTCTACATGTCTTAATCCCTCAGCTCCCTGATAGAAATCCCTTGAAATTATGTGGCATCAAGAATAATTTTATGGCCAGTCTTTGTATTTTCACACCATACTCATGTGAAGAAGGGCAGGGACAAAGATCAGAAAAGTGAAGCCTCATAAGGAGAAACAGACAGGATTGCTCAGAATCTAAACCCCCTTTTCTTGATATCTAGGTCACTGCTTTTTCTACTACCTTGCTCATGAAACGATAAGGATTTTCTTCCCCCAAACATGTCAATTTTGAACATAACGAAACCAGGGTAGCAGCTTTATTTATTTATTGTACCAATCAATTATTAATTGATATTGATTTTTAATTAATAAAAGGCCAAAAGATGAATAGCCTGCTGCCTGGACAGGTGTGCTTGTGCCCATTTTCCAGATGTAGAAACAAAGGCAGAGAGCCCGTGATTTGTCCAGAGCAACAGAACAAGTCCTTGGTGTCTCCGTGTCACATGTGGTGGCTGAGGCTGTCAGGTCAGAGAGACCTGGGTCAGGTCGAGGTCTGCCACGGCCTGCCTGTGTGCCCGCAAGCAAATCACTTCACTTCTCTAATCATCAGGTGCCTCATCTGTGAATGGGATCAGAAATACTTCATGGGGCTGTTTTGAGTAGAAAATGAGAGGAGATATGTAAAGTGCTGAGCCCAGTGCCCAGCACAGAACATAGAGGCTGTAACTGTTGTTGTTGTTGTTGTTGTTCTTGTTGGTGGTGTTTGGTGGTGGTAGTAATAGTAGTAGTAGTAGTAGTAGTAATAGTAGCAGTAGTAGTTGCCAATTACTGCATTGTGACTAAACCTGTTTTCTGTAAGATGATGTCAAGAAGGGTCAGACTGCCTGACAGGCCAGAGTCATTTTCTCAGTAGGACCTTTAGGGGGACAGTCCTTCAGTCTAAAAGCTTCAGCTCTCGGGTTCTCCCTGTCTTACACTATATACTGCCCTCACCATACTCCAAATGAGGCTACAAAGGTCCAGGCTCTGCCCAGTTGACAATCCTAACTCTGAGCTGGAGACACAGCTAGGCCTGTCTAGGGGCTTCCTGTGTCCCACACGTGATCAAGTAGGTTCCTGCATTAATCCTGGAGGTGAGGAAAGGGAAAATACTGTATGGCATGTAGATCAGCAAGGACTTGTTCTTTGGGGGAACAGGAGGGAACATTTGGTTCTGTGGGATGAGGTTCCCACTACCACATGGCATCCCCAGCTCACCACCCTTTCCCCCTCGTAAAGATGTCTTTGTCAGCTTCTCTCTGAGACTCTGTCTGGGGGCCCACGATCTGCAGTCAAGGACTTGCAGATTCCCCTTTAAATCTCACAAGAAGCCTGGAATGGTGACGTGTGTTTCTTTAGTCCCAGCTACTTGAGAGGCTGAGGCGGGAGGATCACTTGAGCCCAGGAGGTCAAGTAGCTATGGGCAACATAGCGAGACCCCATCTCTTGAAAGAAAAACGTTTGTTTTAATCTCACAAGGGAAAAAAAAAGTTTCATGTTATATTTTAAAGTCTTTTTTCACCTTAATACAAAACAAAAATATAGGCTCTCACCAGGCTACTGTTCCCTTTAAATAACATTTTGTTTTCTCTTGGGGAAGCTGACTTGATGGCCGAAGAGTCATTTCTAAAGTGAAGCTAGTTTTTAGAAAAAATAGATCACCGGATGTCAAGCCTCATGTGGAGCTCGGTTCAGATGAAAATGAAACCAGCAGGCCTGGCGTGGCAGCTCTGCACTTGACTTCAGGCTGGAGGTGAGAGGCAGAGTGTGCCTGGACCTTGCTCCATAACTGGTTGGCCCCACAGAGTGCATTTGATAGGTGCCTTAGTCATTTTCCAAGCAGCTTTGCTTAGGTGAGCAGAGCACTTTCTCTGGAAGGTGAGTCACCCATGCAGGGGTGTAGGTGACAGGCGATTTATTCCCCAGCACAGTTGCAGAGAAAGTCCTGAGCAGACCTTCGTGAGGAGCCCTCTGCCACAAATCAGCCTCATCCCAGCCCCAGGGCTATGGAGGCAGGGGGCAGGAGGTAAACAGGAGGCTTCTGGGGCCAGTGGGCTGACAGCGGAGGGGGGATCGTGGACGGGGCACAGAGCCCAGATCAGCAGTGTCACTGACTCCTAAGTCCAGCCACCCTGAGGGTGGAAAATGGCCTGCTTCCAGTGACAGTCAGCAAAGAAGCAGGAGGGGAGCTTTGGCCCTGGGGAGCTGGGAAATCCCTTGGCAGAGAGCAGAGAGACAAGCCCTATTTTGGTGTGAAAAACCTTTTAGGAACGCTTTTCCACCTGCCTCCTTTTCAGCCACCTGAGTTGGAGTCTCTGCAGAGCTCCAGCGATTGTAAAGGCTAGATTAAACCCTGGATTTCAGAAAGCTTTAGGAATCCCAAGCCTGCCACCATCTCAGTTGTCTACACTTCTAGGACCAGGATTTGTACCAAGAAAGAAGCAGCAGGGGGTACTCCTGAGCCATCCCTCCCTCCCAGGTTCTGGTTACTACAGCTTCTCCTGACGCTCTTTCTGCTAAAGCCACTATCAGGTGTCCATTAACGCAGAGATTTTCTTCAGACACTGTTCTGGACTAGTGCAGTTGGTGTTGAACTTGACCGATTATGGTCAGGGACATCTATAAGCAATGTCCAGGACCAACTACAAGGAGGGCTTGACTTTAATGAAGCTGCAGCTCTTGCAAATAATCTCGTTCCCTGTCTCTGGCAGACTACCAACCCAGCCCCTGTACCCATACCCCATCAGTCTGGACCAACCAGTAGTCACCTCCTGCTGGCATGGCTAAATAACCTTAACCTCACTGTCCAGAAAGAGCTGTTAGGATTATAGCCTGGACATGATCATTCACATTTTTTGCAGTGAGAAAATGCAGAAGAGAAAATGGTGGCCCAAGAAAGCCAAGTGGGTTGCCCAAGGCCACACAGCTAGTTAATGGCAGAGCCTGAACTATAAAACCCAGACTCTTCACTGTACTCTGCTGCCAGGGAACGAAGGAACTAATCCTGAAGCAGGATTTTTTTTTTTAAACTAGCTTCTCCTTTTATTCCCCTACCACAACCCTATCACTCTCAGCCTTTCTGCAAGCTCTGCCAGGCCTGGGAAGGGTGGAGCCACAGCAGCTGCTGCCCTGGGTCTAAGAAAAAGTAAACAGAAAGCTATTTGTTGGACGCTGTCTTATACCATGAGGTTCATGTAATCAAAAGGAGGTCAAGGTTGATAAGAAAATACAATTACCAGGAAGTCTCAAAGGTTGCCCACACCTTTAGGGCACTTTCCTACCTAGCCAAGCAGTATCTCACCTAGAGTGGGTATTTAGTAACTTTCAATGATTGATTACAGGGGTCCAAACCCACAGTGCACGAAGCTCTTCTGCATCTTTCTTCTGTGCAGGAGGTGCATGCATACTCTGGGTGTTATCCTAGCTGATCTGCCTGGCTCCTCTCAGTGAGAGGCTCTTCCTTGTGGGTGAAGCATGATGTCATGATGTCATATCTGGATGGTGGCCCCTGTAAGTGCAAAGAATTATTGTAGCCAAAATCTACCACCCACCTTCTACTGACATTAAAGTTTCCTTTTACTGGGCCAGAATTAAAAGGTAGGTGTTTCTGGTCCATACTAGGGATAGCCAGGAGGGTTGGGAGGAAAAGGAGGCTTAGCCAGCCTCCAATGAGGATGTGGTTGCCAGTTAAGATTATAAATGGAGGCTGGGCACGGTGGCTCGTGCCTGTAATCCCAGTGCTTTGGGAGGCTGAGGCGGGCGGATCACAAGGTCAAGAGATTGAGACCATCCTGGCCAACATGGTGAAACCCCATCTCTACTAAAAATACAAAAAAGTTAGCTGGGCATGGTGGCACATGCCTGTAATCCCAGCTACTCGGGAGGCTGGGGTAGGAGAATCACTTGAACCTGGGAGGTGGAGGTTGCAGTGAGCCAAGATCCACCATTGCACTCCAGCCTGGGCGACAAGAGCGAAACTCCGTCTCAAAAAAAAAAAAAAAAAAAAAAAAGATGGACTCCTTTGGCCAAGGGAGTTGATTGGACCCACCAGACTCCTTGAGTCCTGCCCAACAGTCTCCACTGGCAGATGCTGTGCCTGGAGAGGCAGGAATAGCTTTGTATAGATCAATGTGAAGGACAGAGTCCTGCACCACCTCCCTCTAGCATGTATTAGATACTTGCAAATATATGCAAATCCGAGCCCAGATGGGTGTTGTCCAGTTCAGAAGGGTTATCTTCTCAAGCAATTAGAAGTAATTGGGTCTCTAGGTCAGCATTTAGGAAAGGGGATGGCAGGAGAGGCTCCACAGCCATCTTTCAGGACACCTGCTTGCTGGGGTGCAGTTAGAATACAGCCACCAAGTTGTGACTCCCTCCCTTCCAGCCTGCCAGGTGATTGGACAGTGTGGACACGTGTCCCTGTCCAGCCAGGCTCTCAGAGCCTGTGGCACTCATTTATTCCTCAGAAGTGTGTCTGTCCTTTCACTCAGGAACATTTGCCAAGTGTGTCAAATGGGCCATGTCTGCTAGGTGCTAGAAAACCAAACACAATTGAGGCACCGCCCTGGAGGACCTCACCAAGACAGGGGTAAGCTGGGCACGAAGGCAGACATCTCACAGGTCAACCCCGGTGCTGGTCAGGAGCCATGACTATAGGAGCTGGAGGGAGCGAGGAGGCCACCATGCGCAGCCCAGTGGCCCTCCTTTTCCAGCCTGAGCCAGCACTGTCAGGCGTAGAGCGTCTCGGATTCTGCAGGTGCCTGGGTGGGAACACCTTGGTATTTCTCTCACCCTGGGGTCTTGTACCACTTGTCAGCTTGGAGCGGGAGCTTGGTAACAGTTGGGCAACTTCAGCACTCTGGGGGAAAGAAGTGCATTTTCAGAAGCGTAGGGACAGTCAGGAGAAATTTGCTCAAATGTTGCTTGGGCACAGTGGCTCATGCCTGTAATCCCAATGACTTGGGAGGCTAAGGCAGGAGGATTGCCTTTTAGGCCAAGAACTGGAGACCAGCCTGGACAACATAGTGAGATCCACCTCCAAAAAAAAAATTTTTTTAAACTAGCTGGACATTGCCAGGCGCAGTGGCTCACACCTGTAATCCCAGCACTTCGGGAGGCCAAGACAGGCAGACCACTTGAGGCCAGGAGGTCAAGACCAGCCTGGCCAACATGGTGAGACCCGTCTCTACTAAAAATACAAAAATTAGCCAGGTGTGTTGGTGGGCACTTGTAATCCCAGCTACTCGGGAGGCTGAGGCACAAGAATCACTTGAACCTGGGAGGCAGAGGTTGCAATGAGCCATGATCGCACCACTGCACCCCAGCCTGGGCGACAGAGCAAGACTCTGTCAAAAAAAAAAAAAAAAGATTAGCTGGGCATGGTGGTGCTTACCTGTAGTCCAGCTACTTCAGAGGCTGAGGTGGGATGATCACTTGAGCTCAGGAGTTCGAGGCTGTAGTAAGCTATGGTTGTACCACTGCATTCCAGCCTGGGTGACAGAACAAGTCCTCTTCTCAAAAAAGAAAATATAGTTCAAAGTAGAATCAGACAGTGAGTAGCCAGCTAATAAACACATAACTGACCACCTCCCACCCCTCCAAGTGAGAATTGGGAGGGCAGTGACCACACTGGCACATCCCATAGGCTTGGTGCCACTAGAGAGTTGTAGGCAGGTAGATCAAGGCAGTGCTTCTAGGTAACTGGGTTCAGCATTCCAAGAAGGCCTTTCAAGGGTTTCAACAGAGAAGGCTCTTGGTCATCCTCATATTCCTGCTGGCCAGCACGGTGCCTGAAACATGGTAGCCACTGATTAAATATTTGCTGTTGAGTGAAAGTACAAGACTTGAATCCAAACTCCTCCCGCTAAGCCCTGCTGGCCTCGGGGAGGACGAGAGAGCCGTGGGCTGTTTCATGATTTACCCTCTTTTACCAAAGAATCGTGTGAGATCCTCTGAGAATATTCCTCATCATGCCCCATGTCCCAAGCCCTTTTTTACCTTCCCAAGGGAGGACAAGAATATGACCCCTCATTATAAAGGGACCCCTCTGCCACTCATGTCCTCAAGCTGGTTACTTGGTCCAGCTTGTCAAAGAGCATGTGGGGCAGCATCTGAAATGAGGCCAGGGTCAAGGTTGCCCCGCCACAGGGCGGAGCTGGACCTGTGCCTCCTTCCATGCATTGGAAGCCTTCTGTGGAAGCTGAGTTCTTTGGGTTTCTTGTTTATTCTGAAGTTCCTCAAACTAGTTCCTCAATTTCAGAACCAGTCACCAGTGACTACAATGAACTTGAATTCTCCTATACAGGGAGCCTGAGCCTGTCTTTCTTCATCTTTTCTGAACACAGGTAGACGCTGCTTGAAGCCACTCCCACCTCTGAAAACCAGATTTCTAAACCCAGAAAGGAGCGGTGGGTGGTTGTATTTCAGCGAGATTGACCGTAGCCTAGGGAACTTCTTGCTCAGAATCCACCCCAAAAGGTTAAATAAGGAGAGTTGTTTTTCACAACCAAAATGCTGCTTGTAACGATGATCTCAAAGCTTGGCAAGATCACAAAGTACGTTTTGAGTCATCAAAGAAACTGGCTGTGTTTCACATGATTTTAGTGTCAAGGGCAATTATGGCCATCTAATCTTTGGAAATTGGTCATGTTAAGTGGCATACAGGGCAGCCCCCACTTAATCAGAATATTCAGTTACACAAAATACCCTAAGTTGCTGATTTCGATGACACTTGAAATTTTTTTAATTAATTAATTAATTAATTTTTTTTTTTAATTTTTTGAGACAGAGTCTCACTCTGTTGCCTAGGTTGGAGTGCAGTGGCACAATCTCGGCTCACTGCAACCTCCACCTCCCGGGTTCAAGCGATTCTTGTGCCTCAGCCTCCCGAGTAGCTGGGATTACAGGCACCCACCACCACACCCAGCTAATTTTTGTATTTCTAGTGGAGGCAGCGTTTTGCCATGTTGGCCAGGCTGGTCTCGATCTCACAACCTCAGGCAGTCCGCCCGCCTGGGCCTCCCAATGTGCTAGGATTACAGGTGTGAGCCACCACTCCCGGCCTGAAAAATTTTTTATACAATATACATTAAACATTCCTTGTTGCTTATTGTATAAAATTAAGTACACGTGTGACAGGTTTTTATCTCAATACTACCTTGCCCGACATGTTCTCCTGCATATTGGGTCTTTGTGGATCCATGATGCCCCCTGTGGCGTCTTTTCTATTTGCTGTTGGCTCTCCTTGTGCAAA
Organism: Homo sapiens; assembly: GCF_000001405.40. Lineage (NCBI taxonomy): Eukaryota > Metazoa > Chordata > Mammalia > Primates > Hominidae > Homo > Homo sapiens. Next base: position 45,306,785 of record NC_000017.11, on the reverse strand, counting down.
GGATTTGAAGGTTGAATTGAAAATACCATTGTAATACTTCTCTTTTAAAGCTTATAAAATGCCCTGTATCAGGGCCTGGGGGCAAAAGTACTGATGAAATTTATGAAGATAGCAAATGATGCTCGAGTCTTTGTTATAAAAAGAATGGTAAATAGGTTCAAGAAGCCTGCAGCCAGGCTTTGTAAAGTGAATGGCAAATTTGCATTTGTCATAGAATTTCTCCTTGGAATGGGCCTGGCTATGTCAGGCCTGGGTGGGCTGAGGAACACAGGCCCACCACAAGTCCAGCTTGGAGTCTTTCTTCCCTGTTGTCATTTTAAAGTTGCTTTTTCCAGAACATAGGCTGGCTGTAGTTCATGCTTCCTAATTAAGGTGCTTCCTCCCAGGCCAGTCCCTGAATTTCTCACTAACCTTTGACTTGTGACAGCTTCTGCATCTCGGTCCCAATTTTTAAAGCTTAGATCATTTGGGAGTAGGAAGAGTGTCATGGTTAAGAGTATGGGCTTTGACATAAAAGTCTCTTGTGCAAATCCTGCCGCTGCCACTTCACTGCTGTGTGGCCTTGGGCAAATTACTTGGCCTACTGAGGCCCAGTTTCTTCCTCCTTGTAAACGGATAACATTAGTGCCTTGCTCACAGAGTTGTGAGGATTCAAGAAAAAAATGCACGCATTACCTAATACATGGCAGATAATAATAGCTGTCATTATTATTCATTTGTATGATTACCAACAACCAGCATGTAGTTATGTGTATACAAATAGCAGATTGTTGTAACACTCAAAGATGACCACAGGACAACTAATTTCAGCTTTAGCTGCCAAGGAATTGTGGGTCCCAGTTCATCACGCAGAGCTGAGGCACTGCCAGTGGACACAGAAGCCAGATGGGGTGTGCAGAATGCTCTTCAAAGAACATCTTCATGGGTTCTTGCCGACCACTCTGTCCCTCTGCTTTCAGGATTGTCCTCCTCCTGCTTTGACCACATCTGTTCCAGACTTTCTGTCTGATGCTAGGGCTGCTGGCTAGAAGCTGTGGGAGGTAGGCTTCAGTGCCTTATAGCAGCAACTTTGAAGCAACTTAACACTTATAGACCATGACTCACATCTGTAATCCTAGCACTTTGGGAGGCTGAGGTGGGCAGATCACTTGAGGCCAGGAGTTTGAGATCAGCCTGGCCAAGATGGCACAATCCCATTTCTACAAAAAAATAAATAAATGAAATTAGCCATGCGTGGTGGTACATGCCTGTAATCCCAGCCACTTGGGTGGCTGAGGCATAAGAATCGCTTGAATTCGGGAGGTGGAGGTTGCAGTGAGCCAAGATCACACCACTGCACTCCAGCCTGGGTGACAGCAAGACTCTGTCTCACAAAAAAAAAAAAAAAAACGGCCGGGCGCTGTGGCTCACGCCTGTAATCCCAGCACTTTGGGAGGCCGAGGCAGGTGGATCACGAGGTCAGGAGATCGAGACCATCCTGGCTAACATGGTGAAATCCTGTCTCTACTAAAAATACAAAAAATTAGCTGAGCGTGGTGGCGGGTGCCTGTAGTCCCGCTACTCAGGAGGCTGAGGCTGGAGAATGGTGTAAACCCGGCAGGCAGAGCTTGCAGTGAGCCGAGATTGCGTCACTGCACTCCAGCCTGGGCGACAGAGCAAGACTCCGTCTCAAAAAATAAAAAAAATAAAAAAACATAAAACCAAAAAAAATCTTACACTTCCAGTCATACAAAGGTCTGACTGCTCATCTTGTAGCGGCTTCCATCTCACTGGAGGTTCCACTGATGTTTCCAGAGTGCCCACTGCATGCCAGGCACTGTGCTATGTAATTTAAACTTTGTTCCTTGCATTGAGTCACCGTGTAAAATTCTATCATGTAGGTTTGAGGATCCCTATATTACAGATAAGACTCCTGAGTCTCAGATTATGTGACCTGCCCATGGTCACACACCAGAGTATTGAGAAACTAAGATTCAAACTCAGATCTTCTGACTCCAAGGCCATCCTGTCATGTAGCTGAATGGCCATTCCTCAGGATTAGTAAGTAATATGTTGGAAGAAATTACCTCTGAGGGTCTTTCTGATCCTAAGAGCACTTTGATTATTCCTTTATGATTTATTTATCCATCTACCCATTTTTTCCCCATCTAGACTATAGGCATGTTGAAAGCAAGGATAGCATCTTCACAGCAAATAAATAATACAATGTTTGGAAACCACCTATCTGATGCTATCTACTTCTCTGACACATAGAAACAGGAGAAAAGATATAACCCATTAACAAAAGAGTCACCCAGAAATTCCAATCCCAAGAGCTTACCACCTAGAATTCCTTCTACATGTACACATAAATGTGAATAAGGGTAGAGTTTTTTCCATTATTACGTATAAGTGAAAAATTGGAAACAAAGTTTCCAGGTGGGAAAATGATGATACATCTGTACCTTCCAATCTTATGAAGCCTTAAAAAGAATGAATTAGAGGTCAACCATGGTGGCTCACACCTGTAATCCCAGTACTTTGGGAGGCCAAGGCGGGTGGATTGTTTGAGGTCAGGAGTTCAAGACCAGCCTGACCAACATGGTGAAACCCCGTCTCTACTAAAAATACAAAAATTAGCCGGATGTGGTGGCTGACGCCTGTAACTCGGAAGGTTGAGGCAGGAGGATCACTTGAACTCGGGAGACGGAGGTTGCAGTGAGCCAAGAATGGGCTGCTGCGCTCCAGCCTGGGCGACAGAGCGAGACTCCGTCTCAAAAAAAAAAAAAAAAAAAAGAAAAGAAAAGAAATAAATCTAAATGTGCTGAGATGGAATAGTATTCATAGTATCTTAAGTGAAAGATACAATTTGTATGACATTACATGTGTATAATCCATGTTTCTTTTAAAAATAGTCCCAAACTAGGCCAGGCACGGTGGCTCACGCCTGTAATCCCAGCACTTTGGGAGGCCGAGGCGGCTGGATCACGAGGTCAGGAGATCAAGACCATCCTAGCTAACACGGTGAAACCCCGTCTCTACTAAAAATACAAAAAAAAAAAAAAGTCCCAAACTATATGTTTATATATGTATAGTAATTGGAACTAGAAGGATTTACATGAAACTTAAGTGTTTTTTATGTTGCAGAGAGGACGGGACGGTGCCGGGATTTTTTTTCTATATACAATTTTGTTTTGTTTACATTTTTACAATGAACAATTATTTTGGTATTGGAAAAAAATTTTTGAGATGGAGTCTCACTCTGTTGCCCAAGCTGGGGTGCAGTGGTGCAATCTCGGCTCATTACAACCTCTACCTCCTGGGCTCAAGTGATTCTCCTGCGTTAGCCTCCAAAGTAGCTGGGATTACAGGTGCCCACCACCACACCCAGCTAATTTTTGTATTTTTAGTAGAGACGAGATTTCCCCATGTTGGCCAGGCTGGTCTTGAACTCCTGACCTCAAGTGATCCACCCACCTCGGCCTCCCAAGGTGATGGGATTACAGTCATGAGCCACTGCACCTGGCCTGAAAAAAAATTTTTAAGCAAGGTTAAAGATCACATATAAGAAAGGCAGGAGAGGCTAGCTAGGAAAACTGTCCTCCCTTGGGTTTCCCAGACTAGGACTAACCCTGCGATTCCCACCCCTTTGCGCAAGCAGTGGAGGAAGGGCTGGTTTTTTTCTCCCTGGTCCACTTCTGCTGTTTTTCACTCTGGGGGGCCACTCTTGCCCAGGGGCATGTGGTCCATCCAGCACTAGCACGGGCCTGTAACCACGCATGCATTTGCCATTCGATAAATCAAAGCAGGAAACAGTCCGCATCTTCTGAGCACCTTCCTATTTCTTGAGTCACAACTGATAAAACTCTCAGTCCTCAGCAGAGAACAAGGGAGGGAATGAAATGAAAACCAAAACCAGGAAGGACAAGCTTGCCCATCTCCAGCCTTCTGTTTTGCGGCCCAGCTGCCAGAACTCAGTGAGCAGAACAGAAGAGCCACAGACTTTCTGGTGAAGTTTCCTGCCCACACATGGGTTTGTGCTTGCATGTGTGTGCATGTGCGCGCACACGGTTGGAGAAACCAGCTCATCACATATTTATAAAGCCCCAATCTCAAGTGTGGACCTAATGCTTCCTAAATTCTCATCCCATGCCAAGAGATTCTTTTTTAGTTGTTTTCATGATTAAAAAGTAATACTTGGCCGGGCACAGTGGCTCATGCCTGTAATCGCAGCACTTTGGGAGGCCAAGGCAGGCAGATCACTTGAGGTCAGGAGTTTGAGACCAGCCTGGCCAACATGGTGAAACCCGGTCTCTACTAAAAATAGAAAAATTAGCCGGGTGTGGTGGCAGGCGCCTGTAATCCCAGCTGCTCAGGAGGCTGAGGCAGGAGAATTTCTTGAACCCAAGAGGCGGAAGTTGCAGTAAGCCAAGATCGCACCGTTGCACTCCAGCCTGGGCAATAGAGTGAGACTCCATCTCATAAAAATAATAACAATAATAAAAATGAATAAAAGTAATACCTACAGAGAAAATCAGTAGAGGGAGATACAAGAAACTGTTAACGGGGATCCCCTTATAGGAATGGAGGGAAGGACTCATGCTTTTCAATGGCACCCCTTCTGTATTTTTTTTTTTAACCACTTAGAAACATTATCTGTTAAAAATGAGAACCAAGGTCGGGCGCAGTGGCTCATGCCTGTAATGCCAGCACTCTGGGAGGCTGAAGCAGGTGAATCTCATGAGCTCAAGAGTTCAAGACCAGCCTGGGCACCATGGCAAAACCCTGTCTCTACCAAAAATACAAAAAATTAGCCAAGCGTGGTGGCACGCACCTGTCCCAGCTACTTGGGAGACTGAAATGGGAGGATCACTTAAGCCTGGGAGGCAGAGGTTACAGTGAGCTGAGATCGTGTCACTGCAGTCCAGCCAAGGTGACAGAGTGAGACTGCATCTCAAAAAAAAAAAAAAAAAGAGAACTGAGAAAACTAATATGTGCTCACTGAAAAAGTGGAAAAATTAGAAAGGTATAAAAAGAAATATTAAATCATCCATAAGCCCACCACCAAAAGAGAACCATTGCTATATGTCCTAGGTATCTGCATTTTTATAAATATCATTGTAATATACCGACACATGTATATAGGGTCGTATTTTAGATATGCTTCTGTATCCTCTTTCTACTAATTTAATATCCCATTTTTCCATATTGTTAAAATGATTTATAAACATTTTTAATGGATGTTCCATGATTTATTTAATAATTATCCTTCCCCTGTAATTAGACTTTTTTGTTCCAGTTTTTTTACTGTTATAGAAATACTGTGAACTTTTTTTTTTTCTTGAGATGGAGTTTCGCTCTTGTTGCCCAGGCTGGAATGCAATGGCATGATCTTAGCTCACTGCAACCTCCGCCTCCCAGGTTCAAGCGATTCTCCTGCCTCAGTCTCCTGAGTAGCTGGGATTACAGGCATGTGCCACCATGCCTGGCTAATTTTGTATTTTTAGTAGAGACGGGGTTTCTCTGTGTTGGTCAGGCTGGTCTCAAACTCCTGACCTCAGGTGATCTGCCTGCCTCGGCCTCCCAAAGTGTTGGGATTACAGGCGTGAGCCATGGCACCCGGCTTTTTTTTTTTTTTTGAAACAGGATCTCATTCTGTTGTCCAGGCTGGAGTGCAGTGGCGTAATCATGGCTCACTGCAACCTTGCACTCCTAGACTAAAGCAATCCTTCCACCTCAGCCTCCTGAGTAGCTAGAACTACAGACACGTGTGACTATGCTCAGCTAAGTTTTGTATTTTTTTGTAAAGATGGGGTCTCACTATATTGCCCAGGCTGGTCTCAAACTCCTGGACTCAAGCAATCCTCCTGCCTTGGCCTCCCAAAGTGCTGGTATTACAGGCATAAGCCACCATGCTCAGCCCTAAACATTTTTGATTATGCTTTTTTCTGTTTTTTTTAATTTGTTCCCTACTTAGATTGCAATTCTGTGAGTTGTGCACACAAAAAGTGGGTATCTTCACTTGCTATGATGCTTTATTGTTCCCAGAGTTCCTTCATCTACATTGTTTCATTGAATGAGTAAAAGGGAGTGGGGGTGTCAGGACCAGGAGGAGGATGAGGATAGAGGAGACAAGGTGCTGTGGGCAGGCAGAAAAGGAGGCCGTTGTACAGTGGAGCTGATGGGAGGAACTTCCTGGGTAGAGGCTGAGCCTTGCCTTTGAAGGACAAGCAGGATGTATGGGGTGGCCCACACAACAGCATGGCACACATGGGACCTGGAGAGTTGAGTAGCCAAGGGGTTGTAGAGAGATCAGACTGGCCAAAGCCAAACCCTATGTTTGGGGAAACAATGGCCAAAAAGATTATGGACCACAGAGCTGAGACTGAGCCCATAAGCAGTGCAGAGCCAGCAGATGTCTTTGAGCTTGAGGTTGTCTTAAGTACACGATGTTTCAAGATTAGCTCAGCGCCAGGGTGGGAGGTCAGAGAGAAGCTGGAAGTGGGTAAGACCAATGCCAATAGAATAGATGCGAGGGAATTGCCCTAAACATCTGAAGGGGCCTTATAGACAGTAGTTTCTGCACGGCTAGGGCCGGCCAGCCATCATCAGGCATGTGGTGGTAATTGCAGGACAGTCAGAAACTTTACCCCATAAATTGTATTTACCCTGCAGTTTGACCTGTGGGATTGGCAGCAAGACTGAGTTTTGTTTTTTTGAGATGGAGTCTCGCTCTGTTGCCCAGGCTGGAGTGCAGTGGCGCGATCTCGGCTCACTGCAACCTCCACCTCTAGGTTCAAGCAATTCTCTCATCTCAGCCTCCTGAGTAGCTGGGATTACAGGCACGCGCCACCATGCCTGGCTAATTTTTGTATTTTTAGTAGAGACAGGGTTTCACTATGTTGCCCAGGCTGGTCTTGAACTCCTGACCTCAACTGATCCACCTGCCTCGGCCTCCGAAAGTGCTGGGATTACAGGCGTGAGCCACCATGCCTGGCCGAGACTGAGTTTTTGAGGGCATGTCAGATTTGTTTCTTTTTAATAATTGATCTGTAAGATTTTAATGATTAATGTACCTTCACATTTCATATCCTCCTTAATGGGAAATGCTTATTCAGAAATTACTCTCCTGGGAAGCAGGCCTCAAGCAGGCCAATGAGTCCAGTTCTGAGGTTCCTCCAGCTGCGTTTCACTCACAGTGCCTGAGTGCAGGCCCCAGTAAGGCCCCTTCCTCCTTCCTCAGACATCTGTTTCTATGTCCCAGGGATCACATGGCCATTCTCCTTCTCCGCCTGAGGGAGAGAGTGAAGCAAGCCTTTCAGAAGCCTGTCACTTGTCAGATTGTTAGCCCAGGCCAGGGTGGGGGTTCTGTACCAATGGCAGGATTTTCTTTTCTTTTTTCTTTTTTTTTATTTTCATAAAGACACAGTCTTGTTATGTTATACATGCTGATCTCAAACTCCCAGGCTCAAGTGATCCTCTTGCCTCAGCCTCCCAAAATGCTGGGATTACAGGAATGAGGCACTGTGCCTGGCCAGTGCCATCTGCCCCTACTCTGCAGCTTCTGCCATCTGGAACTTTACCCCCAAGAGTCTGGGAGGAATGTGGAATTATACCCCGCTCACTCATCTGAGAATTTAAACCCTGGGGGTATATGAGGATCAAGCGTGTGTCCATGGTCTGATAGCTGAACTTCATCTGCAGCCTCCTCTCCTGGGACTGCCTGACTTACGCTTTACTCACTGACAACTTCAAGCTGCTGGTGATTGCTGCATTGACTCACCTCTGTGCCTTACCTTTTGCCATCCCCTCTACCCAGAACACCCTCTCCTTTTTCTTGGGCAGGTCTTGCTCACTGCTTCAGACTCAGCTCAGGCATCACCTCCTGGGCTGGACTAGGTGTCGCTCTGTGTTCCCGTCACATCTGCTGTGTGTCTATCTCTGTCATTGCATCCCTGTATTGTACTGAACTCTTCTGACTTCTTGTCTGTTTCCCCCAGTAGACTGTAAGATCCTCAAGGGACAGTGTCTTCTTCCTCAGTGTACTGCCAGCACTCAGCACGGGGCCCAACACCCAGCAGACCTAGTACATGCCCAGGAACTGCCACGCATAAGATCCTTGCTCTGCAGCTAGACAGGACACTCTGGGGCCAAGACCTTACTCAACATAAAGCCTCAGCCTGCCTCCAGTCATTGGATTTGGAGGCTCTTTATCGGGTGCCTAGAAGTGATTATATCTTTTTGTCTTAAGTATTTTGTCTGATACGAATATTACTTCTTTGTGGTTAATATTGGCCTGGCACATCTCTTTCTATGTCTTTATTTCCAACTTTTCTGGATAATTTTGTTTTGTTTCTTTTAGTCAGCATCTAGCTGGATCTTTTAAAATCCAATCTGGTTTGCTGTTTTGTAATCTACTCACATGTACTGTGGTTAATGACATGCTAATATTTTGCCTTATTTCTGCCATCTTGTGTTTTTATTTTATATTTATTGTCCTTTTTGCTTCTTTTTTCCTCCTTGCCTTGCCTTGTATCAGATTGACAGCATTTTCTATTTTTCCTCCTTTATTCTTCTGGTCTGAATTGTATTTCTATTATTTTAGTCATTACTCTTAAATCAACATACATACTAACTGTAATTTTTTCTAATAAAATTTAAAAGTTGTTGTACATAAAGTCCCCAAAAAGGCAAGGATCATGTTACTTTTTACCCATTGAACAACCCATTTCACCCATCTTCCTTATTGTTGGTGTCTAGATTTTCATGTTTTAAAACGATTTAAACTGGCCAGACATGGTGGCTCATGCCTGTAATCCCAGCACTTTAGGAGGCCAAGGCAGGCAGATCACCTGAGGTCAGGAGTTCGAGACCAGCCTGGCCAACATGGGGAAATCCCATCTCTACTAAAAATACAAAAATTAGCCAGATGTGGTGGCACATGCCTGTAATCCCAGCTACTCAGGAGGCTGAGGCAGGAGAATCACTTGAACCAGAATGCTGAGGTTGCAGTGAGCCAAGATTGTGCCACTGCACTCTAGCCTGGGCGACAGAGCAAGACTCCATCTCAAAAAAAAAAAAAAAAAAAAAGATTTAAACCAATTTCTCATATTCAACTGTTAATTAAATTGACCAACATATTGTTTGAGTTCCTGTGCCTACCATTGTTTCTTTTTCCTATTTACTTTTTTCTTTGCAAAGTACATCCTTCAGTGGTTCTTTCAGTGAAGGCAGTGCCACCTTACCTAGAACTCCTGTTTGTGTATGTGTGTATTAGATGTGCATTTGTTTGATTGTTTCAAGAAAATGAAACGACCTGTTAAAACCATCAAGTTAAGTCATAACACATAACATAACAGGATTTAGTGGCGTAACTGAACTAAAAGTCTGACAAATTGATGGCTGATTCAGCCCTGACTTGACAAGACCCCTCATCAGTAAGGGATCTTCGTCTGCTTCCTGTCTACCTGGGCTAAGGAATTATTACCAACAGTAGATGGGCAGATGCTAGGGGTAGTAATATCCACATGGGTAGTAATACTGCTCAGTTCCTGGATGTTCTAGATGCCTCTGCCAACCAGATTTTATTCTAGGAAGGAACTAGAGATCCTTGGGTCCTAAGAGAATGGGCCAAGAGTGTCCTGGCTTGAGCCCTAACTCCATGTTGGATGCTCTAACTGTATAAATTGAGCCTCATTTATTCCTGTAGGTAATGTACCTCTCTAAGCCTTAATTTCTTCATCTGTAAAATTGGAGATAATATTGCCAACCTTGCAGGGTTGGTGTGGAATGCATTAACAAGGCAGATAGAGTTCCTGGCACAGTGCCCCATACACAGAAGACATTTATGGACGGTAGTGGCTATTACATTCCCTGGCACTTGGGAGACACTCATTGAATGTTTATAGGGTGGATGCAGAAGCCTACCATAAAAGGCTTCATTGAGTAGATAGGCCTTAAAGGATAGGTGAGATCTGGGCAGACATTGATAAGGGAGGAAGGCAAGCAGCCACTCCCTATGGGAGGAACAGGGTGGGCAGAAGAAGAGAATCAGAGGCTTGCCCAGTGCTGCCCTGCTCGGGCAAGTGAAGGAATCAGTCTGGAACAAACTGGGGGAAGGGCTGTAGGAAGGGCAGAAAGGGTAGAAAGGGGAGTCAGGATGAGCATGTATGGGGACTTCTGAGTCTGCCTCGCCAGATGGCTGTTTTGCCAGGCCAGCTTGCTCTGCCTGATACTTGCCCTTGGTTCCCTCTTTTTTTTTCCCCTCCTTTTCTTTCTTTCTTTATTTTTCCTTTTGAGATGGGGTCTTGCTCTGTTGCCCAGACTGGAGTGCGGTGGTGCAGTCATGGCTCACTGCAGGCTCAAGCAACCCTCCTGCTTCAGGCTCCCAAGTAGCTAGGACTACAGGCGTGTGCCACCATGCCTGGCTAATTTTTTAATTTTTTGTAGAGATGAAGTCTCACTATGTTGTCCAGGCTGGTGTCAAACTGCTGGTCTCAAGTGATCCTCCTGCCTTGGCCTCCCAAAGTGCTGAGATTACAGGCGTGAGCCACCGCACCCAGCCCAGCCCCGCACTTTGAGTAGGCAGAGGTTTGCCTATTGTGGCCTGGTGGCCAGGCAAGCTGAAGACTTAAAAGAGGAAGTTGGGAGAAGATTGGTTTTCAACCAATATCTTATTAAGGAAGTTGAGTCATTCTACTTCTGCTATTTATCCCCTCTGGGCATTCAGAGAAGGACAAGTTTTTACTTCCAGATGAAATAGTCATGAGAGGGATTTGCCTTGGCCCCTTGTAGACATTTTCAAGCTGGCCCTGTAAGACAGAGTTTTATTTCCCTTTCGTGTATGGAGAATCAAGGCTCCAAGCATTGCATGAACTAGGTAAGGCTCAAGATACCTTGGCTATATGGTGCTGAAACAGAGAAGTCCCATCTTCTCAGTGATGGCTTTTAGTAGCCTGGTGACAGACAAGGGAATGAACATTCATTTAGCCTCTTCTGTTGGCCAGGCAACCTGATTGGCATTTCATGTACTCGTCTTCATTCGGTCTTCAAAACAGCTCTGAAGGAGCTAAGAGAAGAAACTCAGAGAAGTTAAAAGAAGTGGCTAGCTCAAGGTTTAGATGTCGGCTTAGGAGGCAGCAGTCTAGGTTCAACCCCACCTCTGCAACCTGCAACTGCGTAACTTTTGGTGTGCTACTACACTTCCCTAAGCCATATCTTCATGTCTGAAAATGAGATGACAGTAGGTACTTTGTAAGTATCGACAGTTAGTATTCTGAGTTGGAGTTGTCCAGCCCTCAAAGAATCCTGACAGATGGGCTACATTCTCAGAACTAGAAGGAACCTCAAAAGATTTCCTAGGCCGCTGGTTTCCAAACTCTTTTCTTGGAGAACTAGGGATTTTGTAGAGGTCCTCGGTGGATGAAGGGACACTGAGCATGTGGAGCTCCTTCAGCCAGGGCAGCGGGTTCAAATGTGAGTTACATGCCAGTTGCATGCATCTGGTTCTTTTAGTTATTGGGAGATGAGGTATGATTTCATTTGACAAAAATGGTCCCACTGCTCTTCTTAAAAAAAAAAAAATTGTTAAGGCTAGAACCCATAGCTTCTGGTTCCCAGTCTGGAATTTTTACTATGTTGTACTTGCTAAAACAGGGAACTGAATGAAATATGATATATTCTAAAAAGGTTATCATCTGTGAAGATTAACATTTAAAACATTGTTTTTGTATCTTCCAGTGAATCAAAAATTTGTTTACTGTAAACCCCATTCCTGCCCCAGAATCCTAGGAACAGAAATTTTACTGTCAGAGAAAACACCGCTCTCATCACCTCAGAACAGCACTGTCCAATAGAACTTTCTGCAATGCTGGACATGTTCTCTGTCTGCACTGTTGAGTATGGTAGCTAGTGTAACAAGGAAATGATTTTAAAATTTTACCTCATTTTAATTAAATGTAAATAGCCACATGTTGCTAGTGGCTACCATTTTGGACAGTGTCGCCTTGAGTACAGAGCAGGGGTCAGGTGGCAGTCTCTGGCCCTTTGGCATCAGAATCATCCAGAGAACTTGTCAAAAGTACAGATTCTGGGCCTAATGCCCAGTGACTGGTTCAGCAGGCCTAGGAGGAATGCATTTAAAGAACTTATCTGGTTATTCTAATCTGTGGTCAGATTGGAAACTGCTGCATTGGAGAGCTTTTCCTCGGAGTGGAAGAATAGAGCCAGAATCAGGCATTTAGCCCGGCCCTGATTTTCTAGGGAGACTAGAGGAACCTTCTGGGGAATGGCAGATCCTTGGAGAATCTGTTGAAAGCTATGGACCAAGTCTTCCCTGGAAAAATGCAAATTACATTTTTCTCCCTGAATCCATCCTTGAACCTAGATTAAGAACTCCTCATACAGCTATGCCCAGAGGTTGATCTGGTACTGTCCAGATCATTCCTATCCCCCAGGCTTCTCCAGGAGGTCACTGAGGCATCACAGAAGAAAGAACCAACAGTGTCTGTGCATCAGGCCTCAAAGAATATGGAGTGAATTCTGCTCCTTTCCTTTCCTCTTCTGATTTCTTGGGCTTATGGGTGAGCCATGTGGGTTTGGCTGTTGCCACTGCTCGTGTCCTCAACTCTTATGCAGAGAGTAGAGGGCCCAATGCCTTTGGGGCGTGAATAAGCTGAGGAGAGTGTCTAGGCTGAGGAATGAATCAGGAGTTTGACTTGCCTTCAAAGGCAGAGACATAACTGGCTCCCACTTCGTCCTCCCCACACGCTGCAGGAGGGAGAAGGGGCAAAGTGTTAGGGCCATGAGCTGGGGTGACAGCCAGAGACCAAAGTCCAGGGCTGGGAAGGCCCCCTGGCCAGTAGTCCTGGACTTAGTACAGAACCATGATTTTTGTAGACCAGAGTCCAGATAGAATTAGGAAAGGAGGGAGGGAGCAAGTGCATCCGTATGTGTGTGTGTCTGTGTGTGCATGTGTGTGTGTGCATGTGTGTCTGTGTGGGAGGTGGTGTTTGGGGAGAGCCACTGTCAGGCCAAAGTGTCCCAAGAATAGCCTCTTGAACTTGGAGGCTGTCGGTGAGGGTCTGAGTCATGGTGATGTGGCACAGAAAAGCCAGCCACAGGAGGAGCTTTACAGCTCCCAGGCCGTGATTTGTGCCCCTGAGAGGTGAGGGTCAGCCTGTTTTCCCCATGTCCTTCACAAGTTCAGCTGCCATCTGCTGGGTCAGCTTCTCAACAGCCTCCTTGTTACTGTCTGCCTGCCAGGCTGTTGGATGAGTCATCGGGGAACTGCAAAGGAGTCTCTGAGCGTGGCTGCCTCAGCCTCAGCTTCCACTTCTCTGGGAAGAGGGGAGCCTGGTGTGCTCACAGAGGGGCGCTGGACAGCTGCCTACCTAACACCAATATGAAAGGACAACTCTGGGACTCGGGATGCCCTGCACCCCCTCTGGAGGAGTTCTAGCTCAGGATGACCTATCCAGAAGCCTCCGTTGGGCCATGCCAGGCGGAGACAGGCTATCAGAGCCCCCACACAGCCAGATCTCTAATAGCCACGTGCCCCTCAGAGCAGCAACTGCACCACCTGGCCTCATTTTTCTCATTCATCAGGCAGGACTCTCTCTTCCTCCTCAGCATTCGGGATCATCCTGTCTCCAAAGGTTATGGAAAAGCAATCTTTGTCCTTTGAGTCCCTCGTTCAGCCAGCGTCAGTTGCGTGGTCTGTGGCCCCTGTGCTATACACTGGGGAGGCACTGTGTGCAGGGCCCCACCTCTTCCCTCAGGAGCCTGTTGACCAGGGAGGACCTTAGTGTGCCCTCCTGCATTTGCCTGTAACCCAGGAGCTTGGGGAGTGGGCATCATAGCCTAAAGAACCTAGGGTCTGGATCCTGGCCATGTCCTGTCACACGTGGGTTGGGTGACCTTGGGCAAGTCTCCACTGAATTAGGCCTCAGCTTCTTCAAATAGAAATGAGGAGGTCACGCTCACATCGAGCTCCCTGTGAGCATTCCCTACTGCTGTTAGGTTTGGAGACTTTTTGGTCTGTTCTTAAGATCTCATTTCCCCTGGTAAAGAGGCTGAGAACAGTGGGATCGGCTCTGGGCTTAGGTCAGTTTCTTTTTTGGAGGTAGAGTGGGGTGGGGAGGTGTGAGGTGGGATGAAAGTACAGTTACAAGAAGCATAGCCAGCCTTGAAGGGCTTTTGCCTAATTGGATGTCAGAACACCCCTTAGACTTTTTTTTTCTTTTAGAGACAGGGTCTTATTCTGTCACTCAGGCTGGAGAATGCAATGGTGCAATCTCAGCTCACTGCAGCCTCAACCTCCTGGGCTCAAGCATTCCTCCCACCGCAGCCTCTAGAGTAGCTGGGACTACAGGCCAGCTACCCCAGCTAATTTTTTGTATTTTTTTGTAGAGACAGGGTTCCACCATGTTGCCCAGGCTGATCTTGAACTCCTGGGCTCAAGTAATCCTTCTGCCTCAGCCTCCCAAAGTGGTGGGATTACAGGCATGGGCCACCATGTCCGGCCCCCTCAGACTTCTTAAGATCCTCAGGTAACAGTGAGGCCACCCATTCAGCCTCCTCAGCATCTGGCGTTTGGTACCAAATCCAGGCATCCTTGCAGGAAGCTGGAGCTGCTCCAAGTTCAGAGCTAGGAGACCCTTAAAGACAGAGATGCAAGGAACTAATCAATAGTGAACAACAAACCCCACCACACCCGCCAGCCAAGCTGGCAGAGCCTTTCATAGCCATCGAGGTGGGAAGACCAGTGAGGCAGATTCAGAAGGAGGAATGCTTCAACCTAGTACCTCAGCTTCCCACCATCTCATTCAGTCCTCAGGCCTCACAGGGCAAAAGGCCAGAGGCCTTAGAGTTCAGCTTCAGATGGTGTACCTGTCTGCCCCAGAAGCAGAGAAGTGATCCAGGGTTCACAGAGTTATAGCAAGGAAGATGATTTCTGCTGGTAGCAGCTTTAAGACAAACCTACCATCAGAGAGCAGTTATTAAAAATCTGTCTGCATTTGGGACCTTCTCAGGCTGTTTCTAAAGCAAGTCATGCCTGAGAGGGGCCCTGCCCTTTAAAAACTCCCAGCCTTTAAAAAGGTTTCCAAATGGTAACAGTCTCAAATCAGTGCTCTTCTCTTTTTTGCCAATTCCAGTCTGCAGGCTGTTTGCACAGATTGTTGGCAACTCTGGGTTGCTCTTCTTTGCAGCTTCCTAGGGCTGGGCAAGACAGAACCCAGAGAGACGTGAATTCTTATGCTTTATTCTTTATTTCTAGAGGTATAGGTTCGTGTTAGGGCCTTGAATATAAATTCTACTCCTGATGTTGCCTGAATGAAAAATGATACCTAGAAGTTTTCAGCCAATGAGTTTGGACATTAGAGGAGGAAGCATGTTAGTTCCTTCTGGAGAGCCACAAACAGACGCATTGGGCAAGGAACCACGTGCTGAGCACCATTTGCATGCTGAGTTTTAGACTTTGTAGGACACACACACACACACACACACACAGATATCTACCTCCTACTAGGGAACAGAATAGAACCTTGCTTCTCTCCACTTGGAGAAAAGTCGCTGTGGATGGTGTGTGCCAACAGGTCCTCTCCAAAGGCTTATGTGGGGTCAGTGAGGCCATGGTTTTGGAGTCTGGGATTCACCACCCTGTCCTGGGGAAACAAAGTTTGCCATAAAACAACAGAAAAAGATCGAGCCATCATAAAGGCAAGAAAGAGCCAACCCAGACATTTGTGCCACAGCTCTCCTAGAGGGAGTGGGCTGGCATCCTTGCTGGACACAGTGAAGGAGGCTGTTTATGTTGTGGTACTGGGAGGACCGGGGGACTGTGCCGTGTGGAACGTGTAGCTGTTGAGAGGTGGACTCTGTTACCATTGAGGATGTTTGGAGGATGAGTATGTGTGGCAGAGGCACACATAAACAGGCAGAGACCCTTTGCCCCTGCCTTTCTCCCCCAACCCAAGGCTGACCTGTGTTCTCCCAGGTCTGGGATTCTAAGTGACCTGCTCTGTGTTTGGTCTCTCTCAGGATGAGCACAAGCCTGGGAGATGGCAGTGATGGAAATGGCCTGCCCAGGTGCCCCTGGCTCAGCAGTGGGGCAGCAGAAGGAACTCCCCAAAGCCAAGGAGAAGACGCCGCCACTGGGGAAGAAACAGAGCTCCGTCTACAAGCTTGAGGCCGTGGAGAAGAGCCCTGTGTTCTGCGGAAAGTGGGAGATCCTGAATGACGTGATTACCAAGGGCACAGCCAAGGAAGGCTCCGAGGCAGGGCCAGCTGCCATCTCTATCATCGCCCAGGCTGAGTGTAGGGGCCTAGGGTTGTTGTGGGCACGGGGCAGGTGGGTGGGCCTGCAGGTGGGTAGCTGGGCCCAGGGGTTCCCTATGGAGGAGAGAGGTCTGTGTCACTGCTAGATAAGATTCTCATGAGACACAACCAGAGGTCTGTGCCGAGAATCATGGAAAGTGGGGTTGTAAAAGTGCACAGATGGTGGATGTGGCAAGGGGAGACTGTGCCCATCGTGACTGGAGCAGGGGAAGAGAGGTAACAGACGAGCACTCGGGACTCTGCAGAATCATCAAGCAGGCCATCAACCTTCTGCTGTGACCTTGAGCAGCCCCAGTGTCTGGAGAGGCTCCAGACAGGAAAGGCCAGGTCTCCTGGAAAGCCCCACTGGGGCCTGTAGGGCCTTCACCATCTTCCACCTAGAGGTGGCCCCACCCCCAGGAATGAGCACCGTGCTCTTGAGCCTGCTGGGCCAGTCCTGGGGCGGCAGGCTGCTGCAGGGTGAGACCTAGTCTGGTCCTTTCTTCTTCTACTCATGATACCTTATGATGACTAGTAATGGTGGCTTCCCTTGGAGACAGAAACTCCCACGAGGCCTGGGTAGGGCCGGGAGTCCTCTCTCTCCAACGCCTTCCCTCAACCCGGGAGGCTTCTTGGGGTGGAACCTGGAGAGCTGGACAGCCATGCTGTCATTTCTCCACACGCATACATCCTGCCCTCGTCTCCCACTTCCTCCTGGTTGGTTTTTGAGGAGAGATGAGAGAATAAAAACTAAAATACAGAGAGTGACATAATAATTGTTTTAAAAAAATACACATATATCCACACTTATATGTACACACATATATAAATACCTAATAGCTGTTTTTCCTATGAGCCAGGCACTGTGTTGAGCATTTTCTGTAGATCATCTCACTTCAGCTTCATAGGAAGTGAGGCGGGCGCCCTGTGATCCCCATAATATAGGCTTGGCTATTTCAGAGCAGGTGGCTGAGGCCGTGGTCTGCTCTTGACCAGTAAGCTGAGAAGCTGGGGAGAGACAGTGCGGGAAGGAGGCATTGGTGGGGAGGTGACTGCCAGACAGGGGTTGTCTGGAAAGGAGGGGAAGGAGAGGCGCCAGAGGGGATCTCTGTAAAATGTCTCTCCCCTAAGTGCTAAATTCCTATTTTTTCTCCTCTCTGCTAATCCAACTCCTTTTGCTTTAGGTGAGAATAGCCAAGAGTTCAGCCCCACCTTTTCAGAACGCATTTTCATCGCTGGGTCCAAACAGTACAGGTAAGCAGGGGAGACAAGCCTGAGTGGGAAGGTGGGGACTGGACCCAGCGCCCTCGTCCCCAGCACTTGCCTGGGCCGCTCCTGCTGACCCCGGGCTCCCTCCCTCAGCACCTGTGGTTCAGCTCCTGGAACTCACCCAGGCTTTCCTGGCTGAGCCGCTCTCTCAGCCAAATAAGCTTTTCAAAGGCTTTTCACAGCTTGTGGCTGACTGCCTCTGGGCCACATCAACTTGACATTTTATTTTTATTCTCCTCAGAGTCCTTAATGCACCCCCTCGTTTCCCATCAACAGGGAGGGTGCTGGGAACAGAAGCTGCTTCCCACTCTTGCGTGACCGTGAGCGCAGGCCGGGTTGGTGGGGGGGGCCTTCCACTGTCCTCTATGGGAGAAACCTGCTGGTGCCTTTTCTCCTGGGAGATGCACCGAGTAGGGATGCGGGCGGTAGAAAAGGAGGGGACAGATAGACTTGGTGGCCCGGTAGAAAGGAAGCCAGGGTGGGGCTGAGTCTGTTCCCAGGCTCTGCATTCCCCCACAGATGATTTTTTGAAACAAGAGTTCAAGTGCTGGGCACAATGGCTCTCACCTATAATCCCAGCACTTTCTGAGGCCGAGGCAGGTGGATCACGAGGTCAGGAGATCGAGACCATCCTGGCCAACATGGTGAAACCCCGTCTCTGCTAAAAATACAAAAATTCCCTGGGCATGGTAGCGCATGCCTGTAACCTCAGCTACTCAGGAGGCTGAGGCAGGAGAATCGCTTGAATCCAGGAGTCGAAGGTTGCAGTGAGCCGAGATTGTGCCACTGCACTCCAGCCTGGTGACAGAGTAAGATTCTGTCTCAAAAAAAAAAAAAAAAACAAGAGTTCAAGCTAGAAACAGCTCCTTCCCCTATCACCAGGCAGGTTTTGTATCATTGGAGTTTGGAACCTGCTAGTGATAAGATTGTGGGGAGGGCAGCTGGCTGCCTTGGAACCAAGAAATGCTCAGTTTGGTGGGATTCCTTCTGCTGTCCTGGGTGCCTTTTGGCCCAGGGTAGGAGCCTCTGATAGACACACTTCTTTCAGCTGTCCAAGAGAAGCCTGTAGGCCTCCAGTGGTCCCCAGGACTGCCATGAGTCTGCCTTCTCCATGGGGGCAGAAGATGAGGCCAAGGGAGGGTGGCTGAGGCCATGATCTGCTCCACAGCTGTTCTGCAGCAACCCATCTGTTGCCGGGTCCTTTAATACTTGGCAGGGATCCCAGTCCAGTTAGAGCCATGGCAGTGATGAGCCCCGAGGCCAGCAGAGAAGGGCAGGCTCCCCAGTACCAGGCAGCAGCCCAGGCTGTTCACCTTCAACAGCAGCCAGGGACCCCCAGGAACTGTGAGAATGGAGGTGACCAGCCTTACCTGTTCCTCCATCCGGAGGCAACAGAAACAAGCTCTGCTCAGTCAGAGCTGAGAGGCCTGCCATGAGCGTGGCCCCCTCCTAGGAACTCTCCAGGGGCAGCTCACCTTGGAGAGCAGTGAGCGAACCGTGTCTGCTCCCCTGACTCTCCCCAAGAAGTGCTGAGTCTGTACCCCATCACCATAGTAACAAGCACAGCTTCTCGGCAGCTTGCCTTGGGGCCAGACACTGAGCTGGGCTTTTTAAATGAACTAAATTATTGAAACTTCATTTCCACCCTGTATGGCAGAAAATACCAAACCCATTTTATAAGTGAGATAAGTGAGAAAACAGGTTCCTTGGGATTTAGAAACCTTGCCGCATTCACACAAGGAATGGCAACCTGGGATTTGACCTTGGATCTGCAGGAGTCCAGATACAAGTGTCTGGACCAGTCCATCTTCCTGCTTCCTCGTGCTCAATATGCAAATCTGTCCCTTTTGTGACAGCCAGTCCGAGAGTCTTGATCAGATCCCCAACAATGTGGCCCATGCTACAGAGGGCAAAATGGCCCGTGTGTGTTGGAAGGGAAAGCGTCGCAGCAAAGCCCGGAAGAAACGGAAGAAGAAGAGCTCAAAGTCCCTGGCTCATGCAGGAGTGGCCTTGGCCAAACCCCTCCCCAGGACCCCTGAGCAGGAGAGCTGCACCATCCCAGTGCAGGTGAGACCCTCCACCCACTGCCCAGACCCCAGGTTCATGGGGCCTTGAAATTGGAGCCTGTCCCTGGGCCCTGGCCCTCTGTGCTGATAGCTGTGTTTCCCCCCGCAGGAGGATGAGTCTCCACTCGGCGCCCCATATGTTAGAAACACCCCGCAGTTCACCAAGCCTCTGAAGGAACCAGGCCTTGGGCAACTCTGTTTTAAGCAGCTTGGCGAGGGCCTACGGCCGGCTCTGCCTCGATCAGAACTCCACAAACTGATCAGCCCCTTGCAATGTCTGAACCACGTGTGGAAACTGCACCACCCCCAGGACGGAGGCCCCCTGCCCCTGCCCACGCACCCCTTCCCCTATAGCAGACTGCCTCATCCCTTCCCATTCCACCCTCTCCAGCCCTGGAAACCTCACCCTCTGGAGTCCTTCCTGGGCAAACTGGCCTGTGTAGACAGCCAGAAACCCTTGCCTGACCCACACCTGAGCAAACTGGCCTGTGTAGACAGTCCAAAGCCCCTGCCTGGCCCACACCTGGAGCCCAGCTGCCTGTCTCGTGGTGCCCATGAGAAGTTTTCTGTGGAGGAATACCTAGTGCATGCTCTGCAAGGCAGCGTGAGCTCAGGCCAGGCCCACAGCCTGACCAGCCTGGCCAAGACCTGGGCAGCAAGGGGCTCCAGATCCCGGGAGCCCAGCCCCAAAACTGAGGACAACGAGGGTGTCCTGCTCACTGAGGTAACTAATCCCCCGGCACCTGTATATGTCCCTCTACCAGCAACCTGGGGGATGCTTTTCTCTCTTTATCAGAGTCACTCTTGCCTGTGGTGACAAATCAAACAGTAGGACAGTGCTCATTGTGGATGAAAAGTATCATCTCTTATTCCGCCAATCTCACTTCTCACAGCCTTTTTAGCGTCTTCTGTTCTGAGTTCTTCTGGTTGGTCACCTCCTGCTTGCTGAATGTGGGCACTGCATTAATAGTACACATGCTGAGGACAAGGGGAATCAGCCAGGAGCCACTGGAGATGTTATCATGGCCCCCAGAGACGGAAGATGAGGATGGGACCTGTTTTCACCACCCACCTCCTTCCCTTTTTCCTCTTGTTAACTTCCCAAATAATTTTATAACTTTAAATGATTTTATCAAACTTTGATTTCCGGGTTTTATTCCATCCATCCACTTTTTTTTTTTTTTTTTAATAAATGTGTTTTTTGAGACAGAGTCTCACTCTGTCACCCAGGCTGGAGTGCAGTCGTACAATCATAGCTCACTACAGCCTCCGTCTCCTGGGTTCAAGCAATCCTCCTGCCTCAGCCCCCCGAGTAGCTGGGACTACAAGCGTGTACCACCACGCCCAGCTATATTTTTTTTAATAGAGATGAGGTCTTGCTATGTTGCCCAGGCTGGTCTCAAACTCCTGGGCTAAAGCAATCCTCACACATTGGCCTCCAAAAGTGCTCGGATTATAGGTGTGAGCCACTGCACTGTCTTATTCCATCCACTTTTTAATTTTTTAATTTTTTTGTTTTGTTTTGTTTTGAGACAGAGTCTTACTCTGTCGCCCAGGCTGGAGTGTAGTGGCACTATAACAGCTCACTGCAACCTCCCCCTTCCAAGTTCAAGTGATTCTCCCACCTCAGCCTCCCGAGTAGCTGAGACTACAGGTGTGCACTACCATGCCTGGCTAATTTTGTGTTTTTTGGTAGAGACAGGGTTTCACCATGTTGGCCAGGGTGGTCTCAAACTCCTGACCTCAAGTGATCTGCCCACCTTGGCCTCCCAAAGTGCTGGGATTACAGGCGTGAGCCACCATGCCTGGCCCCTCCATCCACTTTTAACATCATCCTTGACCCCCGCCCCTCTTCACTGTTCCTCCCTTCCCTCCACCTTCTAGCTCCTGAGTTTTGTTTTTTCATTGTCAAGGTGATTGGCAGTTCTGTTTCTGTCTCACCATCACAAGTCTGGGATGTTTTTCATCACAAGGATCAGTGGCCGCAGCCCATGAACCCTTCCCTCGCCTTCACTTCATTCCTCTGCCCCCTCTCTGGTGCTGCCCGGCTCAGATCCCTGCCTTCGCCCCAGGGCTGCCTGGTTGTGAGGGCTCAGCTCAGCAGCCCTGGCAAGGTCACCAGCTGGAGAGTCTTCCTCACTGTAGCCCTGTAGCCCTCTGCTGCCCTGGCCACTGAAACTGTCCTCTCTCTCCTGCCAACCCCAGAAACTCAAGCCAGTGGATTATGAGTACCGAGAAGAAGTCCACTGGGCCACGCACCAGCTCCGCCTGGGCAGAGGCTCCTTCGGAGAGGTGCACAGGATGGAGGACAAGCAGACTGGCTTCCAGTGCGCTGTCAAAAAGGTACGCCAGGGCTCAGGGGCTGAGTGAAGAGGGAAGCCAGGAAGGGGGCCTGGTGTGTTCCCTCTGCTTTCTGTCCAGGACAGTCGCAGGGTGGCCGTGGGTCTGACTTGTGAACAGAACTTGGCTATCACTAGCCACCTGAGGTCGGCTGGAACTGGAAGGGAGCAGCCTGTCACGTGTCCTGGCCTGGCTGCTGCCCCTGGCATGTGTGTATGTGAGAGGCAGTGTGAGAGGACACACGTGGCCTCGGTGTCTCAATACAGCCAGGGCCTGAGGGGCAAGTCCCAACGTGGAAGATGGTTGGAGCGTCATGAAATTCACACTGAGGTAAAACCCCTGAACCACATAGGAGGCCGCCCCTGACCTGGGCCAGATGATAGGAAAGCAGTAGCCTCCACCTGTGGGGTGCTTCTAGGAGGAAGCCAGCCTCAGTGGGAGTGGGCAGATCTGCCAGAGTCGGAGCTGTGCCCCCTGTTGGCCAGGCGTGCCACAGTCCTGCAAGACAGACATGTTGGGGACATGAAGCTTGGCAAGACAGGAAGTCACTGGCCGGGTGGCAAGAGCCCTGAATCAGACCAGGTCTGTCTGACCTGAGAGTTCGGCTTTCAACCACTCTTCAGGAAGAAGAGGGAAGAAGATAGACTTCTTGTCCTAGAGTTTTGAGTAGAGACAGAAGACAGGAATCACCCCTCCCACCCCTTCATCTCACTGATGTTAGAAGTGGAGAGCAGAGAGGACAGTGTGGCATGCTGGGCCTGGAGCTGAGGCCTCCTCCTGTCAGATCACACTATCCGGGCCCAGAGGGAGCATCGGTGGCGGCTGCAGACCGACAGACCTTACAGGTGTCGGTCCTTCTCCCTGTCACCAACCTTTCCCCCACCCCCAACTCTCAGATCATCTTGATTGGAAGCCACCTTGTCCCCAGTCAAAGCTCTCGGCCTCAAAGCCAGCACCAGGACCTAAGGCGCGTTTCTGTGGACCATCCCCTTGGCCCTCTGGGCAGGGTGAAGTAAGCTCTGAGATATACCTTGTTTCAAGTGGCTTATGTCAGAGACACTCCAATCCCCGAAAGAAAAGCAACAAATACAGGTAGAGCATCCGCAATCTGAAAACCCAAAATCTGAAGTGCTCCAAAATCCAAAACTTTTGGAGCACCAACCTGACACAGGAAATGCTCACTGTAGCCAGAGCACAAAAGCCTGGCACACGCTGGCTCCATTCAGAGCAGACGCTGCCACCACCGTCCAGGGTGCCTGTGGCCTTAAGGGGAGAGGAGACAGCTGGGATGTGAATAAACCCGGCTTCCCTGGTGTGTACTTGGGCTGGATGGTGAGACCAGTGAGGGGACTATCTGCAGGTACCACCCCAAACTTCAGACACACTGTGTCGAATACGAAAACTCCGCCCTCACCACCCCTGACTGGCAACACGTGCTGAGTGCGTGCTGAGTTCTTGCCGAGTTCTTGCCAGTGTGGATCATCGTCTTCCACTGGGGGAGGCCAAGGCCACGTGCCTGACCTGCTCAGCTGCAATTCCCCTCCCCAGGCTACCGGAGAAGGCTCAGCTGTCCCTCTTGAGAGGTGGTGGGAGGAGAGTGTGAGAGTGTGAAGAGACGCGCACCCAGTGCTGGGAGCTTAGTCACTGGGCTTCTCAGCTGTTCCCCTGCTGAGGGCCTCAAGAGTCCTCCCAGGCAACAAGGTAAACAACCCTAATATAGTGGAAGAGGATAAATACTCCATGTCTCGCCCCTCGCATCCACTGCAAGGCAGTTGGAAAAGCTCCAAGCACAAGGCATGGACTTCTCAGCACCAGAGCTGCAGCTCAAGCCCACCAGAGCTGCCACTCACAGAACCACTTCCTTCCCACCCCGGAGAATGCAGTGGGGATGGCTCTTTGGCAGCCTGCACAGCTGCCATTGGTTGGGCAGACAGCCCCTGCTTTCCCTCAAGGCAGTGGTGTCCTTTAGGGTTTTCAGCTGGAAGAGCAGGAGAAACAGTTCCCTGATTAGGAGATGGGGACCGGGAGGTGGATCAGGCATCAGAGGTCAGGCTGCACATCGGATCAGAGCAAGTCTGTGCCCCCCTGATGCTCCTTGGGGAGAATCCAGTGTGTAAGGTGTCACGTGGCAGTGCCAGCACTCCCTTCATCCTCCTGATCTAGATGCTGATTGGCCATAGGTCCAGGGTTTGATGCAGTTGTTTTTATTTTTAAGGTTTTGTTTGATCTTTTTTCTTTTCTTTCTTTTTTTTTTTTTTTTGAGACAGGATCTCGCTCTGTTGTCCAGGCTAGTATGCAGTGGCATGATCACAGCTCACTGCAGCCTCAGCCCCACAGACCCAAACAACCCTGTTGCCTCAGCTTCCCACATAGCTGGGACTTTAGGCACGCACCACCACACCCAGCTAATTTTTTATTTTTTGTAGAAACAGGATCTCACTATGTTGCCCAGGCTGGACTCAAACTCCTGGGCAACCTCCCAAAGTGCTGGGATTACAGGTGTGAGCCACTGTGCCCCACCAGGATCCCATTTTAATAGAAGAAACAACTACTTGTTTATACACGCATAAAAAGTCCAGGCTGGGTACAGTGGCTCACGCTTGTAATCCCAGTACTTTGGGAGGCTGAGGTGGGAGGATTGCTTGAGGCCAAGAGGTGGAGACCAGCCTGGGCAACATAGCGAGATCGCATGTCTACAAAAGAGTAAAAAATAGAAATAAAAAAGAAATTTCAAAAGTCTAAAAAGATATCTGTCAAAGGGCAGTTACCTCTGAGAATAGGACTGGGGAATGGAGACTTTTGCTTTTTTTGGTATCATTTGCATTCTTTTATAATGAGCCTATATTTGTTTGCAATTAAAAGTAAGATCAGGGCCGAGCACGGTGGCTCACACCTGTAATCCCAGCACTTTGGGAGGCTGAGGCAGGTGGATCACAAGGTTAGGAGTTCAAGACCAGCCTCTGGCCAAGATGGTGAAACCCCATCTCTACTAAAAATACAAATATTAGCCGGGTGTGGTGGCAGGTGCCTGTAATCCCAGCTACTCAGGAGGCTGAGGCAGAGAATTGCTTGAACCTGGGAGGCGGAGGTTGCAGTGAGCCAAGATCACGCCACAGCACTCCAGCCTGGGTGACAGAGCAAGACTCAGTCTCAAAAAAAAAAAAAAAAAAAAAAGAAGTAAGATCAGGCCAGGCCTGTGGCTCATGCCTGTAATCCCAGCACTTTGGGAGACCAAGGGTGGTGGATCACAAGGTCAGGAGATCTGGCCAACACAGTGAAACCCCATCTCTACTAAAAATACAAAAATTAGCCAGGTGTGGTGGCGGGTGCCTGTAGTCCCAGGTACTTGGGAGGCTGAGGCAGAATTGCTTGAACCCAGGAGGCAGAGGTTGCAGTGAGCCGAGATTGTGCCACTGCACTCCAGCCTGGCAACACCAGAGTGAGACTCTGCCTCAAAAAAAAAAAAAAAAAGAAAGATCAGGCGGTGCGGCACTTATACCTATAATCCTAGCACTTCTTTGTAGAGACCCCATCTCTACAAAGAAAAAAAATTAGCCAGGCATGGTGGCATACACCTGTGGTCCTAGCTACTCGGGAGACTGAGGTGGGAGGATCGCTTGAGCCCAGGAAGTAGAGGCTGCAGTGAGCCAAGATCGTACCACTGCACTCCAGCCTGGACAACAGAGTGAGACCCTGTCCCCCAACCCCACAAGAAATGGGATCCTACTCTAGGGACTATTCTGTACCATGTTTTTTTCATGCAATAATATGACAGATTTCCTTATTGGCATATATACAACTCTCTTATGCTTTTTAACGGCCATGTAGAAGTTCTTATCCTAGTCAGTGGATGGATTGATAGGATCCATGAATTCTAGGAAATTTATTCAAAAGAGTGTTTGTCGGCCAGGCGCAGTAGCTCACGCCTGTAATCCCAGCACTTTGGAAGGCCAAAGCGGGCAGATCACTTGAGGTCAGGAGTTCGAGACCAGCCTGGCCAACATGGTGAAACCCCGTCTCTACCAAAAATATAAAAAATTAGCTGGGTGTGGTAGCGCATGCCTGTAATACTAACTACTCGGGAGGCTGAGGCAGGAGAATCACTTGAACCTGGGAGGCAGAGGTTGCAGTGAGCCAAGATCACACCACTGCACTCCAGCCTGGGCAACAGAATGAGACTCCGTCTCAAAAATAAAAGAATACCAAAGAAGGCCGGGTGTGGTGGCTCACGCCTGTAATCCCAGCACTTTGAGAGGCCGAGGCGGGTGAATCACCTGAGGTCGGGAGTTCGAGACCAGCCTGACCAACATGGAGAAACCCTGTCTCTATTAAAAATACAAAAAGTTAGCCAGGCGTGGTGGCGCATGCCTGTAATCTCAGCTACTCAGGAGGCTGAAGCAGGAGAATCGCTTGAACCCAGGAGGCGGAGGTTGCGGTGAGCCAAGATCATGCCACTGCAGTCCAGCCTGGGCGACAGAGCAAGACTCTGTCTCAAAAAAAAAAAAAAAAAAAAAAGTGTTTCTGTGTTGCATGTATGGGCAATCACACATTTTTAAAGAATAATTCATATCATTTCCCAGATCCTCATAGGGGTCTGTAGCCCAAAAAGGGTTAAGAATCACTCCTTTTAGAACATCTGGCTCAAGTGTGGAGTTCTGGGAGCTTTGCTTTGGCTCTGCTGCTGATCTGGGATAATGTGGCCCTGGCCAAGTCAACCCAGCTGTCACCAAACACCTGCTCTGTGCCAGACAATGTGCAGGGGCTGGGGACAGAGATGTGAAATCCACAGGCCTGACCTGAAGGAACCCGAGTTGTAATGGGGGATAGACATTTATATTGGGGTAAAGGTGAGCAGCCTTCAGTCCTGGACACGTGTTTAGAAGGAAAATAGCACAAGGATCAGAGGAAAATACCTCGATAGAGGTGAGAAAATAAGGCGGGACCCTCTAATATTCATTGGACATCTGTGCACAGTACTGTGGTAGCCCCTTTCACATAGTTTACATTCCTGGAATCTTCAAAAGAATTTATAGAATTGCTCTTACGCCTTTTTTTATTGATGGAATAAAACAGATAAGAATACCAAAGAAGAGGCTGGGTGCGGTGGCTCACGTCTGTAATCCCAGCACTTTGGGAGGCCGAGGTGGGCAGATCATGAGGTCAGGAGAGCGAGACCATCCTGGCTAACACAGTGAAACCCCGTATCTACTAAAAATACCAAAAAATTAGCCAGGCATGATGGCGCCACCAGCTACTCGGGAGGCCGAGGCAGGAGAATCGCTTGAACCTGGGAGGCAGAGGTTGCAGTGAGCCAAGATCATGCCACTGCACTCCAGCCTGGGCGACAGAATGAGACTCCGTCTCAAAAAAAAAAAGAATACCAAAGAAGGCTGGGTGTGGTGGCTCACGCCTGTAATCCCAGCACTTTGAGAGGCCGAGGCGGGTGAATCACCTGAGGTCGGGAGTTCGAGACCAGCCTGACCAACATGGAGAAACCCCATCTCTATTAAAAATACAAAAAGCCGGGCGTGGTGGCGCATGCCTGTAATCTCAGCTACTCAGGAGGCTGAAGCAGGAGAATCGCTTGAACCCAGGAGGCGGAGGTTGCGGTGAGCCGAGATCACGCCATTGCACTCCAGCCCGGGCAACAAGAGCGAAACTCCGTTTCAAAAAAAAGAATACCAAAGAAAACAAGAGGGAAGTTCAAGGAGGAAAAAGTGATCCCCAGTGTTCAGTGTGCAGGCAATTGAGGGGAAGGAAGTGGCTTCTGTATCAGGCAGTAGGCTCATTGCTGACAGTGCTTCCACCTGGGGATGCTCAGTCCTAAGTGTATTTTAAAACATTAGCATGGATGCCAGGCACAGTGGCTCACACTTGTAATCTCAACATGTTGGAGGCCGAGGTGGGAGAATCACTTGAGCCTAGGAGTTCAAGACTAGCCTGGGCAATATGGCGAAACCCCATCTCTACAAAAATTAGCTGGGCATGGCACCTATAGTCTCAGCTACTTGGGAGGCTGAGATGGGAGGATCGCTTGAGCCCGGGAAGGTCGAGGCTGCAGTGAGCTGTGATTGTGCCACTGCACTCCAGCCTGGCCAACCAAGGGAGACCTTGTCTCAAAAAAAAAAAAAAAAAGTTCAGCATGGAAAGGCCTTCAGGAGGCAGAGTAGCTGGCAGCTCTGGAGTCAGGCTTGCCCGAGTAAAAGCGCTGCTGTGATCTCTTATACCCAGTGACCTTGGGCAAATTACTTGCCCAGGCTTCAGCTTCTTCATCTATAAAATGGGGATAATGATCCCACCAGCTTACAGGCTATTGTAAGATCTGAATAACTAATGCTTAGAAAGGGCTTTACCGGTGCCTGGGAAATGATAAGTGGGCATTAGATCTTAGTTCTCATGAATATCCTCATCGCAGTCCAGCCCCCTCATTTTACGGATGAGGAACACGGAAGTTCAGAGAGGAGGGGTGGCCAGACGGGCAGCCAGCTTGGCCTGGAAGGCTGGGCTGCTTTCTCCTCTGGCACCGACTTCTAAAGCACCTTGTATTTTGAAGTATCTCCTCCCACCTCTTTGGTCTGGGTGGTTGGAAATATTTTTAGCATGGACGGGACACTCTAAGAGGACTTACAGATTTCTGCAAAGTTAAAGCCAAGTTTCCCCAACTCTTTTGGATCACAGCCCTGTTAATATCTCAGTCATTGTTTCAGGGCAACCCAGGCCAAAACAAATACCCAACAGTTCTGTTTATGAAGCAGTGAGGTCGAATAATAAGTCTTTATCCTAACAACTTAGTAGCCATTTGAAAAGCGTGACATAAGTTGAAAGAAAAAGGGTCCTTCCATTTCCAAACCGCCAGATTATTAACGGGATGTATGCCTTGTTGCACATCTCAACCCTTGAAATCAGATAGGACACCACCACCTTCATATCCCACATTTTCTCCTTGAAGTACTTTTAATCACAGTGACCTGCAAAAACATAGCTTCATAGAGATACATTATCAAAGGGAATGTCACGTGCGTGATCGTACTTTGAAGCTGAACTGTCTCGAGCGAGTAGTTCACGCGGTGTCCTGCAGATACTGCGGTGGCCGTTTCCCTCAAATGTCAGATATCCATTTGGCGCCCTTCTGAGTTATCTGCAGTGCCCCGGGGTGCCTCAGCTCAGTTTGGGGGTGGTTAGGCTGAAGACATTTGCTAACAAGTCCTGTTGTTGAATTAGTTCCAACTCAGGTTCAGAGGCTTTTTAGAGCTGGAAACACTGGCAGAGTCAAAGTTCATGGGAGGTGATTAACCAAACCAGATATTAGGGAACCAGAAGGGCGACATTTTCCACTGATAGGCAAAAGTCCAAAAACCCCACAGTGTCAGGGCTGTTTGCCAAGTCAGCAAGTCTGTGAAGATCGCTTCCAAGCTGGTTCTGTTACTGCCAGCGCCCCCTGGCGATGCTACTCAAGGCTTACTTGAGAACCATCAGCAGCTAGGAAGGAGGACAAGTCTACTAAGCGGGGAGGGGGGAGGAATAGCATTAGGAGATATACCTAATGCTAAATGACAAGTTAATGGGTGCAGCACACCAACATGGCACATGTATACATATGTAACAAACCTGCACATTGTGCACATGTACCCTAAAACTTAAAGTATAATAATAAATAAAATTAAAAAAAAGAAGAAGAAGCCTAAGAGGCCGTGCGCAGTGGCTCACGCCTGTAATCCCAGCACTTTGGGAGGCTGAGGTGGGCGGATCATGAGGCCAGGAGTTCAAGACCAGCCTGGCCAACGTGGTGAAACTCTGTCTCTACTAAAAATACAAAAATTAGCTGGATGTGGTGGCACGTGCCTGTAATCCCAGCTACTCAGGAGGCTGAGGCACAAGAATCGCTTGAACCCAGGAGGCGGAGGTTGCAGTGAGCTGAGATATCACACCACTGCACTCCAGCCTGGTGACAGAGCGAGACTCTGTCTCAAAAAAAAAAAAAAAAAAAAAAAGAAGTCTAAGAGGCCGGGCACAGTGGCTCACGCCTGTAATCCCAGCACTTTGGGAGGCCAAGGTAGGCGGATCACCTGAGGTCAGGAGTTTAAGACCAGCCTGACCAACATGGTGAAACCCTGCCTCTACTAAAAATATGAAAAATTAGCTGTGCATAGTGGCAGGTGCCTGTAATCCCAGCTACTGGGGAGGCTGAGGCAGGAGAATTGCTTGAACCCAGGAGGCGGAGGTTGTAATTAGCTGAGATTGCGCCACTGCACTCCAGCCTGGGCGACACAGCGAGACTCTGTCTCAAAAAAAAAAAAGGTCTAAGTCAGTCTAAGTATCAGCTTCTCTGATGTGAGCTGGAGGAATTGGGGAGCTAGCACTTCCTGAGTGCCCACTGGTTGCCAGGCCTGGTGTCAGTTACCATCCTTCCAAATCCTTGCTCTACCCAGGAGCAGATACCACCGTCCCTGCTGTTTGCATGTGGAAATATGTGGATGGGAAGTCTGCTGCCTTGTTTTAAAAGGCGGAGCCAGGATCTAAGCCCAAGATGTTTATATCCAAGGCCTATTTCCTCCCACCAAGTTGCTGGTCCCTGCAGAAAGGAGTGGATGATCCCGGACCTGCCATTTGGCAGTGGGAGTGGCCTTGGCCACTCCCCAGAAGCCTCCTCAGAAGCCTCCTTAAGTTCCCAGATGCTGGGAGACAGCTGCAAACAGAATAAACACTGCTCTGTCTATGTGGATGTTTTAGTCCTCCGGGAAAGAAAAGTGTTGAGGCCGGGCATGGTGGCTCACGCCTGTAATCCTAGCACTTTGGGAGGCCAACGCAGGCAAATCACAAGGTTAGGAGTTTGAGACCAGCCTGGCCAGCATGGTGAAACCCCGTCTCTACTAAAAAATACAAAAATTATCTGGGCCTGGTGGCGCACACTTGTAGTCCCAGCTACTCGGGAGGCTGAGGCAGGAGAATTGCTTGAACCCGGGAGGCAGAGGTTGCAATGAATAGAGATCACGTCACTGTACTCCAGCCTGGGCGACAGAGCAAGACCTCTGTCTCAAAAAAAAAAAAAAAAAAGAAAAGAAAAGAAAAAAAAATGCACCCGATGGAGTCCAAATCTTGGTTCTTGACAGTCAGATAAGTCAAAAACCCAGCTTCTGAGAGTAGACATGGATGTTGATAAGCAAAAGGTCCCACATCCTAGAAATTGCCCAGAAATTTAGCTGGAGGAAAAAATGTTCTGCGTTTGGCAGATTTGAGGGCGGACAGCGTGCCAGCAGCCAGGATGACGAATGTAGGGGGTTTTTTGTTTTTTTGTTTGTTTTTTTGTGGGTTTTTTTTTGTTTTTTTTTTTTGAGATGGAGTCTCACTCTGTCGCCAGACTGGAGCGCAGTGGTGCGACCTCGGCTTATTGCGACCTTGGCTCATTGCAACCTCCGACTCCCAGGTTCAAGTGATTCTCCTGCCTCAGCCTCCCAAGTAGCTGGGATTACAGCCACGTGCCACCACACCCAGCTAATTTTTGTATTTTTAGTAGAGACAGGGTTTCGCCATGTTGGCCAAGATGGTCTTGATCTCCCGACCTCGATCTCCTTGATCCACCCGCCTCAGCCTCCCAAAGTGCTGAGATTACAGCCATGAGCCACCGCGCCCGGCTGGAATGTAGTGTTTTGTTTTGTTTTTTTAATTTTTTTTTTTTGAGACGGAGTCTCACTTTGTTGCCCAGGCTGGAGTGCACTGGCGCAATCTCAGCTCACTGCAAGCTCCGCCTCCTGGGTTCACGCCATTCTCCTGCCTCAGCCTCCCGAGTAGCTGGGACTACAGGCACCCGCCGCCACGCCCAGCTAATTTTTTTGTATTTTTTAGTAGAGACGGGGTTTCACTGTGTTAGCCAGGATGGTCTCGATCTCCTGACCTCGTGATCCACCCGCCTCGGCCTCCCAAAGTGCTGGGATTATAGGCATGAGCCACTGCGCCCGGTGCGGATGTAGTTTTTATGTGGCTGTTTTTGCACACAGGCAGCACTCCAGAACTTTAATTAAGTACAAGAAGTTGCTCCTGATACCAAGGGCACGGGATACACAATTTAGCCTCTGAGGGTCCAGCAGGCCCCCCAGGCCCCTGCATCACCACTGGAAACAGCAGCAGCCTCTGTGTGTGGAGCACTAGGGTGCTGACAGGATGCCAGGGACCCAGCTCTGGTCCCCTCACCCTGTCTTAACAGCTGCCTCTGGGCCCTTGCAGGTGCGGCTGGAAGTATTTCGGGCAGAGGAGCTGATGGCATGTGCAGGATTGACCTCACCCAGAATTGTCCCTTTGTATGGAGCTGTGAGAGAAGGGCCTTGGGTCAACATCTTCATGGAGCTGCTGGAAGGTAAGGAGCCAGGTCCCACTCTTTCTCCAAATTCAGGGCCAAGAGTTCCCCCCTGAGTCTTGCCCAAGTTGGCCTTGGTCACTGATCTATCCATTGTTAACCTCTTGACCCTGTGACCCTGCTTTCCACTGCCTGCCCTGTGCTCTTGCCCTTGGCTGGCATGGAGGCTCGGGCAAGTCCCATGTATAGCCTGGCCTTTGGTCTCCTAGGTGGCTCCCTGGGCCAGCTGGTCAAGGAGCAGGGCTGTCTCCCAGAGGACCGGGCCCTGTACTACCTGGGCCAGGCCCTGGAGGGTCTGGAATACCTCCACTCACGAAGGATTCTGCATGGGGACGTCAAAGGTAAGGCCCAGGCCCCACGGCCCTGATCCCCAGCAGGCTCTTC
Source organism: Homo sapiens (assembly GCF_000001405.40). Lineage (NCBI taxonomy): Eukaryota > Metazoa > Chordata > Mammalia > Primates > Hominidae > Homo > Homo sapiens. The sequence goes on along the minus strand of NC_000017.11, from coordinate 45,274,079 downwards.
TCTCACACCATCCTGTCTGATCTCCTCTCAGTTCTGGGCTAGCCTGGTCATCCCCAGTAGCAGGCCCTGAGTCAGGCTGACAGGACTGTGCCTGTAGGAAGGGGAATGATGTTCTCCAACCCCTTAGCCAAGCACTGTAGTTTCTGGTAGACGGTGGCCACAGAGAACCGAAGGTCAAGCTCCCACCCACTGGTGACCCCTGGTATGGGGTCGGCGCAGGCGAGCAGAGTGGCAGCGTTCCCGAGTAAACCCTGCTCCTGTCCCTTTGCCCTCAGAGATCCTGCCTACCTCTAGCCTGAATTGATACCCTCCTCCCTTCCTCCACGATTAATGAAACTAATCAGAAGCAGCAGCTGCCACGTAGGGTCAGCCAGAAAATTACATCACTGGAGGGCAGGCCAAACCGAGCCAGGGTGGGCTGGGACCCGGCATGACTCACCTGTTCCTCTTCCTCCCCGGGGCGGCCTGGCAGCTGACAACGTGCTCCTGTCCAGCGATGGGAGCCACGCAGCCCTCTGTGACTTTGGCCATGCTGTGTGTCTTCAACCTGATGGCCTGGGAAAGTCCTTGCTCACAGGTAAGGCCCCCCACCAACTGCCGTGCCCCCCAATGCATTCATTCGCCAAATGCCTTCCATGCTTTCCAGAATGGGAATTGAGGTGTGAACACTTAGGTCCACCTGTGTGTTTAAGCCCCGCAACCAGCCTGGATGATTATCAGGGGTTTCTTTGTTACGCGTAAATGTGATAATAGATGTCAGGTGCTCATTGTCGATGCTCCTGTACACAGGGAAGAGAAGGGAAAGGCTGGTTGACTCTCCGTAGGTCCCAGGCCTTCTGCCTTGGAGTCCCCGTGGCTCCTACCTCTTGTCTGGCCTTTGCAGGGGAGTGCACTGCCAGCCTGTGACCCCAGCTCTCCTGCGCCTCTGAGCACGGTTGGCTGGAAGCACAGTGGGCAGGCTGACCAAGGGGCCTGGGCTCTAAAGTCAGTGAAATATCTTTCTTTAACTCCTCTGATTATTGAAATAATCCATGCCCACTGTGAAGTATAGAGTTAAGCATATAAAAGAGGCAGAGAACAGAATTCTCACCATGTCTCTTACCCAGAGAGAGAATCACAAATTTTTTTGTTGTTTTCATTGAGACAGAGTCTCACTCTGTCACCCAGGCTGGAGTGCAGTGGCACAATCTCAGCTCACTGCAACCTCCTCCTCCCGGGTTCAAGTAATTCTCCTGCCTCAGCCTCCTGAGTAGCTGGGATTACAGGCGCCTTCCACCATGCCCAGCTAATTTTTGTATTTTTAGTAGGGACGGGGTTTTGCCATATTGGCCAGGCCAGTCTCAAACTCCAGACCTTAGGTGATCCGCCCCACTCAGCCTCCCAAAGTGCTGGAATTACAGGCATGAGCCTCCGTGCCCGGCCGAATCATGAATATTTTAAATAACTCCTTCCAGGCTGTTGTTTTCCCTGTGCCTAGTTAGGGCCATTATAACACAATTTTGTGCCCTGCGTTTTTCATGTATAGCCTTAAGGATAAAATGATTTCATTTTGACCAACGGAAAAAGAATCTTTGGAAGTATATGATTGTGTGTTGTTAAAGGACTATGTTGGCAATTCTGAAGATGTAAATTGAATGTGGACACTTGACCTCCACCCGTGTTGTTTTAAGCCCTTTTAAAATAACTGTAGTGGGCTTTTTCTTGTTACAAAAAAAAATGTATCTTTTCTGATTCTTTTTAACTTTTATTTTTTAGAGACAGAGTCTTGCTCTGTCACCCAGGCTGGAGTGCAGTAGCTCACTCATAGCTCACTGCAGCCTCAAGCTCCTTGGTTCAAGCGATCCTCCCACCTCAGCCTCCTGAGTAGCTGGGACCACAGCATGTACCACCATGTCCGGCTCAATTTTTATGTTTTTTGTAGATATACATGGGGTCTCAGTATGTTGCCCAGGCTGGTCTTAAATTCCTGGATTTAAGCATTCCTCCCACCTCAGTCTCCCAAAGTGCTGGGATTACAGGCATGAGCCACTGCCTGACCCTTTTTTCTAATATCTGTTGAAGAAAGTAGAGCTAAGCAAAAATTACAAATACAAATCACCAGGAAAAAAACCACTGTTCACATCTGCCATCTATCCTTTCAGTCTTTTACGCATATAAGTTTTCTATTACAATTTTTAAATTTCACTTACTAGTATTTCTTACTAGTAAGAAGTATTACTTACTGGTATTACTTACTAGCCTTCTACAACCTAATTTGTAATGTCCAGCCCCTGCCCCATTTTTAAAAAACACTTTAAGGGTTTGGTCCAAAGGGCAGAGTCCACATCATGGATGCTCTGTTACTTTGTACAAGTTCCCAGCAGAGTCCCCGCCTAGCTCCTCCCTACAAGTCTGACTTGGAGACTTTATTTCTATATTTAAAGTATTTTAACATGTCCGGGCACAGTGGCTCATGCCTGTAATCTCAGCACTTTGGGAGGCCGAGGTGGGTGGATCACCTGAGGTCAGGAGTTCGAGACCAGCCTGGCCAACATGGGTGAAACCCCATCTCTACAAAAACATAAAAATTAGCTGGGCATGGTGGCTCATGCCTGTAATTCCAGCTACTTGGGAGGCTGAGGCAGGAGAATCTCTTGAACCCGGGAGGTGGAGGTTGCAGTGAGCCAAGATCGCGCCATTGTACTCCAGCCTGGGTGACAGAGCAAGACTCCATCTCAAAGAACTAAAAAGATAATAAAATAAAAAGTACTTTAACAGTGACAAATGTAAGATACCCCGAGGATTAACCAGGGTGGCCATTGCCTAGGCTCCTGCCCATCAGCATTCCAGGTAACTTTATGTCTCATCCCCCTTCTCAGGGGACTACATCCCTGGCACAGAGACCCACATGGCTCCGGAGGTGGTGCTGGGCAGGAGCTGCGACGCCAAGGTGGATGTCTGGAGCAGCTGCTGTATGATGCTGCACATGCTCAACGGCTGCCACCCCTGGACTCAGTTCTTCCGAGGGCCGCTCTGCCTCAAGGTCGGTGACGGCACCCAGCATGGCCAACAGGGGGAGCTGCAGGGCCCTGGGGCCCAGGCTGCAGGCTGGAGGGGCTGCTCTGCGGTGGCAGATGGAGCAAGGGGAGGCCTGGTCATCCATGTGGGATCCTAATTCAAATACTTGCCACCCAAATCTGGGGGTACAAGGGGAGATCCAGCTGCGGAGGCTCACCAAGTTCATGGCAGGTGAGAACTCTCTTCTGTCCATACCCTGGGCCCCATCCACCTGCCTCCTAACGGGCCGGGCCTGGAGGCTGTGGGCGTCTTGCTGCCTGGCTCTGGCCTGTTTTACTGGCTCCATTTGTCCCTTTCCTGGGAAAAGTGCCCTCACTGTAGCCCAGACCCCTCCATTCCTTGTGGTAGACCCCAGCACAGCGGGAACAGGGGCCGGCGGGAGTTGCGCAAAGAGCAATAACAGCCGGGTATCAGGAAATGAGGGAAGGCAGGCCTCACCTGTTGTCTTTTGCCCCCCAGATTGCCAGCGAGCCTCCGCCTGTGAGGGAGATCCCACCCTCCTGCGCCCCTCTCACAGCCCAGGCCATCCAAGAGGGGCTGAGGAAAGAGCCCATCCACCGCGTGTCTGCAGCGGAGCTGGGAGGGAAGGTGAACCGGGCACTACAGCAAGGTAGGAAGAGCCCCACGCTGGCTGACCCGGGGGGCAGAAGACAGAGGTGGACAGAGGAGGCAGGTGGGCGCAGGTCCAGAGCAAGGCACCCCTCAGAGCCTTAGTTTCCCCCTCTGGATTATGGGGGTGCAGCAGCCTCAGGGTTGTTGGGAGATTGCGACAGTGCCACGCCTGGACCCAGAGGCAGCGCTCAGGAGATGGGAAAGAGAAAACTCACACGCAAACTCGAAGTGCTTTTTCCATTCTCCCACTCAACTACAATCAACCCAGAAGACTCCTGTGACCACATGTGTGGGGATTTCCACCCCACCAAGCCAGCAATCAGTTCTGCAGCAGACACTAGCTTGGTGTCCTCTAATTCAGTTCTGTTCCAACACTATCTACCTGGAGGTAGCATCAGATCCCACAGCAGGAGGGCTCGATCCCCAAGACTGCACCCCCTAGCCATGCCAGTCTCAGGCCCACGTGTTTACCTGTGCTTCTGACCAACTGGCTATAAGTCAGGGACCCCATGACCCCCTCCTTGGGATTGATTAATTTGCTGGAGTGGCTCACAGAACTCAGAGAAACACTTCCTTACATTTACCAGTTTATTAGAAAGGATATTACAAAGGATACAAATGAAGAGATGCATAGGGCAAGGCATGTGGGAGGGAGCACAGAGCTTCCAGGGCTTGGCACCCTCCAGGAACCTCCATGTGCCCAGCTACCAGAAGTTCTCTGAACCCGGTCTTCTTGGGTTTTTGTGTAGGCTTCATTACGTAGGCATGATTGAATAAATCACTGGCCATTGGCGAACCGCTTAACCTTTAGCCCCCTTCCCTCCCAGTACGTGGGATGGTGGGATGAAAGTCCCAACCCTCTAATCCTGCCTATGTCTCTCTGATGACCAGCCCCCATCTTGAAGCTACCTAGGGGCTGCCAGCCTTCAGTCAATCCATTAGTACACAGAAAGAGATCATTTTGGAGAGTAAGGCTTTTAGGAGTTCTGTGCCAGAAATGGGGTTAAAGATAAAATATATGTTTACTAGTATCATAAGGGTTATGATGTATAGAGGGGGCTCAAACTCACTAGGAATCCAAGAATACAAAATAAAGACAGGCCGGGAGCAGTGGCTCACACCTGTAATCCCAGCACTTTGGGAGGCTGGGGCAGGAGGATCGCTTGAGGCCAGGAGTTCAAGATCAGCCTGGGCAACATAGCAAGACCCTTTCTCTGCAAAAAAATTTAAAAATTAGCCAGGCATGGTGGCACATGCGTGTAGTCCTAGCTACTCAGGAGGTGAGAGGATTGTTTGAGCCTGGAAGGTCGAGGCTGCAGTGAGCCATGATTGCACCACTGCACTCCAGCCTGCGCAACAGAGACCCGACTCAAAAAATAAATAAATAAATAAAGCCAGGTAACACTCAAGAGCCATTTGACTGGAAAAAAGCAGAAAGTTGGTGGGATGTAGGGCTGTTGGGACCCCTCAGGTGCTGCTGATGGGCATGTGGACAAGGCTACCCACTCTGGGGGGGCACCTGGCTGCACTCAGGCAGACGTCTGCAGACTGAGACCAAGGACTTCTACCCCTGGGTGCACTGACAAACGAATGCCAGCAGATCCATATGGGGACACGCCTGAGGACGCGCACTACAGCTTCCTTTGTGGGAGGGGAGTAGGGTACGATGGGGTCCCTCACTGGGAGGACAGAGACACAAAAGGGGATGCCTCATGGAGCACCAAGCAGTTAAAGCAACTCGGCGTTCACAGAGCAGCATGGATGGATCCTAAAGCCATGGTGCCGAGTGAAAAGAGAACCCGACACAGAATGGGACCCAGAACATAATGCCTGTTTGGTAAACTAAAAATTGATCAATAGCCAGGTATGGTGGCGCACATCTGTAGTCCCAGCCACTCAGAAGATTGAGGTGGAAGGATCGCTTGAGCCCAGGAGTTGGAGTCCAGCCTGGGCAACATGATGAGACCTCATCTCTTTAAAAAAATAAAAATAAAAATAAATTGATAAATAAAACAACGCACATTTTGCAAGGACACAACCAAATCAAAAATGACACATCAAACATAATAGAATGTCACCTGAGGGATGGGCACAAAAAAGGCTGTGATTATAGGAATGAAAATGAAATAAAGAAAACCAGAGAGATCTTGCACCTCACCAAAGACAGCTGGTAGTTATAAGGATGAGGGTGGTCCCAGGGCTGAACTAGCCCCATGCCAGAACAAACGGTGCCTGGGGAAGTACCGACTGAGGATGGGGTAGGAGAGATGGTGGGTCCAGGATGCCACTTTGCCTGGGAGCTCTTGAGTTGGTGTAGCCCCAGGGCTGTTTTCAATCTTCTCTTTCTTGTTAACAAAGTCCTCTGGAGCTGATTCTGTAGTTTTTGAATTTGCTACTGATACCTAGAAGAAAAACAGAATCAAAGACAGAAATCCAGTCCTATCCCTGTCATATTGGGACCATTTTATTGAGGAAGTCTCCTGTGGAGACCACCATGCTGCCCTCTGGAGCCACCTCCCATGGTGGCCCGGGGCAGTGTCCTCCCCTTTGTTTGCCTCTAGCCCTTCTGCACTCAGGAGAGGCCGCTCCTGCCTGGACCGCTGTCTGTGCACAGCACGCTTCCCCTCACCATTGTACTCTCTGTTTTCTAGTGGGAGGTCTGAAGAGCCCTTGGAGGGGAGAATATAAAGAACCAAGACATCCACCGCCAAATCAAGCCAATTACCACCAGACCCTCCATGCCCAGCCGAGAGAGCTTTCGCCAAGGGCCCCAGGGCCCCGGCCAGCTGAGGAGACAACAGGCAGAGCCCCTAAGCTCCAGCCTCCTCTCCCACCAGAGCCCCCAGAGCCAAACAAGTCTCCTCCCTTGACTTTGAGCAAGGAGGAGTCTGGGATGTGGGAACCCTTACCTCTGTCCTCCCTGGAGCCAGCCCCTGCCAGAAACCCCAGCTCACCAGAGCGGAAAGCAACCGTCCCGGAGCAGGAACTGCAGCAGCTGGAAATAGGTACGGGCAGCCGTGGCTGCAGTGGGGCCCTGAGCACTGGCCCTGGGCCACCCGCGGAGGCCGGTGTTTCTCTTTACCTGCGGTGTGGGCTTTCTTCCAGCCCCTTCCCCAGCAGCTCAGCTTCTACCGACTGTGCAGGAAGAACCCCTGAAAACACAGCCAGCCTCCTCCCAGTCTTTCACAGCCATCTTCCACTTTTCCCTGCAGAATTATTCCTCAACAGCCTGTCCCAGCCATTTTCTCTGGAGGAGCAGGAGCAAATTCTCTCGTGCCTCAGCATCGACAGCCTCTCCCTGTCGGATGACAGTGAGAAGGTGAGTCGGTTGTGGCCCCGGAGCCATGGCTCCAGGGGTGTGGTTTTCCCGGCCCTGGCACAGAGCAAGTAGCTTTGCGTCCAGCTAGTGAATGGACACTGTGCAAGTAGTGGGTAAAGGGAGGGTGATGGGGGTCACCCCTTCCTTCTGGTGGGGGTCCTCACTAGGTTGGGGGAGGTGGTCATGGTTCAGAGTCAGAGAAACCATGGGAATCTACCCTTCTGGGATTAGGGAATGTGTTTTGCCACCAGAGATAATGGGGAGGCAGGCCTTCGTCCCCCATGGAGGCAACCCTTACCCTCCTCCAGCTGAGGGCATGAGCAGTGCCCCTTTTCCCCAAATGAGACCCAAGCCGGAGATGGATCCTGGAGCCCAGGGCCCTGAGCCCGTACCCAATCCTGTTGTTTCAGAACCCATCAAAGGCCTCTCAAAGCTCGCGGGACACCCTGAGCTCAGGCGTACACTCCTGGAGCAGCCAGGCCGAGGCTCGAAGCTCCAGCTGGAACATGGTGCTGGCCCGGGGGCGGCCCACCGACACCCCAAGCTATTTCAATGGTACAGTCCAATTCCCACCTGCTCAGCAGTCCCCGTGGCAGCTGATCTGCCTGGAGCTAGACAGCCATTGAGGGATTTTGTCTCCCCTCCTCTGGCACAGTGGGAGGGAGGAAGGCGCCTGGTCCCAGAACTTGAGGTTCCTGGCCAGTAAGTTGGGTTTCAAGCAAAGGTCCCAATCACCCATGAGCCTTTCCTGATGGGGCAGTGAGGGACCATTATCCCCTCATTGTCAGTTGATGGAGTCCCAGAAGGTTCCCCTAGCTTGGGGAGGAGAGCAGTCTCTTGACCTGGAGTCAGGAAAATGAGCAATTAATCTCTTCTAAAGGGAAAAGGAACAGGACCCATGAGCATTTTAATCAAAAACTCAGCAAAAGGAATCCCCCTCTGGGATTTGAGGTCAGATGAGAAAGACAACATAAAATTCCTTCGTTTTCAAGCTTGATTGCATAGGTTATGATGTGGCTTTGCTACAACAAGGGCATCATCAGCTTGGAGTTCCCTGGCCCTCTCCAGGGCAAGTGTGACTCATGGCATCAGGGCCCCATGGCTGGCCAAAGGCCACTTCAACTCAGGCAACAATCTAAATTGCCCATAATCTAATTTAAGAATCCTTGTGTTCAGTTCCTTTCTGCTTTGCATCCAAGTTGAAATACTACTTCCCCATAGGAGCCAGCCCCAGCTCTTAGCAATGCACAGGCCAAATCCCAGGTGCTGACGGCCAGGAAGAACTAGCAGGTGTATATAATATGAGGGCTGTTCCAGCCTGAATTTTTTTTTTCTTATAAAAATGCAGCTTTGTGACCAGGTGTGGTGGCCCACACCTGTAATCCCAGCACTTTGGGAGGCCAAGGCAGGTGGATTACATGAGGTCAGGGGTTCGAGACCAGCCTGGCCAACATGGTGAAACCCCGTCTCTACTAAAAATACAAAAATTAGCTGGGTATAGTGGCGCATGCCTGTAATCCCAGCTACTTGAGAGGCTGAGGCAGGAGAATCACTTGAACCCGGGAGGTAAAGGTTGCAGTGAACTGAGATCACGCCACTGCACTCCAGCCAGGGCGACACAGTGAGACTCTGTCTCAAAAACAAAAAAATGCAGCTGTGCTTAGACCAGCCTAAATTTTATCTCTGCTGCTCCATCACAGCCAGACCTGCTCCCCCTACATAGGGCAGAGTGACTTTTAACAAAAACGTTCCCCCAGCCCCTGCCAGGACCCTGGTCCTTGGGGAGCCAGCAGCCGCTCTCCTGACTATCACCTTGTCCGCCTTCTAGGTGTGAAAGTCCAAATACAGTCTCTTAATGGTGAACACCTGCACATCCGGGAGTTCCACCGGGTCAAAGTGGGAGACATCGCCACTGGCATCAGCAGCCAGGTAAGGGGGGCAGGTACACTCTGACGGGCAGAGTCCCAGAAGCCAATGCAGCTGGCCCCACCCTCCAGGAGGAAAGCTTTCAAAGAAGTAGAATGGCACTCTAGGGAATACTTGGAATTGGCCTTCAACGTCCCCCAGGACCTCAAAGCATTTCCCAGGGCCTCAAAGCAAGGCTGGCAGTGGTGACAAAGAGGTCCTCCAGACCTACACTTGAGCCGGGTGGGATTCTCTGAGTCCCGTGGAATGACAGACAGGCAGTGCCCTTAGGGCTGCCGGTCTGGCTGGAAGGAGATGTCTTTACCTTTCTACATGGCTTGAGCCCTATGCCATGATCTCAGCCCACTGGTTTGCTCCACCCTTAGATCCCAGCTGCAGCCTTCAGCTTGGTCACCAAAGACGGGCAGCCTGTTCGCTACGACATGGAGGTGCCAGACTCGGGCATCGACCTGCAGTGCACACTGGCCCCTGATGGCAGCTTCGCCTGGAGCTGGAGGGTCAAGCATGGCCAGCTGGAGAACAGGCCCTAACCCTGCCCTCCACCGCCGGCTCCACACTGCCGGAAGCAGCCTTCCTGCTCGGTGCACGATGCTGCCCTGAAACACAGGCTCAGCCGTTCCCAGGGATCTGCCAGCCCCCGGCTCAGCAGTGGGACCAGGGCCTCGCAGCAGCAAGGTGGGGGCAAGCAGAATGCCTCCCAGGATTTCACACCTGAGCCCTGCCCCACCCTGCTGAGAAAACACTCCGCCACGTGAAGAGACAGAGGAGGATGGCAGGAGTTACCTCGGGAAACAAACAGGATCTTCTCTGCCCTGCTCCAGTCGAGTTGGCCTGACCCGCTTGGATCAGTGACCATTTGCTGGCAGACAGGGGAGAGCAGCTTCCAGCCTGGGTCAGAAGGGGTGGGCGAGCCCCTCGGCCCCTCACCCTCCAGGCTGCTGTGAGAGTGTCAAGTGTGTAAGGGCCCAAACTCAGGTTCAGTGCAGAACCAGGTCAGCAGGTATGCCCGCCCGTAGGTTAAGGGGGCCCTCTAAACCCCTTGCCTGGCCTCACCTGGCCAGCTCACCCCTTTTGGGTGTAGGGGAAAAGAATGCCTGACCCTGGGAAGGCTCCCTGGTAGAATACACCACACTTTTCAGGTTGTTGCAACACAGGTCCTGAGTTGACCTCTGGTTCAGCCAAGGACCAAAGAAGGTGTGTAAGTGAAGTGGTTCTCAGTCCCCAGACATGTGCCCCTTTGCTGCTGGCTACCACTCTTCCCCAGAGCAGCAGGCCCCGAGCCCCTTCAGGCCCAGCACTGCCCCAGACTCGCTGGCACTCAGTTCCCTCATCTGTAAAGGTGAAGGGTGATGCAGGATATGCCTGACAGGAACAGTCTGTGGATGGACATGATCAGTGCTAAGGAAAGCAGCAGAGAGAGACGCTCCGGCGCCCCAGCCCCACTATCAGTGTCCAGCGTGCTGGTTCCCCAGAGCACAGCTCAGCATCACACTGACACTCACCCTGCCCTGCCCCTGGCCAGAGGGTACTGCCGACGGCACTTTGCACTCTGATGACCTCAAAGCACTTTCATGGCTGCCCTCTGGCAGGGCAGGGCAGGGCAGTGACACTGTAGGAGCATAGCAAGCCAGGAGATGGGGTGAAGGGACACAGTCTTGAGCTGTCCACATGCATGTGACTCCTCAAACCTCTTCCAGATTTCTCTAAGAATAGCACCCCCTTCCCCATTGCCCCAGCTTAGCCTCTTCTCCCAGGGGAGCTACTCAGGACTCACGTAGCATTAAATCAGCTGTGAATCGTCAGGGGGTGTCTGCTAGCCTCAACCTCCTGGGGCAGGGGACGCCGAGACTCCGTGGGAGAAGCTCATTCCCACATCTTGCCAAGACAGCCTTTGTCCAGCTGTCCACATTGAGTCAGACTGCTCCCGGGGAGAGAGCCCCGGCCCCCAGCACATAAAGAACTGCAGCCTTGGTACTGCAGAGTCTGGGTTGTAGAGAACTCTTTGTAAGCAATAAAGTTTGGGGTGATGACAAATGTTTCCAGGCCATCGGTGTCCTCTCTCTTGCCTGCCGGCCTGCTGAACCTCACGACCCTAACAGCTGCCTCTCTTTGCCTTCTTGCTGAGATCTTTTCAAGTCCCCCTTGTTTTGGACAAGGACTGTTTCAGCCCTTGAGTGGGGCTGCTTTCCCACCACTCCTCCCAGTGGCTGCTTCTAGTCCCAACGCTGGGCTAGTCATTCAGACCAGTTAGGCAAGATACCTTGCCCGGTGGCATCAGGGAAGTCCCTCGCCAAAATATGCCAGGCTGAGGGGTGGAGGAGGAGGACAACAAAGCCTGCATGCTTTGTGCCACTGCCCAAGTTAGGCAGCCCCCTACCACCAGAAGGGAAATAGGGATGGGTTCTGGGCCCTGACCATCCAGGGATGCCGGATGCACACCACAGGCCCTCCACCCTCCCCTCCTGTCCTTGAGGCCTGGACTCTTAACCCTTTCCGCTGCCTCCTGAGCCCTGCATGGGGCCAGGGATGCCTTTGTGGGCTGAGTTCCTTGGTCATGGAGCTGGGGCACACGGGGTGCTGAGTTCCTTGGTCATGGAGCTGGGGCACACGGGGTGCTGAGTTCCTTGGTCATGGAGCTGGGGCACACGGGGTGCCTTATCGAATCTGGCTCCACACTCCCTGTGTGCACAAGTGTGTGTGCGCGCGGCTTGGGTTGGTTTAGCCGGTTCTTGGAAGGGCCCTGGGACCACGAAAAGGGCGGCAGCCCTGAGCCGCTGGCGTGCAGAGCGGGTGCAAGTCCTGTCCAGCACAGCCAGGCTTACCTGCCGCCTGCCTCTCGCTCTAGGCCCGCTGCGGAAGCGCGAGCCCCACCCCCGAGGTCTTCGGAGAGGAAGGAGTTCTGGCTTCGGGCCCGCAGCCTTCGGAGGACGCCTCACTCGGGCCGTCCCCCGTCCGCCCGCCCGAAACCTAAATGCGGCTCCCTGCCTGTGGGGTCGCGGCGGGGACGTCACAGAGGCGGCGACATCACAGGCACCGGCGCCTCTAATATTTCCAGCGCCCACCAGTCCCTCAGCCAAAGAGCACACTGGAGGCGGAGAGGCAGCATCCACCAGCCCGCTCCCCGCCTCCAGGACAGAGCCTCGGTCTGCATGGGGGTGACAGGTGGGAGCGGCCGAGCGCCCGGGGGCGAGGGTTGGGGCAGGCGGGGAAAGCGAAAGTGAGAGGGGGAGGGGCGCGAAGGGGGCGGTCAGGAATCCGCCCAGGGCCCGTTCCCCTGCTCCCAAACCCCCGGCACCTGAAAGGCAGGTCGACCCGCCGCCAAAGCCCACCCGGTGCCCCTGACTACGGCTCCCAGCCTCAGCCCCTGCGCGGTGCACACCCATGTGCTCTCACGGACACGCATGCGCGCCTTGGAGTAGGGACTGCAGAGTCAGTGGTTCTTGAAGGGGTTCTGAGACCACAGAAGGAGCAATGGCCTTGTGCACAGGAAACGACTCATGAATTATCCTGAACTGCAGATCCAAAAAATCACATCCAGTTGTCCCTCCTTGATGCTTGAGGCTTTGCAGGGAGGAGCGGCAGTCTTCAGCACATTTTTACGGAGCGCTTCGTTGATGCCTTGTACTCTTCTCTGAACCAATGAGCAAAGATGTTTGCCCCCAGTGCCCTGTGTCTCCCCTTCCCATAGGGGCGTCAGATCCCCCACTGAAATGGTGGCTTTCTTTTGGGGATCCTCTCTCCCAGAAGGGCATGGGCCAGCATTAAAAACGGTCAAAAATTAGGTGGGCATGATGGCTCAACGCCTGCAATCCCAACACTTCGGGAGGCAGAGGTGGGAGGATCACATGAGGCCAGGAGTTCAAGATCAGCCTAGGCAACATAGCGAGACTTTGTCCTCTACAGGAAATGTTTAAAATTAGACAGGTGTGGCGGCATGAGCCTGTAGTCCCAGCTACTTGGGAGGCTGAGCTGGGAGGCTCACTGGAGCCCAGGAGTTGCAGTGAGCTATGATGCTGCCACTCCAGCCTGGGCCACAGAGCAAGACCCTGTCAAAAAAAAAAAAAAAAAAACCAGAGGTCGGGTGCAGTGGCTCACGCCTGTAAGGTAAAACGTAGATTAGACAGCCAGGTCTGTCATGGAGAGGATTACACTGATTATTTGAATTGGGCTTTCAGGCATGAGTAGGACTTTGCCAGAAGAAGGCTTTCCAGGTATAAGAAATAGCATTTGCAAAGGCACTGGGTGCAGAAAGGCCTGCGGTACTCTGGGGGTAGCTTCGGCTTAGGGTGAGGGACAGGAAGCTGGATGCCAAGAGATGAAAAATGAAGGTAGAGATCAGACCAAGAGGCCACATGGAGTCTGGGGGTAACCGGAGACAAGTGAGATGTAGCAGGCTCACTCTGAGGTCATTGAAAATCCAGGTTGGAGGGGGACATAGTTGCAGTGGTCCCACTGGAAGACTAAAGAGATTTAAGACAGTGCAGTGAGTAGCATCCCAGAGTTTGGAGCCAGCCAGACCTGCCTTTGGGTCGTGTGCTGCTCTTAATAGCTGCATGACCTCATACACGTTTCCTCATCTGTGAGAGGAGAGCCGTGGCCAACTGGGCATAGGGTAGGTATGAAGACTGAATGTGCAAAGCACTCAGCACCAAGTGCCAAAGGGTAGGAAGTCATGGGTGTGTGCTGGCTCTGGTACTGGGAGATGAGGACAGCATCAGGGGTAGGAGGGCAGTAGCTGCGGAGGGAGGAGGAGTCACAAATGACCCAGGTTTCTCATTTGGGTGAAAGGATGAAGGATGAATAGGGCGAGGAGAGTGGGGTATGGAGAGATGACAGACTAGAAAGGGAGACAGGGGTCAGACAGGCAGAACCGTGGCAGCCACACTTAAGAGTCTGGACATACAAGATATGAATTTGAGGTAAGAAATTAGGCCAGGCATGGTGGCTCACGCCTGTAATCCCAACACTCTGGGAGGCCAAGATGGGAAGATCGCTTGAGCTCAGGAGTTTGAGACCAGCCTGGGCAACATACTGAGACCTCATCTCCTTTTTTTTTTTTTTTTGAGACAGAGTCTTGCTCTGTCACCCAGGCTGGAGTGCAATGGCACCATCTCGGCTCACTGCAACGTCTGCCTCCCGGGCCGAAGCCATCCTCCCTATCAAAACCTAACAAAGACATTACAAGAAAAGAAAATTATACACCGATATCCCTCATGAATATGCATGTGAAAATTCTGAAAAAAAGCCAATCAGATTCAACAACATAGAAAAAGGGTAATATATCACAACCAAATGAGGTTTATCCCAGTAACGCAAGGCTGATTTAACATTTTAAAAAATAAATTTATAGCTGGGCATGGTAGCTCACACCTATAATCTAGCACTTTGGGAGGCCACGGCAGGTGGATAGCTTGAGCCCAGGAGTTCAAGACCAGCCTGGGCAATATAACAAGACCCATCTCTACAAAAAATACAAAAATTAGCTGGGGGTGGTGGTGAACACGTGTAGTCCCAGCTACTCCAGAGGTGAGGTGGAAGGATCACTTGAGACAGGGAGGTTGAGGTTGCTGAAATTGCGCCACTGAACTCCAGCCTGGGCAACAGAGTGAGACCCTGTCTCAAAAAAAACAATGTATTTTACCATAAACAGAATATAAAAATATAAAAGAATTATCACTCAAATAATATAACATTACTCATATGTTAATGTATTATAACGTATGTTATGTATAACATATATAATATCATATTAAAGAAAAACCATATGATCATCTCAATAAATGCAGAAAAAGCATTAGGCAAAATCCAGCATCCATTCCTAATTAAAACTAAGCAATCTAAGAGACGAAACTTCACAAAGATGCCCAAGCTAATGAAAGGCATCATGAAGAAACCTACAGCTAGCATCATCCTTAATGGTGAAAGGCTAAACACTTTCCCCTAAGCTCAGAACGAAGCGAGGATGTACACACGCACTCCTACTCAACATTGTATGGAGATTGTCCCCAGTGCAATTAGGCAAGTAAAGAAAATAAGAGGAACCAGATTGGGAGGGAAGAAGTAAAAGTGTCTTGACTCACACACATTATTGTCTATGTAGAAAATCCGATAGAATCTAAAAGAAAAAAAAAGCTATGAGAACAAATAAGATTTTAGTATAGTTGCAGGATACAAAAGATGGATATATTTCTGTATACTAGCAACAAACCACTGGAAATTGAAATTATTTCGGCCAGGCACGGTGGCTCATGCCTGTAATCCCAGCACTTTGGGAGGCCGAGGCAGGCAGATCATTTGAGGCCAGGAGTTTGAGATCAGCCTGGCCAAAATGGTGAAACCCCATCTCTACTAAAAATACAAAAAGTGAGCTGGGCGTCGTGGCGCATGCCTATAATCCCAGCTGCTCAGGAGGCTGAGTCAGGAGAATCGCTTGATCTCAGGAGGCGGAGGTTACAGTGAGCCGAGATCACACCACTACACTCCAGCGTGGGTGACAGAGTGAGACCCTGCCTCAAAAAAAATTATTTCAATTATTTCATATACTGCAGAATATCACTTGAATCCCTAATAGAACATTCTCAAGTCAGGCAACGAGGTCCCAAGCTGAGTCAATGTCTGACTTTTTCTCCCAGCCCCCAGTGCTGTTAAGAGGCTCACACAACAGTAATTTCTTCTCCTGTCCATACCCAGCTGCCGTTTATGGAGGGGTTGAGGCTGTGGGTGTTGATTAAACTGCCCAGGGAAATTCTGTAAAGGGAGCAAAGGCCCTGAGGTCAGAAGCCTGGGGGAACAGCAGGACCTGGGACAGGGGGAGTTGGAGAGGGAGAAGAGAGACACGTGAGGAAGCCAGGGAAGCATAGTGGTCAAGGAGGTGGAGGGTTCTGAAGAGATCATTGAGCCGGCCACTCTGCTGATACATCCCCCAAGACCAGGCTGAAGCAGATGGTCCCAATCCCAAGACCAGCCATGCAAGGACCCCTCCCTCCAGCCACTACATCTCTAGGAAGAGACCGCAGTACATTCTCATCCTTCCAATATGATCCTGGGAGCGATTCTTCCCAGCCAGAGCCAGGGCTGTCACTTCCTGCCATACCCCAGGCTGATGGGGACCCACCTTGCATGATGGCAGGGTTGTCATGATGGCCCCACCATCAACCCCTATGCATGGCCCTGGGTAGCAGAGAACAGGGCAGCCTGGTGCTTCCCACTCCCACAGGGTGAAGAAACAGCTTCTGCAGTAAAAGATACAAGCCTCCAGGGAGGGGTTTGGGGTTGCGGACGTTCCCAAGGAGTCAGTCTCCCCTGCAGAGGGTGATCTGAGCTCATAAATCGTCGGATAGGTGCTAGCACCACCTCAGATTACACACCTGGGGTGCAGGCCTTGGCCTGGAGTCAGTGATGGATGACCCAGAGAGAGGAGAGGAAGCCGGCAGAGGAGCAGGAATGGGGAGATGGGGGAGGTTCACATGGGGCGTTATTGGGACTCCACGCAGTTACAGGGTCCTGGGAGTAGCCGGTGGGGGCAGGGAGTTAAGAGTTTCCTGAGTCAAGCCTGCATTCAAGTCATCACTTCAGCTATGTTCAGCTGGGGGACCTTGGGCAAATGGACCTGTCCTAATTTTTTGTGTTGAATCAGTGAGATAAAGCAGGTAAAGTGACCAGGCTATGGAAGCGCTCTGTCATGTTCAGGGTACTGTTAGCAGTCACGGTTTTGGGGGATGGAGATGGAACCGGGAGCCTCCGAGGAGGCAAGGCACAGACGGAGAGTGGAGGGAGCAGGACTGGAGGATAGGAATGGCGACCGGCTCGGGAACAAGGAGAGCGGGGCAGGACGGTGAGGGGGAATAGCAGCCGGGAAGAGAGAAAAGAAGGGCAGGAAAAGGGGGCTGGCTCCGGAATCCCTCTGGGACTGTCCTCTACCCTGCAGCTCCCTGCCCTCACCTCCTTTCCCCTGTCAGGTGCCCATGGATTTCCATGCTGCGGCAAAGGGTCAGTGGAGGTTGCAGAGATGCGGTGAGAACCATCCTCAATCAACGTAGGGCCTCCCCCGAGCCCTCCAGGACCTCCGACCTCACCCCCAGCCTAGGATCCCCCAGCCTAGGATCTCCCTCCCTTCTGCCATTTCCAAAACCTCCCCGGGGCCAGTGTCCAGGCCAAAAGGCTGGGGAGGGCGTGGGGCGCCTATCCTCCCACTTCTGTTTATGCCCTCAGCCCCTGGCATGAGAGGAAGACTGAGGGGTGGTGGGGCACACCCAGGGACAGGATAGGACCTGACCCCTCAGAGCTGCCTGGCTTGCTGAGGACAGAGCTGCTCAAGGCGGGGGTGGGCAGGCACTTGAAGAAAGAGTGGGCAGGTGGGTGGGAGGACATTGCTCTGGGGCTCCCCTGCTGGGGACTAGTGTTCTGGGCACTAATCCTCGAAGTGAGTTGCCCCAGCTCACCTGCAGTGCTTGATAAAAATGAGATTCCTGGGCCTTACCTCCAACCAACTGGATTCCTCTTTGGGGGTGGGGCATGAGTTGGCAAGCAGCTTCCTAAACTCACTAAAGTTTCAGAATACAACCGCAGACTTCCTGGTGGCAGTGGAGTGGGACAGCAGGGGAGTGGATGAGCTGGTGGCGGGGTGGTCGGCGGGAGGTGCATCGTGCCAGCTTCTGTTACAAGGCAGAGGGCTTTGAGGGCCCCAGAAACCCCCTTCCCGCTGAAGCCCCACAGATCCCCATCACCCACTCTGTCTTCTTCTGTCTTAGAGATGACTTAAGTCAACACCAGATACAAGAGGAACAGGAGGTAAAAATGGGAGTGTCCTCTTACGGGGAGGTGGTAGGCAAGCGGCAGGGCTCTTCCCTAAGTCCCCACCAGCCCCTACCCTTGACAATCCTGGGACCCTAGTACCAGGCCGGTGTGGGTACACCCACACACACACCCCCTCACCGGGCAGGTCTCTGAGAGGAGGCAGGCATGGGGTTAGGGGGCGGGGGGAAGACAGCAGGACCCAGGGCAGGGGTGGGGCAGGGACTCGGTGCCAGGGAGGGCCTCAGGGGCAGGACCTCCCGCTCCTGCCTCCTCAGCTTTGAGTTGAAACATTTCAGCTGGAGGCAGACATGCTAGAGCAGAAGCCCCAACTCCAAGTGGACCTGGACCTGGACCCAGACCCAGACCCAGACCCAGAACTGGAGATCGGACAGGTGCCGGCTTTACTGGAGTCAGAGCTATACCCAGCCCTCAAGCTTGAAGCTGAGCTGGACACGGAAGCCAACTCGAACGAGGAGTCTGACTTTGAAGAACCCATGCAGCTGGTATGCAAGATAGAGTCCGTCCACTCCAACATGGGGCTGCCCACGCCACAGACCTTCAGACCGTGGAGTCTGAATTCAAACTGCCGGAGTTTCACGGAGGAGAACCACGTGTCTGCCTGCCATCACTCCATCAGTGCGCAGACCTCCAAGCACCTCTTCTGGGCAAACAAGCTCATCCAGGCCTCAGAGCACAGCCTGCAGCGGGCCATCAACATGCAGCTCAACAATGGCAGCGCAGGCCAGCCCATCAGATCCCCGCTCCGGGAGGCCATCCCCACCAACGCCCTGTGCTCCGAGGAGCAGCTCCAGATCCCTGATGCCCACTCAGCTCCTCCAACCACAAGCTCCCAGGCACCAAGCCCCCTCCTGTCCTCAGATCTCCCGCCACCCATTGACCTGACAGAGCTAATCACCTTTGCATCTTCCCTGGCCATGGCCTCCTCCAGCAGGATGGACCTGCCCAGTTTGGAACACATGATGAAAGCTCCACCCCAGGAGGCTCTGGAGCCTTCCACAGAGCCCCTCCTGACCACTGTGGAGGAGCGAGAGCCAGAAAATCACGCAGAGACCCTGCCAGAGAAACCACGCGAAGCCAGAGCACCACTGAAATCTTGGAGTCAGGAAGACAAGAACTTCGCTCAATCTTACTTTGACTTCAGCAAGCCGGGGATCAAGAGGGCCACCATCAAAGGGCAAATCCAGCTTCTCCAGCCACCAGCCACGTCCCCTCTGCTGCAGGGAAGCAAGGAAGAGTGAGTGAGGCCAGCCCCGCAGCTCCCATAGAGGGGCTGTGCTAGAACGTGGCAGGGGTCCTCACACAGCTGGGTAGGGGTGGGGAACAGTGGAATGAGGGCCTGGGAGCAGGATGTGGTGGGCTGTGACGCCTCCACCTCAGTGACCTCATAAAGGCTGTTGGAACGAGGTTCCAGTGGACTGAGGCGCAGAGCCAAGGCGAGGGCTGGAGGAGGCCTGGGGACCAAGGAGGGTGGGCACAGGGGCCTGGGTTCAAAATGGGAAGGACCACACTGGCATTAGGCGGCTTTCCACCCTGGGGGTCGGGCCTCACCAAGGTTGGGAATGCTCAGGCTGGGGTCTGCCCTGTTGAAAGCCTGTTGGCCCCAACCCTGGGGTCCAGGACACTTTTCTTGAGGGGAGAATGAGGGTGCAGGGCTCTCCAGTACACCTTGCTTTCTGGTAGTGAATGGACACAGAATGTAATCTCAGCTGCCCAGACGCGGGCAGCAGCAGAAGACCCCTTACCCCCAGCGACCTCTTCAGAGGGGCCTCTGGGCTCACCCCTCTCCTTCAACCACCCTCTGGGGCCCAAGTGACACTCTCTCTTTTGTGTTGCAGCTCAGTGCCGCCAGGAAAAGAGAAAGAGAATCCATTATTGGTGAAAATCCATTTTAAGCTGTCAGCCCCCACAATCCCAGAGAAATGACTAGACAGAACCAATAAAGCCTCCAGTGCTGGCCGTCGGCTTAGACTTTTGTGCAAATGCCCCTGGGCCAGGGAGCCCTCCTGGCTGCTGTGTCCTCGTCTGTTTTTTAGGGATGCCACCCCATTTTTTAGCTGCCCCAGCTCCACCTGCCCCCAGAGGGCAATGCCACCCTTGTCCTGGCCACCCATCTCTCACCTGCCCACTCCCCAGGGTCAATTCCCTTCACTCCCTCCTGGCCAGCCCTCTAGGCCAGCAGAAAGACTTGTGGCTGGTCTTGGGGAGACCTCGGTGTCCTGTGAGGCTTCCATTTCTTAGACTGTGAAATGAGGCTTCCTCTTGGCCTGAGGCCAGGGATGTGTTGGGATCATCTGAGGAGATGGCCTTCTGGGCGTGGACTGGGCAGGTGAGAAAGTGGGTCTGAGGGGGTTCTTCCTGCGCTCTTCATGGGGAAGAGCTGGCATGGGGAAGGGATGGTGTCCAGGAGCTTGAAGGGGAGGAAAATGAGGCCGAAGAACTGGTCCTCCAGAGGGTCACAGGCTGGAGCTAGACGTACCTCCAAATGCAGGAGAGCCATAGATCACCCAGACATGTGCACACAGACACCACCAGCTGCCCGGCACATCACACATACAGCACCCACACACAGAGGAAGCAGCACATGCCACACATGCCCATGTACACATGTGCCTGTGACAGTCGCATGTACCAAACATGCACACAAAGCCGGGTGTGGTGTCTCACGCCTGTAATCCCAGCACTTTGGGAGGCAGAGGCCAGCAGATCACTTGAGGTCAGGAGTTCGAGACCAGTCTGGCTAACATGGTGAAACTCCGTCTCTACTAAAAATACAAAAATTAGTTGGGCGTGGTGACATGCATCTGTAGTCCCAGCTACTGGGGAGGCTGAGGCAGGAGGATCTCTGGGGTCCGGGAGGCAGAGGTTATAGTGAGCTGAGATTGCACCACTGCACTCCAGCCTGGGCAACAGAGCAAGACTCTCAAAGAAGAAAAAAAAAACACACATGCACACAAATGCACACTCCTCCCACCCAGGGTTTGGCCTTGGAGGCCCAGAAGGCAGGCAGTATAGACTGGCTTCTGGGAGAGTAGAGACGGCAGCAAAGGAAGGAAGGGGATTCGGAGTATGCGGATGGACAGGGATGTGGACAGGGAAGCCTGGGGGAGGGAGAATGGGAGGCCGCGCCATGGCCTGGCCTCAGGTTCCCTGCTAAGCAAAAGCCCAGCCTTGTGGATCTTCAAGAGCCTGCCCAGCTTTCGAACGGGCCAAGGAGAGAGATGCCCAGGGCCTGGAGGGTGGGATTAGGAAGGGGTGAGCAGTTCAGAATGGGCCAGGGCCAGCAGGAGAAGCGGGAAGGAGACTGGAAGGAGGGACAAGGAGGAGCTGCAGAGGTAGGTGTCTTGGGGGCGGTGGGGGACTGAGCCAGAAGCATCACTGGACTCTCAGGACTCATCTTTCCTTAGGTTTTTTTAAATTAATAGACTTTATTTTTTAGAGCAGTTTTAGGTTTGCAGCAAAACTGAGTGGAAAGTACAAAGAGTTCCCATGTACCCCTGTCCCCACCCACATACAACCTCCCCCGCCATGGACATCCTGCAGTGGTACATTTGTTACAACTGATAAACCTACACTGACTCATCATCATCACCAAAAGGCCACAGTTCACAATGGGGTTCACTATTGGTGTTCTACATTCTATGGGGGTTTGTTGCTGTTTTTGAGACGGAGTTGTGCCCTGTCACCCAGGCTGGAGTGCAATGGCGTGGTCTCAGCTCACTGCAACCTCTGTTCACCTCCTGGGTTCGAGCAATTCTCCTGCCTCAGCCTCCCAAGTAGCTGGGACTACAGGCACCCGCCACCATGCCCATCTAATTTTTGTATTTTTGTAGAGACGGGGTTTCACCATGTTGGCCAGGCTGGTCTTGAACTCCTGACTCTAGGTGATCCACCCGCCTTGGCCTCCCAAAGTGCTGGGATTACAGACGCGAGCCACCACACCCGGCCCGTTCTATGGGTTTTGATTGTAGTATGATACAGAGTCGTTTCATTGCCCTAAAAATTCTGTGCTCTACCTGGCCCCTCCAACTCCTGTCAACAACTGGTCCTTTTACTGTTGCCACTGTTTTGCTTTTTCCAGAATGATTTGGAATCATACGGTATGCAGTTTGTTTGGGTTGGCTTCTTTCACCTGGTAATACATGTTTAAGGTTCCTCCTGTCTTTTCCTGGCTTGATAGCGCATTTATTTTTAGTGGTGAATACTATTGCATTGTCTGGGTGTATCACTGTTTATTTATCCATTCACCTACGGAAGGACATCCGGGTTGCCGCCAAGTTTTGGCAATTATGAATAAAGCTGCCATAAACATCCATGTGCAGGTTTTTGTGTGGATATGAGTTTTCAAAACATTTGGATAAATACCAAGGAGCACGATTGCTGGATCATGTGATAAGGGTGCGTTTAGTTTTGTAAGAAACTGCCAAACTCTCTTCCAGATTGGCTGCACCATTTTGCATTCCCACCAGCGATTAATCAGTTCCTATTGTTCCACATCCTCACCAGCATTTGGTGGTGGTGGTAGTGTTTTGGATTTTGGTATCTGAATAGCTGCATAATAGTATCTCATTGTTTTAATTTGCAATTTGCTGATAAGATATGATGTTGAACATTTTTTCATATGCTTACTTTCATTTGTATATATTCTTTGGTGAGGTGCTTGTTTAGATTAGATTTTTTTTTTTTTTTTTTTTTTTTAGACAAGGCTTCATTCTATCACCCAGGCAGAGTGCAGTGGCTCGATCATGGCTAATTGCAGCCTTGAACTCCTGGGCTCAAGTGATCCTCCTGTCTCAGCTTCCCAAAAAGCTGGGACTAAAGGTGTGCACCACCATGCCTGGCTAAGCTTTTTATTTTTTGTAGAGATGGGATCTTTCTATGTTGCCCAGGCTGATCTCAAACTCCTGGCCTCAAGTGATCCTCCCACCTCAGCTTCCCAAAGTGCTGGGATTAAAGATGTAAGCCACCACACTTGGCTTTGCCCATTTTTTTTTAAATCGGGCTGTTCATTTTCTTACTGTTGAGGGGTTTTATTTTTTTGTTTTTTTGAGACAAGTTCTTTCTCCATCACCCAGGCTGGAGTACAATGGTGCCATCATGGCTCACTGCAGCCTTGAACTTCTAGGCTCAAGCAATCCTCCCTCCTCGGCCATCCAAAGTGCCGGGATTACAGTCCTGAGCACCATGCCTGGCCTTACTGTTGAGTTTTAGGAGTAATTTGCAGAGGGCAGAAGACCAAGAGATCCGAGTCATCACAGAAAACAAACAGGTGACCAGGGCTGGAGGAGGGTCCTTTTCCCTCACCCAGGGTGGGGGGAATCACTGCCCTACCCCTTTCCCCAGAATCCCCTGCATAGAGGGCTGTGGTACAGCTTCCTATGGAGGATCCTGGGAGGAGGTGGAACTGTATACCCACAGGCCTGGTCCCAGGTCCCCTGGAGTCTGAGTACCTGAGTGGGCTGGGTCCCTCTGCCCTCTCTCCTTCCTGCCTCTGAGGCCTCCACAGCACCCTCAAAGGCTGCTCACATGAGATCCAGCAAAGGAGCAGGCTGGCAGGATGCAGAAAGGGAGGCTGCAGCTGCATACTGCCTGGCTGACCCAGATGGAGCCAGCAGCAGCCATGGCCACAAAGGCTGCACACACCATGAGGAGGGCAAGAGAAACCCAGGGCCTTGTGAAGCTGCCCATCCAGCCGAGTCAGGTCCAGATGCTGGGTCTCAGAGGTGAAGGCAGGGACCGGAGGCCAGGCCTCGGGTGCTGGGTTTGGGGTAAAGCCTGGCTAGCCCTGGCATTTCTATGCAACAGATGCAAAGACCTTTCCAACCTCTTTCTTTCTCCTGGGGCAGCTTGACAGGCAAGACACCCCAGCAGCTGGCAGGTGAGGGCCCCAGGACTGGGAGTAGAGAAGAAAATTAGGGGGTGCTCAGGGAAAAACTACAAAGGATTGCCTGCCCTGAAGCTGGGGTCACTGCAAGAAGCCAGTGTTTGCAACCATCCCTCCATGCTTGTCTGATTTGCTCATCTCTACAACCCTAGGGCTCACAGTCTTGTGTGTGTGTGTGTGTGTGTGTGTGTGTGTGTGTGTGTGTGTGTAGGAAAGGAAAAGAAAACTCAGTGGATTGGTAGATAGGTGAATGCAGGTATTTAGATGGATGGATAGATGGATGATGAACAGGATGGAAAAGAAGGGAGAAGGTAAAGAAGGAGAAAAAATGGGGGGAAAAATCTGAGTTCCCCTGCCTCATGGGGTCTAGGACCATAGGGGTAAAGGCAAAAGAAACTACAGCCCCAGTGCTCCCCCAAACAACATGTCCTGATATTGGCAAGGGCCCCTCAAAGCAGAATCACTTTATTCATCATCAACAATGGTCAGTGCCTACTACATGCCAGGCACCAGCAGGGCTCCAAGACACTGTAGCTTCAGAGCCAGACTGCCAGATGTGACCTTGGACATGAGTTTTGAATGTTTTTCAAACATGAGTTTTGGACATGAGGACTGGATGGGCACATAACATGTACCAACACACAACAGCCACTGCTACTCTTTATATTAAAAGTTATAGGCCAGGTGTGGAGGTTGATGTCTGTAATCCCAACAGTTTGGGAGGCCAAGGCGGGAGGATTACTTGAGCCCAGGACTTTGAGACCAGCCTGAGTAACATGGCGAAACCCCATCTCTACAACAAATTAAACAATAAGCCAGGCGTGGTGGCACGTACCTGTGATCCCAGCTACTCAGAAGGCTGAGGCGAGAGGATCGTTTGAGCCTTGGGAGGTTGAGGCTGCAGTGAGCCGAGATCTCGCCACTGCACTCCAGCCTGGGCAAAGAGTGAGACTCTGTCTCAAAAATAAATAAATAAATAAATAAAAATTTAAAACACCCAGGAGGGAGTTGGAATGAGCCAAGTCGTCAGTTCCACCTGAGTTAGAGTGGGCAGCTCTCAGGGTTCTTGTGTGGGTGGTTCGTCTTGCCACCTGTCCCCTCTACCCTCAGCCTTCCAGGATATCTTCAAACTCTTCAGCTCCAGCCCAACAGGCACCGTGGACATGCACAGCATGAAAGTTGCCCTGGGCAATGTGGGTATCCAGCTGAGTCCACAGGAGACGTTCGAGGCTCTGCGGCAGGCAGACTTGGATGGTGGGTGCCCCAACCCTGTCTTCTTGTCCCCTCCCACCTCCAGGCATTCTTTTAAAGAATGCCTCCCCTTCCCACAAAATCCTGGCCTGGTCCTATTTTAAAGTTCCCTCTTCCAGGAAGCCTGCCCTGACCAACACACCTATCTCATGGCCTGTAAACGTTGCTGCTGTGTTCATCCTAATCCTGATTTGGGAACCCCCAAGGCATGGGCCGTTTCTCCCCCATTGAAACTGGGGTCTGCCCTTGGCTAGAGGCAGGACTAGATTCTCTAACACCTGGAACTGCCAGCAGGCATGTGCAAGGCAGGCCTTCTGCAGGGGGCAGGCACCCACAGCACCCCCTCTCCTCTCTCCCCAGGTGATGGAATCGTAAGCTTCATTGACTTCCTGGGTGTCTTCGATGACAACCACCGCTTGGCTCAGTGCATGGGTGAGGGGCAAGGCTGGTGGAGGAGGGGTGGGCCTGGCTTAGGGGGTGCCCCCTCCTCACCCTCCTTCACCTTTTTTGCCCCCAAGCCGGGTGAGGAACAGCCAGCTCTGTACCCCCAGGGACTGCAGACCCTGTTCTTGGAAATGCTGTTCAAGCTGCTGGGCCGGGGCTTTGTGCCCTCCAAGTTGGCACGGGGGGTGATGAGGTGGGCACAACCATACCAGCTCCTGGGCCCACAATGGGAGGAGCAAACCCTGCCCCCCGCAGGGACCCCTGATATTCCTGCCCTAGAGACGGGAGCCCTGAATTCTGAGTCTGTTTCCTGGGCCCCAAGTCGCCCCAGGACAAAGACAAAGCAGCGGCTTCCGGCCCTGCTTTGGCTTCCGCACCTGTGAGACAGAGAGGGCTGGGAGTGTCTGAGGCGGCCGCCCCGCCTCTCTTCTCCAAGCTACTACTTCAAGAAGCAGCGGGCTCTGCGGCTCAGCCCAGGCTGCGGGGGTTGGGGGGCGCTCCCACGCGGGGCTCGCCTTCTGCCACGCGGCGCGCATCAGCGACCTCTCCAACTAGGAGCTGGCGCGCTCGCTGCACAAACTGCACGAAGTAGGTGCGTCCCCGACGGGGCGGGGGGCGCCGGGACCCGCGGGAGGGACCTCTCCCGGCCACTTACAACCCCCGCCCTCGCCTCCGACCCCCAGGACCCGTTCTGAGGACCGTCTCCTCCTCCACCTCCTCCCAGGCACCCGCCCCAGGTGCGCGCAGCCCGTACTCTCAGATTCCTAACCTGGAGGGGTTGGCGCTCCCGGAACGCAGGACACGAAGCCCAGCCCCGGGCCCCGGCTTCCGCCTGATCCAGCCCTACTAGCCCGGCCGCCCCAAGATCCCGCCCAGCCCGGGGCGTGTCTCGGCCTAGGTGAGAGCCGGCGGGCGGGGGAGGGACACGCAGTGAGGGGCGGGACAAGTGCCCGGAGGACAGACAGATGGGGCGACACTGGCTGGTGGAGGGGAGGGGCAGGCGAGGAGCGGGGGCAGGCCCGGAAGAAATGGGGACCCGGCAGGCGGTGACGGAGGCGGCACGCGCGGAGATGTAAGGCGAGGTCACTTATGGCGTCACTAAGTACTGGGTAGGGCGAAAGGAAAAGGGGCCAGATGCCCGGGTGGGAGGCAGGACTGGCGCAAATGGGGCGGGGCAGCCGGAAGGAGAACTGCTGCGGGGCTGGCCCGGCGTGTCTAACCCCAGCTGCCCGCTCGCCCCCTCCGGCCTCCCGCAGGGATACTGGGCCAGCCACGAAAGCCTCCGCCCCCTCGAAGCGGGCTCCCTCGCCGCCAACTCTAGTGAAGAAGCAGCCCTTCTCCCCGGCGCCCGCTGGTTTGCAGAGGCCTGCTATGAAGAGCTTGTGCAAGTAAAGCGTTTGCTGAGCGGAAACAGGCTGCGGGTGGCTGCGGCAGGCATGGAGCCGACGCGGATCTTTTGCAAACATCTTTATTAATCTCATATAAAAATAAGGTCCATGGACGGTCCTCGGGGCTGGGGCTTGCGGGGGCGAGGTGCACTTTATAAGTTACAGGCCAGGCTCCTGCTGAGGCTAAGTATGGCTATTTGGAGGGGGCTTTAGGGTGGGTGCTGCAAGCAGCATTTGGGGGAAGGGGCGGGCGATGCTGCCCTCTGTGGCCAAGAGGAGGATGCACCAGCCCGTTTGAGGCGGGCCACAGCGGAGGAGGGGCTGCCCGGCCAGCCGAGCTGAGGACCACCTTCCTTGAGCCTCAGCCTGTCCACGGCCCCACACCCCTGCAGAATCCACCTGCAGAAATAGCGGCTACAGCGAGAGGTCGGAGGTGACCTGCAGTGGGGGGCCCGGGGGACGCCGACGGGCACTGCGGCGGCCTGTGTCTGCGCGGATGTAGGGCTGGTTCCGCAGATCTGGCAGCCGAAGGAGACACATTTACCATTCAGGAGTCCGCCCAGAGCTGGGAGCATGGCTCCAGGGCACAAAGCTTAGCCTCCTAAGGACTCAGATTGTGTGCACATGGCAGGGGTACCGTTTATGTTTGCCAGACCCCTCCACCCCACAAATCACATCCCAGCCATCCACTGGCCCAGGAGAAGGCAGCATGCCTCAGTTCTCCCAAGGGTCCCAGGGGCTGTGGGCAGCGTGGTATCAGAGGCCAGGTCATCTGGGTACCTGAGGGGCTAGAGGGGCATCTCTTCTCCCAGGCTGGCCTCACAGAGGAGCCGGGATGTCCGCTTGCCGGTGCGGGCCGTGAAGGGCACCGTCTTGATCACTGAGTGGGGGTGGGGCAGGTGAAGGGGAGTAGAGAAAGGAAAAAGGAAAGAAAAACAGAAAAGGTAGCAAGAAGCAGTGTGGCAGCCAGTCCCCCAGAGGATAGCGCATTGGGTCAGAAGAAAGCATAGAAGGACAGACTGAGGATAAGACCAAGGCCTGGCCAAGCCCTTACCTGTGATGATGTCTTCAATGGCCCCATCACGGTCGCTCTCATAAATGAGTGGCTCCTTCTGCTGCCTCCGTTTCAGCTCAGAGATGAGGTCCATCTGTGGCCGCCGGGCCTTTGGCGGTGACTAGGGGGAATTTATAGCTCCAGCTCCAGGATGCCTCCCCATCACCAAAACCCTGGAATATCTGCCTGGTCCCCCACAGCAAGGACAGCTGGCTTGAGCAGAAAGAACCCTTTCCCATCCCAGGCTCCTGGGGCAGGGTCAGTCTGTAACAGTGAGGGTGTGGGGGTGGCACCAGAGGGTGATGAGATGCCATGCATCCCTGCAGCCCAGTACCAAGCCCAGGAGCAGTTGCCTACCTTGGGTGCTGGGGGCTCCCCTTTGCCCGGGGTATCAGCGCCTGCCTCCTGGGCAGCGGCTTCTTTTTTCCACTGTTCCACCTCCTGCTCAGCTTTCTGTGGGCCAAGGCAGTCTCCATGAGGGTGGCCCTCCCTACTGCCCTACCCACCCCCTAAACAGAAGCAGCCCCACCCCTCCGCTGCCCAGTAGAAAGGCTTCAGTGCCCTACAGGGCTCCCAGCCTGCCCCAGACCCGAATACCTTGTAGGCCTTAATGAAGCGGCTAAAGAGGGAGAAGAACAGGCCTGGGGATGTGGTCTTGGGGTTCTCTCCGAAGTACTCCACCACAGACTCAAAGGCCTCCTGTGGGCACAGCCTGTCAGCCCCCCAGCTTAGACCTCTCACAGCCTGTACCCCTCAGGACACTGGCCACCTGATCTGAGCTCCTCCCAGGCAGGGTGGCCCCTCATTCCTGCTGCATCCCCCCAAGGGGTCCCAGCTACGGCCACACCCCTCCAGGCTGTGCTATCTAGTGCTCCTACATGCCCCACCTCCAGGTGAGGCCAGCCCTGGCGCACCTGAGCCGTCTTGCTGTCTGCCAGCAGCTTGTCCATGGTGGGCGAGTTGGCCCTCAGGAACTCCTTGAGCACCATGCAGTCATC
Organism: Homo sapiens; assembly: GCF_000001405.40. NCBI lineage: Eukaryota > Metazoa > Chordata > Mammalia > Primates > Hominidae > Homo > Homo sapiens. The sequence goes on along the minus strand of NC_000017.11, from coordinate 45,245,332 downwards.
CTGCCGCACAAACTCTCTCTGTGTCAACTCTAGGCCTCGCTGCAGGGAGCGCACGTCCGCCAGGACACTGTCCAGGGACACTGGGCCAGGGATGGGGCAGTATCAGGTCAGTGAATCGGAGAGGCAGCCCTCCCACCAATTATATACTGTGGCCCCCTAGCTTTCTCCCAACCTACCCCAGCCCACGGCCCCTCCCCACACCCAAGGATCTGTGTGTCTCCTACCTGAGCCCGCCTTGTCCAGGAAGTGCAGGTCGCTGTGGAAGCCTGTGAGTTGCGGGTACTTCTCAGCAATGACCTTCACCAGGTAGTGCAGCAGCGTCTGCTTGCGATCAGTCGACTTCATCTCCAACAGCTGCACAAGGACCCATTGTAAGCCACAGGCCACCAGCCAGTCCCCAGCCCCAGTCCCCAAGCCAGGGGCCCCTCCTCACCGCATCCAGGCTCTGGAGCCGGAAGCCATAGGCTGCCCCACGCTTGCTACTGTTCATGTAGTTGCCAAAGGCCAGGACAATCTGGGAGAGGCAGGAGAAAGGCTCAGCAGAATGCCAGAGCTGAGGACACCGCTTAAGCATATTGCACAAGGAGGAGAAGAGGTGGCAAGGAGCAGGCCCCACACACTCAGCCCCTACTGTACTCCTGCACAGGCCCCTCAGATCCACAGCACATGTACATGTGTGTACACACAGGTCTCACACATGTGCACGGTTAACACCATGGGCACACCAAATTTTGTCCTCTGCTAGTCCAACCCACAACTTGTTGCCAGCATCCCCTCCTAGTCTGTGTGGTCACTGCCTGTCCACCAGCCATTTCTACTGGTTCCCGGGCCCTCCACTGAGCAGGTGAGGTTGCTCACAGAGCAACGCTAAAGGGGACTGAGCCCTCCGGCAGGGTCCCAGGTGAGCTGCTACAGACACGGCTGCTGTACCCCTTCCCACTCGCCACCACCCTTAGATTTGTCCTTCTCAGCATGTACATGAGAAGTGGGAATGTTATCTTTGTTGCATTGCAGGTGAGCAGGGCCTGGGTCTCCCTCTCACACTATCCAGAACAGGCAAGGGTGGGCCCCACCTCCTGGCCCCTCACCTCCAGGATCTGGCGGAGTTTGTCAGAGGACTTGATGGACATTGAGGCTGCAATGATGGCATTCAGTTGCTGGGGGTGGGATGGGGGAGGTAAGATAAGTTGGAGCCTCCTCCATCTGGAGGCTCAAGTACTCCCAGGTTCCCTGCCGCAGCCCAGGCTGGGAGTTGCCTCCTGCCCATCCCCTCCCAAGTCACACCGCCCTGCCCGCTCCGCCCACACCGGCATGAGCAGCTGGGCTGTGTCCGGGAAGTTGCCCAGGAAGGTGAGTGTGGTCATGCGCTCCGGCAGGCGCGGGATGCGGCTGAAGCATAGCATGAAGCGGTCCTCCTCTGACAGCTCCTCCATTGGCCGCTGCTCCCGCTCAAAGCGGGTGATGAGGCTGCGCTCATACTCTGTGGGCAGGAAGCGCATCAGCAGCTCCAGGAAGTCCAGGCCCAGAGCCTGCAGGTCGTACCTGTGAGAGGGAGGAGAGGGGAGATTGGGCATCATCCATACCCACCAGTCCCTGGGAGCAGGGCTACCCCTGCCTTGATTGAATAAATGAATTTCAGTATTTTCTATTTGCCAACAGCTTCAGAGAGCAAGAGGTAGGAATCCAGAGAAACTGGGAACTGGGAATCCAGAGAAACTGGGAACTGGGCAGCCAGGGTCCCCATCGTACGTCAGCGGCGGACGCCCGGCTGTAAATCCCACAGCCTGGGTGCTCACAGCTAGGCAAAGAGGCAGGGAGGAAGTGGGACATCCTAATTTAGGCATGGACTGAGTTTTCTCCACCTTAAAATGGGGACAAGTTTCCTGGACCAGGGTTGGTATGAAGCCTGATGAAAGAGCTCACCATTGAGGCTCTTTTACTAGGATCTGCCTGACAACCCCAGCCTAGCAAAGGGGCCGGACTGCCCACAAACCCAGGACAGGGACACTCACGCCTCAATGGCTTGGCAGATGCGCTCGGCCCCCAGGTTGCCCTTCCGCAGGGTGATGGCCAAGTTCTTGGCCCGGTTGGCCTCAATGAGTGTCGCCTTGCTGGGGGCCTTCTGGGCTGCCTTACTCTTGAGAGCGCTGAGGTCCAGGCTGGGGCCTTGGGACTTGGTCTTGAACTGTTCCTCAAAATCACTCATGTCTAGCTCCTGAAGGTACAGGGTGAGGAGGCGGAGCTGGGTGGGGCTGGGGTCTGGCACTCTCCTGGCTGAGCACAGTGCTAGAGCCATCCATCTGGCCCTGACCAGGCCACCAGCAGAGAACCAGTAACCCAGCCTGACCACAGGCCCTGATGGGAGGCACAGGGGAAGCACAGGGAGCCTGGAGGAGGAGGGCCGCCTAACCCGGGGGATCCAGACTTGGGGCCACAAGAGCTAAAGGAAGAGCTGAACTGGCCAGCGGTAAAAAGGAGAAAGGAAAAGACATTCCAGGCAGAGGAAACAGAATGGAACAATGGCCTAGAGGCAAGAGAATACATCCTTTTGGAAAACTGGAAGTGGAATCAGGAGGGCTGAAGCCTTGGCTGCCTGTGGGAAAGTGGAAGGAAAGAGGCCTGGAGGCAGAAGAAGTGGGGTGAGGGGAGGCACCCCTCTGCAGGGATGGAGGGGAAGGCGTTTGGGAAAGCAGGATTCTGCCTGTTAGAGGTATTGGTCCAGTCTGGCTTAATGCCCATCCCTGGGCCTCCCCCTCCTCATCTGTGAAATGGCTTGGAGAAAATGACTACCCCCAGGGCCCAGCCTGATCCAGGCAACTCCCCTCTTCCTCCGGTGCCCACATGGGGAGCCAGGCAGGGCCACTCACCTGCAGCACCTTCTCATCATTGAGCTCTGTGAAGACAGTGCCGGTGATCTGGCTGGGTTTCAGTGCCACCCAGTTCAAGAGTGGCATTCGGAACTTAGTCTGGATGGGCTTCTTGGCCTTCACTCCTGGGACGGGGGTTTGGGGGCAGTGGTGAGCACTGGGGGTACTACTGGAGGGAACCTGGGCCCAGGGAGGGCTGATGGGGCAGCCAGGAGGCAGCAGGAGGCCCCCAGGCAGAGGACCCTGGAGGACACTGAGGCCCAGGCCCCTCCCTCCATCTCCCCCCAGCCCCGGGCCCAAGGTGGTCCACTCCACTCACCTGGGCCCAATTCTGAGTCGCGTCTTCCTAGGGCATCAGGAGGACCTCCGGGAGGCGGCGGCGGCGGCGGCGGCGGCGGAGGCACCGGCCCGTCAGTGCCCGGAGGTGGTGGCGGTGGCGGGGGTGGGGGCGGCAGGTCTCCGGGCAGCGGCGGCGCAGGCGGGGGCTCCGGGCTGCCAGGGAGAGGCGGGGCCTGTGGGGGCGCAGAGGGCGGGGCTTCCTGCGGGGAGGGGAGGCCGGGCAGTGGGGGCGGCGGCGGTGGCGCTGCTCCGGGAGCCGGCTCTGCTGCAGGTGCGAGATCTGAGCCAGCGAGGGCGCGGCGTGGGGGAGGCGCGAGTCAGCTCCTTGACTTGGGTGGGCCCCTCTCCGCCTCTCCGCTCTACGCATGCGCTCCTACCTGAGCCGAGCCTACAATCCAAACCTCCCTCGCCCAACTCTGCCCGCCACAGATGCCCCTGGGCTCCCCTCCAGACCCTGCCCCGCATCCCCGCCAGCCTGAAGCTCCTGCGCACCTGGGCTGGGGGAGCCGGTCGGCACCCCCGGAGTCGGAGCATCACCGCCGCTCGGAGTTGCCACAGCGACGGGGAGGATCTCGATGGAGACAGCATCCCCCGGCCCCCGCAGAATACGGATTAACCCCTTCTCCTCCAGCTCCTCCACCTTCAGCTCCAGGGCCGAGGGCCGCGTCGGGGCAGCGGGAGGCGCTTTCTCAGGCTCTGGGGGACGCCTGGAGGGCCCCATGGCGGTCGATTCGCTGAAGCGCTCCTACGAACCCCACGGGAGGGGTCAGTGCCCACCAGCAGGCTCCTTGGCACCAAGCCTCCATCTTCTTCCCGGGGTGGAGGGAGATGTCAAGCCTAGAAGCCTCAGCTGGCCTGTTCTTGGGCGCCTGGCCTACCACCCGCCCCAGCCTCACCCGCAGGGTCTCCAACTCCTTGCGCGCCTGGCTTAGCTGTTTTTCCAGTTCTGCAATCTTGGCCATGGATTCGTTCTCCGCGTCCCGAAGCCGCTCTGTCAGCTGTAGCACCAGCACATGGTGAGCCCCGACCCGCAGCCCGGCACTGGCACCGCCGGTGAGGGGGCGGCATCAGGCATGCCTGCCTGGAAGACTGGGGGAGGCTCCCAGATCCGCTCAGCCCAGGTGCCAAGGGTGGGCCGAGCCTGGCACTCGAACCCAAGCAAATAAGGAGAGGAAACCAAGGTACCAGTGATGCGGGAGGTGGAGGGAGAGGAGGAGACTGAGCTGGGAGGGGCCCCAGGCACCCATTTCAGTTCACCTGGGGTCTGAGCCTGGGTAGAGGAGGGGCCTGTCAGTGAGGGTGCTCACCCACACTCATTGAGAAAGACACCCAACAGATTCAGGCTTTGGATTCAGGCCAGGCTCTGGGGCCAGGCAGGCAGCACCTCCAATGCACAATTATAACACTGTCTGCTGCCCAGTGCCCATGCTTGCGTGGCCCTGTGGCCCGTGTGCCCTGTGGGCCTATGATGTGCTGGGCTGGGGTCAGGACCCACTCTCACCAGCGCCACTTGCTCCTGCAGTTCCTCCATGTGCTCCAGCACAGCGTTCTTGGTCTCTGTGTCCTCCAGCAGCGCCCCCACATCAAAAATATTGTCCAGGTACGCCTGGATCTGCACCTGCAGCTTGTCACTCTCGGTGAGCCGAAGCCTCTGTCCCCCAGATGGAAGGAGTGGGGTGAGGCCTGGTGTGTGTGTGGGGGGGAGTCTTTCCAAACCACCCCCCTGCCACCACTGCCATCCAGAGGAAGGGGCCTGAGCCCTAGCCTACTTTTTCTTTATTTTTTAATATATAATTCACAAATCATAAAATCCATTTTAAAGTGTACAATTCAGTCATTCTTAGTATAGCCACAAGGTTGTGCAACCATCACCATTATCTAATTCCAGAACATTGTCATCAGCCCAAAAAGAAACCCCACAGGCGTCAGCAGTCACTTGCCATTCTCTCCTCCCCCAGTCCCTGGCAACCACTAATCTACTTTCCATCTTTATGGATTTACCCATTCTGGACATTTCATATAAAGCAATCATAGATAGCTGGGCGAGGTGGCTCATGCCTGTAATCCCAGCACTGTGGGAGGCTGAGGCAGACGGATCACCTAAGGTCAGGAGTTCAAGACCAACCTGGCCAACGTGGTGAAACCCCCGTCTCTACCAAAAATACAAAAATTAACCGAGTGTGGTGGTGGGCACCTATAATCCCAACTACTGGGGAGGCTGGAAAATCACTTGAACCCGGGAGGCAGAGGTTGCAGTGAGCCAAGATCGTGTCACTGCACTCTAGCCTGGGCAACAGAGCAAGACTCCATCTCAAAAAAAAAGCAATCATAGAGTACGTGACCTTTTGTGTCTGGCTTCTTTCACTTAGCATGTTTTCAAGGCTCACCCATGTTGTACCATGTGTCAATACTTCATTCCTTCTTGTGGCTGAATAATACTCCATTGCACAGATAGACCCCCCCGCCAGCCTGCTCTCTACCTTTTGTTAATCCTGGCTTTCAAAAATCCAACCCCGAAAGCCCCGCTCCTCCAGGAAACCTCCCAAAGGAAGCAGAGAAGGAGCTGCAGCTTCTCTGCTCAGCCTGGGCCAGGAAGCACCAAGCAGCTCTGCCCACCTTCCCCAGGGCAGGGAACTCCTCCATGTCCTGGGCCCATCCAGCATGAGCCAACTCCTGCTTCTACCCTGTATCTCTGGGTTCCCCATTATATGCTGGAGTCAGAGCACCTGTCTGAGGCTGGTGCTCCCAGAGCCAGACTCTGGGCTACCTTGACCTGTTCTGGTGCCTGCAAAAACAGTTCCATAGACTGGGGGCCTGGTATGTGCCAGGCACTGGTCTATGCATTTAGAGTCAAGATTATCTTCTATGATTCTCCTATTTCACAGATGGCAAAACTGACACTGAGAGAGAGGAAGAGGCCTATCCAAGGTCACACGGCAGGCAACGGCAGAGCCAGGATTTAAACCCAGGTCTACCTGACCCCAGCACTCATGCTGCTAACCACTCAGCCATACTCTGCCGTGGGCAGGCAGTTCAGTCTGGGGGGCAGTACAGGGCTTACCTCCAAGTACAGGTCCAGGCCCAAGTGGGTGAACTCATATTGCAGGAAGACACGGAAGTTCATGTTCTCCACCGAATGTACCACAATGTTGATGAACTGCATGCAGGCCACCTGGGAGCCAGGGACATGGGGAGATCTATGATCCTCTAGGTGGGGTTGCTCAATGCCTTCCACCTCCACTTACCCCAAGCCTCCCTCCTTCTCCACAGTTCTCACTCCACTAACTCCCAGCCTTGGCCTGCCCAACATTTCACCTCCATGTTCCCTCAATCCAGCCCCCTGCCAACATCCACCCTTCCCCTACTGACCACTCAGTCCTTACGCTTTGCGGGGGCAGAGCCCATTGCCCAGCACCCAGGACCCTAGCTGCTCCCTGCACCCAAGAGGGCCTGGCCCAGGCCTCAGGCTGCTGGGCTCCTGAGCTCACCATGAAGTCGATGTTGCTGTCCTCATTCCGGAAATATTCCATCAGCTTTTCAAAGCGGTGCTGCTCCCCACACACCTGGGTAAGGGGAATGGCTCTCACTGAGGCCCAGTGACACACGTCCTAAGCTACCTTCTGGCTGCCACACCTGTGCTTCAACAGGCTCCTCTCCAGTTAATTCTAAGTTGAGCCACGTCACTCTTCTGCTCAAAACCTCCACTCCCTCTCAATCTCCCACTCTCCCTCACTTTTTCCACTCTGGCCACACTGGCATCCTGGCACATTCCCACCCCAGGGCCTTTGCACTTACTGTTCCAACTCCCTGGAGTGCCCTCACTCCCACACCAAGTCCCTTGCTTCCTTCACAGCTTTGCTGAAATCTCACTTGCTCAGTGAGGCCTTCCCTGACCACCCTGCAACCAATTCCCCCTCCCTCTGCAACATTGCTGGCTTTTTTCTCACAGCATTTATCATTTCCTAACATACTATGTAATTTGCTTGTTTATTATATCGTTTCTGTCTTTCCCTATATGGTTTCCTTTGTTCACTGATGTGCCCAAGTGCCCTGTTCCTGACACATAGTAGGCACTCAATAAATATTCATTAAAGGAATGAATGAATGAAGATATCTTGTCTTATGCATCTTATGCAGCCCCACACATCTACTTCTTGCAAGCCTGTTAGCCAGAGTCCGCAACTCCTGGAGGTATGAACCAAGGCTAGTTTGGATCTGGCAAGGCTGAGTCAGAGGTTCAGCAGGTCCCTGTAGTTGTCCCTACCCCCACCCAGGTGGTGCCCTTACCTGACCCTGTACCTTCCATTCAGAACTTCCCCATCCCAGATTGCTGAGCCAGTGATGTGGCTCAACTTCAACTTTTGGGCGTTCCCCAAATGCCCACCCAATGTCCCCAGCTGCCTCCAGCAAAGGCCACAACTGCCAACAACAAGACTCCAAGCAACACCATAGGGGGAAATGCATGTTTGGGTGAGGGACTCCGGTACCTCCTTGAAGTTGTCAAAGGCTGCAAGGATGATGTCATGTCCTCCCCGCACCAAGCACACGGCCGCCAGCAGCTCCAGCACCAGAGCCTTGGTTCTGGAGAGAGAAGGGGCAGGTTGTCCCTTGAGAACAGGCAGGACCCGCGGCAAGGGTGGGCACAGGCCTGGCTAGGAGGAGCATAGTGGGTGCAGAATGAGCCTCTGAGACCTGGAGGACAGAGTAAGCAAGGGGCTAAGTAGGAGAAGACTCTAGATACGGAGAAAGGTTTGGGGCCTGGACCTCACCTGGGGTTCTTGTTGTTGAGGCTCAGAGCAATCTCATTGACACAGGCTGGGTGGTTCATGACAAGGCTGAAGCCAGACTGGGGAGAGAGGAGAGGTCAGTGTCTCCAGGAAGGGCCCCCCAGGACTTCAGGCACCCACGCCACGTGGATCTTTAACTGCCCTCGAGTTTAGGAAGTTCTTTGTATCCAACCGCAACTTCTGTGGCCACCAAAACCTGGCCTTGTTTCTATTTTTTTTTTCAAGATGGAGTTTCCCTCTGTCACCCAGGCTGGAGCGCAGTGGCGCCATCTCAGCTCACCGCAGTCTCTGCCTCCCGGGTTCAAGTGATTCTCCTGACTCAGCTTCCCATGTAGCTGGGATTACAGGCACCTGCCACCACACTCAACTGATTTTTTTTGTATTTTTTTCAGTAGAGACGGGGTTTCGCCATATTGGCCAGGCTGGTCTCAAACTCCTGACCTCAGGTGATCTGCCCACCTTGGCCTCCCAAAGTGCTGGGATTACAGATATGAGCCACCACGCCTGGCCTCTCTTTATTTATTTTTTATTTTTTTATTTTCATAGAGATGGGGTTTCAGTATGTTGCCCAGGCTGATCTCAAATTCTGGGTTCAAGCAATCCTCCCGCTTCGGCCTCCCAAAGTGCTGGGATTATAGGCATGAGCCACTGCACCTGGCCTCTTTTTAAAAACCTTTGTGTTTCCAAAAGCCAGCATCAGGCACCTTGGAAACCGTGAAGCTGGCTTAAAGGCGGGCTAAGTAAAGGAGGACCCAGCTTCACCCATCAGCCCTCCAAATGAATCGACCCGAGGCTGTTCTCCCCTGGCCCTCCGGCCAGCCCTTCTTGGTAGGTGAGCCCAGTCCCTATGTGAGGCTCCTTCATGCCCAGCCATGGGCAGGGGTACTCAGAGAACCTGACAGAGGCAGCAAAAACATGGGCTTCCCCTCAAGACTCATCAGCCTTAAAAGCCTGAGCCAACAGCCCAGATGCGCAAGTTCCCCAGCACAGCACAGGGTAAAGGGACAGTGGATCCCAGAGCCTCGGCAGCTTGTGTAGCCCCCAGTGAGGACAGGCTGGGCTCCCTAGTCGCCAGTCCCATGCCCCTCGGCTGACCTGGTAGTTCATGATGGCGCGTAGGCACATAATACAGACGTGGACGTCGTCCTTCTGGCTGACGATGCGGGAATTCCGCAGGGCCTTCCTGCTGTGGGCTGGGGTCAGCCTGGGCGGGGTGTGGAGGAGGCAGCAGGAGTCAGAGTGAGCCCCAGCTTCCTGTTTCCCCACCACTCAGCCTCTGGGGTAAGAGGAGGCACATCTGGAACCTGACGGCACCACATCCCATCTACCCAACCAAAGAGGCTGGCTGAGGGCAGGCAGGCTTCCTCAGTCCTTAGACCTGGGGTCTGGCATGCTTGGAGGAGGGGGGACACAGAAGCAAAGACACTTCCCAGGGACTTGGTAGGGTGAGGGTCTATAGAAGGAAGAGACATGGGAAGGATCACCACAAGGTGGCGCTCATGGCCACTTGGGCTCATCTTCCAATGTAAGACGCAGATCTGAATTCACACTGCCAGGGTTCAGGCGCATCCCAGCTCACCATTTACTGGATAAGTCACTTAATCTCCCTATCCCTCACTTTCCTCGCTTCTAGAATAGGAATGCTAATAATAGTAGCTTCCTGTCAGGGTTGTTGGGACTATGGAATAGGCTTAGAACAGTGCCTGGCACATAGTAAGTGCTATATGACTGTACTCCCTTATTCTTCGCCAACAAATGTGTGATGTTTTCATTGTTGCAGAACTGCCGACCGGGACTTCCACATGTCAGTCTCTCTGATGATTCTATCACATTCCCAGTAATACCAGGAGGCCCCGCCTTCACCCCCTCCTGCCACATCACCCTTTCTTGTCATTGTGCTAATATGTCAGAGTTTTTGTTCATGCTGTTCCTTCTGCCTGGAATGCTCTTCCCTGTTCCCATGGCTGCCTGTAAAGCCTGTATCTGTCTGTAAGACACAGTTCCAGCGTCACCTTTTCTGGGAAGCCTTCCTGATGTCCCAAGTGGTGGCCACCTCCCTTCTCAGAGCTCCCAGGCACACTTCCATGACAGCCTGTCACACTAAATTGTCCCCCACTTAGACTGTGGGCCCCTGAGGGCAGGGTGACCTGTCTCCTGGGCACCTGCCATATACCTAATACATACTAAGTGTTAAAAAAATGTTTGCTGAATGCATAATTGCATGAATGGACAAATAACATATTGTGAAAGTTTGAGGCTTAATATGCAATCAATCCTCTAGACCCAAAGCAGGAAGCTAGGGATTCACAAGATGCTCTAGGGTCCATCTACTGCCTGCTTCCTGCCTCCCAGCAAGATGCCCGTGTTAGGATGGAGGAACCCAGCCACAGCACTGAACCCAGGGACATCAGTTGAATACCTCATCCTAACCCACCACCACCCTGGGAGGGAGTCAGCCAGGCATGCACCTGCCCCTAGATGGCTACGTACCGGGGAGAAGGGGGACACCTGGAGGCCGCATGGGAGAAAACAGGGGATTAGATGCATACAAGAGGGGTCCCACCAACCCAGAAACTCCCTTCTTATCCCAGACCCATCCAGACTCCAACTTCTAGGTGCCCACCCCGATGGCTTCTTTTTTCTTTTCTTTTCTTTTTTTTTTTTTTTTTTTTTTTTGAGACAGGGTCTCACTCTGTCACCCAGGCTGCAGTGCAGTGGTGCGATCTCAGCTCACTGCAACCTCCATCCCCTGGGCTCCAGCGATTCTCCCACCTCAGCTTCCTGAGTAGCTAGGATTACAGGCGTGCACCACCACACCCGGCTAATTTTTGTATTTTAGTAGAGATGGGGTTTCACCATGTTAGCCAGGCTGGTCTCAAACTCATGTCCTCAAATGATCTGCCCACCTCAGTCTCCCAAAGTGCTGGGATTACAGGCATGAGCCACAGCACCCAGCCCCACCCCTGATGGCTTCTTAACATACTGGTGTCCCAAACTCTGTATGAGTCCCTTACTCGGACCCCTAATGCATGGCTACCCCTCTCGCCAACCCCAAGGGCCCGGGGTGGGCTGGCTAGATGCAGCAGTGTGGGGGCTGAATTCTCTGTTCTCCCACCACCCCACTTTGTGGCCCACATACTTGATGGTCAGGTGGCGGCTTTTGGGCACGGAGGAGGGTGGACCCTTGCTGAGGTCTTCCACAGACTGCTCCAGGGGCTTGTTTTTCTCTGAGTTGGAAGCCCCGTTGTCTGTGCTCTCCATGTCATACCTGGGGACAGGATGCAATGGGGCTGGAGGCCAACACTGCAGGGGCCACTTAAGAGGGGGCAGAGGAAACGCAAGGAGAGACAGACCTGCAGGTGAGACTAAGGAGCAGGAGGAGGAGGCTGTGTTCTTGGCACTGTGCTGAACATAGTGGTGGAAGAGAGGCCACCCCTCCCTGTCGGGGGCAGGCCTTCTGGAAGGAGCATCGCTCAAGGCCAAGTGGAGGGTTCCAGGGTAGGCTCGGGCTGCCTGGCTTGAAACTGGCCAGGGGAGTGGGTGAGATGCAGGGAGACGGGGATCAAAGCTCTGAGGAGCGGCATGAGGGCTGGGAGCAGGGGGCTTACGTGACAGAGCACTGGGCAAAGGCCAGGTACTCGAGCAGCACATCCAGGCCACGGTTCTCTTCATTGAGGAACTCCTGCACCCACCTGTGGGCACAGGGCTCCCTGAGCTCCAGCCAGAAAGGAGGTCCTGCCCCACATGGGCACAGAACAGGGACAGCAAGGACCCCTGGGGTGCCCTTTCAACCCCCAAAGACCCAATGATACCAAAGGATTCTGGGAGACTCAGGTGGGTCCCACAGCCCAGCCATGCCTCAAGGTGCCAGTCAGAGCATGGGCAGGAAGGGGAGGGGAAGCTGTCCTGGACACCTCCAGGAGGTGGTCCACAAGCACAGCCTTGTGCAGGGGGCAGGGGGAGTAGGAAGGGGAAGCTCCAGGAGCTGCCTGGAAGCAGAGCCTTCCTAGGCCCAGAGAGGAAGATCTGAGCCCTCACTCACCCAATGTGGTTGGTCCTCAGGGAGGTCTCCAGCTCCCGTAGCACCTGCGTGGACTCCTGAACTCGCCTCTTAAACTGGGGACCGAGAACAGGGAAGGCTGGTGGGTGGAGCCCGGCCTCCCACAGGCCCACCAAGTCCTGAGGCAGCAGGCAGCAGCGCCCACCCTCCTCCAACTGGCACAAGTGGCCTTTCATGCTCAGCCTCCCCCACCACCTCCACACACCTGCCCAGCAGAATAAGAACTCACAGGCTACATGTGCTCCCCCATACATAGACAAGCAGGGTACACACACCCCCGATACATGGGCACACAAGGTATACACATGCACACACACAAAGAGGCAGAGTGTGTGTGCGCACACACACACACAGCACATGAACATCCATATACCTGCACTCTAAATACAGACATAGAATATCCACACATCCATACATGGACACACACACACACACATTCTCTCTCTCTCCTAGATATGGACTCAATGGTACACACACACATCCATAAGTGGACAAAGTACACACATAGTATACACACACACCTATGTATGGACATATGGGCTGCACATGTGTATACACACAGTATAAGTACACAGAATGTGTCCATGTAAGCACACACAGGATGTACAGAGGAATATCTAAAGTGCACACCCAGGGCACTCTCATTCCCCTATAAATACACAGACACACAAACACACACACACACTCATACATGCACCCACACACGCACATAGAAAAGTCTGTACACACAGTTACTCCAGCTGCCCAGAGCTTGGAAAATGTGGGGGAAAGGGACAGAGTAAAGAGGGGAGACATGTACCCCCAGGTTGGACATCCAATCAGCTGCTACCTTTCGGCTGACCCCACCAGTATCCACATAGCTCTTCAGCTTCTGGATGTAGGCTGCGGGGGGATTCTTGACTTGAAACCGCTCCTGGGGAGATGGAATGGGGTGTACAGAAAACCAGCCAGAGCTACCCCAGGGCAAATGACCAGTTCTCGTCCCAGTGTCCCATTCTCAGCTCCGATCTGAGGTCCCAGGCTTTCTTAAGACGCCTCTGAAATACCAAAGGTATAAACCCAAACAGTCCACCAAGCCACTTTCTTTTTTTTTCTTTTCTTTTATCTTTCTCTTTTCTTGCCCTGTGGCCCAGGCTGGAGTGCTGTGGCACGAACATAGTTCACTGGAGCCTCCTACTCCCGGGCTCAAGCGATCCTCCTACCTCAGCCTCCCAGGTAGCTGGGACTACGGGTGTGCACCACCACGCCCAGCTAGCATCGGGCCACTTTAAAAACCCCTGGCCTAGGCCTAGCCTGCCCTTCCTGTATGGGCTCCCAGGCCACAGCCCTGACACAGCTTTGGGGTGGACTATGCAGGGGTCAGTCCTGCCGTAGGCCCCGCCCTGGGGTGGGAAGGAACTCAGTCTAGCCAGCAGGTGGTGCCCTCCCTGGACCAGAGCTGGCATACGGCGGGGAAGGACGGCTGGAGGTGCCTCGTGAAGGGGACCCAGCACCTGGGTAGGACTCGGACCCAGCCGCCCTGCACATCTGCGTTGGCAGGAACCTGCGTGCTCCTCTCCTGTGCTCAGTGATGCAATTCCTAATCCCCCCACCCCACTGCAGGCTCCAGCGGCCACTCACACAAAGAGGCAGGGACCACGGCAAAGACCCCTCCCCAGAGGGGCCCCCACCCTTCCAACCCAAACCCCTCAGATTCGCCGAGCCACCCCTCAGACTTTCACTTCTTCCAGCCCTTTGAGCCCCCAACCTCTGAGATGTCAGGCTGAGCTGCTCCAAGGGGACCCCTACCAGAGACTCCAGGGGCAGCTCTCCACCCTCTTCCCACTTCCCAGCCCTTACCCCTGGACTGCTGCCCAGCCGGCTCAGGCCATCTGCTTCATTAGCAGGAGGCAAAGGCCCAGCCTTGGCTCCCAGGGGAGGCTCTCAGCTCCCAACTCCCCACCCCCAGCCTCTGCAGCCTCCCTCCTTCACAGAATCCCTGCGGCAGCCGAGCCCCACCCAGCCCAGCGCTGGGAGAGGGTCGGCCCATGGCCGACCGCAGCCCTTGAAGCTGGAGGGGTGGGGACAGCTGAGTGACCCGTGAGTCCAGGCACCTGGACGGAGCACCAAAGCAGGGGTCCAAAGTGGCTGGCCTTGGGGAGTTGCTGGTCAACTGCAGCTCCTCTGGACCCAAGGCAAAAGGGCAGGAATTCCCGCCCCTTCCTCCCTCCCTCCCATGGGGTCAGGTGAAGATGTCCAACCCCAGGGTCGCCCTCTCCCTTCCCCAGTCCAGAGAGGTTTCTCAGGAAGCTCAGCAGGAGGACAGTGACAGTGCGAGGCCCCAGCTGCCCCAGCCTGAACCAGCTCTGCCAGCTCCTCTGAAGCTGACCCAGCCCTGCTAGTGACTCACAAGGTCTTTTGGGGAGTTCAAGAGAAAGGGATTTGGGAGTCCTGCAGACCCCAGCACCCTCCCCAGGTGCTACATTGGCCACTGAGCAGAGTCTTGGCTCCATGGGCAGTATGGCGGTGCCCCTCTCCCCATAGCCCCAGCCTGGTCAGGGTGGGGTACTGACAGTGGGAGGGAAGGGGTGGCTGGGCAGTGCTGGCACCTACCTGATCACAGATGAGCTCCCACTTCTTCTCGTTGTCATACTGGCTCAGCAGCTGGACCTTGTCTGGGGGCAAGTTCATGCAGTTCTGGGGACAGGGAGGACAAAGACCCCTGAGCCTGGGGCCCCAACAAGGGGAGAGGGGAGAATGGGCATTTGGGGGAAACCCACTTGGCTCCCTAGGAGGTGCATCACCCCCATGAATCCTCTGACCCTAGGAGATACGTAGTGTTATCCAATGAGAAGACCAAGGCCAAGAGAGACAGAGCACCTTTCCCGGGGCACACCAGCTAGAAGGGAGAGCAGGATTTGAATCCGAGTCTGCCTGCGCTGTGTCACCCCCCACACCGCCTCCCTGGCCTGCCTGGTGTGCAGGCAGGAGCGTGGGTTGTCAGCCTACCTCTCTGGGGACCTGAGACACTTCTGGGCCCCAGTTTTCCTGTTGGGGCATCATCTCTTCCCCCATTCTGGTGGGAAGCTAACAGGGGAGCCATCACCAGTCAGGCCAAAGTGTGGCCAGTGGCCAGTGGCCAGTGTCCCACCTCCACGTGCCACCAGATCCCACGTGTACACAGACCAGGCCCAGGGCACCAGTGCCTCACGAACACCAGGAAATCTCTTGCAAGGAGAGTGGACAGCAGCCTTCTCCTCATCCCTCTCCAGCCCCCTCCCACTTGGAGGAGAAGGCTGAGAAAGGAAGGAGAGGGCTGGGGGAGCTGAGGGCGGCCATGTCAGCAGGCAGGGAGTTCCAGATCACAGCTGCAGGGGCGGGGAGATTTGCGGGGAAGGTCACTCGGCCACAGCACTGGGGAGAAGAGCCAGTGCCCTGGGTCTGTGGTGGGGGCCGCCCAGCTGGGACTCCCCCAGGAGCTGAGAAAGGTCAACAGAGCTCTGCCTGGGTCCTCCTCCCCTGGCCACAGATGACAAGGGTACGGTGCCCCTGCCACCACGGAGCAGGTTAGCGCCAGCCCAGGGCTGCCGAATCAACCAGGTGTCAATAGCACCAGGGGCTTTCTGGACCCCCAGACTTGGCTTGTCTCCCTGACAGACCCAAAAGATGAGGCCAGTTCCCTTCAATTTAGTAAACCCCAGGTTATTGAGAGCCTTCTATATGTCTGGCCCAAAAAGACAGTTCCTGCCCTCAAGGAGATCTGAGTTGAGTAAGAGTCTCCATCGGGGATGTGGGAGACCCTGAGGGGCTCACCAGCCATGGTGGTTCACGCTCCACACCCTCAGTCATGTGGCTCTGCAGAGACGCCACAGCTGGAGCAGTCAGAGGGCCACACCCACCTGAGACTCCCCAGCCAGCTTCCCCTCCAGGGTGCTGGGCCTAGTTCTGGGGCTCCAGCCAGACCTTACCCCCAAAATCACTGCCTTGGGTCAGGCCCAGACAACAGGAAGCTGGGTGCGCTCAGCCTCCATTGCCTAAGCTTTCCGGCCAGGCCCTGCTGGAGAGGTGAAACTGCCCCTCCGCCAGGCCCCCCGCCCCCAGCGGCTGAAGGGGGTGGAATACGTCATTCCTCTCCCCTATTGCGAAAGTGAGCCTGGATTGAGGAAACCACCGCTGTCTCATCAGCCGCCCTCCCCCAGCCCTCCAAGGGCCAGGACAGCTCCTGCTACCACAGGGGCAGGGGGTGGGGGAACCGCCCAGGAGTACAAAGGAGGCGAGGTCATTCTCTGTCTCTCTGTCCCTGTCCATCTGTCTGTCTCTCTCGATGATGTCTCTCAGTCACCCCCACCCCACAGAGACAAAGGGTGGGGCAGGGCTAAGGTGGGAGCAAGGTGGAGAAAAGGGACAAAGAGGAGAGACAGGGCCAGCAGTGCCAGGGAAACTGGAGCCGTGGCCGGCACAAAAGACGGTGGCCAGGGAGTAAGGGGATGGCTGAGCCCAGCACAGAGCCACAGAGGGGACAGCTGCTTCCCGACATGAATCCTCCCAGGCCCTCACCCACCCAGGGAACTTTATGGTTCTGGAATGGCCCCAGCGGCATTTCTAGGGGCAGTAACTAGTCATAATGACATCTCCAACAGTCAGGTGGCCAGCTCCACCAGAATGCCTACTGTGCAAGGCACTGCTCCGAGCCCTGCGCGCCGACGACTGCCTTCCACCCTCACTGCCGTCACTGGCACCGTTAACATTCCCACCTCACAGGTGCAGGCACAGATTAGTTTAGTGACCTGCCCAAGGTTACGAAGCCAGTAAGAGGAGAGCTGGGCTGGCTTTGAGCCTGGAGCTGACTCTGAGCCACCACCTGGGTCCACTCCCCCAGGACAGCCCCCTGGTTGTTACTGCCGAGGGGAGGCCTCTGCTGGGGCCTGGAGCACCTGTCTGAACAGTGGTGGAGGGCAGGGTGCCCATGCCCCTTCCCCACCTGGGCCTTCTCAGGCCCCCAGGCCCACATGCCAGCCTGCCAGACAGGCTAAATTTAGGCTCAGAAATCAGAAATAGCTCTGACAGCGCCGAACACTAATTAGCAGCTGCTCCTCAGCTGTGGCTGTGCCCACCGAGGAGCCAGGCACTCCAGGGAGTAGGAGAGGGGCCATCAGATGCCACTCACTCGGGGTGGAGTGAGGCCACCCTGAAAACAGGAACAGACCCCCAGACCAGGGCCTTCAGCGAGGCAGCAGCACCATGGGATGGGGGGCTGGGGGACACACGGAGAGTTGGCTGACAGTGCTCAAGTAGGAGGGGAGGGGCTGGCAGTCCAGGTGGGCGGGATACCTGCCTCCTGAGGGGGGCAGGGAGGGACAGCTATGAGCTGCCACATGGAGGACCTGGAGCTGGCTTCAAAAGACCCAGGCTCTGGGCCCAACTAGCCCTACAGCTTCTTTGCCCCCTTGGACCTCAGCTTCCTCCTCCATAAAATGGGCGCACTCCCTCACCGGAGCCTCACACTCACGGAGCTCCTGGAACACTCAGTGAGAAGCTGAGTTTGGATTTAACAAAGCTCTTCAGTGGCCTAACACTATGAAGAAGCACTTCACAGAGGCAGAAGAGGTGGAGGGGCAGGGGTCCATGGAAGACCCCAGGGTAGGGGATGGTAGGGTGAGCAGAAGTTTGTGAAAACATCCAGAAACACAGACTTGTCTCCAAGGCTTTGGCCAAACCTTAACTAGCCTCAGCCTACTTTCCCTGCTGCCTTTAGTGCTTTGGGCCAGATGAGGAAAGAGACAGGATTCATCTTTTAGGGTGTGGCCGAGAAAAGGAACTGATTCCCCACATCTTTCTATTAGAATGTGTGGGGACCATTCTCCTCCCTCCCTGCCCTGAGTGTGAGAGGGGACCCCCAGCATCTGCTCACCTAAGACCAGCCCCCAAAAGACACTGCTAAGAGCCCTTCCCCCACCTCCCCCACACCAGTGCTTACTTCTGAGACAGTGTCCCAGGAGGCTGAAGGGGCTGCGTCCACATCTGGACACAGCCACACCCTAGGGTTTCACTTTCAGTTTGAGCGGAGCCTACGTCTCAGTCCACCTGCCCATCTCTCCCTATGGCCTAGCCCTTCAAGCCCCAGGGTACCCCTGAACTTGGACATCAATCCCAGTCTCAGGCCAGCCCCACAGGCTTTCCTCAGCCCGATGGGCCCAGAAGCTGAGCCTGTCCCCCAGCCCCCACTCCCCCATCCATCTCCCTGCCACCTGCCCACCTCTATATGGTCTCAACCTTAGTTGTAGTGTTCTCGGCACATATCCAAACACAATCAATTTTACCTCCTTTTTTAAACTTTGGCATATAGATTTTCTGGGGCTCTTATAAGCAATTCCAGGCTTACAGGAGATCTATGAGGAGACCCAGCCCCAGGATCAGGTGCTGAGGACCCAAAGAGCTAACAGCTTCTCCCATCAGAGTTCAAGGGTCCCCACAGCTGGGACAAGGGCAAGCAGGGTGGAAGCCACTACCTATATCATCCAGGCTGGTAGGAGGAAAACAACACCGACAACAGTAACAATAACAAACGCTCCCCAGACACTTTTTTTCACTCAGAATTAATCTCTCAATCCCAAACACTGGGTGCTAGGTGCCGTTCTAAGCACTTTACATCAAAACTCATTTAAACCTCAACAAGCCTACAAAATAGATACTGTTATAATCCCTATTTCACAAATGGGAAACTGAGACTCAAGGAGGTTAAGGTGCTTGCCCAGGGTGGCCTCGGTGGCAAGCTAGCAAGGAAGACCCGGCTTCCTCCAAAGAAGGAGCAGCCGGGGAATGGGAAATGTGGGTCCTGGCCCCCAGGGGTCTTCTGCAGACAGCCTGGCCCAGATCCCCCATCTGAGGAACCAGGAACAGCCAGCTCCACTTCCTGCCACCCAGCGCCCCACGCTTCCTGTTGTTGCCCACACAGAGCTCTTACTCACTGGGGAACCCCCCCACCAGCACACCCTCTCTCAGGGGGAAGTGGAGGCCTCCCCTCCCCCTCCCATGTGCACACTGCTACCGTTAGCACCATCGCTGCCCCACCCTCCAGGAGAGGTAGGCCCTCCCTCCAGCGGTTTCCGGCCACCAGGCAGTTTTCGGTCTGGGCCCCACTGCTGGTGACCTGCATAACGGTGGGGAGGTTGCCTGGCCCTCACTAGCTAAGGATCTGGGGCTCCTGGGGAGTGCACAGTAACCTTGGGTGCTCTTGGTAGTGGAGGTGGAGGGAGGGGACAGGCAGGGTCTGGGCTCCCTCCGCTAAATGGGCCCTGAGATGGAGAGGACCAGATCAGCTCCAGCTTTATCCCCTTTCTCACAGTGGAGGGGGGTTACTGAGCATCTGCTCTGTGTCAGGCACTGTGCGAAGTCCTCTATTTCACCCTCTCGACAATCCTAGGAGGCCAGCAGATGCCATTATTATTCTCTTTTTACAGGTGAGGGAAACTACAGCTCAGAGAAGTTAAGTAACTTGTCCAGGGCCATGCAGGTAGTGACAAAAATGAATCTCAACCCCCAAACATCATGACCCCAAAGCTCAGGAAACGTCCCTGCCTTTCCCATAAGTAACCCCTGTCCCCTCAAAGGCCCCCCAAGCCACCTTCCAGGGCTCCATGTTCCCAGGAAAAAGGCAGAGGTAGCCCTGAGAGCACCTGCTTCTACCCGTCTCACCCAGCTCTCTGCCAGTCAGCCCCAGATGTCACTGTGAATCATGCCCACCACATCCGTGGCTTTCCAGGGTTAGTATGTGCCAGCCCTGCCTGCTGGGAATGTCACCCCTCCCCTCTGCCCAGCCCAACATCAGACCACATGGCCACATCCCCCCGGAGATCCTCTGTCCTGCAAATGGCAGGCATAAGGCCTGAGCGACCCCATGGCTCCAGGTCCCCACACTTCATCTGCCCTGTCCCGGAGGTGGGAGTGGCCAGGGGGCAGTGCCTCAGTTGCAGTCCCTCCTGCCCTTTACTGCCAGCCCCAGAAGGGAAGGGCCCCAGCTGCAAGCAGGACTCCAGGCCCACACCCAACATGGGGCCATCCTGACCTCCCCACACAGCCTGGCCAGGCACCCAGGCCTCTGGGCACAAGCCAAGAGCACCCATCAGGCAAATTCCTCTCCACTGCTACTGGATGCCAGCATGGCTTTTGGCCTCACGTACACCACCCCTGACACCTTCCCTTGATCCCTCTGCCCCAAGGTTATGGGATTCTCCCTGCCCGGCAGATCAGGGGTGTCCCAGGCCCAGGTGTAAGTGTGGCTCTTCTGGCAGGCCTGGAAAGGTCGCCTTGTCATCCCAGTCCCTGACCCTGCGTGCCTCCCAGGGGAAGGCATGAAGGGGCTGGAAGACACCCAGCCTTGGGCATGGGCGTAGGAGAGGCGAGAGCTTGGCGCCCCGCTGGCTGGTGTTCCCACCATCACAGCAGGCCCGTGGGGCTGGGCAGCCATCGCTCCTCTGCTGTTGCTAAGGCAGCAGCCGGAAACCCTGGCTCAACCTGCTCTTTCTCTCCACCCCCATTTTAAGCAGGGGGCACCCCTTTCTTTCACAGCTTTCTTGGAAAGGTAGCCCCCCACCACCCACCCTTGCATGGGAGAAGGGCTCCCTGCACCTCCTGTCTGGCTGTAAGTGGGGACACCCCTCACCCACAAGAGAGGTCCTACAGCCAGGAGAGGAAGGAGAGTTTGGGGTATCAGGATCCTATGCCCCACCAGGGACAAAAGGGGAAGGAAGAGGTTCCCTGGGGCCGCTGGACTACATCCCTGAGGGCAGGACTGTGCTTCTCCCATTGAGACTGGGGACCACTGATGGCGGTGGGCCCCTCCCCTCAGCAATCTAAGGTTCTTCTCCTCTTAGACACTGACCGAGGACAGGACTCAGCTCTGGCCATGGTGGTTCGGGTGGGGGTTCACATAGCGACCAACTCTGCGATACACACTGCCAGACCTGAGGGTTGAACCAACTCTTTAGCCCTGGGCAGCCTCAGGCAGAGGTCAAGGTTGTCACCCTGGGGCAAGCCTCATGCCCCTGCTGGTGGGGAATGAGAGGAACCAGGGTCTTAGCCAAGTGTCCTTAGATTGGGTTTAACCTGCCCACAACAGGATATAAGACAGGCTGAGCCACCCCGGGAAGAAGGTATAAACACACTGGGGTTCCTGGGCACCTGGTAGGGGGTAAGCCCTGGTGGGTGCTGCTACCCTAAATTTCTGCTAGGCACCTCCACTTTCTCCACCAGCACACCCTCTCTGACCCACCTGTGGGTGTCCCCCCTCCACATCCTGGTACTCAGGGACTCCCAGTGGCATTTAGTGTCAGACTCAGCCAATCACAGCCACAAATCCAAGCAGGGCAAACAAGTCCTACACACACATCAGAACCTCACCATTTGACTTGTGGATTTTCCCCTGGTCTGAATTATTCACAGGGCTCCTCCCCATCAGCGTGCTAAACAGAAGATTGGGGTCAGGACCTCACCCCAAGAGCCCACACCCGCGACCATAGACACACACTTGGCGGAAAGACAGACCCATGTCCCTCCAACCAGGTTGGCAGGGGTCCAAGGACCCACCACCAATGCAGGCTCTCCAGATGGCCCCCAGAGACTGTGTCTCCTCATTCTCCCCCCTCCCCCATCTGCTCAGCTCAGCTCAGCTTTGTGAAGTCCTATGCTTGGGGAGCGGGGAGCAGGGCAGGTGGAGAGATGGAGAAGTCAGGGGCCAGCCTGGTGTGAGGCGTCCCTCAGTGTCCCTGCCCTCCTCTAATCAAGCAAGGTGTCTTCACAAGGATGGATCCCTCGCCACCCCATAGCTCCTCCAAACTCCCCCCAGCCTTCTCTTGGGAGAGGACAGAAGCCAACATTTTCAGGAACTGTTAGGAGGTGACCCTCTGGAGCCATGCTGAGGATCTAGCACGTATGGCCTAATGACCAGCCAGGCGAGGGGAAATGATGTCAAGGAGATGGAGGGCCACCAACTGAGCCAGAACCCTCTGCGGCCTGTGTCTCCGTTGAGCCCCCACCCTCAGACCTGCAGGGACTGGGAAATGCATCTGGGAGAAGGCACAGCCTCATTTTGCCTGTCACCCAGCGTCCAGCAAGGGAAGGCTGACAGCAGGCAGGCCACCAGGCAATTAGTTAGAGGAGGGAGCCAGGGCCAGGGCGTCGGGGGTGGGGAGAGTGAGAGTGAGCAGCTCTTCCTCTCCCTACTTCTGCCTTATGCAGGGTCTTGGAGACCCCTGAGTCTGCTCTGGAGCCCCCACCCCACTGAACATGTTGACTGTTTCCAGGCTCGGCCTGAGCTGCTGGTTCCCTCCCAGAGACCTATTCCCCAGCGACCCCGCTCCAATTCCCCAGGTAGGCACAGAGGGGGGTGGTTCCAGATTTTGCTCCACCCCTAGCCTGGGCGACCCACCCGTCCTGACCCCACCCTCCCTCATCTTACTCCCTTCAGTGGCTTGGAAAGGATGCCCCAAGATAAAGACCCACAGGCACCCTGGCTCTGACATATGGCGGGGTAGAAACACAGATACCTCCTGGCCATGATCCGACAACCCCATTCCCCGCAGCCCAGGCGCCCAACAAATCAGGACCCAACACCTCCAGCAGGTCTCCCGCTCCCGGGAGGTTGTAACCCTTTCATCTTTGACTCCAGACACAGAAAGGCAGATGCCCCAGACCCGCGCCCGGTGGCTGGGCCTGCGTGCAGTGGGGAAGGGGGCGACCCGGGACCCCTGTGCGTGCCCCGCTCCCAACTTCTTCACAGGACATACTTGTTTAGACCTTAAGACCCAGCTGGGGTGGAGGCGTCTTAGGGAGGGAGACCGGGCGATAACTGAAGAAAGTTTTGGGGGGAGAGTGCTAAGTCACTCTGAAAAAAAGGCCACTGTCGCTCCCACCTCCTGGAGGGGGCAGCTGCCGGACCGGGGATCTCCAAGCGGCACCTGAGTCCCCGGGGGCGGGGACGCGCGCCCAGCCCCTGCCGCGCCCCTGCCGCCCCCCGCCCGCGCCCGACCCGCCTCCGGGTCGCACTCACCAGGGCGCGGTTGAACCTCTCCTCCAGCTCTCCGGCCGCGGGCATCGGCTGCTTGGGAGGCGCGGGCTGCTTGGGGGGCGGCGCGGCGGGGCCCGCGGGCTGCTCGGCGCTGCCGGCCGCGTTGCCCATGGTGGTCCCCACCCAGCCGGCCAGGCGCCTCCAGCCTCGGAAATCCAGCTTTCCGGGGGACGGGGACGAGGCTCCCGGCCCGGGCGGGGGCGAGGGGGCAGCGGCTGGCGGTGGCGGCGGGGGTCTCGGCAGCGGGGGGCGCTCGGCTCAGCGGCGCGCAGGGGCCGGAGCGCGGCGTCCCATCGGGGCGGCCCCGTCCGTGGGACCGGGCGGCGAGCTGCAGGGTTGGGGGAGGAAGTCAGGCTGCAGGCCGCCGGGGCCAGAGGGCTGGGCCGGGGGCAGGAAGCTGCGGCGCTGGCTCCCCCCTCGGCGATTTTCGAACTTCTGCTGTCGCTCCCCGTGCGCGCAAACCGCAGTTCGCCGCCGCCGCCGCCGGGCACCCAGCCCCAGGGGGGCGGGCTGGAGGGAGGGGGCGGGCGCTGGCCGGGGGACCCCCGCAACCATGGCGGGCGGGGAGTGGGCTGCCGAGCCGCTTCACCTGCCGCAGAGGGGGCGGCCGGCGCCGCTTCACCTGCCGGAGCGGGAGGCCACCGAGGCGAGGCCGAGGCGGCGGCGCGCTCGGCGGCGCCTCCGGGTCCTAGAACCGCATCCTCCCGCTCGCCTCGGGCGAGGGATTGGCCGGGTCTGGGTGAAGGGGATCACGGCCTGGGGATTGGAGGGGCACATCTTCTCCGCACCGAGGATCTCAGCGACTGCGAGCACGGCTCGGAGACCCACGGTGGTGCAGCGTTGGGGCGCCAGGGCTGCGTTCCCGTCTCGCGTCCCGGACTGAGAAGGTGGGAACCCCCTTCCAGGCCCCCCACCTTTTATTTCTCTCCTCCCCTGCTTAGCCCAGAGACGAGCTGAGGACGAGGGGGAGCCATCTCCAAACAGGAACTCCTAAACAGGGTGGGGGGCGCGGACGCAGGCCAGTGGAGACCCCCGCCACCTGTCCCACCTCGACCAACCGTGCGCCTGTGCAGGGCACCCCTACAGGTTTTAGAATGGGGGCACCTATGGAATATGGCAGGCTGCGAGAAGCTGGGCCCGCCAAGGTGGTCCCAAGGAGGAGTGGGGGGTTGCGGAAAGGAGGATGAGAGCCAGCCACAAGGCTGGAAAAGGAGTGGGCACCGCAGAGGAGGGAAAAAGAATCTTGACACTGTCACCGCCAGGGATCTAGGGGGGCCTCTTACCTTGGAGAATAACAATCTCTGATGTCTGCTAATTACAGAAATACTTTCAGAGCTCTTTCATTCATCCTGACAATGGCCAGAGAAGGTAGGTATTGGTAGCCTTATTTTAGAGATGGGGAAACTGAGGCTGAGAGTAGGTAAGTAAGCTGTCCAAGGGCACTCAGCTAACAAAGGACAGAAGCAAGCCTCCTCACTGTCTACCTCCAAAACCTACACTGGCTTGGAGTTGCTGTCCTGGCCCTCCACTGCCCATCTCATGTAGGACGGGAGAGTATGGGGGGCTGGGGTCCCATCTATAGCCTGAATTTGAGACTTTCAGTTGCTCCTCTCATTCCCCATTTAATTTGTGGGGATCCCCAACTGACCCCTCCCTACACTTCCAGGGCACTGAGGAGGGAGGGCCCGCTGAAGGAGCCCCGAATTATCTCTAGGCCAGGTCAGGAGCCATTAGTGTCCCCTCCCCTGACAGCATCCTCCTCCTTCTGCCCTCACATTCAGAGCCACTGACAAGACTTTAAGCAAGAGACGGAGAGTTAACATCTAATCTGGAGGAAGACCCTGGAAGGAGCCAGCCCCTTCCCCCAGGCTGACCTGGTTTAAGCCTTTCTTCTGCCAAGGTCACCAGCACCCCAGATGGGTGAGAGATGTGATCACTGGTTTCGTGGCCTGACCAAGGACCTCCAAGGTGAGTCAAAGCAGAATTCTCCTTGGGCATGCAGGGAAAATGATCCATTCCCTGCACACTGCCATATTCTCCTTCTCAGACAGACCAGAGCCTTGCCCTTGGGTCCTTGCCCTTGAGATTAGCTAGGACCTCCTCCTCTTCTTCTCCTTCTTTCTTCTTCTTCTTGTCTCTATAAGATAACTGTCGTGGAAGACTTTTTTTTTTCTTTTAAGATGGAGTCTCTCGCTGTTGCCCAGGCTGGAGTGCAGTGGCTCGGTCTCAGCTCACTGCAACCTCCACCTCCCAGGTCCAAGCAATTATCCAGTCTCAGCCTCCTCAGTAGCTGGGACCACAGGTGCGTGCCACCACACCCAGCTCATTTTTGTATTTTTAGTAGAGACGGGGTTTTGCTATGTTGACCAAGCTGGTCTCGAACTCCTGACCTCAAGTGATCCGCCTGCCTCGGCCTCCCAAAGTGCTGGGATTACAGGCATGAGGCACCCCGTCCAGCCTGGAAGACTTTTTTTTTTAATGAATAAAAACACATTTTTTTAAAGAATGGATTCCCTGATTCCTCAATGGCTGTCTCTTTCAATTGAACAATAAACCTTTACTTAGCATCAGCTACATGCCCATCACTGTGCTTGGTCCTGCAGATTCTGTGGCAGATGAGAAATGCCTTGGTCCTTGGGCTGCTTGCAGCCTAGCGAGGGACAGACTTTTAACCTCTCTAGGAGAGTGGCTGCTTCAAGTCATCCTATGGGACCAGCTGTTCATGCTTCCTCTTGCCCAGAACTACTTCTGTGAGAGGAAAAGAGAAGGGTAGGAGCGTGCCCTGCAGCTGGAAACCCAAGCCAGGCGGGGAGCCACGAATGCAGTAGTTATCAGACTGTATCTTCAATCCTGGGGGCTTCTCAAGCCATTGCCAGCCACTCTTCACCCAAGGCCTGGTGGAATAAAGCTGGGCTAAGTAACACCTCTTCTGTGGAAAATTATTGTTTCTGCAAGCCTATATTCATTCTCCCTCTCTCTCATGCTGATCAGAACTGTGAGTTACAAAAAAAATGAGAAGATGGAATCAATTATTACGTAGTAAATTTCATTTGCTTGGCAGGAGGTATCTTTCCCATCTTGGCCCACAGAGGAGGAAATCCTAGAAGGGATGACTGAAGCTTGGGACTAACACATTGGTGGATCTGTGCTACCCCCTGCTGGCCGTAGACGGTATGACAGCCAAGATAGGGCAAGGCTTCGAGGGGCGATGGATGGATTCACCGCAGCGGCGACATTTCTGGACTGTTGTCACCTTCAGTGCAGTCACTGGGAATATTCAGAACCCAGGTGATTGATAAGGTTTTCCCAGGGATCTCTTCTCTCCCCTTCACCATTACTCAGTAGGAGCTTCCTTAAAAACGGAAAACGAGAGGCCGGGCGCGGTGGCTCACGCCTGTAATCCCAGCACTTTGGGAGGCGGAGGCGGGCGGATCACGAGGTCAGGAGATCGAGACCATCCTGGCTAACACAACCCCGTCTCTACTTAAAATACAAAAAATTAGCCGGGCGTGGTGGCACGCGCCTGTAGTTCCAGCTACTCAGGAGGCTGAGGCAGGAGAATCGCTTGAACCCGGGAGGCAGAGGAGGTTGCAGTGAGCTGAGATGGCGCCACTGCACTCCAGCCTGGCCGACTGAGACTCCATCTCAAAAAAAAAAAAAAAAAAAGGAAAAAGGGGCCGGGCGCGGTGGCTCACGTCTATAATCCTAGCACTTTGGGAGACCAAGGCGGGCAGATCACGAGGTCAGGAATTTGAGACTAGTGTGGCCAACATGGTGAAACCCCATCTCTACTAAAAATACAAAAAATTAGCCGGGTGTGGTGGCGCATGCCTGTAATCCTAGCTACTCGGGAGGCCGAGGCAGGAGAATCGCTTGAACCCAGGAGGCCGAGGTTGCAGTGAGCCGAGATCACGCCATTGCACTCCAGCCTGGGCGACAGAGCAAGACTCCGTCTTGAGGGAAAAAAAAAAAAAAAAGAAAAAGGGGCCAGGCACCTGTAATCCCAGCACTTTGGGAGGCTGAGGAGGGAAGATCGCTAAAACCCAGGAGTTCAAGACCAGCCTGGGCAACATGGTGAGACCCCATCTCTACAAAAAATGCAAAAAAAAAAAAAACAAAAACAAAAAAAAAAACAGCTGGGCATGATGGTGCGCACCTGTAGTCCCAGCTACTCGGGAGGCTGAGGTGGGAGGATTATTTGAGCCTGAGAGGTCAAGGCTGCAGTGAGCCAAGATCGCATCACTGCACTCTAGCCTGGGTAACAGAGCAAGACCCTGCCTCAAAAAAAAAAAAAAAAAAGGAAAAAGGTTATTACACAGTTCAAAAGAGAAACAAAGTGCAAAAGCATGTGCAAAGAAAGTAAAGTCCCTCCTGGCCAAGTGCGATGGCTCAAGCCTGTAATCTCAACACCCTGGGAGGCTGAAGTGGGTAGATCATTTGAGGTCTGGAGTTTGAGACCAGCCTGGCCAACATGGTGAAACCCCGTCTCTACTAAAAATATAAAAATTAGCTTGGCGTAGTGGCGGGTGCCTGTAATCCCAGGTACTCGGGAGGCTGAGGCAGGAGAATCACTTGAACTTGGGAGGCGGAGGGTGCCGCGAGCCAAGATCACGCCAGTGCACTCTAGCCTGGGCAACAGAGCAAGACTCCATCTCGAAGGAAGGAAGGAAGGAAGGAAGGAAGGAAGGAAGGAAGGAAGGAAGGAAGGAAGGAAGGGGAAAGAAAGGAAAGATCTCTTGCCAATCAGCCTCCCTGTTGCCCTGTTTCCCATTCCCTCCCCAGAGGCAACCACTCTTAACAGTTTTTTTGTTTTTGTTTTTGTTTTTTTTTAGACAGAGTCTCACTCTGTTGCCCAGGCGGCTGGAGTGCAGTGGTGTGATCTCAGCTCACTGCGACCTCCGCTTCCCAGATTCAAGCAATTCTCCTGCCTCAGCCTCCTGAGTAGCTGGGACTACAGGTGTGTGCCACCACGTTCAGCTAATTTTTGTATTTTTAGTAGAGACGGGGTTTCACCATGTTGGCCAGGCTGGTCTTGAACTCCTGACCTCAAGTGATCCACCCGCCTTGGCCTCCCAAAGTGCTGGGATTACAGGTGTGAGCCACCGCGCCTGGCCTCTTAACAGTTCTAATGTATCTTTGCAGAGCTATTTGGAGCATATGCTGTGTATATGTGCGTGTGTGTGTGACACAAATGATAGCACACGCTCTACACTGTTCAGCACCTGCTATTTTCATGTCATAATATACCTGCCTGTAGATAGTCAACATAGTTTTCCATCGTATGGTGTGTCACAATTTATTTACCATTCCCCTCCTAGTGGATATTTATGTATGTCCGCCTTTTATTACTACAAACAATGCTAATTACAGGAAATATCTTGGTACATATATTTGCAGACATATGTGTGTGTGTGAAATAAATTTATAAGTATGGCAATTCTGGGTCAAAGATTATGTGCTCTTAAATGTTTTATAGGTTTTCACAGAATTGCCCTCCAAAAATTTTGTACCAATTTACAATCCCCAACAACGGATGAGATCACCTGTTTCCCCAAATCCTCACAAACAGGTTAATATCAGGCCTTTTGATCTTAGGTGATGACTCTTTAAAAGTCCTGCTCACAGAGCAGTTGATGATCTGTCTTTTTCTTTGGGCCGCGGGTTTCTCCAAGGAAGGGACTGTGTCTTTCTCATACCTACATCCCCAGTGAAGGACTTGACACCATCCTTGGGAGTTACTCAAGAAGTGTCTGCTAAATATTGAGTGAAAGAAACAGAGCTGCATTTTGGCAGGCTGGGAGGGAGAGGGTAAAAGGTTAGGTTTGAACAGGAGGCCTGCTTTTTTTTTTTTTTTTTGAGATGGAGTCTCACTCTGTTGCCCAGGCTGGAGTGCAGTGGCGCGATCTCAGCTCACTGCAACCTCCAAGGAGGACTGCTCTTTAGGGCCACTTTCTCTTCCAGACCCTGGTCAAGCCTCTGCCCCAAATCCAAAAGCCTTCCTCTTGCAGGAGCCTCCCAGGTTGCAAGGTCTGAGGTTGAAGGCCCAGAACTCCCAGTGCAGCTTTCACCCAGCTCTGCTGCATTCCAGGGATGGGCCCCATCATCCCCAAGCTGCCTGAGAACTGGAAACAAACTAGGTGTCCAGCTTTAGGGGATCAGTTAAACCACTGTCCTATAGAACTTTCTGCAATGATGAAAATGTTCTCTATCTGCCCTGTCCAATATGGCAGCCACTGGCCACTCGTAGCTACCGAGTATTCAAGCTGTAGCTAGTTCAACTAAGGAAATAAATAAATGTTACTTAATTTTAATTAATTTCCATTTAAGTAGCCATGTGTGGCTACATATTGGACAGTGAAGGGTTCAGTAAATTATGATATAGCCCCACAATGGAAAACTATGCAGCTGTAAAAAAAAAAAATAATAAGGATGCCAAGAAAAATGGAAAGATCTTCAGGATATATTTTGAAACAAAAATGTGGTACAGGCTGTGTGCAGTGGCTCACGCCAATAATCCCAGCACTTTGGGAGGCCAAGGTGAGAGGCCGAGGCAGGAGGATCACTTGAGTCCAGGGGTTCAAGACCAGCCTGGTCAACATAATGAGACTTCCGTCTCTACAGAAAGTGAAAAAAAAAAAAAAGACAGCATGGTGGTATATGAATGTAGTCCCATCTACTCAGGAAGCTGAGGTGGGAGGATTGCTTGAGCCAGGGAAGTTGAGGCTGCAGTAAGCTGTGATTGTGCCACCACACTCCAGCCTGTGTGACAGAGCAAGACCCCATCTAAAAAAAAAAAAAAAGGCCAGGCACGATGGCTCACACATGTAATCCCAGCACTTTGGGAGGCCGAGGACCGTGGATCACCTGAGGTTGGGAGCTCAAGACCAGCCTGACCAACATAGAGAAACCTCATCTCTACTAAAAACACAAAATTAGCTGGGTGTGGTGGCACATGCCTATAATCCCAGCTACTCAGAAGACTGAGGCAGAAGAACCACTTGAACCCAGGAGGCGGAGGTTGCGGTGAGCCAAGATAGTGCCATTGCACTTCAGCCTGGGTAACAAGAGCGAAACTCTGTCTCAAAAAAAAAAATGTGGTTCAGAACAGTATACATAGTATGTCATCTTTTTTGAAAGAAAGGCAGGTAGGCCGGGCGCAGTGGCTCACACCTGTAATCCCAGCACTTTGGGAGGCCGAGGTGGGCGGATCACGAGGTCAGGAGATTGAGACCATCCTGGCTAACGCGGTGAAACCCTGTCTCTACTAAAAATACAAAAAATTAGCCGGGCGTAGGTGGTGCACTCCTGTAGTCCCAGCTACTCGGGAGGCTGAGGCAGGAGAATGGCGTAAAACCCGGGAGGCTGAGCTTGCAGTGAGCCAAGATCGCGCCACTGTACTTCAGCCTGGGAGACAGAGCGAGATTCCGTCTCAAAAAATAAAAAAAAAAGAAAAAGAAAGGCAGGTAGAGGAGGCTGGATGTGGTGGCTCATGCCTGTAATACCAGCACTTTGGGAGGCCAAGGGGGACAGATCACTTGCAGAAATGTGAGACCGGCCTGGACAACATGGTGAAACCCCATCTCTACACAAAATACAAAAATTAGTTGGACGTGGTAGTGCGCACCTGTAGTCCCAGCTACTCAGGAGGCTAAAGTGGGAGGGTTGCTTGAGCTGGGGAAGTCAAGGCTGCAGTGAGCCAAGATTGCACCACTGCACTCCAGCAGGGGTGACAGAGGGAGACAGCAGGAGTGACAGAGTGAGACCCTGTCTCAAAAAAAAAAAGAAAAGAGCTTTGCACAGTGGTAGTATCGTAGCCAATGAATGAAAGGGAGGTGGAAATAAAAATAAATGTTTATATTTGCTTGAATTTGCATAGGGAAAGCAATAACAGTGGGTGACCTATAGGGAGCTGGGGAATCCTGTTGCGGGGGTAGGCAAGGACAGGGTGGGAACAGAGCTTTCCAGTGAATTTCTTTATATTTCATTTTGGTTGTTGAAACATGTACATATATTACCTATTCAAAAAGTTAAATTAAGGTCAGGTGCAGTGGCTCATGCCCGTAATCCCAGTACTTTGGGAGGTTGAGGTAGGAGGATCACTTTACCCCAGGAGTTGGAGACCAGCCTGGGCAATATAGTGAGACCTCCTTTCTACAAAAAGTTTACAAATTAGCCATAAGCCAGGTGCGGTGGCTCACACCTGTAATCCCAGCACTTTGGGAGGCGGAGGCAGGCAGATCACTTGAGGTCAGGAGTCCGAGACCAGCCTGGCCAACATGGTGAAACCTCATCTCTACTAAAAATACAAAAATTAGCTGGGAATGGCAGCAGGTGCCTATAATCCCAACTACTTGGGAGGCTGAGACAGGAGAATCGCTTGAGCCCGGGAGGCAGAGGCTACAGTGAGTCAAGATCACGCCACTACACTACACTCCAGCCTGGGCAACAGAGCAAGACTCCGTCTCAAAAAAAAAAAAATTAGCCATATACGGTGACACGCTCCTGTAGTCCCAGATACTTGGGAGGCTGAGATGGGAAAGTCACTTGAGCCAGGGAAGTTGAGGCTGCAGAGAGCCAAGATCGCGCCACTGCTCTCCTGCCTGTGCGACACAGTGAGACTATGTCTCAAAAAAATGAAAAGGTGGCTGGGCACAAGGCTCACACCTGTAATCCCAGCACTTTGGGAGACTGAGGCAGGCAGATCACTTGAGGCCATGAGTTCGAGACCAGACTGGCTAACATGGTAAAACCCCATCTCTACTAAAAATACAAAAATTATCTGGGTGTGGCAGTGTGTGCCTGTAGTCCCAGCTACTAGAGAGGCTGAGGCAGAAGAATCACTTGAACCCGGGAGGCAGAGGTTGCAGCGAGCCGAAATTGTACTACTGCACTCCAGCCTGGGTGGCAAAGCGAGACTCCCTCTCAAAAAAAAAAAAAGTAAATTAAAATTAAAGCAAATTGCTTGCTATTTAACCACGAGGGCTGCTCTCTCCCTCTTCTTGGCAACTCGTGATAGTCACTACGTTATCCTTTCTTTTTTTTTTTTTTTTTTTTGAGACAAAGCCTTGTTCTGTCGCCCAGACTGGAGTGCAGTGGTGTGATCTCAGCTCACTGCAACCTCCGCCTCCTGGGTTAAAGCAATTCTTCTGCCTCAGCCTCCTGAGTAGCTGGGATTACAGGTGCATGCCACCATGCCCGGCTAATTTTTGTATTTTTTTAGTAGAGACGGGGTTTCACCATATTGGCCAGGCTGGTCTCGAACTCCTGACCTTGTGATCCGCCCACCTCGGCCTCCCAAAGTGCTGGGATTACAGGTGTGAGCCACTGCACCCAACCCAACGCTATCCTTTCTATGTAACTCACTAGAGGACAGCCCCAGGGAGTGGACCAGCAAAGACCGCATGAGCCATACCCCAGTGACACAGGCTCCCAAACCCGGCCATGTATCACAATCAGAATCTGGGGGGAGTACGGTCAGGGATCTGTGTCTTTTAAAGTCCTCCAGGTAATTCAGTCAGTTACTGACCTGTCCTTGTCAATGCTTCCCAGTGAAGAGAGTACAGGCTACATGTCCCAGGTACATATCCCTTCCCTTTAGACAGCAGTCATCACTGACGTCTTCTGAGTACCAGTGCTGTGCCAGACACTGAGGCATTCTACGTGTTACTGTAAGGCAAACAGCATCCCGGCAGGGCAGGCCTCGCCAATGTGCTCACTGAGCTCGGTGTCCTCTGGAGTGACTGACTTATTCAATGTCATATTGCTGGTAAATGTCAGAACTAGGATCTGAATGCAGTCATAAACTCCCTGAGCCTCTGTTTTCTTCTCTGAAAAAAAAAAAAAATGGTGACATGATTTTATTGAATTGTTTTGAATGTTCAATACAATTTTATGTAAAGCACTTAGCAGAGACTTTTATTTCCAGCAATAAGGTGGACTATATATGTTCAGAAAAACTCTTGTGTACAAAACAGCTAGAAATGCTAGATAAAAAATTTAAAAAAAATGTATATGGGTCTCCTTCCTTCCTTCCTTTCCTTCTTTCCTTCTTTGCTTCTTTGCTTCCTTCCTTCCCTCCCTCTCTCCCTCTCCTTCCTTCTCTCTTTCTCTCTCTTTCTTTCTCTCTCTTTCTCTCTTCCTCTCTTTCTCTCTCTCTCTGTTTCTCTGTTTCTCTCTTTCTTTCTCTTGCTGTGTTGCCCAGGCTGGAGTGCAGTGTTGTGATCTTGGCTCACTGCAGCCTCCACCTCCTGGCTTCAAGCAATTCTCTTGCTTCAGCCTCTTGAGCCTTGAGTAGCTGGGACTACAGGTGTGCATCACCATCCCTGGCTAATTTTTATATTTTTAGTACAGACGGGGTTTCACCATGTTGGCCAGGCTGGTCTCAAACTCCTGACCTCAACTGATCCACCCACCTCGGCCTCCCAAAGTGTTGGGATTACAGGCGTGAGCCACTGCGCCCAGACATGTGTGTTATTTTCAATGCAAGGCTAAGCCAGCAAGAAAACAAGACTCCACAAAGGCACAAATCCAGAAAGGAACAAGACAAAGCCTGGGGTCTCATAAAGAGGAGGAAATTAAATCAGAGATAACGTACCCTTCAAAAAAGTCAAGAGTGAACCAGGCGTGGTGGCTCAAGCCTGTAATTCCAGCACTTTGAGAGGCTGAGGCAGAAGGATCGCTTGAGTCCAAGAGTTCAAGAACAGCCTGGGCAACATGGTGAGACACCATCTCTACAAAAAAATACTTAAAATTAGCCAGGCATGGTGGTACACACCTGTAGTCCCAGCTACTCAGGAGGCTGAGGTGGGAGGATCACGTGAGCCCAGGAGACAGAGGCTGGAGTGAGCCAAGATCATGCCGCCACACTCCAGCCTGGGTGACAGAGCAAGACCCTGTCTCAAAAAAAAATTTTAAAAAGAAAGAAAGAAAAAGTCAAGGGTGCCCAAAAGGTGATATCCTTCGATAGTAATGGAAAAAACATCTACCCAGCAGAGAGAGATGCTAGGGATACTTGCTTACCTCAATCTATCAATAAGATATATCCATTCTAGGCCAGGCACAGTGGCTCACGCCTCTAATCCCAGCACTTTGGGAGGCTGAGGTGGGCAGACCACAAGGTCAGGAGATCGAGATTACAGGCGCATGCCACCATGCCCAGCTAATTTTTGTATTTTTTTAGTAGGAGAGATCGAGACCATCCTGGCTAACACGGTGAAACCCCGTCTCTACTAAAAATACAAAACAATTAGCCGGGCATAGTGGCGGGCGCCTGTAGTCCCAGCTACTCGGGAGGCCAAGGCAGGAGAAAGGCTTGAACCCGGGAGGCTGAGCTTGCAGTGAGCCGAGATCACGCCACTGCACTCCAGCCTGGGCAACGGAGCGAGACTCCATCTCAAAAAAAAAAAAAAAGATATATCCATTCTACAGTTGTATGTACCTAATAACATAGCTTCAAAAATCATAAAACAGAAATACTGGGAAAAATAGGCCGGGCTCAATGGCTCATGCCTGTAATCCCAGCACTCTGGGAGGCCCAGGGGGGCGGATCACAAGGTCAGGAGATGGAGACCATCCTGGCTAACACGGTGAAACCCCGTCTCTACTAAAAATACAAAAAATTAGCCGAGGGTGGTGGCGGGTGCCTGTAGTCCCAGCTACTCGGGAGGCTGAGGCAGGAGAATGGCGTGAACCCGGGAGGCGGAGCTTGCAGTGAGCCGAGATCGCACCACTGCACTCCAGCCTGGGCGAGAGAGCGAGACTCCGTCTCAAAAAAAAAAAAAAAGAAAGAAAAAAAAGAAAGAAATACTGGGAAAAATAGACAAATCTACCAATGGAAGATTTAAATCACCTCCCTCTGGATCTGGTACATCAAGCAGACAAAACATTCAGTAAGGATTTAAAAGGTTTGAGCGATGCAATCAGCAAGCATAATCTAATAGAATATTTTAAATACTCCAGTTCAAACAATTAGTGAACACACTTTTACTTTCAGATACACACGGACTATTTACAAAAATGACCACATATCAGATCATAAAGCAAGTAGTCTCCATCAACTCAAAATATCATATAGACCACATTTTCTAACAGCAATAGAATTAAATTAGAAATCAATAATTTTTAAAAATAAACAACCCCATGCATTTTTAAATGTCAAAATGCACTGGGCGCAGTGGCTCACGCCTGTAATGCCAGCACTTTGGGAGGCCAAAGAGGGTGGATCATGAGGTCAGTAGTTCAAGATCAGCCTGGCCAAGATAGTGAAACCTCATCTCTACTAAAAATACAAAAATTAGCCGAGCGTGATGGCAGGCGCCTGTAATCCTGCTACTCGGGAGGCTGAGGCAGGAGAATCGCTTGAACCCGAGAGACGGAGGTTGCAGAGAGCCAAGATCGTGCCACTGCACACCAACCCAGGTGACAGTGTAAGACTCCGTCTCAAAAAAAAGTCAAAATGCACTTCTAAATAATTCATGGGGCTGGACACAGTGGCTAATGCTCGTAATCCCAGCACTTTCAGAGGCTGAGGCAGGAGACTCGCTTGAGTGCAGGAGTTTGAGACCAGCCTGGGCAACATAGTGAGACCCTGTCTCTATAAAAAAAATTAAAAATAAAAATAGCCTGGCATGGTGGCGCACACCTGTAGTCCCAGCTACTCGGGAAACAGAGGTGGGAAGATTGCTTGAGCCCAGGAGTTAAAGGCTGCAGTGATTCATGATCAAACCACTGCACTCCAGCCTGGACCACAGAGACCCTGTCTCAAAATAAATAAATTAATGAATGAATTAATTAAAAATTTGTGGCTTGAAGAACTCCTAACAGAAATTAGAAAATATCTACAACAGAACATCAAAAATACCTTGTATAGCCCGAGCGCTATGGCTCACTCCTGTAATCCCAGCACTTTGGGAGCCTGAGACGGGCGGATCACCGGAGGTCAGGAGTTTGAGACCAGCCTGGCCAACATGGTGAAACCCTGTCTCTACTAAAAATACAAAAATTAGCCAGGCATGTTGGCGGGCACCTATGGTCCCAGCTACTCAGGAGACTGAGGCAGGAGAATCGCTTGAACCTGGGAGGTGGAGGTTGCAGTGAGCTGAGATCATGCCACTGCACTCCAGTCTGGGCGACAGAACAAGACTCCATCTCAAAAACAAACAAAAAAAGCCATGTATAAAGTTCTGAGCACACAGTGCCCTAAAAATGGAAGTGAAGGTGAGGATGATGAATATGCAGCAATTGCTTGGAGGGAAGGTATCTGCAGGACAAACTTGGCAATAGTCAGTTCTGAGGTCAAAGGAGGAGGGGTAAAGACTAAAGGACTGGCCAGTTGTGGTGGCTCACATCTGTAATCCCAGCACTTTGGGAGTCTGAGGTGGGAGGACGGCTTGAGTCCAGGAGTTAGAGACCAGCCTGAGCAACATAGCAAGACCTTGTCTCTACTAAAAATTAAAAAAAAAATTAGCTAGGCATGGTAGCACAAACCCAAAGTCTCAGCTACTCAGGAGGCCAAGGCAGGAGGATTACTTGAGCCTAGGAGTACGAGGACAGCCTGAGCAACACAGTGGAACCCCGTCTCTACAAAGTGTTTAAAAAGGCCTGGCGCGGTGGCTCATGCCCATAATCCCAACACTTTGGGAAGCCGAGGCAGGCAGATCATGAGGTCAGGAGTTCAAGACCAGACTAACCAATATGGTGAAACCCCATCGCTACTAAAAATACAAAAATTAGCCAGCTGTGGTGCTGTGCACCTGTAGTCACAGCTACTCGGGAGGCTGAGGCAGGAGAATCAGCCGAGAGGCGGAGGTTGCAGTGAGCCAAGATCGCGCCACTGCACTCCAGCCTGGGTGACAGAGTGACACTCCATCTCAAAAAAAAAAAAAAAAAAGTTTAAAAATTAGCCAGGTGTAGTGGTGCACACCTGTAGTCCCAGCTACTGAGGAGGCTAAGGCAGGAGGATTGCTTGAGCCAGGCAAGTAGAGGGTGAAGTGAGCCATGATTGTGCCACTGCACTGCCTGGCCAACAGAGCCAGACCCTGTCTCAAAAAAAACAAAAATTCAAGGGCTGAGTTTGAGAGTGATCACTGAGTCTGGGAAGAGAGAATCCAAAGGATGAGATACAAACAGAAACCCTGTGAACTGGAGATTATTCTAGTTTCATTTTACATTAGTGGCCACTGAGGCTGCTAATGATGAAGTAACTCAAGTCACCCACTTATAAAGTGGCAGAGCCAGGATTCAAACCCACGTTAGCCCTCTTGCTTTTCATGGTGCCTCTGAGGGGACAGCTGAGGGAGGCCAGGAGGAGTTTCTTGGTTAACAACAAATGTTTATATTTTTACTTATTTTATTTATTTATTTATTTGAGATGGAGTGTCTCAAAAAATTTTTTTTGTATTTTTTTTTTTTGTATTTTTAGTAGAGACGGGATTTCACCGTGTTAGCCAGGATGGTCTCAATCTCCTGACCTCGTGATCCACCCGCCTCGGCCTCCCAAAGTGCTGGGATTACAGGTGTGAGCCACTGCACCTGGCCTATTTATTTATTTATTTTGAGGCAAAGTCTTGCTCCATTGCCCAGGCTGGAGTGCAGTGACAAAATCATGGCTCACTACAGACTCCACCTCCTGGGTTTAGGCAATCCTCCTACCACAGCCTCCTGAGTTGCTGGGACTACAGGCGTGCACCACCATGCGCAGCTAATTTTTTTTTTTTTTAATTATTTGTAGAAACAGATTCTCCCTGTGCTGCCTAGGCTGGTCTCCAACTCCTGGGCCTCAAGTGATCCTCCCACCTCAGCCTCCAAAGTGCTAGGATTACAGACATGAGCCACCACACTTAGCCTCCAAATCTTAATCTTAGATTAAGTGTCTTAATCTTCGAAACGGTCTGCCAAGGAGACATTTGGTCACTTCTCTCACTCTGGCTGTGTCTGACTGACCTGAGAGGCTACAAACCACAGCTGTCACCTTTACTGGTCTGTCAGTCTGTCTGAAACAGCTCTGACAACCCAGCCAGAAGAGGAAAATGTAGTCATTTCTTTCAAGGCCCTAAGTCTTACAAAAAGTAGGGCAGATGGGGACCGGCTGCAGTGGCTCCTGCCTGTAATCCTACTGCTTTGGGAGCCCAAGGCGGAGAATCACTTGAGACCAGGAGTTCAAGATGAGCCTGGGCAACATAGTGAGACCCTGTCTCTATAGAAACTAAAAAATTAGCAAGGCATGGTGGTGTGTGCCTGTTGTCCCAGCTACTCAAGAGGCTGAGGTGGGAATATCGCTTGAGCCTAGGAGCTCAAGGCTGCAGTCAGCCGTGATCAAACCACTGCACTCCAGCCTGGGTGACAGAGTGAGAAATTGTCTCAAAAAATAAACAGGCTAGGTGTGGTGACTCATGCCTGTAATCCCAGCATTTTGGGAGGCTGAGGCAGGTGGATCATTTGAGGTCAGTAGTTCAAGACCAGCCTGGCCAAAATAGTGAAACCCCACCTCTACTAAAAATAAAAAATTAGCCAGAAGTGGTGGCAGGTGCCTATAATCCCAGCTACTCGGGAGGTTGAGGCAGGTGAATCACTGGAACCAGGGAGGTGGAGGTTGCAGTGAGCCAAGATCATGCCACTGTGCTCCAGCCTGGGCGACAGAGCGAGACTCCATCTTAAAAAAGCAAACAAACAAACTAGGGCAGGTGAGGTCCCATCCAATCTGCAGCCAAATAGACTGGGACTCACAGCTGCCCAGAGCTGCTGAGCTAAGAGGAGAGAGTGGACTAAGGGGGCCACCTAGAAAACCTAGGTCCATTCTTGGGGCTAGGGGAGCACAACCTGGCATCTGGTACACAGTAGGTGTTTAATGAATGCTAACAGAAGGAACAATTATCGAAGACCCGCTGAACACCAGGCACTGGGCCTGTGAAAGGGTCTTGTTAGTTTCA
Source organism: Homo sapiens (assembly GCF_000001405.40). Taxonomy (NCBI): domain Eukaryota; kingdom Metazoa; phylum Chordata; class Mammalia; order Primates; family Hominidae; genus Homo; species Homo sapiens. The sequence continues at coordinate 45,206,309 of NC_000017.11, read as the reverse complement.
TCCTTGTGGCAATACATTTAGGTTGGTGTTACTAGTCCCATTATTTCATTAAGATGCGGAGACTGGGGCGCTGAGAGGCTTAGTGACATATCCAAGGTCAAGAAAATGGCAGAGTCCTACCTAGAGCAATCAGACAAGAGAAAGAAATAAAGGACATCCAGGCCAGGCGCAGTGGCTCACACCTGTAATCCCAGCATTTTGGGAGGCCGAGGCGGGCGGATCACAAGGTCAGAAGATCAAGACCATCCTGGTGAACACGGTGAAACCCCATCTCTACTAAAAATACTATATATATATATATATATATATATATATATATATATATAAGCCGGGCGTGGTGGCAGGCGCCTGTAGTCCCAGCTACTCGGGAGGCTGAAGCAGGAGAATGGCATGAACCCAGCCGGGGGGTAGCTTGCAGTGAGCCGAGATTGCGCCACTGCACTCCAGCCTGGGAGACAGCAAGACCCCATCTCAAAAAAAAAAAAAAAGAAATAAAAGGCATCCATATTGGTAAAGAGGAAGTCAAACCGTCGCTGTTCACCAATCATATGGTCATATACCTAGAAAAACTCTAAAGATTCATCCATAAAGCTCCCAGATTTTATAAACAAATTTAGTAAAGTTTCAGGATACAAAATCAATCTGCACAAATCAGTAGCACTGCTGTATATCAACAATGACCAAACTGAGAATCAAGAATCTAACCTTTTTTACAATAGCTGCAAAAAATAATAATAAAATACTTAGGAGTATACCTAACCAAGGAGGTGAAAGACCTCCATAAGGAAAACTACAAAACACTGCTGAAATAAATCATAGACACAAACAAATGGAAACATATCCCATGCTCATGGATGGTTAGAATCAATATTGTGAAAATGACCATACTGCCAAAAGAAATTCAAAACTCTAAGGCAATTCCCATCAAAATACCATCATCATTCTTCACAGAACTAGAAAAGACAATCCTAAAATTCATGTGGGGCTGGCTATGGTAGCTAACACCTGTAATCCCAGCACTTTGGGAGGCAGAGGTGGGCAGATCACAAGGTCAAGAGATTGAGACCATCCTGGCCAACACAGTGAAACCCTGTCTCTACTAAAAATGCAAAAATTAGCCAGGCATGGTGGCGCGTGCCTGTAGTCCCAGCTACTCAGGAGTCTGAGGTAGGAGAATCACTTGAACCTGGGAGGCGGAGGTTGCAGTGAGCCGAGATTGTGCCACTGCACACCAGCCTGGCGACAGAAAAAAAAAAATCCATCTGAAAAAAAAAATGCACATGGAACCAAAAAAGAGCCTGCATAGCCAAAGCAATGCTAATCAAAAAGAACCAATCTGGAGGCATCACATTACCTAACTTCAGACTATATTATAAGGCCATAGTCACCAAAACAGCATGGTACTTGTATAAAAACAGGCACATAGACCAATGGAACAGAATAGAAAACCAAGAAATAAATCCAAATACTTACAGCCAACTGATCTTTAACAACTCAAACAAAAACATAAAGTGGGGAAAAGACACCTTATTCAACAAATGGTGGCTGGGATAATTGGCAAGCCACATGTAGAAGAATGAAACTGGATTCTTATCTCTCACCTTACATAAAAATCAGCTCAAGATGGATCAAACACTTAAATCTAAGACTTGAAACCATAAAAATTCTAGAAGATAACATTTGAAAAACCCTTCTAAACACTGGCTTCAGCAAAGACATCATGACCAAGAGCCCAAAGGCAAATGCAACAAAAACAAAGATAAATAGACGGGACTTAATTAAACTAAAAAGCTTCTGCACAGCAAAAGAAATAATCAGCAGAGTAAATAGACAACCCACAGAGTGGCAGAAAATCTTCACAAACTATGCATCTGACAAAGGACTAATATCCCAAATCTGCAAGGAACTCAAACAAATCAGCAAGAAAAAAAACAAACAAACAATCCCATCAAAAAGTGGGCTAAGGACATGAATAGATAGACAATTCTCAAAAGAGTATATACAAATGGCCGACAAACATATGAAAAAATGTTCAGCATCACTAGTTATCAGGGAAATGCAAATCAAAACCACAGTGCGATACCACCTTACTCCTGCAAGAATGGCCATAATTTAAAAATCAAAAAATAATAGATGTAGGCATGGATGTAGTAAAAAGAGAACACTTTTATGATGCTGGTGGGAATGTAAACTAGTATAACCACTATGGAAAGCAGTATGGAGATTCCTTTTTTTTTTTTTTTTTTTTGAGATGGAGTCTTGAACTGTCACCCAGGCTGGAGTGCAGTGGCGCAATCTCAGCTCACTGCAAGCTCCGCCTCCCAGGTTCATGCCATTCTCCTGCCTCAGCCTCCCAAGTAACTGGGACTACAGGCGCCTGCCACCATGCCTGGCTAATTTTTTGTATTTTTAGTAGAGATGGGGTTTCACCGTGTTAGCCAGGATGGTCTCGATCTCCTGAGCTCGTGATCTGCCCACCTGGGCCTCCCAAAGTGCTGGGATTATAGGCATGAGCCACCGCACCGGGCCAGGAGATTCCTTAAAGAACTAAAAGTAGATCTACCATTTGATCCAGCAATCCCACTACTGGGTATCTACCCAGAGGGAAAGAAGTCATTATATGAAAAAGAGACTTGCACACTCATGTTTATAGCAGCACAATTCACAATTGCACAATTGCAAAAATATGGAACTAGCCCAAATGCCCATCAATCAATGAGTGGGTAAAGAAAATGTCATATATACAGGCTCATGCCTGTAATCCCAGCACTTTCGGAGGCCAAGGCGGGCGGATCACCTGAGGTCAGGAGTTCGAGGTCAGCCTGACCAACATGGAGAAACCCCATCTCTACTAAAAATACAAAATTAGCTGGGCGTGGTGGCACATGCCTGTAATCCCAGCTACTCGGGAGGTTGAGGCAGGAGAATCACTTGAACCCGGGAGGCAGAGGTTGCTGTGAACTGAGATTGTATCATTGCACTCTAGCCTGGGCAACAAGAGCGAAACTCTGTCTCAAAAAAAAAAAAAAAAAGAGAAACAAAATCATGGCCTTTGCAGCAACCTGGATAGAATTGGAGACCATTATTCTAAGTGAAGTAACTCAGGAATGGAAAATCAAACATATGTTCTCACGTATAAGAGAACACAAAGGCATAAGAATGAACAATGGACTTTGGGGACTCTAGGGGAAGATTGGGAGCGGGGGCGAGGGATAAAAGACTACACACTGGGTACAGTGTACAAGCTTGGGTGGTGGATGCACCAAAATCTCAGAAATCACCACTGAAGAACTTATCCATGTAACCAAACACCACCTGCTCCCCAAAAGCCTACTGAAATAATTTATAAAAGGAACGGGCTGGGCGCAGTGGCTCACGCCTGTAATCCCAGCACTTTGGGAGGCCGAGGTGGGTGGATCAACTGAGGTCAGGAGTTTGAGATGAGCCTGGCCAACATGGTGAAACCTCGTCTCTACTAAAAATACAAAAATTAGCTGGGCGTGGTGGCAGGTGCCTGTAATCCCAGCTACTTGGGAGGCTGAGGCAGGGGAATCACTTGAACCCAGGAGGCAGAGGTTGCAGTGAGCCGAGATTGTGCCACTGCACTCCAGCCTGGGTGACACAGTGAGACTCCATCTAAAAAAACAAAAACAAAAACAAAACAAAACAGGCCAGGCACCGTGGCTCACACCTGTAATCCCAGCACTTTGGGAGGCCAAGGCGGGAGGATCACGAGGTCAGGAGATCGAGACCATTCTGGCTAACATGGTGAAACCCTGTCTATACTAAAAATACAAAAACAAAATTAGCCGGGCGTGGTGGCGGGTACCTGTAGTCCCAGCTACTCGGGAGGCTGAGGCGGGAGAATGGCGTGAACCCAGGAGGCGGAGCTTGCAGTGAGCCGAGATTGTGCCACTGCACTCCAGCCTGGGTGACAGAGCGAGAGTCCGTCTCAAAAAATAAAAAAAAAAGAAAAAGAAAAAACAGGAAACAATAACTGGGGGGAAAAAAGAAAAAGAAAATGGCAGAGCCGAGACAATAACCCAGAAATTGGGACCCAGCTTTCTTCACTGTTTCCCCTGTACCAGGGACAGCCAGTTTCCAAAGCTCTCCCTCCCAACAGCCAGCCAACATGTAGGTCCCTGTGATGAAAGCCAAGAGCAAGGCCAAGCCTTAGGCAAGCCCTGAACCTCTTTGCTCATTATTGCATAACTTTTTTTTTTTTTTCGAGACAGAGTCTCATTGTGTCACCCAGGCTGGAATGCAATGACCCAATCTCGGCTCACTGCAACCTCCGCCTCCCAGGTTCAAATGATTCTCCTACCTCAGTCTCCCAAGTAGCTGGAATTACAGGCATGCGCCACCACACCGAGCTAATTTTTGTATTTTTAGTAGAGACTGGGTTTTGCCATGTTGACCAGGCTGGTCTTGAACTCCTGACCTCAAGTAATCCTCCCGCCTCAGCCTCCCAAAGTGCTGGGATTATAGGCATGAGCCACTGCGCCTGGCCATTATTCCATAAATATTGATGGAGGGCCAACTGCATGCCCAGTGCCGAGGGATAGAGAAGAATTAGACCCCAACCTGCCTAAAAAGAGCTCACGGCCTGGGAAAGGAGTATGAGGGGAGGTCTGTTTGCCCTAGGGGCTGCTGAGGAAGAAACACTAAGCCCAGATCCATTCCTGACATAATTCTGCCTGGACATCCACTGAGTCAGGGTCAGAGACTCAGGGCTGCCCTCCTGGGTTGTTGAAGGAGAGGCAAAGTTGAAACCACTAGAAGGTGGGGCTCCTCCAGGGGAAAGACCAATTCCAGGCACCCCATCTGAGGACAAAAGCTGAGAGAACATCTTCACTGGGGTGTGGGGAGTATACAAGAAATACCAGGACCAGGCCGGGTGTGGTGGCTCATGCCTGTAATCCCAGCACTTTGGGAGGCCAAGGCGGCTAGATCAGCTGAGGTCAGGAGTTCTGGAGACCAGCCTGGCCAACATGGTGAAACTCTGTCTCTACTAAAAATACAATAATAAGCTGGGCGTGGTGGTGGGCGCCTGTAATCCCAGCTACCTGGGAGGCTCAGGCAAGAGGATCACTTGAATCCGGGAGGCGGAGGTCACGGTGAGCCGAGATCATGCCACTGCACTCCAGCCTGGGCAATAGAGTGAGACTCAGTCTCAAAAAAAAAAAAAAAAAAGAAAGAAAAGAAAAGAAAAAAAGACCAGGACCTGCAGAATTTTCCTGACAAGCCACCACCTGCAAAGCTGGCTCCACAGTGGATCCACCTCTGTACCTCCCAGAGCAGCCGGCATTCTGTCATTTTTGTTGAAGGAAATGGGCAGAGACTGGGACAGCCAAGCGCGGCCTTCTGTGGTTTTAGGGAGAAGGGCGGGTGAGCCAGTCCGTTGCCCTGAGAAGAGGTCAAGAGGATGAAGACTATGAAAGCGACTGAGTTGGGCAATTAGGGGTCCCTAGTGGCCTTCAAAAAGAATGCTTTCAACAGCAGCTGCTGAAATTTCAAGGGCAAGTTCGGTAGCGGGAGGGGAAGAGGGAGAGAGAGAATGCAGAGCCTAAGCCAGCCATCAGCAGAGTGAAGACACACGCATAATTCATGATGTCCTTCTTAACTTGTTTTGAAAATCTGATTTTTTTGACAGACAACTCAGGGGTTAATCAACCTCAGAGGTTCAGAAGTTCCATGAATCCCTTAAAGTGGAGAGAACTCCACCCAAACAATATAATATTGCTTATATTTGCACCAGGGAGACATAGCCTGAATCTATCCATAAGGAAATACCAGACAAACCTCAAATAAGGTGCATTCGATTAAAAGGAAAAATGTGTGGGGGAGTCCTACTCTGAAAAAATGTCATGAAAGATGAAAAAGATGAGGAATTGCCCCAGATTAAAGAAGCCTAGGCCAGCATGGTGGCTCACACCTGTAATCCCAACACTTTGGGAGGCTGAGATGGGCAGATGGCCTGAAGCCAGAAATTCGAGACCAGCCTGGCCAATATGCCAAAACCCCATCTCTACTAAAAGTACAAAAATTAGCTGGGTGTGGTGGCGTGCACCTGTAATCCCAGCTACTCAGGTGGCTGAGGCAGGAGAATCACTTGAACCCAGTTGAGCCGATATCGCACCACTGCACTCCAGCCTGGGCAATAAGAGCAAAACTCAGTCTCAAAAAATAAAAATAAATAAAAAATAAAGAAGCCTAAATATCTGGGTGTGGTGGCTCATGCCTGAAATCCCAGCAAGCACTTTGGGGGCTGAGGCAGGAGGATTGCTTGAGCCCAGGAGTTCAAGACCAGCCTGAGCAACATAGGGAGACCCCTGTCTCTACAAAAAATAGAAAAATGGCTGGGCGTGGTGGCTCATGCCTGTAATCTCAGTATTTTGGGAGGCCGAGGTGGGCAGATCACGAGGTCAGGAGATCGAGACCATCATGGCCAACACGATGAAACCCCATCTCTACTAAAAATACAAAAATTAGCTGGGCATGGTGGCAAGTGCCTGTAATCCCAGCTACTCCAGAGGTTGAGGCAGGAGAATTGCTTGAACCCAAGAGGCGGAGGTTGCAGTGAGCCAAGATCGCGCCACTGCACTCCAGCCTGGCGACAGAGCAAGAGTCCGTCTCAAAAAAAAAAAAAAGAAGAAGAAGAAGAAAAATGGCCGGACACAGTGGTTCACGCCTGTAATCCCAGCACTTTGGGAGGCCGAGGTGGGTAGATCAGCCTGGGCAACATAGTGAGACCTCATTTCTTTTTTTTCTTTTTCTTTTTTTTTTTTTTTGAGACGGAATCACGCTCTGTCACCCAGGCTGGAGTTCAGTTGCGTGATCTCAGCTCACTGCAAGCTCCACCTCCCGGGTTCATGCTATTCTCCTGCCTCAGCCTTCCGAGTAGCTAGGACTACAGGCGCCTGCCTAATTTTTTGTATTTTTAGTGGAGACGGGGTTTCACTGTGTTAGCCAGGATGGTCTCGATCTTCTGACCTCGTGATCTGCCTGCCTCGGCCTCCCACAGTGCTGGGATTACAGGCGTGAGCCACCGCACCTGGCCGAGACCTCATTTCTAAAAGAAGAAAAGAAATATTAGTCAGGTGTGCTGGCACGCTGTAGTCCCAGCTACTCAGGAGGCTGAGGTGAGAGGATCTGTTGAGCCCAGGAAGTAGAGGCTGCAGTGAGCCAATATCACGCCACTGCACTCCAGGCTGGGTGACACAGTGAGACATTGTCTCAAAAAAAAAGGAGAAGAGGAAGCCAATTAAATGCAATGTGTGATCCTGATCTGGATCTTATACTACAGGGAAAAAATATTCTAAAGGATCCTTATTGATAAAAATTGGAATATAGACAGTAAATTATTGTATTGATGTTAAATTTCACTGAACTGTGGTGATGCGAGAAAATATCCTTGTTCTTAGGTAATACCCACTGAAGTATTTGGGGGCAAAGGGGCATGATGGCTGCCACTTTCAGTTCAGTTAATATACCAAAAAAAAACTATGCTTTTATTGTTTTTTTGTTTTTTGTTTTTTGAGACAAGGCCACGCTCTGTCGCCCAGGCTGGAGTGCAGTGGCGCAATCATGGCTCACTGCAGCCTCAATCTCGCTGGCTCAAGCGACCCTCCCACCTCAGCCTCTTGAGTAGCTGGGACTACAGTTACACATCACCACAGCTGGCTAATTTTGTTTATTTTTTTGCAGAGACGAGGTCTCACTATGTTGCCCAGGCTGGTCTCAAACTTCTGGGCTTAAGTGATTATCCTGCCTTGGCTTCCCAAAGTACCGGGATTACAGGCATGGGCCACTGCTGCTGGCCTAAAACTATGTTGTTTTGTTAATTTTTTATTTTTCATTTTCTTGTCCCCCACGTTCAACCAACTAAAACTACGTTTTTATCTACTGTATATACAAAGAGAGAAAGAAAGCAAATGGGGCAAAATGTTATCAACTGATAAATCTAGGTAAGGGAGGAAGAATCTTTGTATCATTCTTGAAGCTCTTCTGTAAGCTTTAAAGTATTTCCAAATTAAAAAATAATAATAATAATAACTACCCAAACCAGGAACCTCCCTAAAGTGAGTGGCCTTCATCCTACTCTTTTTCCCCCAGCCCTGGCCCTCGGTTAGTGTCCTGGGTGAACAGGGTAGTGTTAGGGGCACAGGTGGAGGCCAGAAGGGCAGAGGCCCTCCGCTTCAGAACATTCCTCGGCTCGCAACATTTCCTGATCTGACCTCTGGGGAGGCCACAGAGCCAGGCCAGGAGCGACTCACCCGCGGGGCTCCCAGGGCGGTGGAGGAGCCCTTCCCCGCAGAGAGGGCCCCAGCCGGCAGGTGCCGCTGTTGAGCCAGCTCTGGCAGAACCTGGCTGAGGCTCAGCCAGGCCCTGGAGCTGGTCAGCCCATGGTTTTCTTCCAGAACCCAGCCCACCAGGGTCTGTGAGCAGCCTCACTCCTCTTTGCCTCCATCTGGCCTCGGGCTCCCAGGCCCTCAACTTCCCCGCATTCCCGTCGCCATCACGGAAGCCCCAAGGCAACTCCTTGGGATAATGCCAAGTGGAGGAGGGGAGGAGTGCAGGAAGAGGCTTCAATCCTTGGCCCTAAAATCTAAGCTGCAAATTAATCCTACCCCTCTCCTCCACCCCATCTCCCTCTCCTCCTCCTCCTCCTCCTCTCCTCCACCTCCTACTCTCCTCCACCCCATCTCCCTCTCCTCCCCCTCCTCCTCCTCCTCTACAGGCTTTCAAAACAAACACACACCTCCCCAGCCCATCCCCCTGCCTGGGCCTTTTTCTGGGGGTTGTGGGTCCTAGACTTCAGTTCCTTCTGCTGGATCCAGAGCTCAGGGTAGAGCTGGAGAAGGGGTAACAGGGTGCTGGGGAGCAGCGCAGACAATGCCCTGTGACATTATTTCTTCCTTGTCTAGAAAGGAGTTGCTCTCACAGCCCCTTAGTCATAGGGGCTGGGCAGGGGGAGTCATTCCCTGCCTGGGCTAGTGGAGCTGGCCCTTTACCCTAGGCTTTCCCCTGACCTACTCAAACTCAGGACGAAAGAGGCCTAGAGAGGTCATTTTGTCCATCCCCTGGCTCCAGGAAAGACCATAACTGTGCATAGGTCTCCCGATCCTACATGCGTTCACTAATTCCTTCAACAGCCCTTCACTGAGCACCCGCTATGTGCGAGTACCAGGAGCTTTACCTAATGCTTAAAGCACCTTAAATCCTCACTAGGACCATCAGAGATGGGTACTATCACTCTAAATTTGTCCAAAGATTCAGTTCAATCCAGGCCTTCTCTGTGACTCCTTCCAGCCCGTGCAGTGGAATTCATCTCATTCGGCTTTGGGGCCCCCAGTGCACCTCGAATAATATCCCAGTTACTGTATTTGTGTCATCGGCTTCCAGTAATTTGTCTTCGTGGGACCCCCTCCACCACTACCAGATGGCACAGACCACAGCAATAGGGACAGTAAAGCCTGGAGGTTCTGCACTAGCCCTCACTATGTGGCCTTGAAGTTCCCTAACTTTAAGTTCAGTTTCCCATCTGTAAAACAGGGTTAACAGCAATACCTTCCTCATGGAGTTGATATGTAGGTAAAAAAAGAAGATGATATAAAGGCCTGACTTGGTGGCTCATGCCTGTAATCCCAGCCATTTGGGAGGTCAAGGCTGGCAGATTGCTTGAGGTCAGGAGTTCGAGACCAGCCTGGTCAACATCGTGAAACCCAATCTACTAGAAACACAAAAATTAGCCAGGCATGGTGGCATGCACCTGTAATCCCAGCTCTTGGGAGGCTGAGGCATGACAAACACTTGAACCCAGGAGGCGGAGGTTGCAGTGAGCCGAGATCATACCACTGCACTCCAGCTTGGGCAACAGAGCAAGACTCTGTCTCCAAAAAAAAAAAAAAAATGCATGTAAAATGCTTAGCACAATAAATTTAACTTAAAACAGGGAAGTTGGGCTGGGAGAGGTGGCTCACCCCTGTAATCCCAGCACTTTGGGAGGCTGAGGAGGGCAGATCACCTGAGGTCAGGAGTTCCAGACCAGCCTGACCAACATGGAGAAACCCCGTCTCTACAAAAAATACAAAATTAGCCAGGCGTGGTGGCGCATGCCTGTAATCCCAGCTACTGGGGAGGCTGAGGCAAGAGAATCCCTTGAACCTGGAAGGCAGAGGTTGTGGTGAGCCAAGATCATGCCATTGCGCTCCAGCCTGGGCAACAAGAGCGAAATTCCATCTCAAAACAAAACAAAACAAAACAAAACAAGGAAGTCCATCTCCACTAGAATGGCTAAAATGAAAAAAGCAGTCAACACCAAGTGTGGGCCAAGTACGTGGAGCAAAGGAATTCTCATACTGAACTGGTGAGGGTGGAAAACCATTTAACATTTTCTGTTAAAATTGAATATATTTATATAGTATGACCCAGCAACTCCAATCCTAGATATAAACTCAAGAGGAATGCATGCACATGTGTACCAAAAGACATGTAAAATAATTTTCATAGAAACACTAATCATACATAATAACCCCAAACTGGAAGCAACCCAAATGTCCAGCAGCAGCAGAATGAATGAAGGCACTTTAGTTTATTAATTCAATGGAATATTATACAGCAATGAAAAAGAATGAACAGCTACTACTCATAACAACATGGATAAATCTCACAGATATAATGTTGAAGGAAAGAAACTGAGCACCAAAGGGGTACATATAGCATGTTTATTTTCATAGAAAATTCCAAAACAGCCAACTAATCTATGTTAGGGGTCAGGATGGAGGTTACCTTGGGGAACAGTTATTAAAAACAGGACTTGGGGCTGGGCACAGTGGCTTATGCCTGTAATCCCAGCACTTTGGGAGGCCAAGGCAGGCAGACCACCTGAGGTTAAGAGTTCGAGTCCAGCCTGGCCAACATGGTGAAACCCTGTCTCTACTAAAAACACAAAAATGAGCTGGGCGTGGTGGTGCACGCCTGTAGTCCCAGCTACTCAGGAGGCTGAGGCAGAAGAATCTCTTAAACCTGGGAGGCAGAGGTTATAGTGAGCTGAGAGCCGAGATCGTGCGATTGCACTCCAGCCTGGGTGACAGAGCTAGACTCTGTCTCAAAAACAACAACAACAACAAAAAAAAAAAAACAGGGCTTGGCTGGTTCTGAGTACAGACAGAGTTGTTTCTCTTTTTCTTTGTTTCTTTTGTGAGATGAGGTCTCACTCTGTTGCCCAGGCTGGAGTGCTATTGTGAGACCTCAGCTCACTGCAGCCTTCGCCTCCCAGGCTCAAGCAATCCTCCCACCTCAGCCTCCCAAGCAGCTGGGACCACAGGCACATGCCACTGTACCCGGCTAATTTTTTGTATTTTTGGTAGAGACAGGGTTTCACCATGTTGCCCAGGCTGGTCTCAAACTCCTGGGCTCAAGTGATCTGCCTACCTTGGTCCCCGAAAAGTGATGGGACTACAGGCATGAGCCACCATTCCTGGCCAGTTGTGTCTTCATTGGGTGTGGTTACATAGGTGTGTTGACTATGAAAATTCATTAAGCTGTACACTTACTATTTATCTACTTTTTTTGTATAAATGTTGTATACTTCCATAAAAAAATTACCCTTAATATAAAATAAGACAAAGAACAAAGACGAATGAATGGAGCTACATGTATCACATAAATAAATCTTTTTTTTTTTTTTTGAGACAGAGTCTCCCTTTGTCACCCAGGCTGACGTGTGGTGGCGTGATCTTGGCTCACTGCAACCTCCGCCTCCCGGGTTCAAGCGATCCTCCTGTTTCAGCCTCCTTCAGACTACAGGCACGTGCCACCATGCCCGGCTAATTTTTGTATTTTTAGTAGAGATGGGGTTTCTCCATGTTGGCCAGGCTGGTCTCTAACTCCCGACCTCAGGTGGTCCACCCTCCTCAGCCTCCCAAAGTGCTGGGATTACAGGCGTGAGCCACTGTGCCCCGCCCACATAAATAAATCTTAAAACGTTTTAAGTAAGCAGCAAGTTATAAGATTTTGGTAGTATGATTCATAAAAATTTTTAAAGTGCTTAAGACTACATATTATTTAAGTATACATACCTAGGTAGTACAAATAAAAGACATGCAGTGGGCCAGGTGCGGTGGCTCACGCCTGTAATCCCACGAGGCGGGTGGTTCACCTGAGGCCAGGAGTGCGAGACTAGCCTGGCCAACATGGTGAAACCCCATCTCTACTAAATATACAAAAATTAGCCAGGCATGGTGGCAGGCACCCATAATCCCAGCTACTCGGGAGGCTGAGGCAGGAGAATAATTTGAATCCGGGAGGCAGAGATTCACATGAGCAGAGATTGCACCACTGCACTCCAGCCTGGGTGACAGAGTGAGACTTCGTCTCAAAAAAAAAAAAAAAATGCAGAGGAGTGATAACACTGAATGCATAACAGAGATTTTCCTTCAGTGGGAGAGAAGGGACTGAGATATGCACAAAGGAAAAAGTTTCAAAAGTTTTTCTAGGCTGGGAGTGGTGACTCTTGCCTATAATCCTAGCATTTTGGGAGGCTGAGGTAGGAGGATCACTTGAGGTCAGGAGTTTGACTCCAGCCTGGACAACATAGTGACACCCCATCTCTACAAAAAATTTAAAAATTGGCTGGGCGTGGTAGCTCACGCCTGTAATCCCAGCACTTTGGGAGGCCAAGGCGGGCAGATCATGAGGTCAGGAGACCGAGACCATAATGGCTAACACTGTGAAACCCCGTCTCTACTAAAAATACAAAAAATTAGCCGGGCGTGGTGGCCGGCGCCTGTAATCCCAGCTACTCAGGAGGCTGAGGCAGGAGAATGGCATGAACCCGAGGGGCGGAGGTTGTAGTGAGCTGAGATCACGCCAGCCTGGGCGACAGAGCGAGGCTCTGTCTCAAAAAAAAAAAAAAAAATTTAAAAATTAACCAGGCTTGGTAGTGTGTACCTGTAGTCCTAGCTACTCAGGAGGCTGACACTGGAGGATTGCTTGAGCTCAGGAGTTGGAGATTGCACTGAGCTGTGATCAAGCCACTTCACTTCAGTCTGGGCAACAGAGTGAGACTCTGTCTCTAAAAGTTAAAAAAATAATAAGAGGCCGGGCGCGGTGGCTCATGCCTGTAATCCCAGCAGTTTGGGAGGCCGAGGCAGGCGGATCACAGGTCAGGAGATCGAGACCATTCTGGCTAACACGGTGAAATCCCATCTCTACTAAAAATACAAAAAATTAGCCGGGTGTGGTGGCAGGTGCCTGTAGTCCCAGCTACTCAGGAGGCTGAGGCAGGAGAATGGCGAGAACCCAGGAGGCGGAGGTTGCAATGAGCCGAGATCACGCCACTGCACTCCAGCCTGGGTGACAGAGCGAGACTCCGTCTCAAAAAATAATAATAATAATAAGTATTTCTAGCTTTCTTTCTTTTTTTTGAGACAAAGTCTCACTCTGTCATCCAAGCTGGAGTGCAGTGGCGCGATCTCAGCTCACTGCAGCCTCTGCCTCCCCAGTTCAAGCGATTCTCCTTTCTCAGCCTCCCAAGTAGCTGGGACTACAGGCACATGCCATCACGCCCGGCTAATTTTTGTGTTTTTAGTAGAGACGGGGTTTCATCATGTTGGCCAGGATGGTCTTGATCTCCTGACCTCATGATCTGCCCACCTCGGCCTCCCAAAATCCTGGGATTACAGGGGTGAGCCACCACACTCAGCCGCTTTATGTCTTAAGCGGGATGTTCTTATCATGGGTGTTCATTTTATTATTCTGAATACTTTATATTTTTCTGATTGACATAGTTAAAAGAACTCCTCAGTAAAAGAAAGAGGGAGAGAGAGAAAAAAAGAAAAGAAGAGAAGAGAAAAGAAAAGAAAAAAGAAAAGGAGGAAGGGAGGAAATTGTGTCCTATTTATCTTTGTCTTTCCAGCACCAACCCAGTGCTGGCCCTCAATAAGTGCTTGGGGAATGAAAGATCACTCGATCACTTGGCCAGTAAAGCATCAGAACCATGGTTTGATGCCAGACCCTCCTATGCCAAATCCCAAGTCCAGGCCATTCCCTACTCTTCTGCAAACAGGGGGTGACTGGAGAGGGGTAGCAATAGTAGAGACCCCAACCTGACTCAGCACTATCTGTATCTGAACTGAATTACAGAATTACTGAATTACAGGGCACAGTGAAAGAACAAAACTTCATTAATCAGAACTCTGCAAATTCAGGGCCGGGCGCAGTGGCTCATGCCTGTAATCCCAGCACTTTGGGAGGCCGAGGCAGGTGGATCACTTGAGGTCAGGAGTTCAAGACCAGCCTGGCCAACATGGCGAAACCCCGTCTCTACTAAAAATACAAAAATTAGCCAGGCATGGTGATGGGTATCTGTAATCCCAGCTACTCAGGAGAATCACTTGCACCCAAGAGGCAGAGGTTGCAGTGAGCTGAGATTGCGCCACCACACTCCAGCCTGGGTGACAGAGTGAGACCCTGTCTAAAAAAAAAATAAAAACTGCAAATTTAGAATCGGGTGGCCCCAAATTTCTATGGATAAATACTGCTCAAATCTTCTTGTTTTTTTGTTTGTTTTGTTTTGTTTTGTTTTGTTTTGTTTTGAGACAGAGTCTCGCTCTGTCACCAGGCTGGAGTGCAGTGGCGTGATTTCGGCTCACTGCAACCGCCGACTCCCAGGTTTAAGCGATTCTCCTGCCTCAGCCTCCTGAGTAGCTGGGATAACAGCCATGCACCCCCACACCCAGCTAATTTTTGTATTTTCAGTAGAGATGGAGTTTCTCCATGTTGGCCAGGATGGTCTCGATCTCCTGACGTCATGATCCACCCACCTCGGCCTCCCAAAGTGCTGGGATTACAGGTGTGAACAACCACGCCCAGCCAAATCTTTTAATAATTTGATCTTTTTTGGAAACCTGTTCAGATTTGCCTATGTGATAGATGTAGCTCAACCCATTGGGCTCTTTTGTATCACTGCATTGTCCTTTTCATGGGAAGACGGGGCTCTCTAAGCCAACGTCTGGCCCAAACAGCTTGTGGCATTGCTTTGAACAGTGCAAAAAAATCAACAAACAGCCTTCAGCACATTAAGTCTGCGTGCAGAGATGCCACTAATTGCAGACACGTTTTATCTGTTTATTAGGCCTCATGTGGAATGCAGCCTCTGAGAAAAGCACTTCTCACCACTCAAAACCCACCGAAGCATGCCCAGCCCTGAGAGGGGCTTCTAGGAATGCAAAACGAGCTGTCTCTGCAGCCACGAGCAGAGCTAACTGCATAATAAGCACACTGGAGGGGATTCACAGGCTTTGAGGATTGTTTTGAAGGAAGAGAAATAGGTCCTACTTCTGTGGGAGACTGATTATTCCTTTAACTCCAATCAGAGCTGATAGTTTGAAGGGTAGTGAATGACGCTGGCGGTGGTTGAAGCTGCAAGAAGCCCATCTGGTTACCGCATCATCGCACACCTGCCTGCACAGCAGATTTCTCACCCTGACTGATATGCATTCAAGCAAGTTCTCTACTAGGCCACACTGATGAAGGCAGAGGTGTTACTGTACTGAATGGTAATAAAATGACAATTCTCTTCAAAAATGCTCTCGTTCACACTTTGCACTCAGACTGTCTTGCTACCAGCAACTCCCTCACCAGGCAGGCTGAAATCAGTCAGTTACTCATTCGCTCATGTATCAATTTAATATTTAACAAAAAGCCATTTGTGCCAGCCACTGTGTTAGCCACTGGGGTGACAATGACCAAGAGGTTCCCTACCCTCAGGATCTTGGAGTCAAGCTAACAGATCATTAGGATTCTGTGTGATTAGGACAATGATAGAGGGAAATACGGAAGGCAGGGCCCAGAGGAGAGTGGGGCCAGCTACTTACCTGTCCCAGCCCCTCCCCGACAGGTACCCAGCTTACCAGCCATGCCAACACCTGCCTCCCAAACTCACTCCCCTGGGTCTTTACCCTGCCTTTCTGTTGGTGACACCCCTTCCTACGCCTACCTGTCTCCAAACTGCTGCTCCTCCCCCAGGATTCAGGTCAAAATGATAGGCCCCAAATTCAGAAGGGCAGTTCATCTAAAAGGATGAAATCAGGCTGGGCATGGTGGCTCACTCCTGTCCTCTCAGCACTTTGGGAGTCTGAGGCTGGTGGATCACCTGAAGTCAGGAGTTCAAGACCAGCCTGGCCAACATGATGTCTAGTAAAAATATATATATATGGCTGGACGGGGTGGCTCACGCCTGTAATCCCAGCACTTTGGGAGGCTGAGGCACGTGGATCACCTGAGGTCAAGAGTTTGAGACCAGCCTGGCGAAACCCTGTCTCTACTAAAAATATAAAAGTTAGCAGGGTGTGGTGGTACACACCAGTAGTCCCAGCTACTCGGGAGGCTGAGGAAGGAGAATTGTTTGAACCCGGGAGGCAGAGGTTGCAGTGAGCTGAGATGGCACAACTGCACTCCAGCCTAGGCAACAGAGTGAGACTCCATCGCAAAAAAAAAAAAAAAAAAAATCCTGGACATGGTGGTTCATGCCTGTAATCCCAGCACTTTGGAAGGCTGAGGCAGGAGGATCACCTGAGGTCGGGAGTTCGAGACCAGCCTGACCAACATGGAGAAACCCCGTCTCTACTAAAAACACAAAAATACAAAATTAGCCAGGCATGGTGGTGCATGCCTGTAATCCCAGCTACTCGGGAGGCTGAAGCAGAGGAATCACTTGAACCTGGGAGGCGGAGGTTGCAGTGAGCCGAGATTTGTGCCATTGCACTCCAGCCTGGGCAAAAAGAGCAAAACTCTGTCTCAAAAAAATAAAGAAAAAAAAAAGAAGAAGGATGCAATCAGGAAGGAAAACCCTGGGGACTGTTTTGAGGAGGGCGGGGTAGTATTTTTAATGTTTTATTTCCTAAGCAAGAGGTTCATTCTATTATTCTATATGTGCCTTTCTGTGTCTGAAATATTTCATCATTATATATTTCCAAAAGAGATTCCATTCAAGCTACACTTCCATCTTTAGACCTACCTTCTGCTATGTTTCCTTGTCAAGAATCAAGCTCGAAATTCCCTGTCAGTCAAAAGCAACTTCATGTTTCTAAAGATGCATGGAAATGATTGTCACCAAGCTAGGATCCCAATTACCTCTAGGAGGGAGAGTGCAATTAGAGAGCAGAATAATGCTGGGGCTTCAACAATCACCACAATGTTGCAACTTTTTTTCTTCCTACACACAGCATTAAATGCTTCCCACACACAGCATTAAGAGTTGATAGTTCTTAAACCGGGTGATGGGTACATAGGTATTTTAGTAGAGACAGGATTTCGCTGGGCAACATGGCAAAACCCCATCAATATTTTAGCCATAAATATAAAATATTATATAAAATATTGTATAATATTTTACGGCCATGTGTGTGTGTGTGTGTGTGTGTGTGTGTGTATTTTTTTTTTTTTTTTGAGACGTAGTTTCGCTCTTGTTGCCCAGGCTGGAGTGTAATGCCGCCATCTCGGCTCACTGCAACCTCCATTTCCCAGGTTCAAGTGATTCTCCTGCCTCATCCTCCCTAGTAGCTGGGATTACAGGCATGCGCCACTACACCCAGCTAATTTTGTATTTTTGGTAGAGACAGGGTTTCACCATTTTGGTCAGGCTGGTCTCGAACTCCCGACCTCAGGTGATCCACCCACCTCGGCCTCCCAAAGCGTGGGGATTACAGGCTTGAGCCACCGCACCCAGCTTAAAATATTGTATAATATTTTATGGCTAAAATACCATATAATAAATTAAACATTTGAAAAGTAACTCTGGGCCGAGAGGGGTGGTTCACGCCTGTAATCTCAGCACTTTGGGAGGCCAAGGCAGGTAGATCACTTGAGGTCAGGAGTTCAAGACCAGCCTGGCCAACATGGTGAAACCCTGTCTCTAGCAAAAATATAAAAAATTAGCTGGATGTGGTGGCGTGTGCCTGTAGTCCCAGATACTGGGGAGGCTGAGGCAGGAGAATCGCTTGAATCCAGGAGACAGAGGTTGCAAGATTGCACCACTGCACTCCAGCCTGGGCGACAAAGCTGGACTCCATCTCAAAAAATTAAAAAATACAAATACAAATACAAAAATTAGCCAGGTGTTGTAGTGCAGGCCTGTAATCCGAGCTACTTGAGAGGCTGAGGCAGGAAAATTGCTTGAACCTGGGAGGCGGAGGTTGCAGTGAGCCAAGATAGTGCCACTGAACTCCAGCCTGGGTGACAGAGCAAAACTCCATTTAAAAAAAAAAAAAGAAAGAAAAAGACGGGAGGAGGAGGGAAGAAGGAAGGGAGAAAGGGAGAAGGGGTTGGGCACAGCAGCTCACACCTGTAATCTCAGCACCTTGGGAAGCCAAGGCAGGAGAATCGATTGAGGCCAGAAGTTTGAGATCAGCCTGGGCAACATAGGAAGACCACATCTCTACGAAAAAATAAAGGGAAGATAGAAGAAAAAAGGAAGATGGAAGGTAGCAGTTAATGCAGTTGATAAGGAAGAGCAAAGAGGTGGCTCTCTGCTAGGCATGGAGGGAACACTAAGTTTTGACGTGCTGGTGTAGAGCAGAGGGCAGCAACAGAGACATGAGTCTGTGTCTTTTTTTTTTTTTTTTTTTTTTGAGACGTAGTCTCGCTCTGTCGCCCAGGCTGGAGTGCAGCGGTGCAATCTCGGCTCACTGCAACCTCCACCTCCCCAGTTCCAGCAATTCTCCTGCCTCAGCCTCCCAAGTAGCTGGGACTACAGGTTCCCACCACCACGCCTGGCTAATTTTTGTATTTTTAGTAGAAACGGGGTTTCACCATATTGGCCAGGCTAGTCTCAAACTCCTGACCTTGTGATCCACCTGCCTCGGCCTCCCACAGTGCTGGGATTACAGGCGTGAGCCACCGCGCCCAGCCGAGGCTGTGTCTTGATGTAATGAGCAACGTGGGGTGGCTGAGCTGGATGCTGCAGCTGGGCTGCCTGGGCTCAACTCCTGGTGTGACTTTTTTTTTTTTTTTTTTTTTTTAGAGACGAGGTCTCACTATGTTGCTCAGGCTAGTCTCCAACTCCAGAACTCAAGTGATTCTCCCACCTCAGCCTCCCAAAGTGCTAAGATTACAAGTATGAGCCGCCACACCCAGCCCGGATGTGACCTCTTATTAACGATGTGACTTTGGACACCTTACTTCAATTTCTTTATCCTGCAAAATGTTTATGGGGATCATATAAGATGAACTACTGACTGGGTAATTTATTTAAAAAAAAAAGAGATTTATTTGGCTTATGGTTCTGGAGGGCAAGAAGTCCAAGATCAAGGGGTCCTGTCTGGTGAGGGCCTCCTTGCTGCATCATGACATGACAGAAGGCATGACATGGTGGAAGTATGCAAGACAGAGAAAGGAAATCTGCCAAACTTATCCTTTTATCAGGACCCAATCCCACAACTAACACACTTCCTCGATAACGGCATTGATCCATTCACGAGGGCAGAGCCCTCATGACCTAATCCCCTCTTAAACGTCTCACTTCTTTTTTTTTTCTGGAGACAGAGTCTCTCTGGCGCCAGGCTGGAGTGCAGCAGTGCAATCTGCGCTCACTGCAATCTCTGCCTCCTGGGTTCAAGCAATTCTCCTGCCTCAGCCTCCTGAGTAGGTGGGACTACAGGCACGTGCCACCACGCCAGGCTCATTTTTTGTATTTTTAGTAGAGAAGGGGTTTCACCATGTTGGCCAGGATGGTCTCCAACTCCAGACCTCATGATCCGCCCGCCTCGGCCTTCCAAAATGCTGGGATTACAGGCATGAGCCACCACGCCTGGCCAAATGTCTCACTTCTTAATGTTGTCACAATGGGCCAGGCATGGTGGCTCACGCCTGTAATCCCAGCACTTTGGGAGGCCAAGGCGGGCAGATCACCTGAGGTCAGGAGTTCCAGACCAGCCTGACCAACGTGGTGAAACCCCATCTCCACTAAAAATACAAAAATTAGCTGTGCGTGTTGGTATATGCCTGTAATTTCAGCTACTTGGAAGGCTGAGACAGGAGAATTGCTTGAACCCGGGAGGCGGAGGTTGCCATGAGCTGAGATTGTGGCATTGCACTCCAGCCTGGGTGACAAGAGCAAAACTCTATCTAAAAAAAAAAAAATTGTCGCAATGGTAATTAAATCCTAACACTAGTTTTGGAGGGGACATTCAAGCCATATCACAATGGTTGGCATTGAGCAAGTGCTGGATATTGTTATCACTTGTATTATTACTTATAAGTCACATGACCCTAAACAAGTAATTTCAGATCTCCAAAAGACAGTCTTCCCACTCGGGAAATGGATCTCACCATATCACCCAAATAAACTCATATGGCCGGGCGTGGTGGCTGATGCCTGTAATCCCAGCACTTTGGGAGGCCAAGGTGGGCGGATCAGGAGGTCAGGAGATCAAGACCAACCTGGCTAACACGGTGAAACCCCGTCTCTACTAAAAATACAAAAAATTAGCTGGGCGTTGTGGCACGCACCTGTATTCCCAGCTACTCAGGAGGCTGAGGCAGGAGAATCGCTTGAACCCGGGAGGTGAAGGTTGCAGTGAGCCGAGATGGCGCCACTGCACTCACCTGGGAGACAGAATGAGACTCCGTCTCAAAAAATAATAATAAAAAATAAAAAATAAACTCATATTAATGAAAGCACTTTGAATATTACAAAGTGCTTCGTAAATGAGAGTTATTGTTTAAAAATAAAACTACTGGCCAGGCATGGTGGCTCACATCTGTAAAGCACTTTGGGAGGCCAAGGCGGTAGGATCACCTGAGGTCAGGAGTTTGAGACCAGCCTGGTCAACATGGTGAAACCCTGTCTCTACTAAAAATACAAAAATTAGCTGGGTGTGATGGTGTGTGCCTGTAATCCTACCTACTGGGGAGGCTGAGGCAGGAGAATCACTTGAACCCAGGAGGTGGAGGTTGTAGTGAGCTGAGATCATGCCATTGCACTCCAGCCTGGGAGACAAGAGTGAAACGCTGTCTCAAAAAAAAAAATAATAATAATAAATAAATTAATTAATTAAAATAAAACAAATAAAATAAATAAATAAAACTTCCAGCCTGGGCAACATGGTGAAACCCTGCCTCTACCAAAAATACAAAAATGAGCCAGGTGTCATGGCGCATGCTTGTGGTCCCAGCTACTCAGGAGGCTGAGATGGGAGGATTGCTGGAGCCCAGAAAATCGAGGCTGCAGTGAGCTGATCACACCACTGCACTCCAGCCTAGGTGACAGAGTGAGACCCTGTCTCAAAAAAGAAAACTTCATATGAAAAGATCAGAAGAGAGTGTAAGCTCCATAAGGGTAGTGACTGTGTCCATCGAGCTCACTGGGATATCCCCAGCATGCACAGCGTGGATACCCAGTGCTATGAATTGAATTACACACCCCAGACAAAAAAGATATGTTAAAGTCCCAACTCCTAGTATCTTTGAATGCAACCTTATGTGGAAACAGTCTTTACAGAGGTAATCAAGTTAAAATGAGGTTATTAGGGTGGGCCCTAATGACTGGTGTCTCTATAAAAAGGAGAAATTTAGTCCGGGCGCGGTGGCTTACGCCTGTAATCCCAGCAGTTTGGGAGGCCGAGGTGGGCTAATCACCTGAGGTTGGGAGTTCAAGACCAGCCTGACCAACATGGAGAAACCCTGTCTCTACTAAAAATACAAAAAATTAGCCGGGCATGGTGGCGCATGCCTGTAATTCCAGCTACTCAGGAGGCTGAGGTAGGAGAATCGCTTGAACCCGGGAGTCAGAGGTTGCGATGAGCTGAGATTGTGCCATTGCACTCCATCCTGAGCGACAAGAGTGAAACTCCATCTCAAAAAAAAAGGGAAAATTTGGACACAGAGACACACATGCATAGAGGGAAGATGGACATGTGAAAACAAGGAATTGAAGCCATGCATTTACAAGTCAAGGAATGCCAAAGATTGCCAGCAAACCACTAGAAGCTAAAAATAGGCAAGGAAGGCCAGGTGCGGTGGCTCATGCCTGTAATCCCAGCTCTTTGACAAGCCAAGGTGGGAGGATTACTGGGGGCCAGGAGTTTGAGACCAGCCTGGGCATTATAGCAATATCCTGTCTCTATACATAAAAGTAAATAAAGAGGCAAGGAAGGATCTTTCTCCCACTGGTTTTAAAGAAAGTGTGGCCCTACCAACACCTTAAGACTTCTGTCCTCCAAAACTGAAACAATACACTTCCATTGTTCTAAACCACTCGGGGGTACTTTATTATAGCAACTTAGGAAACAAATACACCCAGTCAATATCTGTTGAATGAACAAATGGTGCTGCTTGTGTTCCTGATGAGTCATGGCATCTTTTCACCAGGAGAGAGGGATGTGTGTGTCCAGGCAGGACAATGGAAAGGTGCCTGGCCTGCTCTGCAGAGGGTACAGAGTGGCAGTGAGCCAGGTAAGGCAGGACCTTCTTTTTTTTTTTTTTTTTTTTTGAGATGGAGTCTCGCTCTGTGGCCCAGGCTGGAGTGCAGTGGTGCAATCTCAGCTCACTGCAGCCTCTGCCTCCCCAGTTCAAGTGATTCTCCTTCCTCAGCCTCCTGAGTAGCTGGGACTACAGGCACCCACCACCATGCCCGGCTAATTTTTTTGTATTTTTAGTAGAGATGGGGTTTTACCGTGTTAGCGAGGATGGTCTCGATCTCCTGACCTTGTGATATGCCCGCCTCGGCCTCCCAAAGTGCTGGGATTACAGGCATGAGCCACCGTGCCCGGCCAGGACTTTTTTTTTTGAGATGGAGTCTCGCTTTGCTGTCCAGGCTGGAGTGCAATGGCATGATCTCAGCTCACTGCAACCTCCACCTCCCAGGTTCAAGTGATTCTCCTGCCTCAGTCTCTCAAGTAGCTGAGATTACAGGCGTGCACCACCATGCCTGGCCAATTTTTGTATTTTTAGTAGAGATGAGGTTTCACCATATTGGCCAGGCTGATCTCAAACTCCTGATCTCAAGTGATCCACCTGCCTCAGCCTCCCAGAGTGCTGGAATTACAGGCATGAGCCACTGCACCTGGCCAAAGTCAGGATTTGAACCTGGGCTGTCCAACACCAGTCTGTGCTCTCAATCTCTGCACTTGCCAAGACCTCAGAGTAACTCAGCTGGCTCTAGAGAACCCTCCCTGTCCTGGCCTCCAAGTGGCCTCCTTCTTCCCCACCTCTGCTCTGAGTGAAGCAGAAGAAATGGGGCTGGGATAATCAAGAAGATACTAAGGAGGAAGCAAGGATAGCATTTGATTCTGAAACTTCCGGGGAGCTCATACACAGCACTTGCCCCCATGTGTGCCACCAGCAGGAGGCCTGGAGTAAACCCCAGTGCGGAGGCCCCCTCGCCTGGATAGGACAGAAGTCATCACGCGCGTGCACACACACACACACACACACACACACACACACACACACACACATGCACACACACCCCGGTGCAGGGCGTTGTGCTGTTGTGGCAAAAAAGCAACAGTTCCTTGCTAGGCAGAATTTCAGAATCTGATTGCTGGAGGAGCACTTGGCATGTTTTCTGGTCTGACCTCCTGCCCTTTCACAGGCACCCTGGCACATCCACTGATGGGAGCCAGGAGTCTCTGGGGACAGCCTGACCCCTAGCTGAGTGGTGGAAATTCCTCCTTCCCTTTAACTTGAGCTCTGCCCATTTCCTGGTCGGCCCTCTAAAGCTCCCCTGCCTGGTATCTAAACCCTGGAGGTCGTGCCATCTTGGAATCCTCCTAGGGATGTGGGCAGGTGCAAGGCACTCCACACTTGGGACTCCTGGTCAGGGCAAGCCGGGCAGAGAAAACCTCTGCAGCTCTCTGAACTCTGGTTCTCAGCCCTGGGTGTACCTGAGCATCCCCCAGGGAGCCTCAAAAATCCCAGAACAATTAAATCAGAAATTCTGGGCCGGGTGCGGTGGCTCATGCCTGTAATCCCAAGACTTTGGGAGGCCGAGGTGGGCAGATCACTTGAGGTCAGGAGTTGGAAACCAGCCTGGCCAACATGGTGAAACCCCGTCTCTACTAAAAATATAAAAAATTACCCAGGCGTGGTGGCGGGCGCCTGTAGTCCCAGCTACTCAGGAGGCTGAGGCAGGAGAATGGCATGAACCCGGGAGGTGGAGCTTGCAGTGAGCCAAGATCACGCCACTGCACTCCAGCCTGGGAGACAGAGCGAGACTCCATCTCAAAAAAAAAAAAAAAGAAAGAAAGAAAGAAAAAGAAAAAAAAAGAAATTCTGGGCATGGAACCCAGGCACTGGAACTGTGAAAACTTTCTCAGGTAATTCCAGTGGGAAGTAACATTGAGAAGCAATGATTTCTTGAACATAGGAGTTCTGCAAAGGGAGGGAAGCTGGACTCTGGCAAGATGGAAAGCAGCAGGAAGGCAGTCATAGGGAAAGGCTTCCAAAAAAGTAGAAGGTCTGGTACAGATAGGAGTTTAAAAAATTAAATAGGCTGGATGCAGTGGCTCACGCCTGTAATCCCAACACTGTGGGAAGCTGAGGCGGGTAGATCACCTGAGGTCAAGAGTTCAAGACCAGCCTGGTCAGCATGGTGAAAGCCCGTCTTTACTAAAAATACAAAAATTAGCCAGGCGTAGTGGCACGAGCATCTAGCCCCAGCTACTCAGGAGGCTGAGAAGCAGACAAATTGCTTGAACCCGGGAGGCAGAGGTTGCAGTGAGCTGAGATCGTGCCACTGCACTCCAGCCTGGGTGACCGAGCGAGACTCCATCTCAAATAATAATAATAATAATAAATAATTTTTAAAAATGGAAAAGTAGAATGGTGGTATTCAGGGGCTAGAAGAACGTGGGAAATGATGAGTTATTGTTTAATGTGTATAGAGTCTTAGTTGAGAAGATGAAGAGAGATGGATGATGGCGAGGTTACAGAACAATTTGAATGTATTTAATGCCACTGAATTGTACACTTCATTTTTTAATTTTTTTTTGAGACGGAGTCTCGCTCTGTCACCCAGGTTGGAGTACAGTGGCGCGATCTCTGCTCACTGCAAGCTCCGCCTCCCGGGTTCAGGCCATTCTCCTGCCTCAGCCTCCCGAGTAGCTGGGACTACAGGCGCCCGCCACCACGCCCAGCTAATTTTTTGTATTTTTAGTAGAGACGGGGTTTCACCGTGTTAGCCAGGATGGTCTCGATCTCCTGACCTCGTGATCCACCCACCTTGGCCTCCCAAAGTGCTGGGATTTACAGGCGTGAGCCACCATGCCCGGGGTGAATTGTACTCACGCCTGTAATCCCAACACTGTGGGAAGCTGAGGCGGGTAGATCACCTGAGGTCAAGAGTTCAAGACCAGCCTGGTCAGCATGGTGAAAGCCCGTCTTTACTAAAAATACAAAAATTAGCCAGGCGTAGTGGCACGAGCATCTAGCCCCAGCTACTCAGGAGGCTGAGAAGCAGACAAATTGCTTGAACCCGGGAGGCAGAGGTTGCAGTGAGCTGAGATCGTGCCACTGCACTCCAGCCTGGGTGACCGAGCGAGACTCCATCTCAAATAATAATAATAATAATAAATAATTTTTAAAAATGGAAAAGTAGAATGGTGGTATTCAGGGGCTAGAAGAACGTGGGAAATGATGAGTTATTGTTTAATGTGTATAGAGTCTTAGTTGAGAAGATGAAGAGAGATGGATGATGGCGAGGTTACAGAACAATTTGAATGTATTTAATGCCACTGAATTGTACACTTCATTTTTTAATTTTTTTTTGAGACGGGGTTTCACCGTGTTAGCCAGGATGGTCTCGATCTCCTGACCTCGTGATCCACCCACCTTGGCCTCCCAAAGTGCTGGGATTTACAGGCGTGAGCCACCATGCCCGGGGTGAATTGTACACTTGAAAATGACTGGCTGGGCGCGGTGGCTCACGCCTGTAATCCCAGCACTTTGGGAGGCCAAGGCGGGCGGATCACGAGGTCAGGAGATCGAGACCATCCTGGCTAACACGGTGAAACCCCGTCTCTACTAAAAACACAAAAAATTAGCTGGGCGTGGTGGCGGGCGCCTGTAGTCCCAGCTACTCGGGAGGCTGAGACAGGAGAATGGCTTGAACCCGGGGGGTGAAGTTTGCAGTGAGCCGAGATCACGCCACTGCACTCCAGCCTGGGCGACAGAGTGAGACTCTGTGTCAAAAAACAAACAAACAAAAACGATTAAAATGGGCTGAGAGCGGTGGCTCACGCCTGCAATCCTAACAGTTTGGAAGGCCAAGGTGGGCAGATCACTTGAGGTCAGGAGTTTGAGACCAGCCTGGCCAACACGGTGAAACATTAGCCGGGCATGGTGGTGCATGCCTGTAGTCCCACCTATTTGGGAGTCGGAGGTGAGAGAATTGCTTGAACCGGGGAGGTGGAGGTTGCAGTGAGCCAAAATCGTGCCATTGCACTCTAGCCTGGGCGATAGAGCAAGACTGTCTCAAAAAATATATATTAATAAAATGGTTAAAATGGCAAATTTTATGTAATGTATATATAATGTATATTTCTAACAATAAAAGAAAAATAAAAGAGAGAGTCATAGATTTAGGCAGATATTTAATCCAGCCTAAAGCTAGGATGTTGAATTAGCTAACGTCTATGAGTATCTCGCATGTCTCTTTCCAACACATCTATATCTGTGTCTATATCTGCACATCTATCTGTCCACCCATCTAATCTTTTTTTTTTTTTTGAGACAGGGTCTCACTCTGTCACCCAGGCTAGAGTGCAGTGCCGCGATCACAGCTCACTGCAGCCTCAACCTCCTGGGTTCAAGTGATCCTCCCACCTCAGCCTCCAGGTGTGCACCACCACACCCGGATAATTTTTGTATTTTTAGTAGAGATGGGCTTTCACCATGTTGGCCAGGCTGGGCTCAAACTCCTAACCTCAAGTGATCCACCTGCCTCGTCCTCCCAAAGTGCTGGGCTTATAGGTGTGAGCCACTGTGCCCAGTCCATTTGTTTTTGTTTGTTTTTTACTTTTAGTAGAGATGGGATCTCCTTGTGTTGCCCAAGCTAGTCTAGAACTCCTGACCTCAAGCGATCCCTCTGCCTCGGCCTCTCAAAGTGCTGGAATTACAGGTGTGAGCCACCATGCCCGGCCTGTATAGCCATTTGGAAAAATTAAGACTACAACAATAATTTTGTGTGTGTGTGTGTGTGTGTGTGTGAGAGAGAGAGAGACAGAGAGAGAGAGAGTCTAGCTCTGTTGCCCAGTCTGGAGTGCAGTGGTGCCATCTCAACTCACTGCAACCTCCAACTCCTGGGTTCAAGCCTCCTGCCTCAGCCTCCTGCGTAGCTGGGATTACAGGCGCCTGACACCACGCCCAGCTAATTCTTGTATTTTTAGTAGAGACGGGGTTTCACCATCTTGGCCAGGCTGGTCTCAAACTCCTGACCTCGTGATCCACCTGCCTCAGCCTCCCAAAGTGCTGGGATTACAGGCATGAGCCACCATGCCCAGCCTACAACAATTTTTTTTTTTTTTTTTGAGATGGAGTCTCACTCTGTTGCCCAGGCTGAAGTGCAGTGGTGCAATCTCGGCTCACTGCAACCTCCGCCTCCTGGGTTCACACCACTCTCCTGCCTCAGCCTCCTGAGTAGCTGGGACTACAGGCGCCCGCCACCACACCCGGCTAATTTTTTTTTTTTTTGTATTTTTAGTGGAGACGGGTTTCACCATGTTAGCCAGGATGGTCTCGATCTCCTGACATCGTGATCTGCCTGCCTCAGCCTCCCAAAGTGCTGGGATTACAGGCGTGAGCCACCGCGCCCGGCCTACAACAATAATTTTTAAAATCTGCTAGAATCTGGAGCTCAGGGAAAGAGGGGAGGAGAGGGAGCAGGGGATTGCTGCCTGGGGAGGCCAGGGAAGCCAGGGTTGTTCAGGAGAGAGCCTGGGAGGAAGGGTATAGACCTGTGGCAACAAACACAACTAATGTGAATTACAAGTGAGGACAGTGGGACCAGGGGCCCAGAGAAAAAAGATCCTCTTTCTCAGAGGCTCAAGAGGGAAACAGCTGGCTGGTGCTGAGAAGCAAAGGCATGGAGGTCAAGCCCTTAAGGATGTGGGGCCTGGGGACTTCGTGGTCCTCAGGCTGGGAACTTGCCAGCCCGGCAGCCACAGGGCTCGGCTCAAGGTACGGGCCACGAGGGAGCCTGTCCAGGTCCTCAAACTGTGGCAAAGCAGTCACCACATGGCTGACTGAGGCTCACGTGGGTCACAATGTCCATCTCATGACTTAGTCTCCTTGAGCACATCCTCCTGAGGCATCAGGTAAGGAGAGGGACCTGTCATGGATGCCCTGAGGCAGGACACAGCAGGTGCCTTGAGGGCTCGTCTGGGGTTTTCCATCTTAAACGGGGTCTAGAGGGGGCTTCTGGGGCAGGTGGTCTCTGGAATGTCCATGCTCACAAGCCGCCGGGACACAGTGGCCAACTGGGTGTCAGCTGTGCAGCCTGTCCCCCTGACAGGCCAGGCCTGAGCAGTCCCCTCCTTTCTCTGGCTCCACAAAAGACTTCCTCTTTGAGGGGCAAGGGTGGAGGTTCAGCCATGAAAATATGGATAAATACAGTTTGAAGGGATGCGGGGAGGAACAATAAAATCTCCTTATTTGAGGGGGAAGAAAAACAATGCTTCCCACACATCCACTTGCCTGAAGGGCTCGGGGTCCAGGGCCCCCTCCCAGCCCCCACGAAGGCTGTCCTCAGCCTGGCGCAGTGGCTCACGCCTGTAATCCCAGCACTTTGGGAGGCCGAGGCCGGTGGATCACCTGAGGTCAGGAGTTCAAGACCAGCCTGACCAACAAGGTAAAAACCCGTTTCTACTAAAAATACAAAAATTAGCCAGGCGTGGTGGCGGGCGCCTGTAGTCCCAGCTACTCAGGAGACTGAGACAGGAGAATTGCTTGAACCCAGGAGGCAGAAATTGCAGTGAGTCGAGATCATGCCACTGCACTCCAGCGTGGGCAACAGAGCGAGACTCTGTCTCAATTAAAAAAAAAAAAAAAGGCCAGGCGTGGTGGCTCATGCCTGTAATCCCAGCACTTTGGGAGGCTGAGGCAGGTGGATCACGAGGTCAGGAGATCGAGATCATCCTGGCTAACATGGTGAAACCCCATCTCTATTAAAAATACAAAAAATTAGCCAGGCCTGGTGGCGGGTGCCTGTGGTTCCAGCTACTTGGGAGGCCAAGGCAGGAGAATGGAGTGAACCTGGGAGGCAGAGGTTGCGGTGAGCCGAGATTGCACCACTGCACTCCAGCCTGGGTGACACAGCGAGACTCCATCTCAAAAAAAAAAAAAAAGAAAGAAAGAAAGAAAAGAAAGAAAGAAAGAAAGAAAGAAAGAAAGAAAGAAAGAAAGAAAGAAAGAAAGAAAGAAAGAAAGAAAGAAAGAAAGAAAAAGCTGTCTTCCTAGAGAGGCTGGTAGAGAGGGCAGAGAGGAAACCTGCTCCCAAAGTTAAGGGAGGGAGGGCCGGGAGCGGTGGCTCATGATCGAGATCATCCTGGCCAACACGGTGAAACCCCATCTCTACTAAAAATACAAAAATTAGCTGGGCGTGGTGGCCTGTGCCTGTAATCTCAGCTACTCGGGAGGCCAAGGCAGGAGAATTGCTTGAACCAGGGAGTAGCAGGGAGTAGGAGGTTGCAGTGAGCCAAGATCGCGCCACTGCACTCCAGCCTGGCAACAGAGCGAGACTCTGTCTCAAGAAAAAAAAAAAAAAGAAAAAAGAAAAAAGTTAAGGGAGGGAGACAGTGAGAACTCCCAAGAACCACCTTGTAATAGAGCTACTCATGATTACACAATGTCCTGGAAGTCGTAAAATGTATGGCTGCTTCCATCTGAGCACACCTCCCACACAGCTGGCACTTGGCTAAGCCTTTAATTTACTTTATCTCTTTGAAGATAGGAGACTAAGGTGGTCAAGGGCTCAAACTACAATCAGAGAACCGGCTAAGGCTCCAGTATGGCAGGAATTGTGTGGCCTTGGGCAAGTTTCTCAACCTCTCTGAGCTCAAGTTTCTTCATCTCCTGTGTCTTACCCTAAACCCCACAGTATTAATCACACTGTCCCCTGGCTCCACCTTCACTGCCTGGACTCACAGGGAGGAGGCAGGAGATCAACGGGGTGGTTGGCCAGGCAGCATTGTTCCAGGTAGAAGCCCCCTGGCCAGGGATGGGTCCTGGAGGATGCAGGATCCTAAACTGGCCTGAGGCCACCTCCCAACCCTTTGAACAAATGAAGAAAAAGAGCCCCTGAGTGAGAAGAAGAACTGGGATGGATCACAGGGCTCAGGACTCCTGGTCCAGTGCTCCCTCTACAGCAGCACCCTCGGGGAGTCTGTGTGTTTCAGGTACAGACACCAAGAGACCAGAGAGTTTTCCCCTCGTGGCTCTACCACCAGAATATCCAGAATGAGTAAACCCATAGAAACAAAAAGCAGATTGGTGGCTGCCAGACTAGGGAAGGACGGAATGGGGAGTAAATGCTTAATGGGTACAGGGTTTCCTTTTGGAGTGATAATGTTTGAAACTAGAAGTGGCAGTTGCACACATCATGAATATGTACTAAATGCCACTGGGTTGTTCACGTTTTTGTTTTTGTTTTTTTTTGAGACGGAGTCTTGCTCTGTCGCCAGGCTGGAGGGCAGTGGCGCGATCTTGGCTCACTGCAACCTCCACCGCCTGGGTTCAAGCGATTCTCCTGCCTCAGCCTCCTGAGTAGCTGGGACTACAGGCGCGCGCCACCCACACCCAGCTAATTTTTTGTATTTTTAGTGGAGACAGGGTTTCACCACATTGGACAGGATGATCTCCATCCCCTGACCTCACGATCCACCCGCCTCGGCCTCCCAAAGTGCTGGGATTACAGACATGAGCCACTGAGCCCAGCCTTTTTTTTTTTTTTTTTTTTTTTTGAGGCAAGGTCTCACTGTCACCCAGGATGGAGTGCAGTGACGCAATCACAGCTCACTGCATCCTTGACCTTCTGGGTTTAAGCAATCCTTCCACCTCAGCTTCCTGAGTAGCTGGGACTACAGATGTGCACCAACACACCTGAATGTTTTGTTTGGTTGTTTTTTTTTTTTTTTGGTAGAGACAGGGTCTCATCATGTTGCACAGGTTGGTCTCGAACTCGGGCTCAAGCAATCTTCCCACCTGGGCCTCTCAAAGTGCTGGGATTACACATGTGAGCCACCATGCCCTGGCCTTATTCACTTTTTTTCTTTTCTTTTTTTTTTTTTTTAAAAGGAGTCTCGCTCTGTCGCCCAGGCTGGAGTACAGTGGTGCGATCTCGGCTCACTGCAACCTCCGCCTCCTGGGTTCAAGAGATTGTCCTGCCTCAGCCTCCCAAGAAGCTGGGATTATAGGCACATGCCGCCACGCTCAACTAATTTTTTTTCTTTTTTCTTTTTTTTTTTTTTTGTTTTTTTGAGACGGAGTCTCACTCTGCTGCCCAGGCTGGAGTGCAGTGGTGCGATCTCAGCTCACTGCAACCTCCACCTCCCGGGTTCAAGTGATTCTCCTGCCTCAGCCTCCTGAGTAGCTGGGATTACAGGTGCACGCCACCACACCCGGCTAATTTTTGTATTTTTAGTAGAGACGGGGTTTCACCATGTTGGTCATGCTGGTCTCAAACTACTGACCTCATGATCCACTTGCTTTGGCCTCCCAAAGTGCTGGGATTACAGGTGTGAGCCAGCGTGCCTGACTTAATTTTTATATTTTTTAGTAGAGATGGGGTTTCACCCTGTTGGCCAGGCTGGTCTCGAACTCCTGACCTCAGGTAATCCGCCCACCTCAGCCTCCCAAAGTGCTGGGATTACAGGCATGAGCCACCCACACCCGCCCTTTGTTCACTTTTAAAGGGGTGATTTTGTGGCATGTAAATTTCACTTCAAGAATGAAAAATAGGCTGGGTGCGGTGGCTCACGCCTTTAATCCTGGCACTTTGGGAGGCCAAGGTGGACGGATCACCTGAGGTCAGGAGTTTTTTGTTTTTTTTTTTTTTGAGACGGAGTCTGGCTCTGTCGCCCAGGCTGGAGTGCAGTGGCGCGATCTCGGCTCACTGCAAGCTCCGCCTCCCAGGTTCATGCCATTCTCCTGCCTCAGCCTCCCGGTAGCTGGGACTACAGGCGCCCGCCAGCACACCCGGTTATTTTTTTGTATTTTCAGTAGAGACAGTGTTTCACAGTGTTAGCCAGGATGGTCTCGATCTCCTGACCTCGTGATCCGCCCACCTCAGCCTCCCAAAGTGCTGGGATTACAGGCGTGAGCCACTGCGCCTGGCCAGGAGTTTTTGAGACCAGCCTGGCCAACAGGCTGAAACTCTGTCTCTACTAAAAATACAAAAACTAGCTGGGCATGGTGGCGGGCACCTGTAATCCCAGCTACATCGGAGGCTGAGGCAGGAGAATTGCTTGAACCTGGGAGGCGGAGGTTGCAGTGAGCTGAGACTGCGCCATTGCACTCCAGCCTGGGCAACAAGAGTGAAACTGCGTCTCAAAAACCAAAACAACAAACAAAAAAAGAATGAAAAATAAGCTGGGCATGGTGGCTCATGCCTATAATCCCAGCACTTTGGGAGGCTGAGATGGGCAGATCACCTGAGGTCAGGAGTTTTTGAGACCAGCCTGGCCAACAGGATGTAAACCCGTCTCTACTAAAAATACAAAAATAAGCTGGGCGTCGTGGCAGGTGCCCGTAATCCCAGCTACTCGGGAGGCTGAGGCAGGAGAATTGCTTGAACCTGGGGGGGCAGAGGTTGCAGTGAGCTGAGATCGCACCACTGCACTCCAGCCTGAGCAACAGTGAGACTCTGTCTCAAAAAAAAATAAATAAATAAAAAATAAAAAGAATGGTACCAGTAGCTAAGAGTGGACAAGTGCTAAAGAGGTAGGGGTGGTAACAGGAGGGGCTGAGGGCTGGGAGAGGGGAAGACTTGGCAGAAACAGGTAAGGTTTAGGTGGTGGAAAGGTTTGAGGGAAGGTCCCAGGCTGCAGGTGAAGGTAGTCTGGAGGAAGCTGACTTTGATCCCTTGGCCAGCAGGGGAGAAGCAGAAGGAGCGGGATTCAAGGAAGGCCCTTGCAGCCTCTGGGCTGTTTGCTTCCTCTCTGACTGGAAGGTCCTGGTTAGGGGGTAGGGCCTGCATCCTTTGAGCTGTTTCACTTTCAAAGTGGCATCACAGGTGGATGGTTCTTTTAAAAACCCTGGCACCAATGGAATGAAATGGAACACGTAGGCAGCAGGAAGATTCGCCGCCGCCCACACCAGGGAAGTGAGGCCGGCACTGGGCTGCATGTGTGCCACCTCCAGGCGGCCAGGAGACTCCCCAGGGCAGAGAGGGCCTGCCCAGCACCCATGGCAGCTTCAGCACTTGCAGAGGGCAGCACCCCCTGGGGCCTGGGGTGGGGGAAGGGATTGGGTGAGCACCATGGGCTCCTTTGTCAGACCCAGGAAGGAGAGTGGGGGCAGCTACCGGAAGTAGGGGGATGAGAAGCTCCCTCCGGAATGTATGCCCCCCTCTCCCCTCCCCTCTCCTCCCCTCCCCACATGCACAGCCCCTGCACATGCTCAGTGTGCCCATGAATTGGGTTGGTTGGGGGAGGGCACTGACTGGCACCCCCACTTAAAGGGCCAGTGCCACACTTGCCTGTTCCCAACAAGGGCAATGGGACCTGGCCACCTTTCCCCCCAATACCGTTACTTCCCTTTGGACCCCCTCCCCCCACTCCCTGGCAGCTTCTTCCTGCCCCAGCCCACCAATCTCTGCCTACCCCTCTCCCTCATACTCTGACCCTATTGCAGGCAGGGTCTGTCCACTGGGCACAGGAGTTTCCACCTGGGGTCGGGCAGTTCCTGCCGGGGAAGAAAGAGGGATCCTAAGACAGGCTGGGCAGGGGTGGTGGGAGGCTTCAACAGTCACTCCCATGAAACATATGTTCTCTGCGCTTCCCTTCCCCGGCCCAGTTGACCAAGAGGGTCCCAGAAAGCACAGGGCGTGAGGGCAGCTGTGGAAAGGCCCAGGGAGGCTGTGTCCAAGCCCAACTTCCCCAGCTAGGGCGTGTGATGTGGGGGTGGGGGTGTCTTGTAAACTGGAGCTTCCACCATTGCAGTAGGCGGAGTGGAGGCCCAGGCTTCAAGACCAAGCAGCAGGTGTGGGAACAACTGGAAGCAGCGAAGGGGGCGGGGCACCGAGGGACCCAGGCCTGGCTCCCACCCACAGCTGAGCCGGTTCTCTCCAGTGCTAAGCCCCAGCTCTGGCCCCAGGACGATCTCCTCCCTGCACACCCCTTACCCAGGAATCAGGGAGCCAGACAGGGGGAGGGGCAGACAGGGACCCTTTTCACGGACCCCTCCCATTTGGGTTCAGGCCCTCCCACACTCCCGGCTAGCATCCTCTCCTTTGTTCTCTTCTTGCCCCACCCGCCCTCCAGCGGGGTGAGGTGGGGGTGCGGGAATTAACCCACCGAGGTGCTGCCCTATTTGCGCCCTTCAGCCTTTTACGTGTAAGGGGGATGTTGGAGGAGCAGCTGGCAGCTTCCCTGCCTCCAGGCTCCTCAGCTTCTGGGCCAAGAAAGGCCAAACTCTTCACCTGCCCCTCCCTGGCATAACCAGCCCACAATGAGCACCCAGCACCCTCACCCACACCCCTCCCCCGACACTCCAGCAGCCCTCTGGAATCTTCTCTCACCTCCTAGACACACACACACAGAGGCACCTCCGGGTAAACAACCTTTGTCCACCTTTGTCCCAGGCCTCCTCTCTCCCTCGGGCTCCATGCTGAGGAATGCAGCTGGGAGGCTGCCAGCAAATGCCAAGGGGCCTCTGGGTCCCAGGCTAGCACCCCACAGCACCCCACAGGGGCAGGCAGGCCTCCAGAGGCTCTCCTGGAATCCAAAAAGCCACTTCCTCGCTAAGCCTCCGGTTTCCCGTCTGCAAAGTGGCGATGATCATTCCTGCTGCCCTTCCTGACTGAGCTGTCTGAGGACCCAGGGTTCCAGGGGCAGGTCTCCCAGGATGAGATTTTGCTTTCTCTTGAAACCCATGCGTTCCTAGAATCTGTTCTGTGTTTCATTGTAGGAGGCTCTGGCCAGGCCTGGGTGTGGCAGGATAGAAATGAAAGTTGTCCTGGCAACACACAAGATTTCATCAACATTTCCATCCCCAGCAGCTCCTGGGCCAAGCCTCATCTTGCCCAGTGTGGCCTGTCAAGATGACGGCCTGGAAGAGAAGCCAGACTGGGCAGCCAGGCCTCTGCCCCTCCCCTTGCCTGGTGGCACAGCCAGCACTGGCTCACTGGTGAGTTGACTAATTTCCTCCGCCACCATTAGTTGTCCATGTTCATTGCTGCCTGACACCCAACACCAGTCTGCAAGGGCACCAGGAGGGGATGGAAGAGACAGGGTGTCTGGGGAAGGGTGGGTCTGAGTGCGAGGGGGTGGGTGAGCTTGTCTCAGAGCCTGACGCTGGCTGGTGGTATCTGCGTTACCCAGGCTGACCCAGCTCTCTCTGATGCAGACAGGCGAGGGCCTCACACACTTCAGAGAATTCACACCCACATGATGAGGCTGAGAGGAGCAGGACGCACAGACACATGGCAGGCACCAGGAGAGCCAGGCTGCTCTGCTCTGCTGGCGATCCATGTGCTGTCCCCCTCTGTCTCTTGACTTTATTTTCCATCAGGAGAGCGCCTCCCTTATTACCCTTGGGAGGTAAGGGACAAACACAAACACATGATGACTAACCTCAGGCCCAACCCCCTGCAGAGAGGGGTCAGGGTTGGGGGCTGTCAAGAACAAGGAGGCACAAGGCACCCAGAACCCGTCTAGTCCAGCCTTTAAACTGTGGGGAGAATACAGGGAGCTCAGGAGCAAACTCTGAAGGAACCCCTGGGCCTGGGTCTTCTCCGAAAACCCCCGTTCTCTCCTCCAGGGAAAGCTCACAACTCCTCACAGCGATCTGGTATCTTGAGCGTCAGTTTCTGGCCGAAACTGGGGGCTCCTGACTGAACTCCCTCCCACCTAGAAAACCTTCTGTGCAGTCTGATTGCTCCAACACCCACAGAGCAGGATTCAGGTATCCCGGAGACCTTGGGAGGTCCCCATCCAGAGGTCTGCTGTCCTGCCAGGCTTGGGGCAGCAGGGACTGGGACCCCACTCAGACCTCTCTGGGGCAAATGTTTTGGTTCTCACAACAGCCCTAGTGAAATCAATCCTAGATACTCCCATTTGGTCCCACCAAGGCCATTTAATTTCTCTGTAAAGGGTAAGATGACACAAAAGAGCCAACTATGGAAACGGTGAGGTGGGAGTCTGAACCGATTTAGCTGTTCTCAGGGCGCACAGGGTGTTGACGGTGGTTTTCATCTGCCACCTGCCTCCTTGAGACCCAGCTGGCCTGAGTGTGCACGAAATGGGACCTTCTCCTTGGGTCCACCAGGCTGGGAGGCACCCCTAGGTACCCGGCTCCTCATCACAGCGGCAGCCCTCTCGGTTCCACATCTGGTTCTCCTGACGAAGCCGCTGGTTTTCGGTCCGGAGCCTCTGGACCTCGGCAGCCAGCTCCTCCACCTGGCGGCAGGACTGCTGGCCGGTGCACGCCTGCAGCTGCTGCAGCCTCCTAGTCTCCTCCTCCGCCTGCGACAGCCGCTTCTCCAGCTCCAGGTAGTCTCGCACCAGCTCCTGCTTGCTGCGGCCCTGCAGGCTCTCGGTGTGGAAGCGTTCGTAAGTCTCAGAGAAGTCCTTCCGCTGGAACTCACCGTGCGCTCGGCCCCGCCCATCACTGTCCCCGGCCTCACTCTCCCCACTGGAACCTGGGTGGGAGATCCCATGGGGCACATCCAAGTTGGGCTCCTCCGGGTCCCTGTCATTCATCAGGAACTGGGTGGTGTTGTAGGGGGCCACGGGCTGGCCTTTGGCGAACATCTCTTCGCGGACCCGGGAGGCCCTCTGGCTCTGCCTCTCATCCCGCTGTTGTTTCTCAGCCCAGCTCAGCTCCAGGTAGGGTCGCCAGTGCCTTTTGCGCTTCGATGGCCGCCGACGGTGTTTCTTCCGGGCCAGCACAGCCTCCGCTGAGCAGCCCCCTGGGCTCTGGGTCCGGGGACTCCTACTGTTCCAGCCCAGGCCACCGACAGCCCCAGCAAGATCTTCATCCTCTGAGTGGCTCTCCATCCGCGGTGTCAGGGGCAGGGAACCACCAGAGTCATGACGCTCAGGGGGTGTTTGGGGGCTCCCCGGGGCACCAGAGGTCTAAAGAGAGGGAGGAGGAAGAAGGATGGATCAGACAGCCTGTCCTTGGAGGTGGAACCTTTCCCTCTCTACCTAGCCTGAAGCCTACCTTCCTACACTCAGCTAACTTGGTCACTCTTAGCCCCTCAACCTTTTGGAACCATTTGTTTACAAAGAGACCTGTCTACTGTCTGTCCCCCAACCTTCCCCAAGTAAACTCATGGTGAGAGCAGGAATTTTGCCTGTGTGTTTCACTCTGTAATTTCAATGCCTAGAATAATACCTGGCACTGAGTAGGAGTTCCATAAATACTGTCCAAATGAGTAAAGTAGGAGAAGAAGAAAACTGGGATAGAAGGTGGATCTTGATGCATTTGCTTGATCAGAAGCCCAAATGGCACCGGCTCTTCCCTCTTCCCAGAAAACCTGACTTTCAAACACCACTGGCTTCATGGGCAGGTGACCTGTGAAGTCCCACAGAGGCCCCACACCTGGCTTCATGCTGTCCTTCTCTTAAACATGTTATTCAAAAAAAAAAAAAACCTTATTTTATTTCATTTTTTGAGATGGAGTCTCGCTCTGTCACCCAGGCTGGAGTGCAGTGGTGCAATCTCGGCTCACTGTAACCTCTGCCTCCGGAATTCTCCAGCCTCAGCCTCCCGCGTAGCTGGGATCACAGGCACGTGCCACCACGCCTGGCTAATTTTTTGTATTTTTAGTAGAGACAGGGTTTCACCATGTTGGCCAGCCTAGTCTCAAACTCCTGACCTCAGGTGATCCACCCGCCTCGGCCTCCCAAAGTGCTGAGATTACAGGTGTGAGCCACCGCGCAAGGCCTAAAATAAGTTTTTTAGGCTCAGCATGGTGGCTCAGGCCTGTAATCCCAGCACTTTGGGAGGCCGAGGTGGGCGGATCACCTGAGGTCAGGAGTTCGAGACTAGGATGGCCAACATGGTGAAACCCTATGTCTACGAAAAATACAAAAATAAGCCGGGCGTGGTGGCACGTGCCTGTGATCCCAGCTATGCAGGAGGCTGAGGCTGGAGAATGTGGGCGGCGGAAGTTGCAGTGAGCCAAGATTACACCACTGCACTCCAGCCTGGGTGACAGAGCGAGACTCCATCTCAAAAACAAACAAACAGGCCGGGCGAGGTGGCTCACACCTGTAATCCCAGCACTTTGGGAGGCCAAGATGGGTGAATCACGAGGTCAGGAGATCGAGACTATCCTAGTTAATGTGGTGAAACCCCATCTCTACTAAAAATACAAAAAAAATTAGCTGGGTGTGATGGCGGGCGCCTGTAGTCCCAGCTAGTCGGGACGCGGAGCTTGCAGTGAGCTGAGATCGCGCCACTGCACTTCAGCCTGGGCGACAGAGTGAGACTCCATCTCGAAACAAACAAACAAACAAACAAACAAAAAAGACTCTTATTTTTAGAGACAGGGTCTTACTCTGTTGCCCAGGCAAGAATGCAGTGAGGTGCAATAATAACTCCCTGCAGCCTCAAACTCCTAGACTCAAGCAATCCTCTTGCCTTAGCCTCTCAAGTAACTGGATCTACAGGCATGCGCCACCACACCTGGCCACTGTCTTTAACTTTTTAATAATTTTTGAATAAGGTGCCCTTTTGCACTGGGCCCCACAAATTATGCAGCTGATCCTGCTTCCAGCTATTTGCATGGCTTTTTTTTCATCTTTTTTTTTGTGTGTGTGTGAGAGTCTTGCTCTGTTGCCCAGGCTGGAGTGCAGTGTTGCCATCTCAGCTCACTGCAACCTCCGCCTTCCAGGTTCAAGCGATTCTCCTGCCTCAGCCTCCTGAGTAGCTGGGACTACAGGCGTGTACCACCATGCCAGGCTAATTTTAGTATTTTTAGTACAGATGGGGTTTCACCATGTTGGCCAGGCTGGTGTGGAACTCCTGACCTCAAGTAATCTGCCCACCTTGGCCTCCCAAAGTGCTGGGATTATAGGCATGAGCCACTGCACCTGGGCTTTTTTTTTTTTTTTTTTTGAGACAGAGTCTTGCTCTGTCACCCAGGCTGGAGTGCAGTGGCCCGACCTCAGCTCACTGCAACCTCCACCTCCCAGGTTCAAGCGATTATCCTGCCTCAGCCTCCAGAGTAGCTGGGATCACAGGTGCCCACTACCATGCCCAGCTAATTTTTTGTATTTTTAGTAGAGATGGGGTTTCACCATGTTGGCCAGGCTGGTCTCAAACTCCTGACATCAAGTGATCCACCCGCCTCGGCCTCCCAAAGTACTGGGATTACAGGTGTGAGCCACCACTGCCAGCTACCTTTTTTCATCTTTTAGAGCTTAGTTCCAATGTCACTTCCTTAGGGAGCCCCTCCTTGACCACCCTACCTAATGTAGACTCCCCCATCTCGCCTCCCTAGTGATTCTATCACATCACACAGTTAGCACATAGCATTTAGCATATGGCCATTTAACATCTGTCTTCCTCATGTGAGAACGCATCTCGTCTGTCTGT
Organism: Homo sapiens; assembly: GCF_000001405.40. Taxonomy (NCBI): domain Eukaryota; kingdom Metazoa; phylum Chordata; class Mammalia; order Primates; family Hominidae; genus Homo; species Homo sapiens. The sequence continues at coordinate 45,166,544 of NC_000017.11, read as the reverse complement.
CCAAGTCACCACTATATTCCTATGCACAGCACAAGGGCAGTGCTCAGTAAATATCTGTTAAGTGGACTAAAGATTATAGGATAGGGAGATCCAAAAGATATTGGGAAATAAGACTTACGGCCGGGTGTAGTGGCTCACGCTGGTAATCCTAGCACTTTGGGAGGCCAAGGAGGGTGGATTGCTCAAGCCCAGGAGTTCAAGACCAGCCTGGGCAACATGGCGAAACCCCATCTCTACCAAAAATTACAAAAAATTAGCCAGGCATGGTGGTGAGCACCTGTAATCCCAGCTGCTTGGGAGGCTGAAGTGGGAGGATCACTTGAGTCCAGAAGGTTGAGGCTGCAGTGAGCTGTGATTGCGCCACTGCGCTCCAGCCTGAGTGACAGAGCTGGAGTCTCAAAAAAAAGACTCCCCTTCTCTATCCTTCTGGCATAAAGAAGATGCAGCGGGCCGGGCGTGGTGGCTCACGCCTGTAATCCCAGCACTTTGGGAGGCCAAGGCAGGTAGATCACCTGAGTTCAGGAGTTTGAGACCAGCCTGACCAACATGGCCAAACCCCGTCTCTACTAAAAATACAAAAAAATTGGCCGGGTGTGGTGGCACGCACCTGTAATCCCAGCTACTTGGGAGGCTGAGGTAGGAGAATCGCTTGAACCTGGGAGGCGGAGGTTGCAGTGAGGCGAGATCACGCCACTGCACTCCAGCCTGGGCAACAGAGTAAGACTCTGGCTCAAAAAATAAAATAAAATAATTAAATTAAATTAAATTAAATTAAAAAATAAAATAAAATAAAATGATGGAACATATTTATTCCAGGCAGAAGTTGGTAGGTGGTATCACTCTCCAATATGAATGGCAGGAAAGAGATCCTCTCCAAAGAGAGGGAGGGTCAGCCTCCAGTCTGCAGTGAGAGAGTTCCAGAACTTATCTAAGAGGTATAAAGGCTGTCAAGAGAGTGTATGTTCAGGGCATCTGTTTATCTCTGTTGTGGGAAGGGTGGGAGTACTGGGTGTGGGAGATGGGAAATGAATTGCTCTAAGTTTGTGGTTTGGGCAATTTCTAATAATAACCACTACCACTGGTATGTTGTTGAATAATATGCAACGCAGTTCAGAGACATGTGAGCGTGGTCCATGCACACAGGGTGTGTACTGAGGAATGTGGTGTATGCGCGGCCCTTAAGAGCCAGGCATATGTCATGTGTGTTTTGCAGACCCCGAAGAGAATTTCAGGGAAAAGGAGGTATGTCAGGGTGTGTATGTGTGTGGGGTGTGTACGTATGTGGAGTTTGTTGTGTTACTTCACCTGCAGGGAGATCACGAAATAAAAGCAATAGCCCTTGTCTCCACCAGTGGCTTGGGCCAAATAAGACAGAGCTGTTGCCCCAGCTGGGACAGGCAAGGCCACTGGGATGCCAAGGCATGGTGGCTTGTTGGTGTGCACAATCAGTCACATGCTCCCAGCCCTCAGTAGAAGTGCCCTATTGATCCTCCACCCTCACCCAAGCGAGCCCAGCCCCCTAGCCCTACCTGCTGCCTCCCTCCTGAAGACTTGGCCCTCTACCACCATGACCACTACTGTAGATAAGCTGTGTGACCTGGCTGAACATTGTAGCCCTGACATGTCATGAATTCCGAATTCAGTCAATCCAGAAAACACGGAATGGGCTAGGCAGGGTGGGTCAGAAGCTCTCTGACCTCTGTCCTAAGCCCCCTGCTCATCTATAGGGAGTCGTGGACTAAGGAAGAATGGGTAAGGGCAGGTACTGAGAGAACATGGGCCGAACAAGCATGGGTTCCTGTTGCCAGGTTGGGAAGTGCCATCCTCTGAGGGCCTGATATGATCTTTCTCTCTCCTCTTTCGTGGGTTATATCCTACCCCCACCTCCATTACAAATTATTATTATTTTTGAGAAAGTCTGACTTTGTCACCCAGGCTGGAGTGCAGTGGCATGATCTCAGCTCAGTGCAACCTCTGCCTCCTGGGTTCAAGTGATTATCATGCCTCAGCCTCCCAAGCAGCTGGGATTACAGGCATGCACCACCACGCCGGGCTAATTTCAGGTTTTTTTGTTTTTTTGGTTTTTTTTTGAGACGGAGTCTCGCTCTGTTGCCCAGGCTGGAGTGCAGGGGCGTGATCTCAGTTCACTGCAAACTCCGCCTCCCAGTTTCAAGCGATTCTCCTGCCTCAGCCTCCCAACTAGCTGGGATTATAGAAATGTGCCACCACGCCTGGCTAATTTTGTATTTTTAGTAGAGATGGGGTTTCTCCATGTTGGTCAGGCTGGTCTCGAACTCGTGACCTCAGGTGATCCGCCCACCTCGGCCTCCCAAAGTGCTGGGATTACAGGCGTGAGCCACTGCACCCGGCTTCCAGCATTTTTTTTTTTTTGAGAGAGTTTTGTTCTTGTTGCCCAAGCTGGAGTGCAATGGCACAATCTCAGCTCACTGCAACTTCTGCCTCATGGGTTCAAGTGATTCTCCTGCTTCAGCCTCCTGAGTCGCTGGGATTACAGCCGCCTGTCATTACGCCCATCTAATTTTTGTATTTTTAGTAGAGACAGAGTTTCACCATGTTGGCCAGGCTGGTCTTGAACTCTTGACCTCAGGTGATCCACCCACCTCAGCCTCCAAAAGTGCTAGGATTACAGGCGTGAGCCACTGCGCCTGGCCTGTTTTTGTTTTTGTTTCTTTTTTGAGATGGAGTGTCACTCTGTCGCCCAGGCTAAAGTGCAGTGGTGTGATCTCAGCTCACTGCAACCTCTGCATCCTGGGTTCAAGTGATTCTGGTGCATCAGCCTCCTGAGTAGCTGGTATTACAGGCATGTGCCACCATGCCCAGCTAATTTTTGTATTTTTAGTAGAGATGAGGTTTCACCATGTTGGCCAGGCTGGTCTTGAACTTCTGGTCTCAAGTGAATTGCCTGCCTGGGTCCATTCCAAATTATGAACCAAAAACTCTTCTTCCTGCTTCAGACTTGGTTCTTAGCCTGGACAAAATGTAAACATTCAACCCAGTCCCTCCATGCCCTCTTTGGACTTGAGGTCAAGGCAATGTTCTGTTGTCAGAAGGCCCTAAGTTTAAACCCTGGGTCTGTTGCTTGTAGATAGCATGATTCTGGAACAGGTATTTCAGGTCTCAGAACCTTAGCTTCTGGGAATTGGAAATAATTCCTACCTGAAAGGGTTACTAGGATTTTTTTTTTTTTTTTTTTTTTTTGAGACGGAGTCTCGCTCTGACGCCCAGGCTGGAGTGCAATTGCGAGATCTTGGCTCACTGCAACCTCCGACCCCTGGGTTCAAGCGATTCTCCTGCCTCAACCTCCCAAGTAGCTGGGATCACAGGCATGCGCCACCACTATGCCAGGCTAATTTTGCATTTTCAGTACAGCCAGGGTTTTGCCATGTTGGTCAGGCTGGTCTCGAACTCCTGACCTCAGGTGATCCACCCACCTAGGCCTCCCAAAGTGCTGGGATTACAGGTGTGAGCCACCGCACCCGGCCAGTTACTAAGATTTCATCAGCTAGCATAGACTGGGATTCCGGCCTATTGCCTAGTGCATAGTACTGATTCGTCAAAATACTGGTTTTCCAAATCTACCAACACATCTGGGACAAGAAGTTTGGATCTCAGCTGTGGGACCCGTGCTCGTGGTGCTTGGGTGGGCAGGAGGGCAGGGACTTACCTTGGCCTCCTCCAGGGCCACTGGTGACTCTGCATTACAGGCGGTCTGGTTCGGAGTGGCCATCATCTTCTGTTCCAAATCTTTCAGCAGACGCCTGGAACTAGTGACACCTGCTTTGAACAACAACAGAAACCTAAATCCTGAAGGAACGTCAGGAATACTCTGGCTGCCCAGAATTGTTTGCCCAGGCAGTGGCAGCCATTTTGTACCCCAGCCCTTCATACCCTTATTCTCAAATGCAGGCCCCGAAGGCTGCCTCCACCGCTGGTTTTCACACCTCCAGCCAGCAAGGGGCCAAATGGGATTCAGGGGCCGTCTTCTCTGTCCTGCTCCTCGGGTCCCTCACCAGGACTCATGTCCTGTACTGTCCTCCTGGAAGTCACCGAGGCCCAGGTTGGCAGCCAGGAAGCCAGGTGTAAGTTTTGTTTCCCCAACCACCAAAGGGGCAAAGGAGGACTGCCTGGGGAGGCTGGGAGTGCAGCGGGGCTGCTGCTGCCACGGGAGAACATGGAGCAAGCTCACGAGTCCTTCCCCACTGTCTCCAGTGGCCCCAATCTTGATGCAGCCCTGCACCCCCAACCTTCTCCCCAAGCTGGGCTCCAAAGGCCAGAAGCACAGCTGGGACCTGGGCCAGCCTAGTGCTGAGGACTTTTCCTCTAAGGTCCTGGCCTGCCTCCCTCCTTCCTCTCAGAAAGGGAAACAGGAGAAAAGGGGAAAGAGGTCTTTGCACTACATGCAGCTGGGAGGGAAACCCAACTAGGATAAGGATGGATTTCTTGGAAGAAGGGAGACAGTCATGGAAAGAGGTTTTGCAAAGGTGGAACTGACCTATTCGCTGTCAAGGGCTATGCACACCACTACATCTGTGTGCCTTTCTGTGCGACTGCCTGTCGGTGCAATTCCCAACGCCTGAGCCCTACCTCTTGCTGCAGTTGCAGCAGCTCTGGTCAAGCCGCTCAGGCCACTAAGATGGGGGGGAAGAGAGAGCCTGGACGCGCGGTGCCTGCTGGGGATTGTAGTTCTTCTGGCCTGAAAAGCGATCCAAGGGCCTGTAACGTCAACAGCCACACCCGAGACTCCAAAACCCATCTACCCTTGCGCGGGGGCAGACCGCGCGCGCATCACTGCCTTCTTTGATTGGTCAAGCCTTCTGCCAATATTCTCGCTTTTTTGGCAACGATTAGCTGTGAGGAGGCACAACTGGACCCGCCTTCTCCGAACTCAATTAAAGAGTTCATTGATGGCGTTAATCTTTACGGGGCAGAAAATAGATCCGGCTAAGGTGGGCGGGGCAGCAGGCGCGGAGGGATCCTTGGCCTTTGAGGAAGGCGACGAGAAGCTCGGCGGCCATCGCCGCCATTTTGGGCTGGGAGGAGGCAGCGGAGGGACTCGCTGCGCAGTGAGAGCACCCCGTGGGGGGTGGTCCGGGCGCGGGGAGAGGCCGGGCCGAGTGGGCTACCTGAAGTGGCGGCGCCGGGAGACGGCGGGAAGTGGGACCGGGGGCCAGGGAGGGTGAAGGTTGGAGTCTCCTCGGCCGAGCCCGGTCCTCAAACCGTCCCGGCAGCCCCGCAGCCTCGCCTCTCACAGAGTGCGGGGTTCTTCGGTAATTACCGCGTGTTTCCCGAGACCCCAGAAGGGGAGAGGCTGGTGAAACGGCTTCCCTCTGCGGTCTTTCCACAGGGGCGCGGATCCTGAGGCCGAGCTCTGCCAGCTTCCCTCCCCACCCCCATTCGGCCTGGGTATGGCGGCGAGGCCCCGCACAGAGGGACTCCCACTTCGACTGGAGAGGTGGGGGCGACGCCAGATTCCAGAGGCTGGCGCCGCGGGGGAGGGCGGAGGTCGCAGGTCTGGCCACAAGTCGGCGTGGCAGTCAGCTGGAGGCTCCGAGAGCGGAGATCCCAGTGCACCCACCTTACCTCGCTTACACCAAAGCGCCATCTCGCCGCCCGGGTTGCGAAAAACCACGACCCTCTTAAACTACTGTAGCAACCACTAATTCCCCCTGGGAGCAGCTAGAGAGGGGCACTTGGAAACCTTCACGAGCTCGGTGCCTGAAGGTCTCTGAGGCTCTTGCCCTCAAGATCTCTCCCATTCAGCCCCGATTCTCCGGACAACCTGACCTAGCATGTCGCCAGCCTCTTGGTGAAACGCCTAAAGTGTGCTGCCCCACTTCTCTTGAAAGTTTACACCGAAGGGATGAGGTTTTGCCCTTTACAGGGTTGGGGCACAAAGTCGGAGTCGCTGCGGCTCCGAAATAGAAACGGAGTTGCCCATTTCGTATGCTTCATCAACATCTGCTTGCATTTTGAAATCCTAGTCTTAACTTTTACACAACTTTTAGAGAAATGGCTGCCCTCCTAGAGGGAAAAACGAACTACAGTAATTCCAATTCCAATGTAATCTTTGTAAGACTACAAAATCTTTCCAGTTTAAAGATTTTTCTTTTCCCACAGACTAAACAAAGTCAGAGTATTTTGTGTTCTACTGGTGCATTGTTACTAGGTAACCTCAATTTTTTGAAATTCCAAGTAATTGAAGGATCACTTTTGTAGATCCTAAATGCTACCAAAAAAGAAACCAGTTTTTATCTACTTCATATGTATAGCGTTTAAGAGATGAGGAGACCTGCTTTGAAAGAATAAACTCTTAACCTTACATTATAGCTGTAGCAGCTTCTTAAAGATTGAAGTTTGATGTGAAGTTCTTTTATTGAATTGCAGGTTAAACCATCTTACTTCCTACTGCTTGAAATCTAAATCCAGAGAGATTTGTGGCTCAAGGATATCTTCAAATAAAAGTTTTATTGCTAAAATGTCAGTTAAAATTATGCCTAGGTAGGTGCTGAAGTAGGAGAGGCTTTGACGTAGCAGAGTGACTGGCAGTGAATTTTGTGGGTACCTTGTGATGAGTCTTATTATCAGTTACAAATGGTCAAAACATGCCTAAGCCTTCAGCCTTACTAAAAGTTTAACAGAACTTGGCCTGGCGCGGTGGCTCACACCTGTAATCCCAGCCCTTTGGGAGGTGGAGGCGGGTGGATCACCTGAGGTCAGGAGTTTGAGACCAACCTGGCCAACATGGTGAAGCCCCTTCTCTACTAAAAATACAAAATTAGCCGGGTGTGGAGTTGCGTGCCTGTAATCCCAGCTACTCGGGAGGCTGAGGCAGGAGAATCGCTTGAACCCAGGAGGCAGAGTTTGCCATGAGCCTCTCACCGTTGCACTCCAGCCTGGGTGACAGAGTAAGACTCTGTCTCAAAAAAAAAAAAAAGTTTTCCAGAACTGAAGTTCTGCTCCTCCTATTAATAATTTTTCTTCAGTTGGAGTGACAACTCCATAGCATTAACTTTTTTCCCTCTGCTCCCCAGATGTTTTACAACTGGATTACAAAATAGGATCATCATTGACTAGGGTCCTCAATCCAAAACTGGAACCACTTACTCCTAACTGAAGCTTCAGTACACTTGATGCCTACTGTGGTTTGATTTTTTACCTACATATGACATGTTCGCTCTACACTGATCAAGAGATGTGAGTTTAAAAAAGCTAACTAACTTGGTAGGACTTAAATAGTCATAGGAACAGAAAAGGCTTTTAAAGACGATCTTTGTGGGTCTTCTGTCAAGAATTTAATGGAGGATCCTAGACACTTGGGATTCATCCTCCATTATGAAGTAATCTAGTGAAATTTTTGGATGCTACTGAGTGGCAAATACTGTACCAGCAGCAGAAATTTGTTACTCATTTGTAAATGAAACTTACTATCCTTAAGGTTGACCCACAAGCTTTTCCATTCTTTGCTAAGAAAAATTGGGAATAGGCCGGGCACAGTGGCTCACGCCTGTAATCCCAGCACTTTGGGAGGCCAAGGCGGGCAGATCACGAGGTCAAGAGATTGAGACCGTCCTGGCAGACATGGTGAAACCCCATCTCTACTAAAAATACAAAAATTAGCTGAGTGTGGTGGTGTGCACCTGTAGTCACAGCTACTTGGGAAGCTGAGGCAGGAGAATTGCTTGAACCCCGGGGCTGGAGGTTGCAGTGAGCCGAGATCGTGCCACTGCACTCCAGCCTGGGTGACAGAGCAAGATTCTGTCTCAAAAAAAAAAAAAGAAAAAATGGGAATAAAACCAGCTTATTAGTGGCCTCCTGGTTATCTAAGGAAAACACAGGACTGTAGGACTGAAAATTAGGAACTCCGAGCTCTGTTTCTGTGTGTGCTGCCCTTAACTTGGTTGACTTGGCCAGAGGCCAAATACTGATAATGAGGCCAAACTGGTCATTTTGCTGCTTAGTCTATTGTTCATCTACTGTTCAACCAGACTTTCAACTTCCTTTTCAGCTCTCCCCTCTCAGATGAGTTGCATTATGCTTTTATGACAAATTCTACAAACTCTATATTCATTTGAAAATGGTATCAGCACTGTCTCCCTCATAAATACCTAGAGGAGTAACTAGTCTTAAGTCGCTATGTAAACACTTACTCCTTGTAACTTTGTTATATGAGAACTTCACAAGGAATGCTTCAAAGATCATTGGGGCAGTTGGAAAGCCTGCCTTACCAAAGTGTGGCCTTAGTTGTCCATAGCATCACAAAAGAGCCATCCAAGTAGGCTGAATGAGGATCAGTCTCTCAGGGTGCCCACTGGTTGTGGCTGTGAAGTCCTGGACACTCATTTTGCCTGATGGCCAAATCCTAGGGAGCAGTGACTATGTGTGAGTAGGATTCGTTGACAGAGGTAGGAGGTTTTTTTTTTGTTTTTTTTTCCTGCTGCCTGTATAATTGCAGAAAAGGAGTGATTCTTTACAGTAATTCCCCCTCTTCGGGATGAAGATGCTTGCTTCTGTTTGGTTTCCACAGTTAAATCAATTTTTTTTCCTTTTCTTTTGAGATGGAATCTTGCTCTGTCGCCCAGGCTGGAGTGCAGTGGCGCGATTTCGCCCACTGCAACCTCCACCTCCCAGGTTTAAGCGATTCTCCTGCCTCAGCCTCCCGCGTAGCTAGGATTACAGGCACTCACCACCATGCCTGGCTAATTTTTGCATTTTATTTTTTTCTGGAACGGAGTTTCACCTGGTTGCCAAGGCTGGAGCGCGATGGTGTGATCTTGGCTCACCACAACCTCTGCCTCCTGGGTTCAAGCGATTCTCCTGCCTCAGCCTCCCAAGGAGCTGGGACTATAGGCATGCGCCACCATGCACGGCTAGTTTTGTATTTTTAGTAGAGATGGGGTTTCTCCATGTTGGTCAGGCTGGTCTTGAACTCCCAACCTCAGGTGATCCTCCCACCTTGGCCTCCCAAAGTGCTGGGATTACAGTCAGTGAGCCACTGTGCCCGGCCTGTATTTGTATTTTTAGTAGAGACAGGGTTTTACCATGTTGGCCAGGCTGGTCTCCAACTCCTGACCTCAGGTGGTCCGCCCACCTCGGCCTCCCAGTGTGCTAGGATTGCAGGCGTGAGCTACGGTGCCTGGCCAGTTAATCAGTTTTTTACCCTCCTGTGTTTAGGCCCCAACATCCTGTTCTTGATCTTTTTTGGCAAAAATTTGGCCAAAGATTGAAATTTTGCCTCCTGGACCATATATTTTGCTCCAGTTGCAAAGTATGACTTTTATCCTTTGGTCAGCAGTTCCCATGGTGTTTAGGGCCTGAATTTGACATTCTTTTTTTTTTTTCTTTTTGAGATGGAGTCTAGCTCTGTTGCCCAGGCTGGAGTGCAGTGGCACGATCTCGGCTTGCCGCAACCTCTGCCTCCCGGCTTCAAGCAGTTCTCCCTGCCTCAGCCTCCCAAATATCTGGGATTACAGGCGCCCACCACCACACCCGGCTAATTTTTGTAGCTTTTTTTGTTTGTTTGTTTGTTTTTGAGAGTCTCACTCTGTCACCAGACTGGAGTGCAGTGGCGCAGTCTCGGCTCACTGCAACCTCTGCCTCCTGGGTTCAAGCAATTCTCCTGCCTCAGCTTCCCAAGTAGCTGGGACTACGGGTGGGCACCACCATGCCTAGCTAATTTTTTTTCTGTATTTTTAGTAGAGACGGAGTTTTACCATATTGGCCAGGATGGTCTCGATCTCTTGACCTTGTGATGCGCCCGCCTCGGCCTCCCAAAGTGCTGGGATTACAGGCGTGAGCCACCGTACCTGGCAACATTCTCTTTTTTTAAAAAAATAACTTTTTATTTCTAGCCTCAACCATTTACACTTTGCTTGAGAAAGAATAATAAAGTGGAATTGTTATTCCAGTGATGTTGTGCAAATGTGAGAAATAGTACTTCCCCCAAAAAAACAAACCTCGAAACCCCACAAACTCAAGTGTACTTAAGTACTTAACGTTCAAGTACTTTTTAACTATAACCAACTTTTCCACCACACTGTTGTGAATATTTGTTGCTAGCTGTTATGGGTATAAGTGATCAAGGGAAGAACTGATGCATTACCTAATGCTTGACTAAATATAGCCAGCCCTTAAGTAGGTAGAGTATTTGGTTGTGGGTTTTGTTGTTTAAGTCTGTGGAGTCCCTCTTTGGTTTCTTTAACTTTTGCAGTCATTAGGGCAGAGTATATTTATTTACATTTCTCCAAGCAAAGTCTTGCTCTGTTGCCCAGGCTGGAGTACGGTGGCGCGATCTCGGCTCACTACAACCTCTGCCTCCCAGGTTCAAGCAATTGTCCTGCCTCAGCCTCCCGAGTAGCTGGGATTACAGATACCCGCCACGATGCCTGGCTAATTTTTGTATTTTTAATAGAGACGAGATTTTGCCATGTTGGCCAGGCTGGTTTCGAACTTTTGACCTCAAGTGATCCATCTGCCTTGGCCTCCCAACGTGCTGGGATTACAGGCGTGAGCCACCATGCCTGGCCTAAATTTACTTTTTAATAGAGACGAGGCTGGTTATGTTGCCTGTGTTGGTAACTGTGTTGCCTAGGCTGGTGTCAAGTGCTTGAGCTCAAGTGACCCTCCTGCCTTGGCTTCCCAAAGTGTTAGGATTACAGGCATGAAGCCACTGCGCCTGGCCTGTCTAATCTTTATTATGCTTCCCCTCTTTAGAGATACTTAGTCTGTTTTTCAGAACTAAACCAATCTGGAACTCCCTGGCTCTCTCTCCTAAAACTCTGAAGTCTAGAGGACCCTGTCTCCTGAGGGCTCTAAGAAAAGCTGTCCAGCTAGCTGTGTCAGTTTGAGAAGCAGTTTTTCCTGATTGAATACCTAGGCCCCAGTAGGAAAAAGGGAACAAACTGAAATTGCTAATTTGTAAGCCTGGTCTTTTGAGCAGCTCAGTTAAAATGCTTGACAGAGGACTTAAGTGAAAGGCTAGAGTGGGCTTGGGGTTCATTTATCATCAAAGCCCCCTGTTCAATGTAGGTAAATCAGCGGGGTGTGTTGGTATCCACCTTTAGTCCCAGCTACTCAGGAACCTGAGGTGGGAGGATCACTCAAGCCCAGGAATTTGAGGCTGCAGTGAGATATGATAGCGCCACTGCAGTCTAGCTTGGGCAACTGAGGGAGACCCCATCTTTTTTTTTTTTTTTCAACTTTTTTTTTTTTTTTGAGACAGGGTTTCACTATGTTACCCAGGCTGGTCTCAAACTACTGAGCTCAAGGATTCTGCCCACCTTGGCCTTCCAAAGTGCTAGGGTTACAGGTGTGAGTCACCGGGCCTGTTGAAACCCCAATTCTTTAAAAAAAAAAAAAAAGCTTTTTTTTTTTTTTTTTTTGAGACAGAGTCTTATTCTGCCACCTAGGCTGGAGTGCAGTGTGGCGTGATGTTGGCTCACTGCAACCTTTGCCTCCCGGATTCAAGTGATTCTCCTGCCTCAGCCTCCCAAGTAGCTGGGATTACAGGCACCCACCACCATGCCCAGCTAATTTTTGTGTTTTTTTGTTGTTGTTTTTGTTTTTGAGACGGAGTCTCGCTCTGTTGCCCAGGCTGGAGTGCAGTGGTGTGATCTCGGCCCACTGCAAGCTCTGCCTTCCGGGTTCACGCCATTCTCCTGTCTTAGCCTCCCGAGTAGCTGGGACTAAAGGCGCCCGCCACCACACCCAGCTAATTTTTTGTATTTTTAGTAGAGACGGGGTTTCACCATGTTAGCCAGGATGGTCTCGATCTCCTGACCTCGTGATCCGCCCGCCTTGGCCTCCCAAAGTGCTGGGATTACAGGCGTGAGCCACCACACCTGGCCAATTTTTGTATTTTTAGTAGAGACAGGGTTTCACCATGTTGGCCAGGCTGGTCTGGAACTCTTGACCTCAGGTGATCTGCCTGCCTCGGCCTCCCAAAGTGCTGGGATTACAGGCGTGAGCCACTGCGCCCGGCCTTTTTTTTTTTTTTTTTTTGAGGCTGAGTTTCACTCCTGTTGCCCAGGCCGGAGCACAATGGGGCGATCTCGGCTCACTGCAAACTCCGCATCCCGGGTTCATGCCATTCTCCTGCCTCAGCCTCTCAAGTAGCTGGGACTACAGGCACCTGCCACCATGCTCGGCTAATTTTGTATTTTGTATTTTTAGTAGAGATGAGGTTTCTCCATATTGGTCAGGCTGGTCTCTTAACTCCAGATCTCAAGAGATCCACCCACCTCAGCCTCCCAAAGTGCTGAGATTATAGGCATGAACCACCACGCCCGGCCCAACCTTTTTTTTTTTAAATTAAAATATAGGTAACTAATTGTTTTCTCTGCCAGGAGAGCAATATGCTAGTTAAATGTTTCAATAGAAAGTGAAGAAATAGGAGGCCGGGTGTGGTGGCTCACACCCATCATCCCAGCACTTTGGGAGGCCGAGGCAGGTGGATCACGAGGTCAGGAGATCGAGATCATCCTGGCTAACACGGTGAAACCCCGTCTCTACTAAAACTACAAAAAAAAAATTAGCTGAGCGTGGTGGCGGGTGCCTGTAGTCCCAGCTACTTGAGAGGCTGAGGCAGGAGAATGGCATGAACCTGAGAGGCGGAACTTGCAGTGAGCCGAGATCGCGCCACTGCACTCCAGCCTGGGCGACAGAGCAAGACTCCATCCCTCACCCCCCCCCCAAAAAAAAGAAAAGTGTAGGAATAGGCTGGGCTTGGTGGCTCACAACTGTAATTTTGGGAGGCGGAGGAGGGCGCATTGCTTGAGCCCAGGAGTTTGAGCCCAGGAGTTTGAGACCAGCCTGTGCAACAGGGTGAAACCCTGTCTCTCCAAAAAAAAAAAAAAAAAAAAAAAAATAGCCAGGCGTGGTGGCAAGTACCAGCTACTCAGGAGGCTGCAGTGGGAGGATCGCTTTAGCCTGGGAAGTGGAGGTTGCCGTAAGTCCAGATCGCGACACTGCACTCCAGCCTAGGCAACAGAGCAAGACCCATCTCAAAAAAAAAAAAAAAAAAAAGCCAGGCGCGGTGGCTTATGCCTATATTGCCAACACTTTGGGAGGCTGAGACGGGCGGATCACTTGAAGTCAGGAGTTCGAGACCAGCCTGGCAACCATGGCGAGACCCCGTCTCTACTAAAAATAGAAAAATTAGCCAGTTGCAGTGGCGTGCACCTGTAATCCCAGCTACTCGGGAGGCTGAGGCAGGAGAATCGGTTGAACCCAGGAGGCTGAGGTTGCAGTGAGCCGAAATCACGCTACTGCACTCCAGCCTGGCGACAGAGTGAGACTCCGTCTCAAAAAAAAAAAAAAAGTATAGAAAGTGTTAAAACTGAAATTTTGAATAAACCTCATCATTGTGAGAATATAAATGCAAAAAAAAAGGTAAAATGCTAGTGCCTTTGAAAGCAAAATTCAGACATACTTGCATAGCTTAAGGTAAATTGATGTATGAGAGTTATTTGTAATTAGATATTTGTGTATATATATATTTTTGAGACAGTTTCGCTCTTCTTGCCTAGGCTGGAGTGCAATGGCGCGATCTCCTCTCACTGCAACCTCCACCTCCCGGGTTCAAACGATTCTGCTGCCTCAGCCTCCCGAGTAGCTGGGATTACAGGCATGTGCCACCACACCCGGCTAATTTTTGTATTTTTAGTAGAGACGGGGCTTCTGTATGTTGGTCAGGCTGGTCTCTTAACTCCTGACCTCAGGTGATCTGCCCACCTCAGCCTCCCAAAGTGCTGGGATTACAGGCATGAGCCACTGTGCCCAGCCTAGATATCTGTATATTTGAAGACTGGGCTGAATTTGTCTTCTAAAACATACTTTTTCTGATGATAAATGCATTTATAGTCTTTCCAAGATTCATTTTCTAAATATCATTTTTCTAATACTAGGGGAAATAAGATTTTCATAGCTGAATCCCTCTTTAAGAAGAGGGTCTGGGCTGGGCGCAGTGGCTCATGCCTGTAATCCCAGCACTTTGGGAGGCCGAGGCGGGCGGATCACCTGAGGTCGTGAGTTCGAGAGCACCCTGACCAACATGGAGAAACTACGTCTCTACTAAAAATACAAAATTAGCTGGGGGTGGTGGCACATGCCTGTAATCCCAGCTACTAGGGAGGCTGAGGCAGGAGAATCGCTTGAACCTGGGAGGCAGAGGTTGCGGTGAGCCAAGATTGCACCATTGCACTCCAGCCTGGGCAACAAGAGCGAAACTCCGTCTCAAAAAAAAAAAAAAATAAAGAAAAAGGGTCTAATATCAGAGATAATCACTGCTGCATCTTACAGTTCAGTCAAAATGAGGCTTCAGCTCTGCACTGTAAAGCCAGAGGGCACTGTTGCTGCCTTTCCAAGCAGCTGTTTTTCTGGGGCTGCTGCATGACGTCATAGCAGAAGAAAAAAACACGAAGAAAACTATTTCAAAATAAATGTTTAATATAATTTTTAGACCAAAGAAAAACTCAATCATACATTGTCTCCAGTGGACCATATGTGCCAGAACAGGACCAACTCAGTCCAGCTTTGAAGGCCCTGATTCAGTCCTACTGGTATAATCTCCCTTGATTTATTGATTTGTGTATGCTTCTTATGCAATACAAGGTGCATTTTACTCTTGAAGTCCCTATCACCTCCACCATCGCCATTTAACTGCAAAAGCATGCTTCCTAATGGGAGGGTTTTCTTCCCCCTTCCCTGCAGAGGTTCTGAACCTTCAAGGAGTTTGACAATCTTATGAATCTCTTGAACCTTCTCCCCAGAAAAATGTACATACAAGTCTACAAATAATTTCATGGGGTTCATGGACCCCAAGGCCCACAATGGTTTCTAAGGCCCCAAATTAAGGAACCTCTGTGCTAGTGATTTGAGCAACGCAATTGCCCTCAGAAGACACTGACACAGGGCAGGTGAAGGACTGGGTTAACCAAAATGACAGGAGGCAATCTCATAATTTCTGTTTTTATTTTGGGGCAAAATTTAGTTCTCAGGGCCTCCCTACGTTTAAGAGCAGAACTACTCAAGAACCTAAGCAGCTATCAGCATAGTTTAAGCGATTTAGAATAGGGCTGTGCAAGGGGATGTACAGGGTTCCTCATTCAGCTGAGGACCTCATTTAGCTCCTTAACTGGAAGCTTTACATTTGATCTGCAGTGAGGGGACATTTCTAATTTTAGTTTGACCCACATGGAAAGGTGGATAGCTTTTTTTTTTTGTTTTGGTATAGAGAGCACGTAGAATTGGACAATTAGGTAAATCCTTGGAATCCCCCAAACAGCCATTTGCTTTATAAATCCAGTATTTCTTACCTCTGAACGTCTTAAAGAGCTGCCTCACAAATTAATCTAACCATTGCTTGCACTAAGAAGTTTGCCAAGAGCCTCTTCCAGCCTTACTGGGGGGAAGGAAGAGATTACTGAAAACCAACTTGTAGGAATGAAATGAGGCTGTCAGTTGTCTAACCTAACAAACTGCCAAATTAGGTTTACATTTTTTGTTATTAGACTTTTGAATGGCCGAGGCAGAGTTAAATTTAAAAT
Source organism: Homo sapiens (assembly GCF_000001405.40). Taxonomy (NCBI): domain Eukaryota; kingdom Metazoa; phylum Chordata; class Mammalia; order Primates; family Hominidae; genus Homo; species Homo sapiens. The sequence goes on along the minus strand of NC_000017.11, from coordinate 45,150,981 downwards.
TTTGGATTGTAGCCACTTTCCACTCGCCTAAACACTCAATACCGGTTTGTTTATTTTTCCAGCATCAAGAAAGAAAACCAAGGCACTAGAAAGCAAGCACACTTAAGTATTGAAGATAATTACATCTTAAATTTTGCCTGAACTGTATATTGTAGCATACTTAAACCCATTCAAGGAAAAAATTGGCAAATTGAAAATTCTCCCATTAAAGATTGATATTTTTGCAAACTGACAAATTTAACGATTTCGGTACCCCTCCCCAAAAATGCAGTCACATAAAATATATCAATACTATTTTGAATTAGCTCTAGAAATCACACTGAAACTATGTTACATTTACAAATATTAAATTTATTATAACTAAAATGAATTTAATTGTTCTCAGATTTGGCCACCTTATAGCTCCGTTTAAGGAGGGGATTTGTTAAAAACAAAAATGCATTATAACTTGGTCAAATTACTTTCACATTAAGGAAAAAAACTTCTAAAAAGGAAAACAAGAAAAGCAACTCTTCAGTTTCACATAATTAAAAGAACAGGAGAAAGCACGCAAGCTACATATAGCTAAATTTACGAAACCAAAGCCAGGGGGATTTCTCTTCTGATTATGTGTCATAAAAAGGTCCACTGTCTTATATACACATGTATATAATGTTACATTCCATCACTGTAAAAAGTCCCCTTTGCCCCCTCCCCCAAAAAAGTTTCAGTCTAGTCTCCAAACTTGGAAAGCGGCGCTCGCTCCTGCTGCCGGTGCAGTTCGTTCTCGGTCAGCAGCTGGAGGTTCTCGGCGCGCAGCCGGTCCAGCTCCAGCTCCAGCTCCCGCACACGCGCGTCGTCGCCACCCAGCCGCTTGCTCTCCAGCCGCAGCCGGTTGTTCTCGTCCTCCATGCGCGAGAGGCACTTCTCCAGTTCCAGGTACTCCTTGATGAGCTCCTGCTTGCTCATGTTCTGCAGGCTCTCCGTGTGGTACCGCTCGTACGTCTCCGAGAAGTCCCGCTGCAGAAACTCGCTGCCGTCCCCTCCCATCCCATCGCTGCCCCCATCCTCCTCACCCCCTTCTTCCATGAAGTCGTCATCGCTGGTGTCGTCGGATTTGGCGGCGGCCCGCTTGGAGTACAGGCCGGTTTTGAGATCCGGCTCCTCCTGGTCGTGATCATCCATGAGGAACTGCGTGGTGTTATAGGGCGCGACCGGCTGGCCCTTGGCGAACATCTCGGCTCGGATCCTTGAAGCTCGAAGGCTCTGTTTCTCGTCGAACTTTTTCTTCTCTTCCCAGGTCAGCTTGTAGTACGGTTTCCAATGCCGCTTCTTCTTGGACGGGCGTCTCCTATGTTTTTTCTTCCCCAGCTGTCTCTGCTGCTGTCCCCACTCCTCTTCGCCCCCTGCGGCAGGAGCCCCCAACTTACTGGCCTCGGAGTCATGACAAGGCTGGGCGAGCAGCTCGGCCTCGGGCGTCGGTTCCACTTCTGCCGGCGGCGGGAAGTCGCCGCCAGCGGACGAGTCGTCCCCATTCTGGCCCTTCTCGCCCTCTCTCAGGCAGCTAGATTCTGGACAGGCCTGGGTCTGCAAGGGAGGTGGTTGGGATTCCAGGCTCCCTTCCCCCTCCGGCCCCGGACGGCCACCCAACTGGGGGAACGCTCTCGATTGCCACCTACTGTCCTCCTCGGGCACCCGCTCCTCCGCGCCTGGGGGGCGCTCAGGGTTCAGCTCTTCCTGGACAGCAGCAGCACCTGTACAGTTGCTAGTTTGAGGCTGGTGTTGATATTCTGACAAGAATGGCTCGGCCATGGCTAGTAGAGTCCTCGAAGTTTAAGAAATTTTGGCTAGTAAGTCCTTAAGGAAAAAAATGGGTTTTTCTTAAAAAAAAGAAAAAGAAAAAAAAAACAGTCCAACAGAGTCCTCTTCAGTTTGTAATTCCTGCAGTGACGCCTTTAGCTAGTCCTTCTATCAGCAAACTCCAACTGCAATCTGGGGAGCTCAAGTCAGTAAAGGGTTAAGCGCCCACAGTGCGGCCAGCTAGCGGGTCCAAGGGGGTGCAGCGGCAGGAACAGTACGTAATGGGCGGAGGTGGGCCTCAAACCTCCAAGCGGAGCACCCCAATAAAGGAGTTGGTGAGCAAGGTGATGAGGGTAAGTCCAGTGCGTGAAACCCAGCCCCGAAGGGGTTAAAACTACCGATGACGCTGCCTCCGAGGGGCCAGATCCACAAAGGGTTAAATCCCCTGCCGCAGAGCCCACAAGGGGTTAAAGTCCCGGCGCCACCTCCTCCCACTTCCACGGGTGTCGCTTCCACCCAAGCTCCCAGTTCCCTAGGCCCGGCCGTAGCCTCAGCAGAGGACAGACAAACTCATCTCCCCTTTGGCTCGATGCTCTGCTCTGCTCAGTTCTCCTCCGCCTCCTCCTCTTTTCCTCCCTCCCTCCTCCCCCTTCCCACAGCTCCTCTTCCGCGTCCTCCCCCGACTTTCCCTCCCAACCTGCCTCTCCACCTGCCAACTTCCAACTGCTGTCTCCCAGTCCTCTGCGCCCCTTTTATATAGAAGCTTTTTCGCCCCGCCCGTGCGCATGCGTAACGGAGTTCCCTTTGCGGGGCGCCGGGAGTCGTAGTTCTTATCTTTCGGGCCCGCCGCCCTCGCGCGCCGTGCGACGTAGCCAATCCCAGGACGCGTAGGGGGCGTCTCCCTGGCCGCCACCTTCCATCGCTTAGACCTCGCTAAAGAAACGCGAGCGGCCATTGGTGAAAAATCACACGACTCGCTGAGGAAGGACGGCCAATCGCAGAGAAGATGGGGCGGGTTCTGGACCGTACCATTCTGTTTCAGGAATACGAGAAGATTCGATGGCCTATGAGAGTCCTCACAGAATATTTTTATGAAAAGGTGCGTTATAAAGGCTATTATCGTATTTTGTTCTCAGCGGAGGGGTTCCGAAGGTTATGAACCTTTATTAACTAACGCAAGAATGGTTTATTCCTAAAAAGTAGTCCCTAAAATGTAAAAGAATTAAATCCTATAAAGAGAGACGTCGGCCCACGGCTGCTAACTCGCGAGTCTTAAGATTATAGAAATGGCTTCAAGGCGGGTGGTGAGTGCCTGAGACTGACACTTGCGGAAGGATATCGCGAGCACATTTTGTAAAGACCGAAGAGCGCATGAAGAAGTAAACAAATGAAGAATAAAAAGTGCCGCCTTAAAGGGACAGTGTGACTGCGTTTAGCGCCGCAGGCTCGCACTAGGCCTCGGAAGACGAAGAGGCGGGTTCGAGTCCCGGTGACGCGACTCCCGGACTGACCTCGGTACCCTTAGCTGAAGGTGGCGGAGTCCCAGCCCCAGCCTGGTCTCAGAAAGCCGCCCCCGCCCCAGGGGCAAATGCAAACTGGTGATTCGCGACCAAGGCTCTTCCCTGGGCCGAGATCGGAAAGCCGGGGCCGGGGGCGGGCGGGGGAGTGGAGGGGGAAGCGGGGGAAGGCCACGCCCCCACGCCTCAGCTTCTGTCGAAGAAAATGGCCTCCTGGGGCCGATTTGGTCTTTTCACTTCCGACCGAGATCATTTCCTGAGCCGGGACAGAGGAGGTCCGGGACAGCCATGAGGCTGTTTGTTGGGAAGAGTTCGGAATGATTAATGAGTTGAAATCATCAGCCCTGGCTATCCGAGAGGGAAGCAGGTCTCACCCGCAGAGGCCCTTCCTCATCAGTGGGCGCTGGGCAAGACTGGGAGGGAAGCATGGAGGAGGCCTTGCTCCGAAACTTGCTGCAGGGGATTCTGGCGCAGGGCTGGGGGGGCCGATTCCCCCGGGGGCGTAGTTTCTCAGAGAGAAATTCTCTAGACCCAAGCCCCCAGCCCTCCATAAACAGGGACTGAGAGGACCCAGAGAACCCTCCATACCAGTCACTGAGGCCTAAAATCTTGGCGCCCTTTCCACTTCTCCTTCGCCACACACCCAGTGACCCTTTCTTCTTATTGCTTCCTTAATAGCATCCCTGACATTCCAGCACGTTTGCACTGTGTACCTTTTACGCACAGAGCCATGTGACCTCACCACAGCCTGGCAAGTTAGACACGATAGGAATGAGTGTCTCCATTTTACAGATAAGGCATCTCTAAGACACTGGAAAATAAGTGACTTGTCCAAGGTCACATGACAACCATGGGGCAGTTCTGGCTAGAGCGCTGGTCTTTGTGACCCCCCCCGTGCCATTTTTCTTTCTGTCACAAACACAAAACCCATTTTTTCTTAAAATCGGGGAATACTCTGGATTTCGTTCTTTTTATTCCCAACAACTTCAACCTTATTCAGCCCCTATATCACTTGGCAAACAGGAGGGTACAAAGAGGGGTGGGATGCCATTCTTGCCTTCAAGTTGCTCCTGGACTGTGGAGAGGCCATCAGACCACAGCCAGCCTAAATGGCAAGTGAGGGAAATCCTGGTGGGAGCTGATGAGCCGAGTGCATGGGAGCTGGGAATTATGGACAAGTGTCAGGAGCAAGTGACTTCCTGGCTGGCTCTGAAGGATGAAGAGCTTTCAGGCAAAGTGGCACGAAGAGGGGCATTTTAGGAAGCCCAAGCATCATGTGCCAGGAAAGGGCTAGTCTGGGACTTCGGTGGCTCTGGGCAGTGTGAGATATCGGGGGTGGGGGCCAGTGGTGATGGGCATGGCCAATGTAGATGCCTCTAAGGGGAGCCGCAAGCACGCGGGCCTCTGGGCACAGCTATATGTTCTGAAAATGAACACCTTCATTTGTTTTCTCTGGGCTTCCAAGAATTCGGGTCCACCTGAAAAGTTCGCCACTCCGTGTGGCTTCATCCCTTAGGAGGCTTCCTGAGAGCAAGAACTGCCCCTCAGAGCACTCCTGGAGGAAAAAGGGATTTTGCAGATAACTTGGTTATCACAGAGAGTTATCACAGAGACCTCCAAATTGTTACCCCATCTTCAGACTCCAGAGGATTCTGGGGTACCCCCAGTCAGGGCATTTGGAAGGCACTGCTGAGCCTAGCCTCAGTGTCCTGGACTGGGCTCCACTGTATGGTCTCGTGTTCTATTGGGGGAGAGGTGGACTGACGAATAGGTTGTGGAATTCTAGAATTCTGTCAAGGGGCCAGGCAACCTTACTGTTAGCTGGGTTCTAACCCTTTGCCAGGCATTTAACATGCCCCATCACTGGTAAACCCCAGGACTGCCTTATGAAAAAGAGATCAACTCTATTTCACAAAAGAGGCCACCCAAGGCCAGAGCAGTTAAGAATCTTCCCCAAGGGGGCCGGGCGCGGTGGCTCACGCCTGTAATCCTAGCACTTTGGGAGGCCGAGGTGGGCGGATCACGAGGTCAGGAGATCGAGACCATCCTGGCTAACATGGTGAAACCCCATCTCTACTAAAAATACAAAAAATTAGCCGGGCGTGGTGGCCCCCGCCTGTAGTCCCAGCTACTTCCGGGAGGCTGAGGCAGGAGAATCGCTTGAATCTGGGAGGCGGAGGTTGCAATGAGCCGAGATCGCGCCACTGCACTCCAGCCTGACAACAAAGCGAGACTCGGTCTCAAAAAAAAAAAAAAAAAAAAAATATCTTACCCAAGTTCCACAGCTACTGTGCAAGTGGTGGAGCTGGCTTCAGCTCCAGGCCTGCATCCCCCACCAAGGTGGCCCTGCTGTTGTCTGTCCTGCTTGCTGCAGTCCAGCCTTATCACAGGGGCTATTCAGCCTGTGCTTGTGACCCTGGGCTGAGCCGTGCAGGTGCAGAGCGCACCGTCTAGCCTCAGGGATGCCTTCCCGGCTTTGAGAGGACTGACGACTAAAGAGTGACTGTGGCTTCCAGTGGGGCCAATGATGGCGAAGCCTGGGACGGTGGTCGAGACTAGAGGCTGACAGGGAACTCAGGAGTTTAAGGATCTCAGCCAGGGGCCTTCAGAACTGCCTCTTCCTTACCCAGGGGTAGGAAGGTCCTAGGGCCCAGGTGGTGGCAGCGGCGGGGGACTGCGGTAGAGACCCTGGCCAGTGGACTTGGAGGCGCTGGCACCAGGCGGCCCTCAGAGCGGCCAGTTTCGCCACTGAATACAGGCCGGACCGAGGCTTGAGCCAAGACGGCCCACGGACGACAGGGCTTGTGCTGGACAGAGGGAGGCCAAGGCTTCTGGCCCGTACCCCCCGACGGCGACTGCACGCGGGCGCTCGGCCCACCCCGACAGGGGCTTCCAGGCGCGCAGGGCCCTGCTCCCTACTCAGGGCGGGGCGAGGACGAGGCTCTCGCTGGGCCTTGGCCTCCCAGAAAATCCCCTGGGAAGGCCCAGGCCCGGAGGTCAAGGTGGGGCACCGGGAACTGAGGCAGCTGAGGAGGGGGCAGCGGACATTTCTGGGGCCGGGGGCTCGGAACCCCATCTCTACGCCCGGGGCGCGGAGCTGGAGCAGCCGCGGTCCGCTTTGGGCGGGGGCCAAACCAGCTCCTCGGCCCCGCCCAGCCGTGCTCCGCTCCTCCCCGCCACCCCCAGCTCGCTCGGACCCCGCGTCCCCGACGGGGCGGCGGGCTGGGCCGCGCCCTCGGCCCCCCGCATTGGCCCCGCCTTCCCAAGGGCGCCCCGCTCCCAGCCCGGGCCACCCTTGGTTCCCCTCCCTCTCCCCTCCACACAGAGGCCTGTTTTCCCTTCGCTTGCCCGGGGAGGAGGGAAAATATTCCCCATTCAGAAACACCAACCGCTGGCTTCTTTCAGGGCCATCAGGGGGGCATTGGGTGGGGAGCAGGAAAGGGACTTGTGCCTCGCTCGCGCCGGGCCCCGCTCCCCGCTCCCTCCGTAGGGGACCAGACAGCAGAAGATTCTGGTTTTCTTTTATTTAGTGAAACATTCCTTTGTAAGTGAATCTTCAATGAAGACGTCCCGAGTGTGTGTGGGGGCGGAGGGGGCCGGCAGGGGAGGAAAGCGAGCAAACTGCGCTCATCCCCCTCCCCCGGGGCCTGCTCACTCCTCCCAACTGGTCCGGGCCTCCTGGCCTCCCTCCCGCGGCCTCCCAGCCAATCATTCTTCCAGGCCCCGGCCCAAGTCCCAACTTGCTCAAGAGCTCAACCTCCTCGGGGAGAAGCAGGGGTGGGAAAATTCGGGTGACCCAGAGACTGGGGAAGGCAGGGGCTGAGACCCGATCGCCCCGCCCCCGAGTCACGGCCAACCCAGCACCGGGGACGTGTACCACAACTGCAGCCTCCCAGGGGAGCCTGGGGTGGTTGCGGGGAGGGAAGGAAGCGTCCCTGTGAAGCTGCAGGGAGGGGTGGGGTCTTATTTGCCCCCCGCGCTGCTTTAGGGGAGGAGGTGCGAAGGCAAACACTGACAGGACGGGGAATTTTGAATGCTGTTCTTCTAAACCCTAGGAAGGCTCAGGGCACAGCAAGATAGTCTCAGTTGGCTGCAGAGACCCCTCCACTGACAGTCACCTCTTTTGGGTCCGAAACATTCGGAAGAGCCACTGGACGACGAAGGGCCACAGGAGGAAGAAGAGCAGCGCGGGCCCCGGGAGCCCAAGGGGCCATGGCCGAGCACTGGGCCTGGGCTGCGGCCTCTGCAGCCAAGAGGGAGGGAGTCAGAGGCCAGTCCAGGCCTCAGCACAGCCTCCCTAGGAACCTGCTTCCAATTCAGTGGAAGATTGGAAAGACCCTGCCCCTAAGTCTGCACCACTAGAAAGGAAGTGGCCCCCAGGTGGTCCTGACAGGTTGAATGCCAACTCCCTCCCACATCTTCCTCCCCAGGGCAATCCCAGTATCAAGAGAGGCTGGCGGGGCTGCGGGTAGAGGGAGCGGCTTCCATGCCATCTTCTCTGGGCCACAAAGCAATGACCCTTGGTATGACCTGAAGACCTGTGTTGTTAAGGATGTGCCACATATGTCAAATGAGGACCCTGGGTACCTAGATTTTAGTTTCCAAGTATCATTCTCCACTAAAAAGGAGCCAAGGCTCCTTGGAGAAGTGGCTGGTTCCAGGCCTGGGGCAGGGAAGGTGGGAGTGAATGTGGGGCGCCTTGTACCAGGAAAGCAAGGTCGCTTTTAAAGATTCATCAGGTCGTGTTATAAGAACATAAGATCCGGTATGAAAGGGTCTTGAATGGCCAAAGTTGTGACTGTCTGAGCATAAAAAAGAATGACTGTGGCAGACCGGGTGGGATGGCTCACGCCTGTCATCCCAGCACTTTGGGAGGCCGAGGCAGGTGGTCACGAGGTCAGGAGTTCAAGACCAGCGTGGCCAAGATGGTGAAACCCCGTCTCTACTAAAAATACAAAAAAAATTAGCCGGGCATGGTGGTGGGCGCCTGTAATCCCAGCTACTCGGGAGGCTGAGGCAGAGAATTGCTTGAACCCGGGGAGGCGGAGGTTGCAGTGAGCTGAGTTCACGCCACTTCACTCCAGTCTGACCGACAGAGTGAGACTGCATCTCAAAAAAAAAAAAAAAAAAAGAATTACTGTGGCTCCTGGGAATACTGAATCTGTGAAATCCATGAGCCCACAGTGATACTCAAGAGAAAACTGGAATTTTTGTCACCATTTAGGTGGCTTTTAAATTAATTTCTTTCTTTTTCTTTCTTTCTTTCTTTTTTTTTTTTTTTTTTTTTTTTTTTTTTGAGGAGTCTTGCTCTGTCTCCCAGGCTAGAGTGCAATGGCGTGATCTCGGCTCAGTGCAACCTCCGCCTCCTGGGTTCAAGCGATTCTCCCGCATCAGCCTCCTGAGTAGCTGGGATTACAGAAACCTGCCACCATGCCTAGCTAATTTTTGTATTTTTAGAAGACACAGGGTTTCACCATGTTGGTCAGGCTGGTCTCGAACTCCTGACCTCGGGTGATCCACCCACCTCAGCCTCCCAAAGTGCTAGGATTACAGGCGTGAGCCACCGTACCCAGCCTAAATTAATTTCTTACTTTAAAAATAGATAACTAAAGAGAAAGAATGAAGTATTTATCTTGCCTTTCCACTGTATTTCAGGGAAACCCAAGATGATGAAGGAAAGAGTATACAAATGATAGCTGATAGCTAGTAGATGTTAAAGGAATCATAGCATTTAAAAGTCAGCTTTTTTTTTTTTGGCAATTACTAAATTATTGACTCAGGCAAGGATTAGCAATTGTCAAAAACTAGCAAATGGAGTTGATGGGGGACTGGATATTCTCCGACTGCAGGAGGAAAACATGACTTTACAATGGTGGGATCAGACCCCCTTCAACCATGCCAGTGGTCCATGCTAGAGTTACTAATAATGGGACATCCAGATAGCATGTGTCCTCTGCCATGAAAAAACATCACCTCTGATGTAGTCTGGTCCAAAATGTTGTGGTTTTTTGTGCTTTGCGTTTTTTTGAGACAGGGTCTCACTCTGTCACCCAAGCTGGAGTGCAGTGACACCATCATAGTTCACTGCAGCCTCAATCTCCTGGGCTCAAGTGATCCTCCTGCTTCAGTCCACACCCAGCTAATTTTTAAACATATATTTTGTGGAGACAGGGTCTCACTATGTTACCCAGACTGGTCTCAAGCTCCTGGGCTCAAGCGATCTGCCTGCCTCAGCCTCCCAAAGTGCTGGGATTACAGGCGTGAGCCACCATGCCCAGCCCAAATGTTTAATGTGACTCTAATCAAGTGTTTAGATCTAACCTCCAGTTCACAGGAAATGTGTATCGAGGAACCACCCATGAGGATGTAATTAGACCCAAAAGGTGGAACATTCTATAGGACACCAGCCCAGACTGGTCAGCAAGTCAATAGCAAGGAGAAGGACTGGGCTAGATTAAAAGAGAATTGAAAGGGGAACAAATGCAATGTGTGGTCCTAGCCTGGAAAAACAGAGCAGCTGGAAAAGGCGGTTTCAGGATAACTGGAGAAACTGGAATTTAGATTGGATATTTGATGATATTAAGAAATTAATAATTGTGTGTAATAAAATGTTGTTTGGGCTAGGTAGAATGTTCTTATTTTGAGAGATATGGTTTTTTGTTTGTTTGTTTTTGAGATGGAGTCTTGCTCTGTAGCTCAGGCTGGAGTGCAATGGCACCATCTCAGCTCACTGCAACCTCTGCCTGCCAGTTTCAAGTGATTCTCCTGCCTCAGCCTCCTGAGTAGCTGGGATTACAGGTGCCTGCCACCTCGCCCAGCTAAGTTTTGTATTTTTAGTAGAGACGGGGTTTTGCCATGTTGGCCAGGCTGGTCTGGAACTCCTGACCTCAGGTGATCCACACGCCTTGGCCTCCCAAAGTGCTAGGATTACAGGCGTGAGCCACCACGCCCAGCCTATTTTGAGAATATGAACCCAACTCTTTCGGGGTGGAACATCATGATGTTTAGAATCTTTTTTTTTTTTTTTGAGGCAGGATCTTGCTATGTTGCCTAGGCTGGTCTCGAACTCCCAGGCTCAAGAGATCCTCCCTCCTCAGCCTCCCAAAGTGCTGGGATTACAGGTGTGAGCCACCACGCTGGCCTGTAATCTACTTTAAAATCTTCAACATTTAAAAGTAGTAAATGGTAGGAAAAAAAGAAAAGGGGGCCAGGCGTGGTGGCTCACACCTGTAATCCCAGCACTTTGGGAGGCTGAGGCAGGTGGATTACGAGGTCAAGAGATTGATACCATCCTGGGGACCGTGGTGAAACCCCGTCTCTACTAAAAATACAAAAAGTATCTGGGCATGGTGGTGCTGCCTGTAGTCCCAGCTACTCCGGAGGCTGAGGCAGGAGAATCACTTGAACCCGGGAGGCGGAGGTTGCAGTGAGCCGAGATCATGCCACTGTACTTCAGCCTGGGCGACAGAGCAAGACTCTATCTCAAAAACAAAAAACAAAAAGAAAAAAAAAAAAACAGAAGAAAAGAAAGAAAGCCCTGTTGAGGGGGAGGAGCAGTGTTGAAAAGTTAGCCATCGTGGATCTGAGGAAATCCTGCTGCTGTGGGCTCACACCTGCTGTGCTGAGTGGATTAGCGGTCACCCCAGAGATGCCTCACATCTGGGAACCCAGCCCTCTCTGCCCCCACTACCTCAGGCTTTTCAAGAACAGACCCACTCAGAGTTAATGGTGGGTACCAGCTTTGCAGGGAGACAGAATAGGGGCCACTGCCAACTCCATCGCTTAATGTTAATATTAACAGCAATAGTAGCAACAGAACCGACTGGAGAAGGCTTTCTGTTTGGTGGGCACCACTGAAGCACCAACATGCATGGTTGAATCCTCACAGTAGCTCAGAGAGGCTCTCCCAGGCTGTGTGCCCTCAGGCAAATTAGCCCCTTGGAGCTTTAGTTTCCCTCTCTAAAAGGGAGGTGAAAAGAAACTCTATCTCATAGGGCTGTTGTGTGGATTCAGTGGGAAGATGCCCATGAGTGTTTCGCACCCAGCGGGGCTCCAGCAATGGCAGCTGTTATTTAGTTTGCAGGAGCCCAGGATCCCAAGTGTCAGAGGCAAGCAGAGCTAGGAGTTGAGGAGAGGGATGCAAGGGCTGAACCATTTGGGGCAAATCCTAATTCTGGGAATGGAAGTCCTGACTGAGGGGCAATAGGGACCCGCATCCTCAATGCCCAGAGCAGACACATCATGGCCCTTCCCACACGGGATTAGTCCTGAGGCTTAGCTTCTCTCCAGGCAGAGGGAGGGGAGAACGGCAAAGGGCCCCACCCACTGTGCCTTCAGAGTAGAAGCATGTCAGCCCCCTCCACCCTCACCCCCACCTCCTGCCTGTAGCAGGAGCCATGCCATTCTCTGGAGAGAGATGTGGGCAGGTGGAGGCGTGAGGACAAAAACAAAAGTGGCTGGAAGAGGAGCCCAGAATAAAGACCGGATTCTGCCATCATCTTGTCCTATGGGGTGGGGGACTCTACCTGCTCAGGGGGCCGGGGCATGCTCTCCAGGCTCTGCACCCTCGCCTGCACCTCCTGCATGCTCTCCTGTAGTGCTCGAACTGTCCCCAGCAGCCACACGTCCAACTCCTGGGGCCCCGGCGGGCTGCCCCGCAACCCCTCTGCGGAGCACAGACACACAGGGAAGGGGGCTCAGGAGGCAATTCAGCTCTGGGCAGGGTGGGGGCAGGCTGGGGCAAGCCCAGGAAAGTGTAGGAGTGGAACCCAGTCGCTGTACCAAGTGTGATTCTTGCAAAGTCCATCTATGTAGCTGAGTAATGGGCTGCTATGGGTTTAATCCCAGCATGGCCGCTTATGACACAGATCAAGTCATTACCTTTTTTTTTTTTTTTTTAGACAGTCTTGCTCTGTTGCCCAGGCTGGAGTGCAGTGGCACAATGACCTCGGCTCACTGCAACCTCCGCCTCCTGGATTCAAGCGATTCTCCTGCCTCAGCCTCCCGAATACCTGGGATTATAGGTGCCCACCACACCCGGCTAATATTTGTATTTTTAATACAGACAGGGTTTCACCATGTTGGCCAGGCTGGTCTCAAACTCCTGACCTCAGGTGATCTGCCTGCCTTGGCCTCCCAAAGTGCTGGGATTACAGGCGTGAGCCATCGTGCCCGGCCAAAGTCATTAACTTCTCTGGGCATCATTTTGTCATCTAAAAATTAGGAGAAGATGTCATTTCTCTCACAGGGCTGCTTGCTCAGAGGAAAAAAGGAGAAACTTTTCAAAATGTCCATACAGGACCTGACACACAACAGGAGTTCTAGAAGGGAAGAGGGCAGAACTCATTGTCTTCTGAGATTTCCAAACGGGGGAGTCCAGAGAATATGGATGACTTCCTGAGGCTGTGCAGCTGTAGGTGGGAGAACTGGGCTAGGACTCCCATCCCGCTGGCCTTACTCAGGACCTGCAGAGGGTGCAGACTCCTGGGTGCCCTTTGGGGAGAGGAGGGAGGGCGGGGACTTTGCCCATCCAGGCAGGTATCTGGCTGGTTGGCAGCCCTTCCTGGACAGAGGCTTCTCGCTCAGTGCCCAGCAATGGACTTTCAACTCTGCCCTAGGAAGGCAGCCAAGAGAAAGCCTGGGGTGCCAGGACCACGGGAAAGGGCAGAAGTGGGTGAGAGGTTGGGTAGGAGCTCACCTTTCTTTGTGGGGGGCACGGGGCTGTTCCTGGGATCACGCTTTCCTCCAGATGCTGCCCGCTGCTCTGTCCAAACCTGCTGAGATGAGTCAGAGAGCTGAGGGTGGGAGTGGGAGCACAGTGGGGTGGGAAAAGGGGGGAATGGGGACTGGGCTCACCAGCTCAGGCTCCAGCTGCTCCAGGGAATCACAGAAAACCTCGGAGTCCAGGTCCCTGGGTGAATGGGACTCTGTGGAGGGGTTGGTAGAGTTACTGCCCAGAGGGAAGCTGTGGAGGGAGAGCAGGAGTGTGCACTGGGCAGAAGCACCTGTTTAGGAGACACTAGAGATACGAGGCACTAGAGATATCAACACCTGAGGCACAGATGGGCGCCAGAAGCAAGGCCCTGGAACAGGAATCCTAGACCCCGGTCCCCACCTTTGGGAGCACAGGAAGTCTCAGTGTCTGTGGAGGGCACAGCGTGGCATCCAGCCTTCTCCCCTCCAGCCCTCCCCCAGCCTGAGTTTGGTCCACCCCTCCTGCTCAAGCACTAACCTGGGCTTGGGGGTGCCGGTTCCTTGGGGAGGCAGGGAGGCTCTGAAACAGCCCCAACATCTCCATTCACAACCTGCTCTTTCCAACCTGCCAAGACACAGCACCCAGAGGTGGGCCTGGGGAGAGGCTGGCACCTCCCAGTGTGATCAAGCCCCTACTCGTGATGAGCCGTGGATGCTGCCTGGGATCCACCTCTCGGGGGCTTGGGGGCCCTAACAGGGATGTCGCCTGGAGCCCTCTGCCCCCAGCCCACCTCAGCCTAGACCTAAGACGGTTCACTCAGCACTTTTGGAGCTCCCAGCCTGGGAGTCTGACCTGTGACCCTTCTCAGGAAGGTCTCTGGGGGCCTCGGCATGTCAGGGATCACCTGGTACAGGGGCTCGAAGTAACCAAACATGTCCTCTGCCACCTCACCCAGGGGCACTGTGTCGATCACCTGTAGGGGAGGGGGTCTGTTGGGGACGGAGTGGCCTCCTGTCCCTTCCTCCCTGCTCCTGCCCTGTCACACACCTCCACCCTGTGCCCAGTCAGGGGCCAAAGATAGGCAGGGTTGGGGGTAACATGAAGGTGGTGATTCCCATGAGGGGGTCCATGTGTAGGAAACGTAGTGGGGGTCAGAACTGGAAGGGTGAGGCCACCTGGCCAGGAGCCTGGGGACAGAGAACCTGCAGCCCTTACCTTCTGTGCCACCAGTTTCATTTCAGTGATGTAGGCAGACATGGCCTCCTCCCTGCTCATCTTGCCCAGACTGTTCCAGGCGTCCCTGGGGGCAGAGGGCTGTGAGAGGGCTGCTTGACAGCTGAGGCTTGTCTGCCCAGCCAGCAGGGAGCTCACCACTTATATCGTCCAATGGGGTCCCAGAACCCGGGCCGGGGGACCAGGCAGGGCCCCATGGTGGCCTGCTTGTAGTAACTGTAGAATCGCAGCATCTCTTCATAGGAGGGGCGGTAAGAACCTGGGCAGAGAGTTGGGAAGCCAGGGCAAAGCATCACTCCCAGCTCCAAGGGGCGGAGGGGCGGGAGAACCCTGCTTGGAAAGGGCAGAGGTGGTGATGGGTCCCACCCAGGGCATCTGGACTAGGATAGGAAGCGGAGGGAACCCCCAGGACAGCCCAGGCAGGGGCTTGTCTGCAAAAACTGCAGTGATCAGGACCATTCTTTCTTCAGAGTCAGACCCCAGGCGTCCTGAATGCGAGTCCAAATGCGAGTCCCCGCAGCCTCACCGTTCTTGGGCAGGTTCTGGATGACGCTCACTGCAGCCTGGAACTGTTTCTGGCAGTCGGGCTCTGGGCTTTCTTTCTCGGTGCCCATGCTGCTGCGAGCCCTGGGGCCCTACTTTTGAGCGACTCTGCAAGAAGCAGCCTTCGTGTGAGGGGGCCTCCAGGGTCCCCCCGGCACCATAAGCCAAGGATTCACTTCCCAGAGGGGCAAACTAAGCTCTTTAGAGGCCTCAGACACCCTGGGAGGTCAGAAGTTGTGGTTGAGGAGCCTCCTTTTCCTACCTCAAGGCAGTGTGGTGGGGTCAGGGTCGCCAGGTGGCGAGGCAGGTGGCGAGGGCCTCAGTGCCAGATGTGTCCGTCCCCAGATGCGCCTCCTTTAGGTGCACATCTCCAACTCCCGAACAGGTGGAGAAACAAGATAGGAGTACTCAGGGCGGGGCGAACAGTCTCCCACCCTGGCCGCCTGCACCTTGGCCCAGCGTGTGCCCCGCGGCGCCCACTGCCAGGACACCTGGGTCCTCTCTCGCCACCACCCCGCGGCTTCCTACTGACCCCGGGGTCCAGCAGGGCCGGGATGGCGACGCAGATCGAGGGGGGGAATTTAGGCCAATGAGAGAGCCTGTTTCACATTCGGCTTACCTACCTCAACCATTCAGCACAGCTCTTTCAAGATCATGCAAATAGTTTCTCAGAGCCTTTCCCAATCAGGCGGGGCTTAATCGAAGGGTCGGACTTCCCAGCCCGGGATGGCCAAGGCGGGCGGCAGCGCCCCCTGGTGCACATAGTGAAAGGTCGTGGCGTCCTAGCGCCCCCTGGTGGAAATCCGCATCTGTTCGCTGATATCCAGGCCTGGCCGATCCGAGGCAACCCACTCAGCTCTCTAGACACTTAGGCACTGGGGATTAAAAAAAGTCATGTCCTGTGGTCAGGTGTTCTAGAGGAAGGACATCACAGCTCAGTTTTGGAAGATGGTCGGGCACGGTGGCTCATGCCTGTAATCCCAGAACTTTGGGAGGCCAAGGCGGGCGGATCACCTGAGGTCAGGAGTTCGAGACCAGCCGGGCCAACATAGTGAAACCCCATCTCTACTAAAAATACACAAATTAGCCGGGCGTGGTGGCGCGCGCCTGTAATCCCAGCTACACGGGAGGCTGAGGCAGGAGAATCGCTTGAACCCGGGAGGTGGAGATTGCAGTGAGCCAAGATTGCCCCACTGCACTCCAGCCTGGGCGAGAGTGAGACTCCATCTCAAAAAAAAAAAAAGAGTAAGCAAAATGGACATCGCAGAATGATGGTTACCAGAGGCTGGGAAGGGTACTGGGGAGGGGGGGAAATGGGTACAAAAATACAGTTAGAATGAATGAGATCCAGTGTTCGGTAGCACAATACAACGATTATAGTTACCAATAATTTATTGTATCTTTTTATTTTGTTTATTTTATTTTATTTATTTATTTTTTTGAGACGGAGTCTCACTCTCTCCCGGGCTGGAGTGCAGTGGCGTGATCTCGGCTCACTGCAATCTCCGCCTCCCGGGTTCACGCCATTCTCCTGCCTCAGCCTCCCGAGCAACTGGGATTACAGGCGCTCGCCACCACGCCCAGCTAATTTTTTGTATTTTTTAGTAGAGACGGGGTTTCACCATATTAGCCAGGATGGTCTCGATCTCCTGACCTCGTGATCCGCCGACCTCGGCCTCCCAAAGTGTTGGGATTACAGGCGTGAGCCACCGCGCCCGGCCTATTGTATCTTTTTAAATTAATTATTTTAAAAACAATTTTTGTAGAGGCAGAAGTCTCATTATGTTGCCCAGGCTGGTCTTCATTCAATACCTGGCCTCAAGTGATCATCCCACCTCTGCCTCCCAAAGTGCTGGGATTACAGGCGTGAGCCACCGCATCCGGCCAATTTATTGTATATTTCAAAATAACTGGGCGGGAAGTGGTGGCTCAGGCCTGTAGTCCCAACACTTTGGGAGGCCAAGGCAAGAGAATTGCTTTGAGGCTGCAGTGAGCTATGATCATGCCACTGCACTCCACCCTGGGCAACCAAGTAGTGAGACCTTGTCTCTAATAAACAAATAAAATACAAATACAAATAACTAAAAGCGGAATTGGAATGTTCCTAATACAAAGGAATGATAAATGCTTGAGGTGATGGTTACTTCAATTACCTTGATTTGATCATTACACATTTTATACCTGTATCAAAACATTACATGCCTCTCCATAATTCTCTGCAACTATTAAGTGTCCATAACAATTAAAAGAAATGTAGACTTAGCCTATCCAACAACAAGAATAACAAAAGGGTAAACCAGGAGAATAAGGAAGGTTGTTTCTGGAGGAAGGAACGGCAGGATCAAAAGCACAAAGGCGAATACGATAATCAAGAAGAAAATTCAGGGCCGGGCGCGGTGGCTCACGCCTGTAATCCCAGCACTTTGGGAGGCCGAGGCGGGCGGATCACGAGGTCAGGAGATCGAGACCATCCCGGCTAAAACGGTGAAACCCCGTCTCTACTAAAAATACAAAAAATTAGCCGGGCGTAGTGGCGGGCGCCTGTAGTCCCAGCTACTTGGGAGGCTGAGGCAGGAGAATGGCGTGAACCCGGGAGGCGGAGCTTGCAGTGAGCCGAGATCCCGCCACTGCACTCCAGCCTGGGCGACGGAGCGAGACTCCGTCTCAAAAAAAAAAAAAAAAAAAAAAAAAAAAAGAAAATTCAGGACCCCAGAGTGGCGTAGGGACCCAAGCCAGTGTGCAGAATCTCTGGGCCTGGGAGATCTGAGGATGGGGTAGAGCAGGGCAAGTAGGTGGCAAATCAGGCCCTGAGCACTAGCCTCTCTGTAGGATGCCACGCCGCTGGCCGCCGCAAAGTGGCGGTGTGCGCCCATGTCTCTGCCGGACCCAGGCCACCGGCCGCAGAAACGCTGCCACCTGGACGTCCCCCACTTCGCGCACGCACT
The DNA here is from genome assembly GCF_000001405.40 of Homo sapiens. NCBI lineage: Eukaryota > Metazoa > Chordata > Mammalia > Primates > Hominidae > Homo > Homo sapiens. The sequence continues at coordinate 45,133,270 of NC_000017.11, read as the reverse complement.
CTGGTGCTTGCATATAAATAGTAAGTGCACACCCGACTCGGCCACCAGAACCTGCACACGGATGCCCACCCACGGGTTGACGTCGCGGACAACTACACCGCGGGTGCCGGGCTGGGGTGCCGGCCTGTCCAAGCCTCGAACCCAGAACCAGTTGCTGGGGACTCCAGGCTCGGCTCCGCCTCACGCTCCCCAGGTCCGTCAGCTCCGAGACTGTGGCTCTCCGAGGGGGCAGCACCTGGCCTGGCACAGGGAGGTTAATCCTATGACGTCACTGCCAACCTCCCCACCCCCATGCCCATCCCTTCGGGTTCGCGCTGCCCCGAGCGGCTCAGCTCCCGGGGTTCTGCCTTCGCTCCCGGCCCTGCGTCCTGTCCCGGCTCTGGTTCCCTGCTGAGGCCTGCGGCGCGACGGGGACGCGGAAGGGAAGGAGGAGGGGGTCCTGCGTCAGCCTCGAGTCAGGGCCCCCGGGAAGGAGAGGGTGTCTGTGCCAGAGGATGGCCCTCGTCCCCGGTGCCGGCTCCCACCCCCAGCCCCGCAGCATGGGGGCTCTAGTCACCCTTGCGGCCAAGATCAGAGGCTCGCCCGGACTAAGGGGAGACGGACTCACGAGCAGGGGCGAGCGCTGAGGCTCCGGGCTTCCAGGCCACCGCCTGGCCCCGCCCTCGCACCGCCCCGGCCCCGCCCCCTTCCCTTCCCGCCCCGCCCCGCCCCACCTCCTGCTGCCTCCTCCGACTCCCTCCCGCGCCGCTAAGTTTCTTCGCTCGCCGCCTCGCTCAGAGCCGGGGCCGGGCCAGAGCGGCGCCCCGCTGCCCTGTCCCCGCGTGCAGACCCCGGGCCCGGCCCCGGCCCCCCGCCAAGCCATGCTGTGCGGCCGCTGGAGGCGTTGCCGCCGCCCGCCCGAGGAGCCCCCGGTGGCCGCCCAGGTCGCAGCCCAAGTCGCGGCGCCGGTCGCTCTCCCGTCCCCGCCGACTCCCTCCGATGGCGGCACCAAGAGGCCCGGGCTGCGGGCGCTGAAGAAGATGGGTCAGTGACGGGCAAGGGGCGGTGGGGTGGGCGCGGACCGTTCCCAGAGGCCCAGTCTGGGGCGCTCCAGGGAGCAGTTCGTGGATTCCCCAGGCTGCACGGGGCTGGGAGGCTATGGCTAGGGGCGGAGGGCCAGCTCCCTCCAGCTGGGGGTCGCACCTGGGGTCATCCGAGGGTCCCGGGGCGAGCCGGGCGCCCAGGGTGTTCTTTGCTTCCCACCAGGGGGCGCTCGCGGGGCGTCTGAAGCGCGAATTCGGGCACGGGGCGCTGGTGGGGTCTCCAAGGAGAATGGAGCGGGAGAGGGAGGCTTGGGGTGTCCCTCGTCCGGCTCCCCAGCAGTATCTAGGTTCTGCCAGGGTGTCTCGGGGTCTTGGCAGCCCTTAGGAAGGATGCGAGTTTGCGGTCGGCCTCCGCAGAAGAGGCTGGCCTCCACAGCAGCCCTCCAAGCCGCGGCCCCACAGAGGCGGCCACAGCCACACTGCTCTGGCAGGACTGGTCTAACAGCCTACGTCCGACAGCCAAGGCTCTCACCTCAGATTTGGGGAAGTCAGTCGTGGAGAAGGAATGTAACTGTGGCTCATTGGAACATCACAGAGGCAGCTGGCACTGGGTGGGTTACACAGGTGGTGTCTTGCAATCTTCCTCGACTTCCTAGGTGGGAGGTGAATCCTCATTTCACAAGTGAGGAAACTGACTCAGAGACGGCAAGGAATTTGCCTATGACCACACAGCCAACAAAGGGCAAAGTGTGACTGGCACCCCGGTGGTGCCCCACCACATGGGCCCTGGTACCCTCTCAGAGTCTGGGAAAAGTGGGACCCGCAGGGCAGTGGAGGGCTTGAATGAGAGGGTGTGTGCGAGAATGTTGTCTGACGTGGAAAGGACCGCGCCACTGAAGTGCTGCGTTGGACCTGCCATTGGTAGAATAGTCAGTGATGGAGAGGCTAGGTGTGGAACTCCGGAACAGAAGGACAAGGCTGCCAGGGACCCCGTGTAGAACTTGGGGCAGAATTCAGGGGTCCTGATTGCCAGTTTTGCCTTCTTGTTACCTCGACTCATTCCACCTGAGCGCTGACTATGTCTGGGCGCTGTGCCTGGCACTCTGGTTACTGAGACATAGGACACCATCTCTACCCTGCCATCCATTCAACTGTGCATGCATTGGACAAGCACTTATGCGGTGCCCATGGTATGGTACTATGGTACAAGCACTTGTGGAGTGCCTATGGTATGCTCCACCCTGGGGCTCTTGCATTAGAGAGCTGAGGTTCCAGCAGGGAGATCAGACAGTGAAACAAAGGAACAGGACCTTGGGGGTGGGGGAACAGGGGGCAGCACATGAGGGGCTGGGGAGCCAGCAGGCCCTGGCTGGCCCCAGCTGAGGAAGACGGGAGTGGCAAAGGGGAGAGGCTGGGGGTGGGAGGAGCTCCTCCAGGCCCTCCCTGGAGAGTCATGGACTTTATCTGGAGGGCATCAGGAGCCCCAGAAAGGGCTTGGGCAGGAGTGAGTGTGGAGAGTGGGGGGCAGGTTGGATGAAGGCAGGGGCGAAACAGGGAGACCCAAGGAGGGAGGCTGAGGAGTTAGTTGGGCAAGGGGTGGGGACCAGACTTGGGGGACACCCAGGATGGACCCCAGAACTCCCAGGAGATAGACTGGGCTGGACTCTGTGATCGACAGGTGTCATTCTCTGGGCTAAGAAATGGTGTGGTTTGGGGATGGCTGAGGGCAGCCCTGGGAGTCAGCCCTGGCAGGGTCACGGGTGCCGCGGAAGGGCTGAGGGGAGGCCCCATGCCCATTGGCCTCTTCATCCCACACGTTTGCTGAGCGCCATTAGTGGGCCAGGGTGCTGTGCCAGGGGCTGGGGCTACAGAGATGAGTAGCACAGAGCTTTGCCCTCAGGGAGTGCACAGTTTAGTGGGCAGAGTCACATGCAGACAAATAATTACAGCTGAGCCCGGGCCTCGGTACTCATCAGCTGAGTAAGGCTGCACGGGAGCTCTGGGCACCTCATCAAGGTGACACTCTCGGGAACTACATAGATATCAGAATGTCATCTAGGTCACCCTCATTCCTCACCACTGCCCTGTCCTGCTGAGTGACTGCAGAGAGAGGAATGTTGAGTCCGAGTCTGTTGGGAATGTCCCTTCCCCAGGCCATAGGGAGTCCAGGGACAGGGTGGAGAAGGAAACCCAGTCTTGGGGCCCAGCCCCTTGGGCCATCAGAGGCCAAGGCCTAGGCCTGTCACCCAGGTAGCCTCCCCCGCCTCGCTCTGCCCCTGCCATCACCACACCCCTTAGCCTAACAGAGAATAGATTTTATATCAAATCAGGTCAAGGGACTAGGGCAGGGAGTGGCTTAGAGGGGCCTGAGGAAGGAAAATCCTTTAGGGCCACACTAGGGAGACCCAGATGAGCGGGGAAGGAGGAAGAAAACACCCCCACAGTGAGTGGGAGTCCTTTGTCCCCCCTCCAGTCCCCCGCTCCTGGGCTGGGCTGCGGACTTGCAGGGAATCATTGAAGAGAGAGGAGCGCTAGAGCCCAGTGAGCACCCGCCATGCGTGAGGCACTGTGCTGAGCTTGCATCAGACCTGATCCTGCTTAATCCTCAGGCATCCCTGTGCGGGAGGTGCTGTCCTCATGTCACATTACAGACGGGAAGCTCAAGGCGGAGGGGTGAAATCACCGCCCAAGGCCACATGCCTGCCTGCTGCCAGAGCCTAGTTTTCCATGATGGCTCCCAGTGAATACTTTTTGTTGTTGCTGTTGTTGTTAGTTGTTTATGAGACAGGGTCTCATTCTGTCACCCAGGCTGGAGTGCAGTGGCATGATCATGGCTCACTGCAACCTCAAATTCCTGACCTCAAGTGATCCTCCCACCTCAGTCTCCCAAGTAGCTGGGACTCAGGAGACTGGGAGACTGGGTACCACCACATCCAGCTAATTTTGTTTCTGTTTTTTGTAGAGTTGGGGTCTCACTGTGTTGTCCAGGCTGGTCTTGAACTCCTGGGCTAAAAGAATCCTCCTGCCTTGGATTCCCAAAGTGCTGGGATTACAGGTGTAAGCCACCATTCTTGGCTAGCCTGATGAATACTAATGAACAATTTTGTCACTGTCCCAGGCGCTTTTCGCATATTATCTCATGTAATGCTCACACTAATATGAGGTAGGTGGTACCAGTAGCCTTCTCTTACAGATGAGGAAACTAAGACTCAGAGAGATTTGGTAACTTGCCTAGGGTTCAAAGCTGGGAAGTAGCTGAGAGAAAATTTGAACCCAGGCAGTGTGGCCCAGAGTCCGTGCTTGTCACACAGTGACTGATAGAGAAGCTGATACCTGCAGGGGGCCTCCTGGCCGCTCCTCTCCCATGGGGGCCCTGCCAGCCCCCAGGAGCGTCCTCACAGGGCTGCCAAATAAAATACAGAACACCCGGTTAAGTTTGGAATTCCGCTAAATGCGGAATATGGAATGTATTTATACTAAAAAATTATTCTTTATCTGAATTTCACATTTAACGGGTGTCCTGGATTTTCTCTGGCCACCCTGTGTCCCCACAGCCCCGTGTGTGCCTGTGCCCTGATGCTCCGCCCCTGCCCCTCATCCTCCCCATGGGCAGAGGCCTGAGTGGGCAGAATCCTGCCCCCTTGCCTCCCCAGCCTACACACACTACCAAGTGCCCCTGAGCGAGAGGGCTCGGCCCATGGCCTGCCTGGGATGTCTTCCGCAGGGTGAGTGGGACTGCTGTGGGTGACTTGGCAGGTGAGGGTCTTCAGAACAACCCCCAGCCCTGGCAGGTGCCTGGCCTGGGTGGTGGGTAAGCTGGGTGGCCCTCCAGTCTAAGCAGGGGCATGCCAGGTGGGACTAGGGGGCTGGCTCTGCCAGGCCCTGTGGTCCCCCTCACATCTTTCCCTGTCCCCTACCCTGACTTCCGCACCCAACCAGGTTTCATGCCTGTTCTGGCCCCAGAGAAAAGGGTGCTGCCACCCCCACTTGCTGTGTCCCACCCGGGGCCAAGGGAAGCACCGCCTGCCTTTCCTGACTTTGTTGATTCTCCAAGGAATGTTATGGACTCTGGCACCGAGCCCCCGCCAGGCTCCAGCCCTGGGTGTGGCAGCCAGCTGGGTCACGGGGGACATGCTTGGTGCCTGAGGTGTGGAGGCTGCCTGCTGGCTAAAGGATTAGGGTGGGAGGGTCTTTGGGACCCCTCGCCATTGTGTGTCCTCTCCTAGAGCCTCACAGCCCCGGCCACCTGGAAACGCTCTTTCTCTACTCCCTGCTCGGCCTTGGCCACAGCTGCTGGCTGTAGCAGTTCCCTGCATGACTCGCATTCCTGTGGAGCCCTGTGTGCACCTCCCGAGTGCGAGCCGCCTATTTCCCCCTGGCTGGCCCACCTTCCACCCTCTCCACCCATGAACCCTGTACGCACACACACACTCACACGCACACACTCACACACATTCACTCACACTCATACACACACACTGTCTCACGCACACACACACTCCCCACCTATGCATACACCCCACACACACCCTGCCCTGCCTGCATGCCACCCCTCCGGGACACGCCTGGACAGAACTCCCACCCTCCCTGCCAGCTGCCCTGGCGCCTGTCTCCACTGCACAGCCTCTATATCCATCCCTGCCTGGGGGCGACCTGCACTATCTTCAGCACACAGGGCTTGTCCTCTCTGAGCTCAGTGGTGCACCTGTGAAAAGGGTGGGATTTGGGGCCCCTTCCAGCTCTGACATGAGGTAGTTTCTGGTCCCTGGTCTTGGCTACCCTTACAGAACTGCTCAGGCCCCAGACCATCCACGCCCCAAACCGCCCGGGCTGCAGGTGGAAGTTGAGAAACTGGGCCTGCCCTTTCCTCAGCACGCCTGACCCCTCTCTGAGGCTGAGATAAGCGGGCAGCTTGGGAAGGTGTCTGAGCCCCAGCTGACAACACTGAATTGGGCGGGAGGTGCCGCTGTCCTGGTCTGGGGAAGGTACCCCCTGGAGGCCATGGGACTAAGGGGACAGATGGATCAGAACACGTGGGTGCCTCTTTCCACCCGGGGCACTAACTCACTTCCCCAGAGCCCTGCCTCAGTTTCCTTCTTTGTGATCATTTACTGAGCACCCACTATGGGCCAGGCCTAAACCAGGCTCCATGTGCTTGTGCCTGTTGTGGCCACACACAGCCCTTTGGGGTCAGACTCCCCCAACTTCCACCACATTTCAGCCCCACCGGGTGCCGACCTGGCTGTCTGCTTCTTTAACAGCATTTTTGAGATATTCATTCACATACCTTATAATTTATCCATTGAAAGTACACAGTGCGGAGCACTTTGGGAGGCAGAGGCTGTTGAATCACTTGAGGCCAGGAGTTTGAGACCAGCCTGGGCATCATAGTGTGACCCCAACTCTACAAAAAAATTTAAAAATTATTCAGGCCTGGTAGTGCAAGTCTGTAGTCCCAGCTCCTCGGGAGGCTGAGGTAGGTGGATTGTTTGAGCCCAAGAGTTTGAGGCTGCTGCAGTGAGCCATTATTGTGCCACTGCACCCCAGCCTGGCTACAGAGCAAGACCCTGTCTCAGAAAAAAAAAAAAAGTATACAATGGTTTCCAGCATATTATATCATTAAACTTTAAAAATTATGGTAAAATAGGCCGGGTGCTGTGGCTCACGCCTGTAATCCTAGCACTTTGGGAGGCCGAGGCGAGTGGATCACTTGAAGTCAGGAGTTCGAGACCAGCCTGGCCAACATGGTGAAACCCCATCTCTACTAAAAATACAACAATTAGCCGGAAATCACTTGAACCCGGGAGGTGGGGGTTGCAGTGAGCTGAGATCGTGCCACTGCACTCCAGCCTGGGCAACAGAACGAGATGCTGTCTCAAAAAAAAAAAAAAAAAAAAAAAATAGGCTGGGCGCAGTGGCTCATGCCTGTAATCCCAGCACTTTGGGAGGCTGAGGTGGGCGGATCATGAGGTCAGGATATCAAGACCATCCTGGCTAACACGGTGAAACCCCGTCTCTACTAAAAAATACAAAAAAAATTAGCCAGGTGTGGTGGCGGGCACCTGCAGTCCTAGCTACTCAGGAGGCTGAGGCAGGAGAATGGCGTGAACCCAGGAGGCGGAGCTTGCAGTGAGCCAAGTTCGTGCTACTGCACTCCAGCCTGGGCAACAGAGCGAGACTCCATCTCAAAAAAAAAAAAAAAATATGGTAAAATATATATAATGAAATTGGCCATTGCAACCATTTTTAAGTGGTTAATTCACTGGCATTAATTACATTCACGCTGTTGTGCAACTATTACTGTTGCCTATTTCCAAAACTTTTTCATCATCCAAACAGAAACTAACCATCAAGCAATAACTCTCCATTACCTCCCCATTCCAGCCCCTGGTACCCTCCCAGCTACTTTCTGTCTCTATGAACTTGCCGCTCTGGGTACCTCACATGGGTGGAATCACATAGTATTTGTCGTTTGGGGTCTGGCTTCTTTCACTTAGCATGATGTTTTCAAGGTTCATCCATGTTGTAGCGTGCATCAGATTTCACTCCTTTACATGGCTGAATACTATTCCATTGTATCGATAAACCATATTTTGCTTATGCACTCATCTGTCTCATATGTTTTTTGTTTGTTTTGTTTTGTTTTGTTTTTTGAGACGGAGTCTCGCCATGTCTCCCAGGCTGGAGTATAGTGGCACAATCTCAGCTCGCTGCAACCTCTGCCTTCCGGGTTCAAGCATTCTCCTGCCTTAGCCTCCCTAGTAGCTGAGATTACAGGCGTGGGCCACCATGCTCGGCTGTTTTCTATTTTTAGTAGAGACGGGGTTTCACCATGTTGGTCAGGCTGGTCTCGAACTCCTGACCTCAAATGATCTGCCTGCCTCGGCCTCCCAAAGTGCTGGGATTACAGGTGTGAGCCACCATGCCCAGCTAATGTTTTATGTTTTTAGTAGAGACAGGGTTTCACCATGTTGGTTAGGCTGGTCTCGAACTCCTTGCCTCAAATGATCCACATGCCTCAGCCTCCCAAAGTGCTGGGATTGCAGGTGTGAGCCACCATGCCCGGCTGATGTTTTATATTTTAAACAGAAACAGGGTTTCACCATGTTGGTCAGGCTGGTCTTGAACTCCTGACCTCAAATGATCTGCCTGCTTCGGCCTTCCAAAGTACTGGGATTACAGGTGTGAGCCACCATGCCCAGCTAATGTTTTTTATTTTTTGTAGAGACAGGGTTTCACCATATTGGTCAGGCTGGTCTTGAACTCCTGACCTCAAATGACCCGCCTGCCTTGGCCTCCCAAAGTGCTGGGATTACAGGCTCATCTGTTGATGAGCACTCGGGTTGTTTCCACCTTTTGGCTTTCGTTTGCCCTCATTTTCACTGCTATTATTTTGTGATTGTCTCCACCCACTCAGTCACTGGCCCGGCAGCTACAGGATCAAGGCAGAGATGGTTCAAGTAGATACAAACCCCACAGGAACAGTAGGAGGTGGGCGGCTTGTGCACCTGCTCAGAGCAGGTAGGAACAAGGTCAAGGCGACATCTGTGGGCTTGGGCCTGGCAGGACCTATAAATGTCTACTGGGTGGCTGGATGGAGAGCCACGGTCCTCGCAGCATCGCTGCCCTGGCCCTGAGCCCTCCCTCTGACCTTGCCTCCTTACCTCTGTTGGCCCTGCCCTTCCTGCTGGACACCCCAGTCCTCTCACTGCCCCAGGGTTCAGAAGCACGAGCAGTGGGGACACAGAAGCACCCAACCAGGGACTCAGCACCTGGCCCCGCCTGGGACTGCACCCTCCTTCTGTTTGGCTTTTCCACTGGGTGTGTGTTTGGGGGGCAGTGCCAGTTTGCGGGGCAGCCTGGAATGTCACCCCTTCCCCCAACAGGTTCCTGGGGAGCTGAGGGTAAGGGGCCAGAAGTAGGGGCCCCCTCCATTGGGAGCCTGCCCAAGTGGGGGCCCAGTCAGGCGTTCAGGCTGCCTGTGTTGATGGCCTGTTTGCAGAAGGCTCTGGACAGAGCAGGCCCCGGTGACTCACCCCCATTTCCGGCCTTAGTCACTCATCTCCCCCACACCCATGGGCTTGGCATCAGAGGGCTGGCCTAGGTAGGGGAGGCAGCCCCAGCTGCAGAGCCTGGTTGTCATGGCAATGAGCAGTCCCCCTTCCCATGGCCAAGGGGGTGTAGGAGGATGTGCCTAAGTGTAGTGGCGCTGCAGGCTCCCCTCTGCCCTCACCGTGTCATTGCTCAGGATGGGACCATTTAGAGGCTACCTGGACCTGGTTGGGGGGGGGGTCTGGTGAGCCCCTCGGCCTGGCACGTGCCGTGTACACCCAGCTCTTTGTCTGGAAAGAGGAGGGTTCCACTTTCCCCTTCCTGACCAGGGGGTACCGAGTGGGCATTCACTCAGAGGGCCACAGTCTAGACCCTGAGGGACCCTCTGGAGCTGTTAGGGCCACAGGCTGGCCCCAAGGGGTCATGGCCTCTTAAGGAGGTGGATTTCTCCTCTTGCCCCTGAGACCCTGATTTTCAGTCATGGTCAAAGTGGGTTTTAAAAATACAGATGCCCAGGCCCCATCCCACACCAGCTGGGTGAGATGCCCTGGGCTGTGGTGTCTGCAGCCTCCCCTGGGTAATTCCGATGCACAGCTAAGGTTGAGAAACCCTGACCTGCGAGGCCTCTGCCCTGCGAGGCCTCTGTCCTGAACTCTGGACAGATGGGGCAGAGCTGGGGATAGAATTCACTTAGTCCCCCCATCTGTCCGTCTACCTGTCTGCCCCTTCAGTCAACACTAGCTGGTATCCTGGCTCTGGGATGAGCACTGTGGTGAGGAGATAAGACCTCATTCCGCCCTCAGATTTATTAAAGTATATAGGTGGGTTTTGTGTTTTATTTTAATTAAAGCAAAAAGTGCTGTTAGTGGTCAGAGAGGGAGAATGTCCACTTGAGGACAAATCAAGGAAGGGTTCCTGGAGGAGGTGATATCTGAACTGGTCCTTCAAGGACTCAGATAGGAGGAAGAGAAGGGAGAAGGATCCTACAAAAGGGTCCAAGAGAGGGTGAGAGGAGATGGTCCAGAGATATAGACTCAATTCCTTAGGTCAGAATTTGCAATTGGGCAAGCCAGGGCCTTGGGGTCACAAAGCCAAACCCAGTATTAGGGGCTTGTCGAAATAAAGGGAGGAAGAGAGGCCCTCTGTCTTACTTCTTTTGGCCCACACAGGGGTTATTGATTTTTATTTTTTTTCAATTTGATTTCGTTGTCAACATTAGAATATCTGGAGGCTTCACACACAGATCTATATTCGGTTCTCTGGAAACTCTGGGCCCTCATTCACTCCGGGCTGTGCCCCACCTCCAAAGGCCATGGACTCTCCGTTTACCCAGTTCCCACCTCCTCTATTGTCCTCTGACTCAAAAATCTTTGGTTGTGACTCTCGTTGAGGCATTGTAGAGCAGGGTGTGGCACTGTTTGGGCTGGGCATCACGTGTTCCAGGGGGCCAGAGCCAGGAGAGGGCCGAAACTCTCCGGGGCACAGTGTCGGTCACGCTGTAGAAACCTCTGAATTTTGGATTTTGCAGCAGGTATGATTGTGGTCTCCATTTTATGGATGGAGAACATGAGGCTTAGTGACAGGTTAGTGCCACTGGGGCCATGTATTAAATAACTGGGAAGTGACAGTGTTGAGACTTACTCCCCAGACTTCGGAATTTAGAAGCACTAGAAGAGCCGTGCAGTGCAGGGCCAAAGGTCAGAGGCGCTGGACCCCGACCTCCAGAGCCCAAAGTGGCTTCTACCAGTATGGAATTCTGACAACTTACTTAAGCTTCCCTGAGCCTCAGTTTCCTTGTCTATTAGTACATGAGCAGGGCCTGCACACAGGAGATGCTTTTATTTATTTATTTTTTAGAGACAGAGTCTCACTCTGTTGCCCAAGCTGGAGTGCAGTGGCGCAATCTTGGCTCACTGCAACCTCCGCCTCCCGGATTCAAGTGATTCTCATGCCTCAGCCTCCCATGCCTGGAGATCAGCTGGGCAGGGCTGATCCTGGAGTCCTTGGCCTGTGACCCTGGAGCCAGGGTGGCCTCTGCTGTCCTCCTTGTCTTTGGGAAAGCAGAGGCAAGGTGCTTGGGTTACAGCAAGAGAGATCTAGGTTAGATGGTGAGACCTTCCTGATGGCTACGGTTTCACATCAAGGGAAAAAGGCTGTTGGTGGCAAATTCTGGACTTGAAGGCTGGAAGCCATGTGGTGGGGGATAGTGGCAGAAAAGGCAATTTTTTTTTTTTTTTGTTAAGACGCAGTCTCACTCTGTCGCTTAGGCTGCAGTGCAGTGGCACAATCTTGGCTCATGGCAACCTCAGCCTCCTAAGTAGCTGGGATTACAGGCATGTGCCACCACACCCAGCTAATTTTGTATTTTTAGTAGAGGTGGGGTTGCACCATGTTGGCCAGGCTGGTCTCGAACTCCCGACCTCAAGTGATCCACCCACCTCGGCCTCCCAAGTGCTGAGATTATAGGCGTGAGCCACCGCGCCCTGCCAGAAAGGGCAACCTTTAGTGAGGCCTGAGTCCCAGGCATTGTCCGAGGGCAGTTCCACACTGAGGGACTGCAGAGGCCGCTGCTTGGAAGGAAGGAGGGAGATGGGGTACGGGTTGGGGGGCGTTTAGGGCTCCAAAGCCTAAAGCCAAACCCAGTGCAGGAGGCTTCTTACAATCGGGGAGGAGGGGAGTCCTGTGAGGGGGAGGGAAGCTTACTGTGGGATGAAGGCCTGGGTTTGGAGAGGCTGGAGGATGGGGCAGCAGGTCCTAGCGGGGGAGGGCAGGGGAGCCTCTGGGCAGGTACGGCCTGACGCCCCGGGTCCTCCCGCCCCGCCAGGCCTGACGGAGGACGAGGACGTGCGCGCCATGCTGCGGGGCTCCCGGCTCCGCAAGATCCGCTCGCGCACGTGGCACAAGGAGCGGCTGTACCGGCTGCAGGAGGACGGCCTGAGCGTGTGGTTCCAGCGGCGCATCCCGCGTGCGCCATCGCAGCACATCTGTGAGAGGCCGGGGAGCGCCGGGCGGACAGGGAGGTGGGGACAGGCCCGGTCCTCCGCCCTGACCCGGCCCTCCTCTCAGTCTTCGTGCAGCACATCGAGGCGGTCCGCGAGGGCCACCAGTCCGAGGGCCTGCGGCGCTTCGGGGGTGCCTTCGCGCCAGCGCGCTGCCTCACCATCGCCTTCAAGGGCCGCCGCAAGAACCTGGACCTGGCGGCGCCCACGGCTGAGGAAGCGCAGCGCTGGGTGCGCGGTCTGACCAAGCTCCGCGCGCGCCTGGACGCCATGAGCCAGCGCGAGCGGCTAGACCAATATCCTGCCGGGGCTGGGAGGGAGGGCCCCATCCTTGGAGAGCCCTAACCTTGGAGAGCCCCATCCTTGGAGAGCCCCCACGCCCAGGGAAGGCAGGGCCCTGTCCTGAGGGCGCACGGTCTGGGTCGGAGCCCTTGGTCTTCGAAACTGAGGGTGGGGACACGCGCCCTGGCTAGGCCCAAGCTCCCACCAGGAGGGGTGGCGCGGCGCCTCCTTCAGGGAGGCCTGAGGCCTTCTGAGGGTGAAGACAGGGCCTCCTGTCTTTGGTAAGCCCCAGTCCTGCGGAGGAGACACTGCTACCGTGCTCGGGGAGTGCACAGGCCAAGGGGAAAGTACAGCCCCTAAACTGGGGATCCCCCAGACCCAGGTGGGGGTGACTTACCAGCCAGTTACCTGAGGGCTGGGGGCAGCCTGGCGTGTTGCTGTTATTTCCTGAGCACCCACACCTGGATCCACTCCTATCTGCACCGGGCTGACTCCAACCAGGACAGCAAGATGAGCTTCAAGGAGATCAAGAGCCTGCTGAGAATGGTCAACGTGGACATGAACGACATGTACGCCTACCTCCTCTTCAAGGTGGGCTTCCGCCCTGAACCCCAGCCCCTGGCTCTGCCATCACTCTGACCTCTGCCTGCCCCCAGCCATCTGAATCATCAGCTCCCCTGCCCTCTCCACCTGCAGCTTTTTTGGAGCGAGCAGCCTTTCCCTGCACAAAGGCAACATCTGGGGTTAGTTAGCCTTTTGCCTCCCCTGAGGCCACTGGGCCAGGAAGGGAGTGGGGAGCCGGGGCCCAGAACTTTCCTCATCCTCAGTTCCTACCCCTCCAAAGTGAGCAGCAAAGCTGTTTTCATTTCCCTGAGTCTGCAAGGCACCTTTTGCACGTGGGGGCACAGGCAGGAGCCAGCCTACAGGTGTGCATGTGCACGGATACACGTGTGCACCCTTCTCCACGCAGACCCTCCACTGTGGCACGTGTTGGCACCTCATGCATGGGAGCACAGGGGCACACAGGAGTGGGCTCTGCAGCTATGGCCCAGCTGGAGCCCATGGCAGACCTCTGTGTGCATGTGGATGGTGGGACCCACCTGTGACCCCGAAAGACAGGAGAGCCCATGGCAGCTGGACCCCTGGGCCACAGCTTCACAGGGATGCTCCATGAATTCTCATTGACTTGTTCAATGATGCTGGGTGTGAATATGTGCATGTCAGGATAGTAACGTGTCCACCTAGGGGAGTGTGAGGGCCCAAGGGCCCTGTCTTGGCCCAGGGTCACCATTTTTCCTTCCACATCTTGATTCCTGGGGTAGGTCATGGTGCAGAGGGGCAGGCACTGAACCAGAGAGACCTTTTAAGTCCAGCCCTGCCGGCCAGGCTCAGTGGCTCACCCCTGTCATCCCAGCACTTTGAGAGGCCTAGGCGGGAGGATTGCTTGAAGCCAGGAGTTTGAGATCAGCTTGGGCAACACAGCAAGACCCCATCTCTACAAAAAATACAAAAATTAGCCAGGTGCAGTGGTGCACACCAGTGGTCCCAGCTGTCCAGCTATTTGGAAGGCTGAGGTGGGAGGATCACTTGAGATCACGCGTTGGAAGCTGCAGTGAGCTATGATCATGCCACTGCGCTCCAGCCTGGGTAACAGAGCAAGACCAAACAAACAAACAAACCTAAAAAACAAACCAAAAAATCCTGCCCTGTAATTTACCAGCTGTGTGAGCTAGAGTCACAAGTCTTACTCTGTTTTTCCACCTGTGAAATGGGGACCATTGCCTTCTCAGATGTGGTAGATGACAGATGGGTCAAAGGGGCCAGGTTTCCTGGAGTGTCTGCCTCCTCTGAGCTTCTCCTGCTGCTCCCCAGGAGTGTGACCACTCCAACAACGACCGTCTAGAGGGGGCTGAGATCGAGGAGTTCCTGCGGCGGCTGCTGAAGCGGCCGGAGCTGGAGGAGATCTTCCATCAGTACTCGGGCGAGGACCGCGTGCTGAGTGCCCCTGAGCTGCTGGAGTTCCTGGAGGACCAGGGCGAGGAGGGCGCCACACTGGCCCGCGCCCAGCAGCTCATTCAGACCTATGAGCTCAACGAGACAGGTGGGGGGGGTGGCACGGCCAGGTCGTGGCACCTGAAAGGGCTGTGTTCCCAGCTAAGCGGGTTCTGCTGCGGGCTGGCGCGGGCATCATCTCGGGCAGGTTACCTCACCTCCTCCAGACTCAGCTTCCACATGTGTAAAATGGCACAACAGTTTGTCTTCCTCCCAGGGTCTGGTCGAAGGTTAAGTGGCATGACTTACATGGAGTCTAGTCAGTAGATTGTCTAGTCATTATTCCTAAGCTGAGTGGGCCTTGGGGGCATTGGAAGCTGGACATGGGGGATCCCTATGTGGCCTGATGCCCTCTCCTGCCACCCCTGCAGCCAAGCAGCATGAGCTGATGACACTGGATGGCTTCATGATGTACCTGTTGTCGCCGGAGGGGGCTGCCTTGGACAACACCCACACGTGTGTGTTCCAGGACATGAACCAGCCCCTTGCCCACTACTTCATCTCTTCCTCCCACAACACCTATCTGACTGACTCCCAGATCGGGGGGCCCAGCAGCACCGAGGCCTATGTTAGGTACTGTAGCAGGGGGTGAATGTTTCCGGGAGCCCCACCTGGGGAGAGACATGGGCTGGCTTCCTGGGGCCTTCCTGGCCCAGCCTGCCTGCTGCCCTGCTCTGTGGCACTCTGGCAACACCTTGCCCGTCCACCCATCTGTCCACACACAGGGCCTTTGCCCAGGGATGCCGCTGCGTGGAGCTGGACTGCTGGGAGGGGCCAGGAGGGGAGCCCGTCATCTATCATGGCCATACCCTCACCTCCAAGATTCTCTTCCGGGACGTGGTCCAAGCCGTGCGCGACCATGCCTTCACGGTGAGCCCCTGGGATGCCCAGCCCCAGCCCCACAGCCTTCCCAATGACCTCCGTCCGCACTCACATGCCAGCTGCCCTCCGTCCTTCCAGAGGAAACCCTTGCCCAGAGAATCATTCATTCACCAAGTGCTGCTGGGATAAGTGGCCAATGGGGTGGCATAAAGCTGAATGAGATGCCACCCTCATATTTGGGAAATATGTTCCCTCTCTCATATTTGGGAAATGTCCTAAAAATCACAGAGTTTCCAGAAGAAAACCTTTGGGGGAGGGAAGGACATTTTAATCATGACTTCCAAAGAATAAATAAGCTGTAAGAGAAGCTCACCAGTGGCATCTGCATAAACACTGCAACTTTGGTCACAGTGTGCAAATCTTCCCATCAGCAAATGATGGGAGGAGAGTTTTCACATCACTGACATAGTCAATGTCATTCACATGTAAAAAGCATTTATGGGACCAGGTGCGGTGGCTCACACCCGTATTCCCAGCACTCTGGGAGGCTGACGCGAGGATCACTTGAGGCCAGGAATTCCAGACCAGCCTGAGCAAATAGCTACATCCTGTCTCAACAAAAATAAAAATTAGCTGAGTGTGGGGGCATGTGCCTGTAGGCTGAGTTACTCAGGAGGCTGAGGTGGGGGGATCACTTGAGCCCAGGACTGGAGAACACAGGGAGACTGACTGTGCCACTGCACTTCAGCCTGGGTGATGGAGAGAGACCAAAGCATAGACAACAACAACAAAAAATCGGCCAGGCGTGGTGGCTCTCACCTGTAATCCCAGCACTTTGGGAGGCTGAGGTGGGCAGATCACCTGAGGTCAGGAGTTTGAGACCAGCCTGGCCAACATGGTGAAACCTCATCTCTATTAAAAATACAAAAATTAGCCGGGTGTGGTGGCGGGCGCCTGTAATCCCAGCTACTTAGGAGGCTGAGGCAGGGAGAATCGCTTGAACCCGGGAGATGGAATTGTAGTGAGCTGAGATTGCACCACTATACTCCAGCATGGGCGACAGAGCAACACTCCATCTCAAAGAAAAAAAAAATAATTCCTGCAGCCGCCCTCAGCCTCCTGGACAGTCTGCTGCTTCCCTGGGTTCTCCAGAGCCCTGCCTTTGCCTGCCTGTCCTGAAGGGTCTGGGAGCCAGATGTTGGGAGATACTGGCAGAGGGAGGGGAGTGGCTCTGAGCTGCTGCCCTTCCCCCCACAGCTGTCCCCTTACCCTGTCATCCTATCCCTGGAGAACCACTGCGGGCTGGAGCAGCAGGCTGCCATGGCCCGCCACCTCTGCACCATCCTGGGGGACATGCTGGTGACACAGGCGCTGGACTCCCCAAATCCCGAGGAGCTGCCATCCCCAGAGGTGACGCCCCCCAGCCCCTAGCCTGGGTGGAGGGAGGTCTGGTGGGAGTCCGCCTCCCCGCACTGCTCGTGCCACCTCTGTGGCTCAGGACCCCTCACCTCTTGCTGCCTTAACTTTTCTCTGTTCCTCTGTTCATCTGAGGTCTGCCATCCCCTGGTCTTGTCCTTCTGCTGCCCTCTGGCTCTCCATTCTTGACTAGACCCCCCCACACACACACCCTCTTCTGTAACCTGGCTTTGCCCTGCTGGCCCTGTGTCCCTGCCCGTAGAGTCCTGCAGGCTCTGCCATTCCCACCTGCAAGGCCCCGCTTGACACTTTCTCCACCTGGAAGTCCCTTCTCGGCCATCCACACTTGCCAAGCGTCACCTGCTTAGAATTCAGCTCAACTTCAGCCGCCTCTTCCTGTGGCCTTATCCACTTCCCCAACTCTCGGGCCTGAGGCGGCCTCCTGCTCTCCCCCAGACACCAGAGCGCGTCCTCGGCTCTCTCCAGACATTTATCCTGTCGGGCTCCTTGAGAAAACTCTCCTCCTACTTCCAATCCCCAACATGCAGGCAGGGTTGACTCACCCTCGTGTGTGTGTGAGATGTGATTTTTGTTATTACTGTGAAAATCACACCCGTATGGTAAAAGAAAACTGAGCTGTACTAAGGGACGCGATGAGCAGTGCTCCCCTCCCTCCACTGACCTGTCCTCTTTCACAAGAAGTAACCATCTCTAACTTTCTTGCATGTCCTTCAAGAATTTCCCCACACACATTACCTGTGTACATATGTGTACTGTCTTCTCTTTTAAATGGTACCAAAAAAGGACATGTGATTCCAGGTTGTAGCCTCACTTCTTCCACGTAAGATCTTCTTTGAAGAGGGTCCCTTTCCTTTCAGTCCTGAGCTGTCGCGTGCATTGTAGTGGCTGCTGTGTATATTCTGATGTTGAGGGACCTTATTAAGCATCCCTTCCTGATGGCCTCCCGGGCCATTCTCCACTCTTTCCTATTAGAAACATCGCTCATCTCTGTGTCTCCTTTCCTGCCTCCCACCCCTAGCCAGCCCCTCACAAGGCGGTGGTTGAATAACTGACTGACTGGCTGCCACAGGGGCGAGAAGGCCTAACCCTTCATCCTCCACGTTGGCCCCCACAGCAGCTGAAGGGCCGGGTCCTGGTGAAGGGAAAGAAGTTGCCCGCTGCTCGGAGCGAGGATGGCCGGGCTCTGTCGGATCGGGAGGAGGAGGAGGAGGATGACGAGGAGGAAGAAGAGGAGGTGGAGGCTGCAGCGCAGAGGCGGCTGGTGAGAGCTGGGATGGGTGGGGTGGGGAAGGGGGGGAAGGTGGGAGGACGGATGTGGGAAGCGGGGGCCAGCTGAACCCCGCTGAGCCTGGTCTCCTAGGCCAAGCAGATCTCCCCGGAGCTGTCGGCCCTGGCTGTGTACTGCCACGCCACCCGCCTGCGGACCCTGCACCCTGCCCCCAACGCCCCACAACCCTGCCAGGTCAGCTCCCTCAGCGAGCGCAAAGCCAAGAAACTCATTCGGGAGGCAGGTAGGAGCTGGGGCACTGGGTGTCTGGGGGCGAGAGGGTGAGAGACCTCCTGAAGGGAGTCTGGAAAGGAGTTGAGGGGGCTTTGGGGGACAGTAAAGAGGTCAAGAGGACCCCAAAGAGGGGCTGGGCTGAGGGAATGAGGGCCCCGCACATGCCAGGGTGGATGGAGGGGAGTGGCACGCTGAGGGCGGCCTGCTGTCTGCCTTCAGAGCCCTGTGGTGGGGCCGGCCATAGAGGGTGATGGGTCAGGCTGGGCTGGGGGCTGGGGGAGCCCAGCAGCTGCTGCAACACTGGGGAGGAATTCCTGGGGCAGGTGATGCTGAGAGGACACATCACCTGGAGGACTAGGAAGCAGCCAGGTGAAGAGGGGAGAGCGCTTTCCAGACAGGAGGAACAGGTTGTTGAAGGCCTGGGGCCTTGGCCTGGAGAAGAATTCCAGGAACCACAGTGGAGCTGGAGGGCCGTGGGCATTCAGTGTACTTGGTTGGAACTTTGTCAGGAGCTGGGAATTGGGGGCTGGGGATGCAGGGCCAGGCTGTGTGGCTGGAGGGGGTCCCTGCAGCCTCCTCAGTGAGCTCCCCTCTCACTCTAGGTCAGAAGAGAGTGAGGAGCGGGGGCAGGGTGACCTGGGGACGGGCTTGGGCTCTGTTCCCTGGAGGTTACAGGCCGGGGCTTTGGGTGAGGGACCCCCGGAGTCTGTCACGGTCTCACCCCAACTCTGCCCCAGGGAACAGCTTTGTCAGGCACAATGCCCGCCAGCTGACCCGCGTGTACCCGCTGGGGCTGCGGATGAACTCAGCCAACTACAGTCCCCAGGAGATGTGGAACTCGGGCTGTCAGCTGGGTAAGTGGGGGCCACAGGAATGAGAGCAGGCGGGGTGCCACAGTGTGGGGGAGGCCTCAGCAGTGAGGGGCCCACACAGCCTTCCAGACGGTGGAAACACGCATTTTGTTGATTATTTTTAAAGTTGCCAGCAATGTAGGTGGGAAAATCAAATCAGGCTCGTTTGTTCTTGACAGTGTACAGGTCTCGCATTTTTATCATGGTAGAAATTAAAATCTCCACTCCCATGTCCCCCGGACACACACAACCCCCACACACCTGGCAGTCCCACTAAGTCAACACTGACAAGGGTGGGCTCTGGGGGACGCTGAGCCCCACCAAAGGAGGGCTGTATCGTCTCCTTGGGGTAAGGATGGAAACCCCAGGCTTCCTCAGACCCCTGGCTCTGACCCAAGCCTGGCCCTGAGGGTGGGGGCTTTTTTAGTACCTCCCACCCCAGTCTTGAGGGATCCCAGGGCAGAAGTACAGGTGACAGTGGGGGCTGGGTCCATGACCCCCTCCCCTAAAGTCATGGTGGGAGCAGAGCAGCACTAAGCAGACAGTGGGACCCCAGGCCCTTTGTAGAGAGGAATGCAGTCCCCTGAAACTGAGTAGTGAGAACAGGGCCGCTAAGAGCCCCTGCTCTGACCCTGCTGTGTCCACAGTGGCCTTGAACTTCCAGACGCCAGGCTACGAGATGGACCTCAATGCCGGGCGCTTCCTAGTCAATGGGCAGTGTGGCTACGTCCTAAAACCTGCCTGCCTGCGGCAACCTGACTCGACCTTTGACCCCGAGTACCCAGGACCTCCCAGAACCACTCTCAGCATCCAGGTCAGCAGGCTGGAACGGGCCCCAGTGTGGGGTCAGACTGGTTCTAGAAAGGCTCTTTGTGAGGTGGAGGAAGGCAAGGGAGGCTGGGGACATTTGGAAGTGAGGGTGGTGTGAGCTTGAGGCCCATGAGGGGATGGCCAAGGTGGGCGTGGGCCCCAGCCACTCCCTCCCTCACCCACAGGTGCTGACTGCACAGCAGCTGCCCAAGCTGAATGCCGAGAAGCCACACTCCATTGTGGACCCCCTGGTGCGCATTGAGATCCATGGGGTGCCCGCAGACTGTGCCCGGCAGGAGACTGACTACGTGCTCAACAATGGTGGGCAGCCACTGGCGGAAGTGGGGTTGGGGGAGACTGCAGAGAGCGAAGGGTGGTGCAGGGTGGGTCCTGGGGCCCCTGGGCTCTGACTGCCATCCCTGTGCCCTAGGCTTCAACCCCCGCTGGGGGCAGACCCTGCAGTTCCAGCTGCGGGCTCCGGAGCTGGCACTGGTCCGGTTTGTGGTGGAAGATTATGACGCCACCTCCCCCAATGACTTTGTGGGCCAGTTTACACTGCCTCTTAGCAGCCTAAAGCAAGGTTGGTGGAGGCTGGTGGGGATGGAGAGGGATGTGGGTCCAGGTCCTGCAGACCCTGTTCACCTTTGTGCCTCGAATTTCCTGCCCTGAAGCAGGCCCGGGCTGGGCCAGACCCCCAGGGTGCACAGAGGACCTGAGGCCTGGCTGTCCTCCCTACAGGGTACCGCCACATACACCTGCTTTCCAAGGACGGGGCCTCACTGTCACCAGCCACGCTCTTCATCCAAATCCGCATCCAGCGCTCCTGAGGGCCCACCTCACTCGCCTTGGGGTTCTGCGAGTGCCAGTCCACATCCCCTGCAGAGCCCTCTCCTCCTCTGGAGTCAGGTGGTGGGAGTACCAGCCCCCCAGCCCACCCACTTGGCCCACTCAGCCCATTCACCAGGCGCTGGTCTCACCTGGGTGCTGAGGGCTGCCTGGGCCCCTCCTGAAGAACAGAAAGGTGTTCATGTGACTTCAGTGAGCTCCAACCCTGGGGCCCTGAGATGGCCCCAGCTCCTCTTGTCCTCAGCCCACCCCTCATTGTGACTTATGAGGAGCAAGCCTGTTGCTGCCAGGAGACTTGGGGAGCAGGACACTTGTGGGCCCTCAGTTCCCCTCTGTCCTCCCGTGGGCCATCCCAGCCTCCTTCCCCCAGAGGAGCGCAGTCACTCCACTTGGCCCCGACCCCGAGCTTAGCCCCTAAGCCCTCCTTTACCCCAGGCCTTCCTGGACTCCTCCCTCCAGCTCCGGAACCTGAGCTCCCCTTCCCTTCTCAAAGCAAGAAGGGAGCGCTGAGGCATGAAGCCCTGGGGAAACTGGCAGTAGGTTTTGGTTTTTATTTTTTGAGACAGGGTCTCGCTCCGTCGCCCAGGCTGGAGTGCAATGTTGCAATCATGGCTCACTGCAGCTTTGAACTCCCAGGCTCAAGCGATCCTCCCATCTCAGCCTCCTGAGTAGCTGGGACTACAGGCACAGGCCACCAAACCTGGCTAATGTTTAAATTTTATGTAGAGATGGCGGGGGGGGCGGGGGTCTCCCTATGTTGCCCAGGCTGGTCTCGAGCTCCTGACCTCAAGTGATCCTCCTGCCCCAGCATTCCAAAGTGCTGGGATTACAGGTGTGAGCCACTGCCTGGCCTGGCCGTAGGTTTGTAACTGTTTCATAGAAGAGCCCTGGAGAAGACAGTAGAATGAGCCTATCTAGTTTAAAAAATAAAGAAGCACGTTGATTTCACCACCGCCACTCCCTGAGCACCTCTATGCTGCCACCCCCACAGGCCCATGAGGAGGGACAGGGCTGGATGAGTTTCTTGGGCCTCTCCCCTCAACAGGGCATGGACTTGGCTAAGACAGCCAGGGGGTGGCAGCAGGAGATGCCACAGCTCTAAATAGCCCGATCCCTGCTCCTGGCTTAAAGCTGCTGCGAGTATCACAAGACTGTCTGAGGATGCCAATTCAGCAGGTCAGCGCCTCCCCACAACACACACACACACACACACACACACACACTCACACATACACAGAGGGGCCTTGAATGAGGAGGAGACAGGAGTCTGAGGGACCCTCAGACTGCCACTCTCCAGGCTTGGCTGGGCTCAAGGCCCCTGTCTGCTCAGTAGGGCAAATCCCAAGGACACGGGCTTCCCTTCCTCCAGCCAGCCAGCCTTTTACACAAAGGCTGGAAACGCTGCTTGGGCCGCCTCTATAGAAATGCCAGGAGAGCGCACTGGACACTAGGCGACAGAATCTGGAGAAAATCCTGCACCCGCCCCTGCCAGCAGGGTGAAATGTGGAGGCCTGGTGTTTTAGGTTCTGCCAGCCAACAGTGCCGGCACTGGACAAGGGCAGAACTTGACATTAGTCCCCAGAGGGTGGCCTGGAACTGGGCTGGGATAGGCCTTGAACTGGCCCCAAGCCCCACAGAAACCAAAACACAGGGCTGGGGCAGACTCCACCTTCTAGCAACTCCAAGAACTAATGCAGAAAGTGGCAGTGTCCCCCGCTCCTTCATGCTGGGAGTGGCGTTTGGCTCTGGTTAATTTGTGTGTCTGAAAGAGGATAATCAGAATCAAAAGGGCCCAGAAGGAATGGGCCGAGCCAGGCGGGCCGGGCCAGGCAGCCCGGGCATCTGGCACTCAGGGCTGTCAGAGGGTCAGGCTGCCAAACTGCAGCCTCAGGATGGGAGGCACAGTGAGGCTAAGTCCAGTTTTAGCAAATGAAGAGCCATTAGCATTGCCCAGCCCCTGCAGAGCCAGGTCTGGCCAGGGGCTGGCTGGGGGGTCTGGGTCAGGTGAGCACCAGACCCAGGGCTGAGTGCCCATCCTGCTTGGCTTCTCTGGTTTCGTATCTGGTACCAAGAGGAAGGGGTGAAGGCTAGGATGAGGGCCCAATACTGAGAAGGCTGCCTTGAAAGGGCAAGAGTCTTTTTTTTTTTTCTTTTGAGACAAAGTCTTGCTCGTCCCCCAGGATGGAGTGCGATGGCGTGATCTCGGCTCACTGCAACCTCTGCCTCCCGGGTTCAAGCGATTCTCTTGCCTCAGCCTCCGGAGTAGCTGGGATTACAGGCGCCCGCCACCATACCCAGCTAATTTTTGTATTTTTAGTAGAGACGGGGTTTCACCATGTTGGCCAGGCTGGTCTCGAACTCCTGACCTCAGGTGATCCACCCGCCTTGACCTCCCAAAGTGCTGGGATTACAGGCGTGAGCCACTGCACCCAGCCAAAAGGGCAAGAGTCTTTAAGGAAGTGAACTGGGAAGCAGAAGCAAGGGAGAAATCACAGGGTTTTTTTTTTGTTTGTTTTTTTGAGATGGAGTCTCGCTCTGTCGCCTAGGCTAGAGTGCAGTGGCACGACCTTGGCTCACTGCAAGCTCCGCCTCCCGGGTTCACACCATTCTCCTGCCTCAGCTTCCCAAGTAGCTGGGACTACAGGCGCCCACCACCATGCCCGGCTAATTTTTTTGTGTTTTTAGTAGAGACAGGGTTTCATAGTGTTAGCCAGGATGGTCTCGATCTCCTGACCTCGTGATCCACCCGCCTCGCCCTCCCAAAGTGCTGGGATTACAGGCGTGAGCCACCATGCCCAGCCTGAAATCACAGCTTTTTATCCCAGAGGCCCATGGGTAGAAACAACACATAGGGCTATGTTCTCTCAGCCCAAAGCTAAGGGCAGGAAAAAAGGCATGGGCCATAGGAGCCTGAGTGACTTGGTTTGGGACAGGAGGGTTGGGGGGCTTTAGAGGGGTCAGGCAGGTCCTGTGTCCTCTCAGTTTCCCTGGAAAGGGGCTTGGAGGCACCAGTCATGGACCTGAAAGGATCAGGGGGTCAGGGAATGGGTAAGTTCCAGAGGATGAGAAGAGGGGGAATGGGAAGTCTTAAACACAGCTACTGGGGCCCAGCAACTTGCCATGTTAAAATGCACCCCTAGTGACTCAAAGAACCACCCGGCCAGTGGTGCAGGAGGAGAGATGTGGCACCTGGGCACAGTGGGAAGGCACGGGGCCTGCACCTCCACCAGAGGAGCCACTGCTGACCTGGACCAAGGGGGCTGCTCTGTGCCCAGCTAGGGAAGCCTGGGCCGGCTCCTGTGCTGAGGTGCTCAGGTGCTGGCTGAGAGCCCAGTTGCTGCTCTAACTTGGAGTGAACCTGGGTCAATAGCAGCTCGTCTCTGGCGGGTGGGAAGGGTCTGACAACACCAAGTTTGCCCTGGAAGAAGGGCAGCCTTAAAGGAAGGCCTTTGGAAGCTGGCCTGGTGCTGTGGGCTTGAGGGACTTTGTGTCCAAGCCCTGTCGTCCTGGCTCCAGCCTAGGCTCCAGCACTCCATTTCTTCCACTGCCACCTGCTGACCAGGAATACCAGGACAGAAGGTTTTGTTCAGCTGCTTTCTTTATTAGAAACAAGTGAGATGTATTGAGCAGAACAACAATGCATTTGGTATTTCCTCCCCGACCCTGGAAATGGATGCCCCCCCACAGCCCAAAGAAAAGCCAAGACAAAAAGGTGAAGCTCCCCCGTCCCTGTTCCCAGACATGGCACCTGCCTGCCAGCCAGTCAGTATTTTTTAATTTAATGGAATGAAATTGTCCTCAACAGCCTCCGTAGGTGTAGTCGGCTTGCAGGCCCGCCTTCATTTTGCAGCAGAGTAAAACTGAAGCCTCAGGCCTCCCCTGGTTCTGGGGAAGGTGGGCCAGGCCATCAGAAGGCTGCCTCACAGGTGGGTAGGCACTGACGGGAGGGACACTCCTGCTCCCTCCCCTGATCTAACATCTGGTTCCCCTCCTTCTCCTAGAGTGCAGCTCCATGCAGTTGTCCAAGGCCTTTGGGCCCTTAGGTTGGTTAAATGCTGGTCGTCTTTGGGGAAAGAATTCAGGACCACAGGGACTCCCCTAGGCTTCTGAGAGCCAGCAAGTAGGGGGGCGACAGCAGTTAGACAGGAGTTGTGGGGAAGGCCTGACATTTTCCATAAACCTGGTGTTAAAGTAGCTGGGTGTGGGCTGGCCTTCAAATAAGACAGAAGCCTCTTCAGAAATAGGCATGTGTGGGGAAACGAGCCCTATACAGGCCTCGATCCGGAGTGGAGGCCTCCTACTCAGCTCTCTCCCTACACACAGACTGGAGTCCGTGGTCAAATGCAGAGTCAATCCAAAGGCAGGAGGTAAAGGTCGTCTTTGAAACATGGCAGCTGGGAGGACTGGGTGGCAGAGGGTGGGGGCCAGGCCCAGGGAGGCCTTCCAACAGCAGTTGCTCGAGGACGGTTAGCGTGAAGGCCTCAGGGTCCTTCCTTTGCTTGGTTTGAGACAGCCATGGCGCTACCACACTGCAGGGCTCCTGTGGGGAGGCCCTGACCCCCGGGATGGTGCTCTCTGAGCTGAAGTCCCAGAAGGGGTTGAATGAAGAACGCAGGGACTACTGGGACAAAAATCAGATGAGCAGCAAGCAGCCCACAAGCCAAACCCTGCACACCTGGGCAGAGTTCTCACCGCAACATAAAGCAGAGTCCGAGGAGCCGGCCACCTGGTTTCAGTGAGGGAGATGCTGGGGCCTTTGCCAGGAGATCTGTTTCTTCCAGAACAGCCACTGGGGCCTCACCGTTTCCATTCCATGACCTGGGTCAACCGAAACAGAGCTCACTCCAGAGATCCGCACAGCCCAAATCTCAGAGGCAGCTCAAGCTGGGACCTGGCCCAGAACAGATCAAGACTAGGACAGGGAGCCTTTCCAAGTTCCAGGTTCCCCCAAGGTAGGAAAGACTTGGGCACTTTGTCCTTTGATATCCTCAAAGGTCTGGACAGGGTGAGCCACTCTGGGGCTTGAGGCACTGTGCAACTGTTGTCTGTGGGGCTGCAAAGCAAGCCCCTGCCTCTCCGACTCCTCCCACCTGTGGAATGCAGTGCGCATCTTGCTAAGAACAGCAGCTTCTTTGGTCTCAGTTTCTTGGAGTCAAGGAGCAAACGTCAGTCACGATTGCTGGGGCCTGCAATTTGCAGCGCAGGAACAATGGGAAAAGGGAGGGCCCTGCAGGCCCCTGATGAAAATCCACCTTAGTGGAGTTGCTGGCTCTAGCAGCAGTCTGCAGAGCGGGCAGCATTCCCACGGGTGGCACGGCCCCCATCCCAAGCATACGATGTCTTCTGGTTTTGGAAACTCTGCAGAATTAGCCTCTGACAAACCACACCAAAACCCACAGCCTGCAACAAGCCCCTGCTGGCCTGTAGAAAGTGGCTTCGGTGAGTGGCACAGGGCTGAGCCTGGCCTCCTGGCTAAGGCTTCATTCCTGTATGAGCGGAGAGGTGACGGCAGCAAGGAAACCCGCACACCACACGTCATGCTACCTCCTTCCCACCACTTGCTTCTCTCTAGAGCAAAAATTACATCCAAGCCTGGAAGTACAATTTCACAGCCCAATTTTGCCCGGTCACTTGGCTGAACACCACTCCAGAATGCCTACATCGACAGCCATGTGACCAGAGGCTTGATTACGTTTTGGGAAACTGGCAGCACTGACAACCATCACTACCACAAAAATCCACAAAACAGCATCAGCGAAAATCAGACTCAGACAATGGAGATGGGAAACCACTTCTGTTGCCAAGTCCAGATCTGCCTCTAATCACTTCTTGCTACCACTTGCAGGCTGTATCTTGGAAAGGGGCACAACAAGAAATGGCTAATGGGTTGGAAGGCACAGGCCAGGGGCTGGTGGCTGAAGGGGTCTGGGTATTGGCCCCACGCCACTCCTGCCTAGCCACCCCAGGGACATCAGGGTGCTGGCTCTTTGCTCTAAGATGAGCTAAGCAGGGCTTACACTGATAATGGTCTCCAAAGGTCCCTGATGTTACAAGGAGGTCCAAGGGCCTCTTCAAACTGCATCATCCCAGGCAGTGGAAAAGCAAAATCTCACAGGGGACTCATCCCTATAAGGTTGGCAACAACTGGCTAAAGAGCCCTTTTAAATCAGTTGGCAGGATGACTTCCTACAGGGAGCAGGCCAAGGGGATGGAAGAAAGGACTCAATCAATGAGGTCTGCTTCTGCGGACCGTCCATTGCTTTGTCTCAGAATGCAGGCAGGTCTGGCCCTGCAGGAAAGTCCCTGCCCAGGGTCAGCCCCAGCCAAGAGCTCCACGTGCTATCCCATGAGATCTGAGCCTGTTCCATCTTCCCTTCCTTCTCAAAGCCAGTCATCCCAGCTGATTCAGAAGGGGAGCTGGATGAGGTTCTCCAGATCCTCTTTTTCCCCATGATAAGCCAATGTCTCCTCTGGAGGAAACCATGAACTGTGCCAACGCGTCTGTCTGCCACTGTCCTCGGGTCCTCATTCTGAGGAATGATCTGGATTCAGCTTTTCATTAAAGACCAAACATCCTTGTACATTTGGAACATGAAAGATATTTAAAATATTTATATATATATAATATATATATATACTTTTATTATTCACCCGTTAACTCCATTATATGCCAATCACGAGCTAGTTTTCAGCAGTTACATTCCCTTGATCACGGCTGCATGAGGATGTAATTAACTGGAAAACACGGAGACCAGAGACACGACCGGAGGTGACGTCACGCAGCCCACGCCATCGCAATACAATTGTCAAGTTCGCTGGCGGTTTGGTAAAGCCGGTTCAGTTCTGCTCCCTTTGCCAGGGATTCTCACGTGTGTGAAAATTGGACCAACAGTGGTGGGGTTCCATTTCCTGGTTCGAATTTTCAGTGGCTTTATCCAGAATCGCACTGGTGACTGGTTATTGTAGCACCAGTCCAACCTAGGAAAGCCAACAGGGAGAGGCAGAGCTGAGTTGACAGTGGCCCAAAGACTCTCCCACACCCCCTATCCCTGAAGTTCCGAGTGGCTGGGCCCGGGTCCACCGCCTGTGCTGTGGGAGCAGACTCACACCCAGCCGGCCCCACACTCAACCTCCACACCAGGGTTCACACGTCCATCAGACCTCCCAGGGAAAACTGGCCCACGCTCCAGCTCACCCCTATGTCCCCTGTGGCACTGGGGGAGGAAGGGCTAAGAAAGTGTCATGCCAGAAGAGGGCAGCAGCTCAGGAGAGGAAACCTCCTCAGAGTTCCCCCAGCCCTACCCTCCTGGCAAACCGTGGGCAACTCAACTTCCACGGTTCCCTCACGTGGGAAGGCCTCATTGGAGATGATCTTCGTGCTACTGTGTGGCTCTGTCCCCTCTGCCATCCTCACACCAGTTGCTGAGAGGGGAACGCTGACCTGCTGGTCTGGCCAGCAGAGGGAGGGCATTTTCAAAGGTTCAACTCGAGGTAACAAGGACCCAGACTGCGGCTGTCTCCTCAACCCATGGCCCGGTTTCTGCTGGAGACATGGACACCCTGGGCCGGGCAGCCTGGACTCTGGCTATGTGTCGCCTACCTTCTCTGCCCCCATGCTGGGGCATTTCCAATTGTAAAGGTAATACTGCAGGTTGCCGTCCCCTATGCCAAACTTGAGCTTCTCCAGGAAGGTTTTGTTCTCCATGAGATCCAGTGCATTGAACACATCAAACCCTTTCTGCAAAGCAGCAGGGACAAACAAGAACAGGTGAGGACAGGTGGGGACAGCCTCCTTCCTACCCCTTTGCTGCCATTTCAAAGCTGTCCTGTGGGCAGCCACAAGAACAAGGTTCCCTCAGAAGCTCCGCTGCTTCCACGTTAATCCCCGCTCTCCGGGTGGTTCTCAGGACACTCTGAGCGCCCCCTCCAGCCTGGCCTCTGCCCAGTGTCCCTCAGAGTGTACACATATGTACTCAGTGTCCAGGCCGGGGCTCTTGCTATTCCTGGTTATGCCTCCCTGAAACTCTAGTAATTTCCACAGTCCTCTCTGGAGTCCAAACCCTGAGCCCATTCCTCTGAGAAGCTGGCTCTGGTCAGCTACATGGGGTTTGTGTTGCTTCCTTACTCCATGGATGCCCCAACTCTCAGGCCCTCAGTGCACCTCATGTTGTATGACACCTGCTGTGTTGCTTGGAGACTGTGAAGATGCTTCCTAAACCTCACCAACTGGAGCAGAAGCTCTCACAGGGCAGGGACCAGATTGCCTACAGCAGGCTGGGCTGGGCTGGGCACAGGTTACCAGAACCCACAGCAAAGCACTGACAGACGGGCTCGCCATCCGCTACTGGCAGTTGGATGCTCCAATGACTCACCACGACAGACAGCAATCACCCCTTTCCCACGCTGGGAAAGCTGTGAGGAGAAGCCCTGTCCTCCCAGGGAAGGCCTGGCTATTCAGGCTCCTTGGTGGCGCCTCCTGTGAGAACGAAACTCACTGAAATGAATCAGGAGGAGTTCAATGCCTTCACTTCGGATGCTCCTTGTTCCCTCCAAGTTTTGAGTTTCTGCCTAAAAACTGCGGGAACCCTGCCTAAGCAGAACAGATGAGGAGGGCTCAGAGCCTCCAGCCCATGGGAGGCTGCGTCCCGGGAGCTGTGCTCACCATGGCTCCACTGCCTCTTCCCTGCACATCTCCAGAGACCCCCCCGTCTGCTCCTCACCATTTTGGCGAGGACAAGGGCGTCGCTCATGAGGTCTAGAAGAGGGGTCTGGGTGTGAACGTTGTAGAAAGAATAAGCAGCTTTGAGACTCTTGTGGGTTGGATGGTTCATGATGGTGGAGGGCAGCGTATAAAAGCTCAGGAAATCTGTCACCTCTCCGTTTGCGTTCTGAAGGGAAGGCAATAAAGAGGCAATGTCAAGCATGCACAGTGGCACTGCGGCCCGGGAACAAAATGTTTCTCTCACTCCACCTTCAGGCAGCTCTGCCCCTCTAGATAAATGGCTGGAAACTGCAACAGGACATGTGGGGAGGAGGAGGGACATTGGCTCAGGGCACTTGAGGACAGAGCCGTGATCGTGGGCTGAACCTGCCAGACCTCTTTCCCAGCATGGGCACCGCCAGGGACCTCTTCTTGCAGCTCACATCCCCCCAGACTGTGTCTCCTATGTCTGGTCAGCACTGGGTTAAGCTGGGACAGGCAGGGAATTGCAGGCTTTCCTGAAGGATTAAGCGGGGCTCAGTTCTCTCTATTTTGTGTTA
Source organism: Homo sapiens (assembly GCF_000001405.40). Classification (NCBI taxonomy): domain Eukaryota; kingdom Metazoa; phylum Chordata; class Mammalia; order Primates; family Hominidae; genus Homo; species Homo sapiens. Next base: position 45,103,335 of record NC_000017.11, on the reverse strand, counting down.
TCAAAGTGGGGCAGAGGGGGAGAAGGGCTCAAGCCAGATCCAGAGGTATCTTTTCAGCAAATTCAAGCACCAACTCCCTGTTTTTAGGGAGGACCAAACACGGATGGTCAAGGAAGTCTAAGGTGCCAACACTCGAGCCCTGGGAACCCGGCCACTCAGGGGGGTGCCTCTCTGGGAACGTGTTAGAGACCTGGAACACCACTCCCTGACTCACCTCCACCACGAAAGTGTCGATGATATTCTCCTGGGGGTAGAACCAGTGCTCCACCTCCTCCTGGCTCATGACGGGCGTAAGGTGAAATTGCTTCAAGTACCTGGTGAGGAGCTGGTGCACTACTGGAATGTCCTTTGTTTCCATTGGTCGCAGCCCAGCTGTCTTGGGAGTCTGGAGGCAAGACAGAAGAGATGGAGTGAGATGAGCTGATCACCCTGGATCTATCCATGGCAAGGACAGATCAGGCCCTCAAGAGAGAATCCCTGGTCATTCGGCGGCTCCCTGCACCCCCGTGCATATCTCCTCAGGCACAGGGCCTGCCTCTTCCGTATCTTCTGGCCCTTTCCCTCCTAGTCCAGGCAGACTCAGACTGCTACATCAATCAACCATCTACATGGCCCCAGGCTGACTCCCTAAGAAAACACAACCCTTCATGCTCCACCCTTGTTTCAAACTCCCCACCCCAGAAGACAAGAATTTCTACCCTTGGGCCAGGTTGGCCTTTCTAGCTGTACCTTCTGCCCACGCAGCCCAACAGTCCTCACAGGCTTCTCACTGAACTGTGACTGATGCCATCCCACACTCACTGCTCTTTCTCTGCTAGACTTAGAGCACTTCGCGGACAGACCCCAGGGCCCAGCCAGGGTCTGCCCACCCAGACACTATTACACCAGTACTTCCCAGAGAGACACGGCTGTGGGTTACATTCAGAAGAAAAGCAGCATACTCCCAGGATTTTATCCCCAGTCAGCGTCCCACCCGGCAGCTGCTTTTGCTAGAAAAATGCTTCAGTGGAATGAAACCATGTGATCCTGTGGAGCAAATACCGGGGCTGGTAGAACATCCCCAGAGGCTCAGATACACAAAGGTGGCCTTGGGGCAATCTGCAAACAGGGTGGTGTCACAGTTTACAGGCCTCAGTCAGTGCCTGACACAATGCTTCCCAGTGCAGGAATTGCTTTTAAAACTTCAGTTCTAGAACCTCCAGCCTCTAAAATTCCTTGCTAAATCCTCGTCTCTTTAGGGGAACGCTCAATGACCTCATTCTACATGGCAGCTCCCACAATGATACCTCAAATCCTGGACTGAAAACACAGCCATGCTGGGGTTTCCACCCAGACATGGGTGAGACATTCTTCTGCTGCTGCAGCACTCTAAGAATGCTCTCTGCCTGCCTGCCCACCGGCCTAGAACGCAAGGCAGATCTGTCATGAGAACAGAAGGGAGAAGACACATACCACAGTCCCCCAAGCCTGTGCTTTTGGCAGTGTCTAACGGTACTGCAGCAGTCTCTCAAGATGGGACACTAATGACCCCAATCACTAGGTGGATTAGCCTGATTTCAGAGTGATCAATCCTGTTTAGAGGCTGAGGAGTCCAGGCAGGCAGCCTCATGTCAGCAGGAACGCAGTGACTGTGTGCACTGATGACCAATAGGAAGAAGCACTCCGAGGAAAGAGAAGAGATTTTTTCTTTCTTTCCTTTTTTTTTTTTTTTTTTTTTTGCGACGGAGTCTTGCTCTGTCGCCAGGCTGGAGTCCAATGGTGCGATCTCGGCTCGCTGCAACCTCTGCCTCCCAGGTTCAAGCAACTCTGCTGCCTCAGCTTCCCAAGTAGCTGGGATTACAGGCACATACCACACCCAGCTAATTTTTGTGTTTTTAGTAGAGACAGGGTTTCACCATGTTGGCAGGATGGTCTCAATCTCTTGACCTCGTGATCCACCCGCCTTGTCCTGCCAAAGTGCTGGGATTACAGGCGTGAGCCACCGCCCACCTGAGAAGGGATTTTAAGAATCCCTACTGGGATGGGCACAGTGGCTCATGCCTGTAATCCCAGCACTTTGAGAGGCTGAGGTGGGTGGATCACTTGAGCCCAGGAATTCAGATGAGCCTGGGCAACATGGCAAAATCCTTTTTTTGTTGTTGTTGTTTTTTTTGAGATGGAGTCTCGCTCTGTGGGCCAGGCTGGAGTGCAATGGCGCTATCTCAGCTCACTGCAAGCTCCGCCTCCCGGGTTCACGCCATTCTCCTGCCTCAGCCTCCCGAGTAGCTGGGACTACAGGCGCCCACCACCAAGCCCGGCTAATTTTTTTTTGTATTTTTAGTAGAGACGGGGTTTCACCATGTTAGCCAGGATGGTCTCGATCTCCTGACCTCGTGATCCACTCGCCTAGGCCTCCCAAAGTGCTGGGATTACAGGTGTGAGCCACCGCGCCTGGCCTTCTTTTTTTTTTTTTTTTTTTTTTTTTTTTTTTTTTGAGACGGAGTCTTGCTCTGTTGCCTAGGTTGGAGTGCAGTGGTGCGATCTTGGCTCACTGCAAGCTCCGCCTCCCAGGTTCATGCCATTCTCCTGCCTCAGCCTCCCAAGTAGCTGGGACTACAGGTGCCCGCCACGCCACGACCAGCTAATTTTTTGTATTTTTATTAGAGACAGGGTTTCACCGTGTTGGCCAGGATGGTCTCGATCTCCTGACCTCGTGATCCGCCTGCCTTGGCCTCCCAAAGTGCTGGGATTACAGGCGTGAGCCACCACGCCCAGGCTTCTTTTATTTTGAGACGGAGTCTCGCTCTGTCGCCTAGGCTGGAGTGCAATGACGTGATCTTGGCTCACTGCAAGCTCCACCTCCCGGGTCCATGCCATTCTCCTGCCTCAGCCTCCCAAGTAGCTGGGACTACAGGCACCCACCACACCACGACTGGCTAATTTTTTATATTTTTACTAGAGACGGGGTTTCACCGTGTTAGCCAGGATGGTCTTGATCTCCTGATCTCGTGATCTGCCCACCTCAGCCTCCCAAAGTGCTGGGATTACAGGCGTGAGCCACTGCGCCTGGCAGCAAAACCCCGTTTCTATAAAAACAAAAATTGGCCGGGCATGGCGGCACACGCCTGTAGTCCCAGCTACTTGGGAGGCTGAGGTGGGAGAATCAGTTGAGTCTGGGAGGTCGAGGCTGCAGTGAGCTGTGACTGTGCCACTGCACTCCAGCCTGGGCAACAGAATGAGACCCTGTCTCAAAACAAAAAAAAAAGAATCCCTACCTGAAGCCAGCCACAGTTGGAGCATTTGTTTCTTTGGGAAACTAGGAAAACTGAGACCCAGAACAGAAAAGCAGCTCACTTTAAGGTTGCCCAGTCCTTCAGCCAAATCTGGGTGGGGAAATTGGGATTAGAAATCGGGGATCCCTCACAAGCTCAGGTCACCCTTTACCTGACCCGGCAGAGGGGCGTCACAGACCCTGTAGTGCATCTGCGCTGGGCTTTGGAACGCGCTGCCGTGTGTATGAAGGTTCACTAAGTGGATTCATCATTCTATTTATGCTTTACTTAGGCTAAAATTACAGAGAATAGGTGTTCTCTGAGCCTTTCAACAGATGGCAGAGAAGCTAGTCCAGGCACAGACTCAGAGGAACTGAGAAAGTTAAACTAAAATAAAATCCTGCTTCAGATAACAGAAATAGAAAGTCCAGGAAATCTGAAGACTATGGGCTGGTTCGCTTTTCCAGTAGGAGAAAGCTCCCTCTCCACCCAGAGCCCTTCTCTCCTGCTGACAGCCAGGCTCTCCTTGCCCTCTCTCTGCCCCCTGCCCACCACCCGGGGCAGCACTGGCCTCTGGCAGTCGGTAGAGCTTCATGGTGCGCTGCATGGTCATATTTCTGCTCAGGTGGGAGAACTTCACTTCAATCAGCTTCCGTGGGTTTAGGGACCGATGCCAATACCTGTGGGGACACAAATGTCCTGTCCTCAGGGTTCTGGCCAATCCCTATTACAAGGACAATGGCAGGGAGACCCCAGCTGGCCAGCAGGTGGCGTGAGAGACACATCAGGTGCCTCCGGAGTCAGTGGTGTCACCCTGCTCTCCAGCCTCCCCCTCCCCACAGTGAGTGCTGCCAAAGCTCCTCCTGGATTTTCTTTCTCCCTATTTTTCTTGCTCAATTTCAAAAACTATTCCTTTGCTACAGCGGTTGTCTGGGGAGACCAATCCTCACTCCTAGAATCAAGTCAACGGAAAAGGACTGTAGTCATGCCCAGAAGATGATGGCAGAGGCACTCACCCTCCTCCCTCCTCCCCTTCTGCTTTCACACCTGGTGTTTTTACTTTTAAAGTTCTCTAAGGAGAGATTATTCAATTGTTTTAAACAACTTTCTAAGGCAGAGGTTGCCCTTAGATCACATAGCTGACTTGCTCTATTTGGTGCACACAATATTCAAAACAATTTGAGCCAACCATTTAAAACTTTAGGACATTTCCCATAAAAATCCAGATTTGGGCTCATCCCTAAAAACAAAAACAAACCACCAGTACCGCCCCCCACCATCTCCAAATGGCAGCAGCCAGCAGACACCAAGAGCCCTCCAGACAAGGCAGGGACTTGCCAATCTGCCATCCCTACAACCCTCCCGCCCTCTCCATGCTCCCCATCTGGCTCCTGCAGGCACCAAGTGCCCGCCTTACCAGATACGCCAGAGGTGGGATGCTAAGGGCGGAGCTGTGACTCACAGTGGCACATGCTCCTCAACTACAGTGCAGACACCCGCATTTTTGGGGCCTTACAGGAAGACAGTTTTACCTGCAGGTGCCAACGGGCTTTGGTAGTACCACCCCGGCAGTGTAAACTGCTTGGAAGATGCCCTCCAGGTGAACCCGCCTGGTGATCTCTCGGATCAGAACTGGAGCAACCCTCTTGGAACGCAGCTTCTTGTGGACACACAGGAAGTTGATCTCTACCATCTTCTTCTCTCTAAGAGGGGGAAAAATCCAGGTGACAAGGTTTTTAACAGGGAAGGGAATGGTGATCCCATCAAGCACGTGCAGCCACACCTAGAAGGACCAGGTCTGCAGCACGGGTGTACTTTTAGCTGCCACCTGCACTCAGTACTGGGACTCCCCACCACACTCCACCAGGCAAGGAGCCTGCCTCACTTCAACAGAATCTATTTCCAAAGGAAGGTGGGACCCAAGCAAACACCTTTATTTGAAGGTACCACCAGCATCTCCCTGATGAGTCCCTAGGAGTTGGCTGGGGAATCCCACCTTTAGCATGCAGGGAAGCAGCACAGGGAACCCACGGGGCAGGTCAAGGCAATTCTAGGGTTTCAAGGGTTCTGATTCCCTCAAGAACACAGCTGGTAATAAGCCCTGAAGACTGTGGCAGGCAGATGGTTTCAACACTTCCAGGGAAAATGAAGAGCAGAGATCACAGGCCCCAAGGACTATCTGAATCTGGGTCACACTCGCTCTGGCCCATTTCTGCTGCTGTTCAAGTGCTTCCATGTGTGACTGGTACAGGCGTTCAAAAATGAGCCTCTGATTAGCCAGGTGTGGTGGCGCATGCCTGTAATCCCAGCTACTTGGGAGGCTGAGGCAGGAGAATCGTTTGAACCCTGGAGGTGGAGCTTGCAGTGAACCAAGATCGCACCACTGCACTCCAGCCCGGGCAACAGAGTGAGACTAAGAAAAGCCTCTGGCCAGGCACAATGGCTCACGTCTATATTCCCAACACTCTTGGGAGGCAGAGGTGAGTGGATCACTTGAGCTCAGGAGTTTGAGACTAGCGTGGGCAACATAGCAAGACCTTGCCTCTATAAAATGTAAAAAATAATAAACAAAAACAAAAACAAGCCTCTGCTGAGCAGGCACACCAGGCCTCAGGGTGGGCTCCTTCCAACCTGGGCCACAAACAAGGGAGCTGGCTGGGACTCTGAGCAGAACAGGTGGTTCCTAGGATGAATCTGCAGTCCCCGCACCTGGGCATCCTCCCTTCCTGAGACCTTCCCTCTTCCTTTCATGGGGCACATTGTGCAGCCTTTTTCTACTCTCTCCCAGACCAAGCAGGATGGCGGTGTTGTGGGGGGTGGGGGTAGGTGCAGGTGCTTACGTGTCATAGATATGGATGTTTGCTGGGATGGCGCTAATGAACCCAACCAATTTCCGACTTGAGACCACTCGAACCCCACAGTGCCACTGGGGGAGCCAGCCGGGTGGCCGGAGAGCCCTGGAAAAGAGAGGCTGGGGTGGTTGTGCTGCTTGCCGGCAGGCTGGACAAGCCGCTTGGGCTCCACAGCCAAATTTGGTTCGGACCTGGTGCTACCACCTCCCTGAGGGTTAATAGCTGGATTCTCTTTAGGGCCAAGCCCTCCTGGACACACAGAATCGAGCCATCACCATTTCTGGCTGCTCATCCCATTTGGCCTAGTTACTCATCCAACCCAAGGTTATCATACTGAGGATTTCATGCCTGATCCAATTTCTGTGTTCACTTTGACAGCTTGAACCAAGGTACTGGCATCTTTGGTTCGGAGGCCAGTGGGTCCCATGGTTGAGAGCTGACTGTGGCAACCCTGGAGCTCTGGTGTCCTGTCTCCCTCTTTCTGGTACAAATTCTTCCTTCCCTTTCAGGTAGTCCCTCTCCATTTCGGCCCATGCCTCTCTCTTCCTGGATATTAAACGTGGCCTGGGCAGGTGGATGGCTCAGCCAGGCAAGGCTATACAACTGAGCATGCTCAGGAACTAGATAGAAAATGTGCCTTCTTTTCTTTCAGTCTTAGTAGGTCTCATGCCCGTTCCTTTCTTATATAAAGTCACCAGACAATGAATACCTCTTCCCTGGGTACTAGCTCTACGAAGGTCTCCCTCACCCAGTCAATTGTCTTAAACAAGGCTGCAATTCTAAGTGCTAATGAAAGCAAGTGTCCTTCAGATGCAGGAACTCAAAAATGACACACTAATTTGCCATTCAAAGGTTGGCCCCTGGCAGGGATGAAAACTCTGGTGCCCTCTGGTGGATCTGCTCTATGCCTTCCTCTCAAGAACCTCAAGAAAGCCCCCACAACTTACCACAAAAGAAACTCCGGGGAATAATCAAATCGGAACATGTTGTCATCATCTTCCACATAGTTCTCATTCAGGAGGGTGTACAGTTCTTTTAGCTGTAAAGAAATAAGCAGCTCACTTGGAGGTATTCTGCCAGGTAGTAGACCAACTCCAATACCCTGGGGCTCTAGGCTTTTCAGAAGGATGAAGCAAACTACCAAAAACGACGTGGAGTCTCACAAATCCTTCTGCCCCCTGGCATGGTAGGAACTCTTGGAGCAAACACCCTAGTTATAGTAGAAAACTGAGCCATCACGTGGTAGAGTGGCAGACCGAGAATGCCACCTAACTAACCAACCACTTCATCATTCTGCGCCATCAACAATGGAGAGCCACTGGTCTCAACTTCTGTGAAGTGCTATAGAGGGACGACTCTCGAAGCTAGTCAAGGAATTACCACGGAGAGTCACTGCTGTTTCCCACCTTGTCTGATTTTTTACCATCTGGCCCAAACAAAGGCCTTTTTTCCTTTCTTTTCAAGATAGAGTCTCACTCTGTTACCCAGGCTGGAGTGCACTGGTGTGATCATGGCTCACTGCAGCCTCCAACTCCTGGTTTCAAGCGATCCTCCTACTTCAGCCTCCTGGGTAGCTGAGACTACTGGGGCATACTACCATGTCCGGCTAATTATTAAATTTTTTTCTTTTGTAGCGGGGGCAGTCTCACTATATTGACCCGGCTGATTGATTTTGAACTCCTGGGCTCAATCGATCTTCCCACCTTAGACTCCCAAATTGTTGGAATTACAGGTGTGAGCCACCACACCCAACCACAAAGGCCTTTTTCTGCCTTCTCAGCTATCTCCATCTGCTGGCCCAACTTTGGTATTAAAAAATTCTGTTGGCCCGGTGTGGTGGCTCAAGCCTGTAATCCCAGCACTTTGGGAGGCTGAGGTGGGCGGATCACCTGAGGTCAGAAGTTTAAGACCAGCCTGGCCAATGTGGTGAAACCCCATCTCTACTAAAAAATAAAAAAATTAGCCTGGCGTGGTGACAGACACCTGTAATCCCAGCCACTGGGGAGGCTGAGGCAGGAGAATTGCTTGAACACAGGAGGTGGACGTTGCAGTGAGCCAAGATTGTGCCATTGCACTCCAGTCTGAGCAACAGAGCAAGACTCCATCTCAAAAAAAAAAAAAAGACTGGGCGCAGTGGCTCATGCCTGTAATCCCAGCACTTTGGGAGGCCGAGATGGGTGGATCATGAGGTCAGGAGTTCGAGACCAGACTGGCCAACACAGTGAAACCCCATCTCTACTAAAAATACAAAAATTATCCATGCATGGTGACAGATGGTTGTAATCTCAGCTACCTGGGAGGCTGAGGCAGGAGAATCACTTGAACCTGGAAGGTGGAGGTTGGGGTAAGCCAAGATCGCGCCACTGCACTCCAGCCTGGGCAACAGAACCAGACTCTGTCTCAAAAAAAAAAAAAAAAGCCAGGCCTAGTGGCTCATTGCCTGTAATCCCAGCACTTTGGGAGGCCAAGATGGGCAGATCACCTGAGGTCAGGAGTTCGAAACCAGCCTGGCCAACATGGTGAAACACCATCTTTTCTAAAAATATAAAAATTAGCTGGGCGTGGTGGCACTCACCTGTAATCCCAGCTACTCGGGAGGCTGAGGCAGGAGAATCGCTTGAACCCAGGAGGCAGAGACTGCAGTGAACTGAGATGGTGTCACTGCACTCCAGCCTGGGCAACAGAGCGAGACTCCATCTCAAAAAAAAAAAAAATTCTGTTGACTTTTTTTTTTTTTTGAGACAAAGAGTCTCGCACTGTCACCTGGGCTGGAGTGCAATGGTGAGATCTCAGTTCACTACAACATCCCCCTCCCAGGTTCACGAGATTCTCCTGCCTCAGCCTCCTGAGTAGCTGGGATACAGGCGTACACCACCACACCTGGCTAATTTTTTGTATTTTTAGTAGAAATGGGGTTTTATTATGTTGGTCAGACTGGTCTCAAACTCCTGACCTCATGATCCGCCTGCCTCAGCCTCCCAAAACGGTGGGATTACAGGTGTGAGCCACCACGCCCGGCGACATTTTCATCATTCTTTATAAGGGAAATAAATCCCTCAGGTCAAAACAAGGGGCTCTGGGTGGCCGGGGTGGAAAGGGGAGGACAGGGCCTCATTTAGCAGCCCCAGCTGCTCCAGTCAGGAGACAGACTAGAAAGAAAATGAGGAAATGAATGAACAAAAAAGAATAAATGAAAAACAGGTATCCACATCGGGGACCTACAGAGGTTAACTTCCAACCTGCCAGAAAAGCTAAGAGCTATTTATGTGGAGTCTTGGCCATGCCCCAGGAAGTTACAGACGGGAGTCTGTTCAGACCTCCTTGGCTCAGCTCTCTAGGGCTCGAGTAAACGTAGTCTAGGTGAGACTGCAGGGCTTACTGTGAAAGTGGCTCCTACCCGCAGGTGTAACCTTCTGAGGGCCCACTCACCACACCACGATCGCCCAGGTCCAAAGCATCCCAGGTGAAGCCCTGGGGCAGGGTGTAGGGCTCCTGGCGGATATTGTCCTTGTCAGGCTCCACGGGGCCATGGGTGTTCACCACTTCGCCTGAAAGAAGAGCACAGCTGTGAGCCTCACCCTTTGCCCCCTCGGGGCAGTAAAGGGCTCAGTTCAAAACTCAACCAGAGCAAATTCCTCCTGTCCCTAGGAGCCCTCTATCTGAAGAACATTCTGTGCTTGGCAACTGCAAACCGTCTTTCCAGCTACCCTTAGCCCCTAACTGAGGGCCAATTCATGGCAAAACCTCAGGACAATCACTGGGATCCAAGGTGGTTCGTGTTTTGGAAATCCATTTAAATCTCCCTTGGGTCACTGAATGACAAACATTTATCTTTAGTAATTTGGCTTCCTGCCTCCTGGTTGGTGTAAAGAGTGCTGTCAGGGCCCTGGCCCAGGCCCATCAGTCTGGATGGGTTTGTAAGGAGTCACAACAAGGCTGCTTTTGTGTCAACAGCAACAACAATGTACTGGGCCCATTTCTGAACCAGATGATGGCTTCTAGGCGCCAGGCTCAATCGTGGCCCTGCCAGCCTTGGCTTTCAGCAGCGTGAGCCAGTTAACTGCTACTGCCAACTCAGGCCCTCAGTGTTTAGAGTCCTGCAAGTGCCTTTGGGCTGAATCACCAAGTCTACATAGTGCTGCCGGGAAGTCACCCTGACACAACATCCCCTCCCTGAGCAGGATAGGCCCCTCCTCTGTGGGAGCATGTGGGGAGTGCTCCAAAGACACAGCCCTCATTCCTATCCAGAGCTCAATCGGACTCATATATGCTGAGAGATTCACCACTGAATTCTGGCCCTTGGGATGATTTCGGTTCTACAATGGGCTCACTCATGTTTACACTGGGAAGAATGCAATGTTTAGTGCATTTTGGAAAATGGAGTCTTCAAAAGGGACCAACCCAGTAACAGTGTTCCTAGCAAAGGGCTCTGTATAGACTAGGCACTCAATTCATGCTTTTACTGACTTTCAGACTCCTGATCCCAAATATTTTTTTTTTCTTTTCTTTTCTTTTTTTTTTTTTTGAGACAGTCTCATTCTGTCGCCCAGGTTGGAGTACAGTGGTGCGATCTTGGCTCACTGCAACCTTCACCTCCCTGGTTCAAGCAATTCTCCTGCCTCAGACTCCCGAGTGGCTGGAATTACAGGTGTCCGCCACCACGCTGGCTAATTTTGGTGTTTTGTTTTTTTTTTTTCAGTAGAGATGGAGTTTCACCATGTTGGCCAGGCTGGTTTCAAACCCCTGGCCTCAAGTGATCCACCCGCCTCGGCCTCCCAAAGTCCAAACATTTCATTCTAACATGTAACAGGAAGCTCTAGACCTTCCCAGAATGATAATCTGTGGGGCAAGTGTGGTGGAAAGGGCTGCATCAGGCTGCAGCACACGACACCACCGCTGGCACTGATCATCTCACCCTCTTCCATCAGACACATTACTGAGCACCAACCGTGCACCAGTGACTCAGTGACCATGCCAGCCCCTAGTGTACAGCAGGAAAAAGGACCAAGTCCCTGTCCTCATGAGACATACCATCTTCTGGGGAAATAGTAAATAAATGAGTCATTATCCACGTGCTGCAGGTCAGGATCTGGAAAGTGCAGGGACACACAACAGGGAAGCAGCCTGCTCTGTTGGTAATCAGGCTTCCCAACAGGTTTGCTTGGGAGAGAGGTCATATTTTTCTTCCCTAGTTAGGAAACTCATGACTGGCGAGATGGGGTCTTGCTCTGTTGCCCAGGCTGGAATGCAGTGGCGTAACCTTGGTTCACTACAGCCTCGACCTCCTAGGCCCAAACGATCCTCCCATCTCAGCCTCTCGAGTGGTTGGGACTATAGGCATGCGCCACTACGCCTGGCTAATTTTATTTTTCATAGAGATGAGGTCTCACTGTTGCCCAGGCTGGTCTCAAACTCCTAGACTCAAGTGATCCTCCTGCCTTGGCCTCCCAAAATGCTGGGATTATAGCATGAGCCACGGCGCCCAGCCAAAACCCACCATTTGATTATTCATAAAGTAGCTCTTGTGAATTTAAGTCAATCCGCTTCCAACTGACAGCTATGTATATTAAAAAAACATTTTTGAGCCTACAAAACTGAGGGCCAGACCCTCTAGTCTTATCTAGGTGCTAATTTCCCAACTTGTATTGAATTTATACCTTTTCCTATACACTTCAGAACCTTCTTTTTTTCCCCCTGAATTATTTCCATGGCCAAGAATACTGATGGTCTTCCCTATTGTACTAAAATAACCTCAAGGCTAAATCTTCTCATTTAGGCTGGCTACTAGGTCCTACACGCAACAGGCACTTCCATTCACTCACTCCTTCACCAAGTGTTCACTGAATCCTAGAATGTGCCAGTTCTGTGGCAGGGGCTGGCGAATGAAACAGACACAGGTCCTCACCATCATGGACACCAAAGAGATGAGCAAGGATGCACATGCCACCCGGCATGGTGAGGGCCAGTAAGAATGAAGTACAGGGTGCTATGGGACGTGTGTGTGTGTGTGTGTGTGTGTGTGTGTGTGTGTGTGTGTGTGTGTGTCAGGAAAGACCTCTCAGAGGAAATATCTAACGACAAGACCTCAAGGATAATTAGGAATCAGCCAGGCTGCAGGTGGACTATGTGGGGCAGGGTGGGTGTGAAAAAGTAGAGCTACAGGAAACACTGAAAAGGGAGCAGCCACTTTTACTAGACTCCCACTGTGGAGTGCCCTCGATGCCAAGAAGCAGCCCAAGGCTCCTGTGCTGTCCTCGGTGTGGTGCCAGCATCATGGCCTCTGCTTGTCCTGCTCTGTGGGGAGCAGCCTGCCTTCTCCCTTACAATGGCCTTTGAGTACCTCCTGCTGAGCAGGGGTGGAAGGCTGCTCTGCAGAGCACAGCAAGAATGCAGCTGATTCTCTCAAGGCCAACATGAACCAATAAATGACTAAGGATGACACTTCGAACTTGCTTTAAAAGAATCTGGAAGTTTAAAGAAAACCCTGAGCTTTCAATGGGTTTCTTTCTGCACACTCTTCCCTCAAAATTCTCTCCATGACATCAAACATCAGAGACCCAAAACTAAGCAATGCGGTGCAACTGTGAAGGACTTCGGAGAAATGAGAATGTCTGAGATGCGGAAAACATTAAACCAAACAAAGGCCAAGGAGAGGAAAAAGAGAGGGGAAGCTTCTCTCTGGGACCCATGGAAACCAGGTGAGTGCACATCCTCCCTTTGATAGTGACTTTTTAAAACAGAGTGGCCACACTGCATTCCACTGACCAAAGACAGAAAAGGATACTGCTTCCGTTGACATGAGTGGGAAAGGGGTGACTTTAAAAAGAAGAACGACATGATCTCGAGTGGGGGATCAAAAGTTCATCTGCGGCTCTTACAGTTGTTACACAGACTAAAACACTTCTGCTAAGAAGGCCTTTCATTTTTATTTATTTATTTTTTAATCTTTGAGACAGGGACTCGCTTTGTCACCCAGGCTAGAGTGCAGTGGCACGATCATGGCTCACTACAGCCTCGACCTCCAGGACTCAAACGATCCTCCCACCTCAGTCTCCTGAGAAACTGGGACCATAGGCATGTGCTACCATGTCTGGCTAATTTTTAAATTTTTTTGTAGAGACGAGGTCTTTCCCTGTTGTCCAGGCTGGTCTTGAGCTGCTGGGCTCAAGCAATCCTCCTGCCTTGGCCTCCCAAAGTGCTGGGATTACAGGCATTGAGCCACTACACCCGGCCTAAGAAGGCCTTTCCATGGTAAACCTAGGATAATTTTAAGCTTCTAAAGAATTGCAGGTCTCAGTCAGGTGCAGTGGCTCACGCCTATAATCCCAGCACTTTGGGAGGCTAAGACAGGAGGACAGCTTGAGCCTAGGAGTTTGAGACCAGCCTGGTCAACATAGTGAAACCATGTCTCCACAAAAAATTTAAAAATTAGCCAGGCATGTGGCAGGCACCTGTAGTCCCAGCTACTCAGGAGGCTAAGGTGGGAGGATTGCTTGAGCCCAGGAGATCAAGGCTGCAGTGAGCCATGATCATACCACTGCACTCCAGCCTGGGCAGCAGAGCGAGATCCTGTCTCAAGAAAATAAAAGAGAGGGCCGGGTGCGGTAGCTCATGCCTGTAATCCTAGCACTTTGGGAGGCCAAGGCACGTGGATCACGAGGTCAGGAGTTCAAGACCAGCCTGGCCAAGATGGTGAAACCCTGTCTCTACTAAAAATACAAAAATTAGCCGGGCGTGGTGGTGGGCACCTGTAATCCCAACTACTCGGGAGGCTGAGGCAGAGAACTGCTTGAACCTGGGAGGCAGAGGTTGCAGTGAGCCGAGAAAACGCCACTGCACTCCAGCCTGGGCGACAGAGTGAGACTCTGTCTCATAAATAAATAAATAAATCAGAGAGACTTGTAGGTTTCTTTAGTGGAATACCATCTAATTAAAACTCTCCCAAGAAGGTGGAGAGTACTGTAAAAACACAGTGCAGCTGATATGCACGAGATTTATAATCATTAGTCCTCCAATTAAGTGAAAAAAAAATTAGGGCAAGAAGCTGTAGGTACCACCACCCCTGAGAAAACTCAGAACTAGGGTGACGCCTCAGCCATGCAGGCTAACACGCCTGCCAAGGTGGCACTTTTTACAGGCTGACACAAACACAGGAATCTAACTGGGGCTTGACTGACCCTGGACCTCAAAGGCAGACTAGTCAGATGCTCAGGGTGACTGCTCTTCCATGGAGTCCGACACCACACACTGCACAGAAGGCAAAGCCAGAAGAAATAAAACCAGACCTTGTTCCTCCTTCCTCAAAGTGTCAGGGCCCGTATGAGCAACTGTGTGGTTTTCTCTTGAGCTTTCTGAGAACTAAACTGAAGCACTTTCTACATTTACAGGTGAAAGGAAAACAAAGTATGCTGGGCTGAAGAGGAACAGAAGCAAATTAATCCCAAGCTGCCTCTTTTTTTTTTTTTTTAAATTCATTTTTGAGATGCATTCTTGCTCTGCTGCCCAGGCTGGAGTGCAGTGGTGCGATCTCAGCTTACTGCAACCTCTGTCTCCTAGGTTCAAGTGATTCTCCCACCTCAGACTCTCAAGTAGCTGGGATCACAGGCCCATGCCACCAGCCCAGCTAGTTTTTGTATTTTTAGTAGAGACGAGGTTTTACCATGTTGGCCAGGCTGGTCTCGAACTCCTGACCTCAGGTCATCCGCCTGCCTCGACCTCCCAAAGTGCTGGGATTACAGGCGTGAGCCACTGCGCCCAGCCTCAATCTGCCTCTTTCCCAAGTGCCACTATCTGTGAAGAATGTAGCAAGGTTACTCATTTGCAAATTCCTCAGGAAAAATAAAATCAAACCAAAACTCCAAAATGCCATCTGAAAACAGAGCCAAGATACATGGCAGCCACCACACAACACCTCATCAGGGATTTCATTCAGAGGTGAGATGTGTGGCTCTCTGCATCTTTCCTGCTCCTCAGCGAGAAACTGGTCACTGGGACCCTACCCTGTGGCCCAAAGCCTTGCTGGAGGGCTTAGCCAGTGGGCCTGGGACCTGGCCGATGAGGGCAGCCAAACACACACGGTGATGGGGGAATCAGCACCCCTCTTGTCCACCTGGGCAGTGCTCTGCTCTCCCTCACCCGTGGGGATGCACCTCCTCAGCTTGCTTCTATTGTGACCAAGCTTCTAAGAACTGCATCCGCTCTAGAGCAGAGCTTCTCAAACTTTCAAAGTGGACAGAAATCCTCTGGCAGTTCTGATTCTGCAGCTTTGGGGTGGGGCCCGACAAACTGCATTTCTACTAGCAATTAGGCAATGCCCATCCTGCAGGTCTGCAGGCCTCATGGATTAGCTGCTCCCAACCTCTGCAGCAAACAAATCTCCTTGGGCACAGCTGCCTTCCTCACCTCACCAGTCTTTAGCCCTACCCTGTCTGGCCCTGCCCCACCCTCCTCCTCTGCACCGAACATACTAGTGAAGTCTCATTGTGTTTCTGGAGGGGAGCAGTAATGTGGACAAGCTGAAAGTCATTTACATTTGGTGTTGGAATATGTTTTTTTCAACATACTTACTTTCCCAGTCACAAAGAAAACAGGAACTAGGCCACCAATGGGTCCAGAATCATGTTACAACCACTTCAGAAACTTTGTCAGCTGAGTCCTGAAGTCAGCCATCAAGGTTGGCTTGGCTCAGTCTTGGCAGGCACGTCTAACAGGATCCAGTCCCTTCCAGAATCCTTTTAGATATTCTGCCTATTCCACCCCTTTAGCAATTCATTATAGCTTTTTTAAGGGGTGCTAATGAAATCTATATATAGTATTCCTGTTGTTGAACCATCACTGCTAAGCAAAATCTCAAACCACTTTGCATTTAGTAAGCATGCATTGGCTAGGAGACAAAGGGGAAGAGGCTGGGGACTTTGCCCATTCCAGGAATAAACATGTGCCCAGACAAACAAGACAAAGTCTCTATAAACCTAAGTGGAAAAAAGACCTCTGGGCAGACATTCCCACTCTTCATGTGCCAATAGTTTTGTTTTGTTTTTTTTTTGGGTTTTTTGGTTTGTTCGTTTTTTGAGTTGGGGGTCTCACTCCTGTCACATAGGCTGGAGTGCGGTGGCGTGATCTCAGCTCACTGCCGCCTTGACCTCCCAGGTTCAAGTGATCTTCCCACCTCAGCCTCCTGAGTAGCTGGGACTACAGGTGCATGTCACTATGCCTGGCTATTTTTTTTTTTTTTACTTTTTGTGGAAACAAGGTCTATGTTGCCCAGGCTGGTCTCGAACTTTTGGGCTCAAACAATCCTCCCACCTCGGCCTCCCAAAGTGCTGAGATTATAGGTGTGAGCCAGTGCTGTTGGCAAGAATCATTATTTGTTCTCAAGGTGTGCTGCTATAAAATGGTAAGGTCTCTGAATGATAGTCTTTATGCTGCATTTTTAAAAACCACCCTCTGAAAACAACTACCAAGGAACTCCAGGACTCTACTGCCCTCCCTACAGTAATTCAGCATGAAACCCTCATGAAGGCACAGCTGAGGCAGATCCCTCGCCCCTGACCTGGCAAAGAAAGCAAGCATGTACATACCCAGCTTGGGGACGGGCTGCGTATCCCAGAACTGGTAGCTTCGCTTGCTAGCCTCCTCCATGGTTTTGGCAGGTCCCTGACCCACTGAGAACAGCTCAATGGCCTTCTGTATTTCCTGGATCCTCTCTGCTGGCAAAGAGTTCATCTGGACAAGACAAAGTTGGGGAGAAAAAAGGCCCATTATGTTAGTAAGACTTTTGATTAATTATGAGTTCAAGAGTTAAGGGGAGCTGGGTGCAGTGGCTCATGCCTGTAATCCCAACATTTTGGGAGGCCAAGGCGGGCAGATCACTTGAGGTTAGGAGTTCGAGACCCACCTGACCAACATGGTGAAACCCTGTCTCTACTAAAAATACAAAAATTAGCCAGGCGTGGTGGCGGGCACCTGTAATCCTAGCTATTTTGGGAGGCTGAGGCAGGAGAATCACTTGAACCTGGGAGGCAGAGGATGCAGTGAACCGAGATGGCGCCATTGCACTCCAGCCTGGGCGACAAAGCTAGACTCCGTCTCAAAAAAAAAAAAAAAAAGAGTGCTGGGCGCAGTGGCTCATGCCTGTAATCCCAGCACTTTGGGAGGCCGAGGGAGGTGGATTGCCTGAGCTCAGGAGTTCAAGACCAGCCTGGGCAACATGGTGAAACCCTGTCTCTACTAAAATACAAAAAATTAGCCAGGCATGGCGGCGTGTCCCTGTAATCCCAGCTACTCAGGAGGCTGAGACACGAGAATTGCTTGAACCTGGGAGGCAGATGTTGCAGTAAGCTAAGATCACACCACTGCACTCCAGCCTGGGTGACAGAGCAAGAATCCATCTCAAAAAAGAAAAAAAAAAAAAGAGTTAAAGGGTACAATTCAAAGAAGGGGTTTGGTTCCTCTGTCCTAATCCCAGAGGTCATTACAACCAGAGAAAAAGTGGTTGACAATGAGCTATATGATGGGTGGGTGCTGCCCGCAGGGTTTCTCCCCTTATTAGTCTTATGTTGTTTGATGGCAAAAGTAATACATGCTCAATGTAAATTTCAAACAATGCAGAAATGTGTAAGACACATAGAAAGTAAACACCCACAATCCCATCCCCCAAATATAATCTTTGTGATCAATAGTCTTCACTTGGGAAGGTGAGAAGAGGCAAATATAATTCCAGACTTTTTTGCATACAAGTTCCAAATGCACACACACTTTTCAAAAACTAAAATTGGATCATATAATATTATCGTACAAACTGCTCTTTAAAGACTGTCTTAGAGACCTTTCCAGGTGAAAACACCTGGACCTACCCATTCTACCAAGTCCACTGTATGTATGGACCACAGTATATTTAGCCAGCCCCCTACTCATGGGCATTTTGGTGATTTTGTTCTTTAGTAATACAACAATGTTGCAGTGAATTTCTTTTTTTTTTGAGACAGGGTCTCGCTCTGTTGCCCAGGCTGGAGTGCAGTGGCACAATCATGGCTTACTGCGGCTTCAACCTCATGGGCTGAAGGGATTCTCCCACTTCAGCCTCTTGAGTAGCTGGAACTATAGGCGTGTGCCACCAGGCCCAGGTAATTTTTTTGTTTGTTTTTTTGTCGAGACGGGGTCTCACTATGTTGCCTGGGCTGGCCTCGAACTCCTGGGCTCAAGCGATCTGCCCAACTCAGCCTCCCAAAATGCTGGGATTACAGGCCACCACACCCAGCATAAATTTTCTTATACATCTATTTTTACCCACTGGGATATATATTTCTGTAGGATGAAGTTAAGAAAGAGGCCTGCTGGGTCAAAAGGTATGCACTTTTGAAATGATTTATCATCAATTTGCTCTCTAAAAAGAGACTATCAGTAATCCAACGAACAGTGTATGAGAGTAGCTCCTGACCCTCACCATTAGATTTACCAAGCCTCAGCTGAGCTTGGTGGCTCACACCTGTAATCCCAGCACTTTGGGAGGCTGAGGCGGGAGGACTGCTTAAGCCCAGGAGTTCAAGGCCAGCCTGGGCAATATAGTGAGACCCCTGTCCCTATTAAAAAAAAAAAAGTGGCCGGGCGCGGTGGCTCACGCCTGTAATCCTAGCACTTTGGGAGGTCGAGGCGGGTGGATCACGAGGTCAGGAGATCGAGACCATCCTGGCTAACACAGTGAAACCCCGTCCCTACTAAAAATACAAAAAATTAGCCAGTGTGGTCACGGGCGGCTGTAGTCCCAGCTACTCGGGAGGCTGAGGCAGGAGAATGGCGTGAACCCAGGAGGTGGAGCTGGCAGTGAGCCAAGACTGCGCCACTGCACTCTAGCCTGGGCGACAGAGCGAGACTCCGTCTCGCAAAAAAAAAAAAAAGTTTACCAAGCCTTAATCTATGCCAATCTAAGAGAAATAATTATTGCTTTAATGGTCATTTCTTCCATTATGACTTTAACCATCTTATTATTTACTGATTACACATTTTTTCTTTCTGAACTGCCTATTCATTCAATTATTTTAAACTAATACATATGTTGCAAATATTTTCCCAGATTATTGTTTATCTTTTGACTTCTACAAAGTTTTAAATTTGTCAATTTCTGTTTTATGGCTTCTGGGTCCTATGTCAGACTTAGATTAATAAAACTACATACATTTTCTTCTAATATTTTTATTTAGTTTTCTGTTTTTCACTTAGATTATAAAGGAAAGAAAGAATATAAACCAGTATGTTCATATTGCTTAGGCCTGGGAAGTGGCATTTTAATTTTCTTCCCCTTGCAGTTTATTAAATAAATTCTCGGCCATGTGTGATGGCTCACTCCTGTAATCTCAGCAATTTAGGAGGCCATGGCAGGCAGATCTCTTGAGCCTGAGTTAGAGATCAACCTGAGTAATGCAGGGAGACCCCATGTCTACAAATAATAAAAAAATTAGCTGGGTGTCGTGGTGCACACCTGTAGTCCTGGCTACTCGGGAGGCTGAGGTGGGAAGATTGCTTGAGCCCAGGAGGTTGAGGCTGCGGTCAGCCATGTTCGTACTTCTGCACTCCAACCTGAATGACAGAGTCTCAAAAATAAATTAAATGAATAAAAAGGGAAGACCCCTACCTACCTTGTAGGGATGGTGATGGTTTGGAGCTAATTTAAATGAAGTGCAACATGGTATTAAATAATAATGGTATTTTTTCATAGCGGGTTTTATATTGGAAATAGTAAAAAAATTACTTGAAGTCATATCTCAATAAGGTAGCAGATTCAAGCTGAGGCATAACATTTGAGGCATACAGCAAAGTGTGGGTATATTGGAATGAATATGGATTTTTGCGAGGCTTATAAACTGTTTCAGAGGCTGTTCCTTTTTTTAAATTTTTTTTTAATTTTTTTTTTTTTTTGAGACAAAGTCTCACCCTTTCGCCCAGGCTGAAGTGCAATGGCGTGATCTCGGCTCACTGCAACCTCTGCCGCCTGGGTTCAAGTGATTCTCCTGTCTCAGCCTCCTGAGTAGCTGAGATTACAGGTGCGTGCCACCACGCCTGGCTAATTTTTTTTTGTATCTTCAGTAGAGGCAGGGTTTCACCATGTTGGCCAGGCTGGTCTCAAATTCCTGACCTCGTGATCCACCCGCCTTGGCCTCCCAAAGTGCTGAGATTACAAGCGTGAGCCACCATGCCTGGCCACTTAATTTTTATTTTTTGAGACAGAGTCTCACTCTGTTGCCCAGGCTGGAGTGCAGTGGCGTGATCTCAGCTCACTTCAACCTCTGCCTCCTGGGTTCAAGCGATTCTCCTGCCTTGTCCTCCCAAGTAGCTGGGATTACAGGCGCCTGCCACCACGCCCAACTAATTTTTTATATTTTTAGCAGAGACAGGGTTTTACCATGTTGGCCAGGGTGGTCTTGAACTCCTGACCTCAGGTGATCCACCCGCCTTGGCCTCCCAAAGTGCTGGTATTACAGGCATAAACCACCACCCCAGGTCTCAGAGGCAGTTTTAAAAGGTGAATTATGAATATGTTTGAGTTGTCCCCCTGCCTCTGTCAGCCTACTTTGAAGAAGACAACACTTACCTGCAATTGTTTTATTTTGTAATGTTGTTTTATTTAAGAAACAAAACAATCCTTACCCATATCTCTGGGTTTCATGCCAGTGCATCACTCTCAGGTTGTAAGCCTTTAGGCCAGTGGTTCTCATGGAGTAGAACTCAGAAAGACTCTGTGGGACTCATGGCTTTCATTATAATGACTATGGCATTAAGAGAATGTTTGCAAATATATAAAGGTCTTAAGAAGAAGTCTTTGGCTGAATGCAGTGGCTCACGCTTGTAATCCCAGCACTTTGGGAGGCTAGGGCAGGAGGATTGCTTGAGCCCAGGAGTTCAAGACCCAGCTTGGGTAACATAGTGAGACTCCATCTTTACAAAAAATTAAAAAAAAAAAAAAACTGGACAGGTGTGGTGGCATGCACCTGCAGTCCCAGCTACTTGGGAGGCTGAGGTGGGAGGATCACTTGAGCCCAGGAGTGGAGGCTGCAGTGAGCTATAATCATGAACTACACTCTAGCCTGGGCAACAGAGTAAGACTCTGTCTCAAAAAGAAAGGGGGGGCCTTTCATTGTCAGAGCGGTGGGGACTTAAGACAGAGAACCACTGCTCTAGGCGCCAGGGGCTGTCACACGTAGCTCCCCAGGGCACTGGCACAGCAGCACATGCAGTACGCACCTGTCCATTCTGATGGGCACCATGCTTGGGAGTCAGTGTCTGACCTGCTGTGTCTTTTAGGGTACTGAGAGCAGTTTCATCACCTAGGTCTAGGGCAGCAGAGGACAGCACTGGGATCCAACTCTTCCATCTTGAAGTAATACCAGTGGAGAACGTCAATCCAAGTTGATCCTATACATTCACCTCAAAACTCTCTCATGTGAAAAAGTGACTGAGTCACAAAAAACAGAACCTCCTTGTTACCTTCACAGGCTGATCCTGGGCTGAATCTGTCTCACTGCCTTTTTCTTTCTTCTTTTTTTGTTTCTTTTTCTTCTTTTTGGCTCCAGTGTCATTGGCTGGACTCAAACCACTGTAACAAAAAGTAAATACTAATGCAGGGTTTAAAAAAAATCTGTTTTGTGCTACCCCTGACAAAGAGCTTTCTGTGGAGCCAGACCTTCCTTAATCAAGCCTGTTGGCTTCAGAAGCAGGCTGAAGAACCCAGGTCCAGAAAGGGCATTTGGAGGACACCAGCACTCCTCCTGACTCGCGCCCCCTCGGCTTTCAGGGAGGGAGTGCTGGGCAAGGGATGTCCTATTTGTGTGAAAGGGCCTTTTCCGTTCTTGCTTTTATGTTGCTTATTTTCTTTATATTGCCAGGGTAATGGCACCAAAGACGAATGATAATTGTTAACAAGGCATTCATACCACAATACTTCCTTGAACTCTGAATGTAAAAGGATGACAGCCAAAAGGCAGTGATGGGCTTTCTGGAATGCTTTGCCCTTCCTTCCTCCACCTCCCAAATGTATTAGGTTTCATGATTTTCCCCAGCTGGATCTGGAGCACAAGACAGTATGAAAAGGGAGTGAGGGATGAGGAAAAAGGCACATTAACATTGCCACAATCTGTGTCCAAAATGGTCAGTCATGAGAAATGCCCAAATCAGCCAGGCGTGGTAGCTCACACCTGTAATCCCAACACTTTGGGAGGCCGAGGCAGGTGGATCACTTGAGGTCAGGAGTTTAAGGCCAGACTGGCCAACATGGCAAAACCCTGTTTCTACTAAAAATATAAACATTAGCTGGGGCCTGGTGGCACATGCCTGTAGTCCCAGCTACTCAGGAGGACGAGGCAGGAGAACTGCTTGAACCCGGGAGGTGGAGGTTGCAGTGAGTTGAGATCACGTCATTGCACTCCAGCCTGTATGACAGAGACAGACCTCGTCTCAAAAAAAGGAAAAGGCAGCAATGCGCGGTGGCTCACACCTGTAATCTCAGCACTTTGGGAGGCCGAGGCGGGCAGATCATGAGGTCAGGAGATCAAGACCATCCTGGCTAACATGTTGAAACCCCATCTCTACTAAAAATACAAAAAAATTAGCCGGGCACGGTGGCGGGCGCCTGTAGTCCCAGCTACTCGGGAGGCTGAGGCAGGAGAATGGTGTGAACCTGGGAGGTAGAGCTTGCAGTGAGCCGAGATCATGCCACTGCATTTCAGCCTGGGTGACAAAGCGAGACTCTGTCTCAAAAAAAAAAAAAAAAAAAAAGGAAAAGGCTGGGTGTGGTGGCTCACACCTGTAATCTCAGCACTTTGGGAGGCCAAGGCAGGCGGATCACCTGAGGTGCAGAGTTCGAGACCAGCCTGACCAACATGGAGAAAGCCTGTCTCTACTAAAAATACAAAATAAGCCGGGCATGGTGGCGCATGCCTGTAATCCCAGCTACTCGGGAGGCTAAGGCAGGAGAATCGCTTGAACCCAGGAGGCAGAGGTTGTTGTGAGCCAAGATCGCGCCACGGCACTCCAGCCTGGGAAACAAGAGCGAAACTCCGTCTCAAAAAAAAAAGGGAAAAAAAAAAGAAATGCCTAAACCAGATCTGCAGGATTGAGGACAACTGTCGGCAAGCTCAGACTGAGGGATCACCACTGGCAAAACCCAGCATTAGGAATCTTGGGAAACTAAAACAACAATAGCACCCAGTTACTCCTGCCATGGAGAGATTACAAGAAACATGTGGCCGGGCGCAGTGGCTCACGCCTGTAATCCCAGTATTTTGGGAGGCCGAGGCGGGCGGATCACTAGGTCAGGAGATTGAGACCATTCTGGCTAAATGGTAAAACACCGTCTCTACTAAAAATACAAAAAATTAGCCAGGCGTGGTGGCAGGCGCCTATAGTCCCAGCTACTTGGGAGGCTGAGGTAGGAGAATGGCGTGAACCTGGGAGGCGGAGCTTGCAGTGAGCCGAGATTGCGCCACTGCACTCCAGCCTGGGCGACAGAGCGAGACTCCGTCTCAAAAAATAAAAATAAATAAATAAATAAAAGAAACATGTCTGTGTGTATGCACGTGTGCATGTGTGCACGTGATCAAGGGGACTTCCTTGTGCTGCTTTCCCCTACATGACACACCCCATGAATGAAGCAAAAAGTTTCTTAGCCTCATTAATGTTTTATTAAATTAAAAAATAGAGACAGGGGTCTCCCTATGTTACCCAGGCTGGTCTCAAATTCTAGGTTTGAGTGATCCTGCTGCCTTGAACTCCCAAAGTGCTGGGATTACAGGTGTGAGCCACCATGCTCAGCCTCTTAGCCACACTGAAAAGTCAAAATTGGCTGGGCGCGGTGGCTTATGCCTGTAATCCCAGCACTTTGGGAAGCCGCGGCAGACAGATCATGAGGTCAGGAGTTCGAGACCAGCCTGACCCACATGGTGAAACCCCGTCTCTACTAAAAATACAAAATTAGCCAGGCGTGGAGGCATGCGCCTGTAATCCCAGCTACTTGGGAGGCTGAGGCAGGAGAACTGCTTGAACCCGGGAGGCTGTGGTTGCAGTGAGCCAATATCATGCCATTGCACTCCAGCTCTGGGCGACAGAGCAAGACTCCATCTTGGGGAAAAAAAAAAAAAGAAAAAGAAAAGAAAAGAAAAAAAGAAAAGTCAAAATTAGGAGTCCAACCTGAGTACAGTGAATCCTAATCTGTAGAATCAGCTAAACACAGAGGTAATTTTAACTGTATATTTTAGACAATCAATTTTCAAATAATTGAAAGGTCCAGCATGGTGGGTCATGCCTGTAATCCCAACACTTTGGGAGGAAAAGGCAGGCGGATCACTTGAGCTCAGGAGTTTGAGACCAGCCTGGGCAACATGGCGAAACCCCGTCTCTAACACAAATCCAAAAATTAGCCAGGTGTGGTGGTGCACACTTGTAGTCCCAACTACTGGGGAGGCTGAGTTGAGAGGTTGGCTTGAAGCCTGGGAGGAGGAGCCTGCAGTGAGCTAAAATCGCACAACTATACTCCAGCCTGGGCAATACAGCCAGACACTGTCTCAAAACAAACAAACAAACAAACAAAAAAACACCAAAACCCCCAAGAATTAAAACAATATAAAATACAATTTTCCATTAACATTATGTTAAATACAATTTATAATTCAGAAAGACTTCAGGGTCTCAAAATGCCTCGGAGTTATTATGAATATTACTATCATCTCACAGACAGATACTGTGTATATATATATATACAGGGAGAAAGTGATCTGAAATCACATGCTGCCAATTCTCTTCACAGAATGTCTTCAGATTCTCCTATCTCTTCCTGTTCCTGGGAGGAATGCTCACATCCAGACTTCATGACCTTACCCTTGGACTTAAGTTACCTCCAGCCTTTTCTGGATCTCTTTGCCTTCACAATCTTTCTGCATCACCTGAACTCTATATAGCTGTGGGACTCACCTCTGTGAAAATGGCTTTCCATGTGTCCCCCCCATGCTTGAAATCCTAGAGTAACAGCGGCTTCTTAACTTGGAAGGTATCAAGCCCAATTTTTCCCTAGGCCTATCACCCTCATTTCCCACTTACGCTGTCCACTCTTGCCTCCCACAGCTTCCATCTGGCCGGGCCTCTCAGTGCCCCTGATGCAGAAAGACTGTGACAGGGAGAGATCCAGTTAAGTCTGAAGGTTCCTTTAGTCCAAGCATAAGGTCATGAAGTCTAGATGCAAGTACACCTACTTGGTATGATATTAATGAGACCCAGAAGGCATTAACATGGAAGGAAGACTGAGAACATTCAAAGGGGAAATAAGGTAACTTCCTTAAAACCAGATGCTCAGCAAAACCCCCAAGGCCATGGCAAACAACAGAAACCATAAAGTCATTTATGGCCTAAAGATAACTTCTTCTTCTTAGTAACTCAATTTTGTTATTGCACACAGGACCATCTGCAGCCTAGGACAACTCTGTGGTTTTCCTACTCCAGATATTTTCACTTCAGTCTCAGGATTACGTGAAGCATTATAAGATTTAAAAACTGGCTCATAGGCTGGGTGCGGTGGCTCACGCCTGTAATCTCAGCACTTTGGGAGGCCAAGGCAGGCGGATCACCTGAGGTCGGGAGTTCGAGACCAGCCTGACCAATAAGGAGAAACCCTGTCTCTACTAAAAATACAAAATTAGCCGGGCGTGGTGGCACATGCCTGTAATCCCAGCTACTCGGGAGGCTGAGGCAGGAGAATCACTTGAACCTGGGAGGTGAAGATTGTGGTAAGCCAAGATTGCACCACTATACTACAGCCTGGGTAAGAAGATCAAAACTCCATCTCAAAAAACAAACAAACAAGACCTGGCTGATATTAGGAGACAAAGCAGTGTCCCATTGTTGGATACAATTTATAATATAAATTCTTATTCATAACAGCTTATGGAACAAATTATCTGGTCCATAACCACAAATTAGCTGGTTCCATAACAGCTTATGGAACAAATTATGGTAATATGAATTACCATAAGAATAACTTTTTATAATTCTACAAAAGAAAGAATCAAAAAGGTAAGGTGAAGAACTGCTGTAGATTAACCAACTGGATACTTACTAAACATAATTTCACATGGGGAAAATAATTACTTCTTCCAACTTTAAAAGTCTTTACAAATATGCAAAATCACTGTAAAAACTACCTTCCTGCCTTTGTTCTTCCTATTTAGCGGAGATACTTCCATGTAGCTATCACCTCATGAACCCAATTTTTGTGGAAGGATCTTGGGCTGAACTCTTGTTCTGCTTTATGCATTGCCAATACAAGTATCTAGAAATCTCCAAGACCGAAACTAAAATCAGAGAGCAAATTTCATTTTCTTTATATTGGCTTGAATTTGTACAAGCAGCCAGTTACTGAGCAAAAATCCTGTTTCAACTTGTACATCAAGCACACGGCTGAAGAACACAGGGAAGTTGTTTTTTCTTTTCTTTTTTTTTTTTTGAGACAGAGTTTCACTCTTGTTGCCCAGGCTGGAGTGCAATGGCACGATCTCAGCTCACTGCAGCCTCCGCCTCCTAGGTTCAAGGGATTCTCCTGCCTCAGCTTCCCAAGTAGTTGGGATTATAAGCATGTGCCATCACACCCAGCTAATTTTTGTATTTTTAGTAGAGACAGGGTCTCACCAAGTTGGTCAGTCTGGTCTCAAACTCCTGACCTCAGGTGATTCACCTGCCTCAGCTTCCCAAAGTACTAGGATTACAGGCATGAGCCACCGTGCCTGGCCACTTTTTTTTTTTTTTCTTTAATGAGTCATTTTCACTGAGCTACCAAGTATTGAGCCCCATCCGTGAGGACACATTATGAGTACACATAGTCTTACAGTCAACACCCCCAAACAGAAGACAACCAATTCAGCAAAACCAGACTTCCAAGGAGCCCACTCCAGTTAGCTTTCATGGTAATTATAATAATTTTAATTATTCATAGGGAACCAAGCTCAGAGGCCTTGAGAGTAGAACTTCAAAAAGCATCCTAGCAAGCCAACGCCACTTCACAGAAGAATGGCCTCAATTTGGACTAAGGGAAAACAAAACTAGAGGACCCCACAGAAGCCAGGCTAATCCTTCTCCAGGAATCTGGCATCATTTTTTGTTTGTTTCTTGATTCATGTTTTTTGTTTTTGAGATGGAGTCTCGCTCTGTCACCCAGGCTGGAGTACAATGGCACAATCTTGGCTCACTGCAGCCTCCTCATCACAGGTTCCAGTGATTCTTCTGCCTCAGCCTCCTGGGTAGCTGGGAATACAGGCACATACCACCATACCCAGCTAATCTGTGTATTTTTAGTAGAGATGAGGTCTCGCCATGTTGGTCAGGCTGGTCTTGAACTCCTGACTTCAGGTGATCTGCCTGCCTCAGCCGCTCAAAGTGCTAGGATTACAGGCGTAAGCCACCGTGCCTGGCCTCTTTTTTTGTTTTGTTTTGAGACGGAGTCTTGCTCTGTTGCCAGCCTGGAGTGCAGTGCCGTGTTCTCAGCTCACTGCAACCTCCGCCTCCTGGGTTCAGCGATTCTCCTGCCTCAGCCTCCTGAGTAGCTGGGACTACCACCATGCCTGGCTAATTTTTCATACTTTTAGTAGAGACGGGGTTTCACCATGTTGGCCAGGCTGGTCTTGAACTCCTGACCTCATGATCTGCCAGCCTTGGCCTCCCAAAGTGCTGGGATTACAGGCGTGAGCCACCACGCCCAGCCATTTTTTTTTTTTTAAGACAAGAGTCTCGCTCTGTTGCCCAGCCTCTAGTGCAGTGGTGTGATCTCGGCTCACTGCAACCTCCACCTCCCAGGTTCAAGCAAATCCTCACACCTCGGCCTCCTGAGTAGCTGGGATTACAGGCGCCCAGCATCAGGCCCAGCTAATTTTTATATTTTTAGTAGAGACGGGGTTTCACCATGTTGGCCAGTCTGGTCTTGGACTCCTGACCTCAAGTGATCCACTCACCTCAGCCTCCCAACATGCTAGGATTACAGGCGTGAGCCACCGCACCTGGCTGTTTGTTCATTTTTGAGACAGGGTCTTGCTCTGTCACCCAGGCTGGAGTGCAGTGGCACGATCATGGCTCACTGCAGCCTCCAGCTCCTGCCTCCAACTCCTGGCTCAAACAATCCTCCTGCTTCAGCATCCTGAGTAATTGGGGCTACAGGTGTGCACCACCATGCCTGGCTAATTTTAGGCTGGGCTCAAACTCCTGGGCTCAAGCAATCCTCCTGCCTTGGCCTCCAAAAGTGCTGGGATTATGGGAATGAGCCACCGTGCCTGGCTGGCATCCTTTTTAAAGGGATTTGAAGTCCACACCCACTGGGTGGGAATCCTAGGGCATGCTGCGATTCGGCACACTGAAATAGAAATCTCTCACAGATCTAAGCTGCCAGTCACCTTATTTCAAACTGAGATTGGCCAGAACCAGAATCTTAGAATACAGCAAACCAAAGTCCAACTTGTTTCACTTGGTTCCAAAATAAAGAGTAGAGAATTCAGTAAAGTTTGCCTTGGTGCAGCAACAGAAGTGCCTCCTCCCCCAGAAGGCAGATGGCAGTTCATACAAAAATTGTGAGACTTATATTCTAAAGTTGATCAACTCAAGAAGTCATCAATGACCAACCTAGCAAATACAGGGTGAATTAGAATAAAAGATCCAGGAACAGAGCAGAAAAGCAATCAAGAAATGTCATCTCGGCCGGGCACGATGGCTCACGCCTGTAATACCAGCACTTTGGGAGGCCGAGGTGGGCAGATCACGAGGTCAGGAGATCGCGACCATCCTGGCTAACATGGTGAAACCCCGTCTCTACTAAAAAACAATACAAAAAAATTAGCTGGGCGTGGTGGTGGGCGCCTGTAGTCCCAGCTACTCGGGAGGCTGAGGCAGGAGAATGGCGTGAACCCAGGAGGCGGAGCTTGCAGTGAGCAGAGAACCAGCCACTGCACTCCGGCCTGGGCGACTGAGCGAGACTCTGTCTCAAAAAAAAAAAAAAAGTCATCTTTTAATGAAGACCAAAATGTTACAAGTTCAAAGATGTAAGACATCCTAAGGATGCTCCTGTATAAATTCAGACCTTGGGGAGGAGATGGAAAACTAACTTCAGTACTTATTTCTAGAAATAGAGCGCAATGCTGGGTATGTGAGCGGGTGGGAGGTAAGGGTAAGCTGGCAGATGAACAGCAGGAGAAGAGGAACTTCTAGACAACAGGAGCAGCGAGGGTCCATATGTGGGCCTCCTCTCAGTCTTACTGGATGATGCAATCCGCTCAAAACTGCATGCCTGGGAAGAAAAAGCTCTATCATAGGGGAGGGGAAGCTGAGCTTCCAACACTGGAATCTCAGAACCATCTGGCTTAACTTGTTGTTTACAGATGAGGAAACTAAGGCCCAGAGATGTGAGGCAAATTGGTTATCAACCAACCAACTAGCATCTAGGGAGGAGCCATCAATCTCTAAAGACTTGGCTTGGGGCCATTTCCCCCCAAAGGCTATGGCTTCGTTCCCTGTAAGAATTGATTTGAGAATCCTCCAAAGCCAAGAGAATATTGTTTCCTCACACTGGGCTATAGAACACAGCTTTGGTGTTTGAGAGGAGCAAGCATTAGAAGTAATGAGGAAAGTGAGTCATGTTTTATCCAGAAAGTCAGCTCTGACTATTCTAGTTCTCTGATGTCTGCCTGTTTTAAAACTATAATCTCCTAAAACACTTAATATATAATAATATATTGCTTTCTTGGCTTCCCGATGACATTAACAATTTCCTAAGAATAGGGACTACATCTTTTTTTTTTTTGAGACAGAGTCTTGCTCTGTTGCCCAGGCTGGAGTGCAGTGGCGTGATCTTGGCTCACTGCAACCTCCGCCTCCTGGGTTCAAGCGATTCTCTTCCTCAGCCTCCTGAAAAGCTGGGATTTCAGGCATGTGCCATCATGCCTGGCTAATTTTTGTATTTTTAGTAGAGACAGGGTTTCACCATGTTGGCCAGGCTGGTCTCGAACTCCTGGCCTCAAGTGATCTGCCTCAGCCTCCTACAGTGCTGGGATTACGGGTGTGAGCCACCGCGCCCGGCCAGACTACATCTTATACAGCTGCTTCCCACAGCGCCTCTAGTTGTGCTGAGCACACAGTTAACAGTTCAACAATTATATGCTTGACTGATGCTTTACAGGCATAATAGACTAAAATAAGACCTTGAAAAGCTAGAGCCCAAAAGAGGGTCAGCAAAACATCTTCAGTTCTGTTTGCACAGGACAGCTGTGTTAATATTCTATGAGAGCAATGGAAATGCTGTGCTCTTGAGCTACTGATTGGGATTTTAAATTATCAACTTTCTTTTTTTATTAAAAAAAATAGGCCAGGCGCGGTGGCTCACGCCTGTAATCCCAGCACTTTGGGAGGCCGAGGCGGGTGGATCACGACGTCAGGAGATCGAGACCATCCTGGCTAACATGGTGAAACCCCGTCTCTACTAAAAACGCAAAAAATTAGGCAGGCATCGTGGCGGGCGCCTGTAGTCCCAGCTACTCGGGAGGCTGAGGCAGGAGAATGGCGTGAACCCGGGAGGCGGAGCTTGCAGTGAGCTGAGATCGCACCACTGCACTCCAGCCTGGGCAAGAGAGAGAGACTCCATCTCAAAAAAAAAAATAGGCCAGGTGCGGTGGCTCACACCTGTAATCCCAGCACTTTGGGAGACCAAGGTGGGTGGATCAGCTGAGGTCAGGAGTTTCAGATCAGCCTGGCCAACATGGCGAAACCCCATCTCTACTAAAAAAATAGAAAAATTAGCCAGGTGTGGTGGTGGTACACGCCTGTAATCCCAGCTACTTGGGAGGCTGAGGCAGAAGAATCGCTTGAACCTGGGAGGGGGAGGTTGCAGTGAGCTGAGATCACACTACTGCACTCCAGCCTGAGTGAGACTCCATCTCAAATAAAAAAATACTGAGTTTTTTTTTTTTTGTAAAGACAGTTTCTTACTCTGTTACCCAGGCTGGAGTGCAGTGGCACAATCATGGCTCACTGCAGCCTCAACCTCCCAGGTTCAAGCGATCATCTCACCTCAGCCTCCTGCGTAGCTGGGACTACAGGCGTACGCCACCATACCTGGCTAATTTTTATATGTTTTGTAGAGACAAAGTTTCTCTATGTTGCCCAGGCTGGTCTTGAATTCCTGGACTCAAGCTATCCACCTGCTTCAATTTCCCAAAATGCTGGGATTACAGATGTGAGCTACCATGTCCAGCCCTAATTTTCTTATTCATTGTCTTCTCTCTCCTTAGGCTCTGTCCTACTCCTTGAGAAGCTAAAACAGGTCCAGCCAGGTGTGGTGGTGTGAACTTGTAGTCCCAGCTACTGAGGAAGCTGAGGCGGGAGGATCTCTTGAGCCCAGGAGTCTCACGATGTAGTAGTGCCCCACGACCACGCTTGTGAATAGCCACTGTACTCCATCCTGGGTGACAAAGTGAGACCCCATCTCTAATAAGTAAATAAAGCACAAACAAAAAAGCTCTAATGTAACTACTTCTAATGGTTTCAATGTCTTAAACACAGACCACAGGTTTACAACATAAGAAAAAAAAGTTTGGGAAATAAAATTCACAAATTTGGCCACTTTTCTTTTTCACTGTAGCTCTCAGATCTCATGGCCACTTGCTTTTTACTTTTATTTTTCAAAGGCTAGTCAAGTGAAGCAGTGGGAGTGGAAAAGGAACAAAGAAATCTATAACTGGTTATGACAAATTAGTCGTAAACACCACTGCACTTGGACCAGCCACCACTTGTTTTCTACCTCTGAAAAACAAAAAGACAGGAGTTAGAGATCAGCCTGGGCAACATAGTGAGATCTTGTCTCTACACACACAGACAAAAAAATTAGCCTGTAGTCCCAGTCACTCGGGAGGCTGAAGTAGGAGGACTGCACCATGGCACTACGATCTGGGTGACAGAGTGAAACCTTGTCTCAAATAAAAAATGAATTTTTTGGGCAGAAATTCAAATTTTCCAGAGAAACTTATTAAAATAAACTCTAACCTCTAATATCCTTTTGATTCTACTTTTAGACATCAGGAAATCCTTTTGCAAATCAATTAACTCTTGAAGTATGGTAAGTTCACTAATAATCCTATTAGTACTCAGAAAGACCAAAGAGAGGTGAATGAAATGGCAAAGATGCCCAGAAGGAAATGACATGGCATGAATCAGTATCAGCTGTCTAGTCTCTGTACTTCTGCGGCTAAGGATCACTCAGTGCAATACCCCCAACTCCGCACATTCCCACCAATTAGTTATATCAAAAACTGCTTGTGAATCCCAAATGATGGGAAAAATAAAAACACTTTAGTACTGCCATCAAGGTACCCTGGGGCTGGGCACAGTGGCTCATGCCTGTAATCCCAGCACTTTGGGAGGCCAAGGCGGGCAGATCACCTAAGGTCTGGAGCTCGAGACAAGCCTGGCCAACATAGCAAAACCCTTCTCTACTAAAAATTACAAAAATTGGCCAGGCGCGGTGGCTCACGCCTGTAATTCCAGCTCTTAGGGAGGCCGAGGTGGGCGGATCATGAGGTCAGGAGATCGAGACCATCCTGGCTAATACGGTGAAACCCCGTCTCTACTAAAAATACAAAAAATTAGCCGGGCGTGGTGACGGGCGACTACAGTCCCAGCTACCCAGGAGGCTGAGGCAGGAGAATGGCGTGAGCCCGGGAGACGCAGCTTGCAGTGAGCCAAGACCGCGCCACTGTACTCCAGCCTGGGTGACAGAGCGAGACTCTGTCTCAAAAATAAAAAATAAAAATTAGCTAGGCATGGTGGCGGGTGCCTGTAATCCCAGCTACTTGAGAGGCTGAGGCAAGAGAATAGTTTGAACCCAGGAGGCAGAGGTTGCAGTGAGCCGAGATTACGCCACTGCACTCCAGCCTGGGTGAGAGTGAGACTCCATCTCACACACACACACACAAAAAAAGGTACCCTGGGAGGTCTGTGAAGAGAACAGCAGGTTATAAAAAGGGATTACAAAAGACCACTTTTGCTGCCACCCTCGGCCCTCCCTGGGATAGTAAGCCAGAGTACTGAGGGTGAACGAGCCAATTCTTGTCATGGACGATAACTGCTTTTTAGAGGTCACAAAAGCTCTGGTATACTAAACTCCTTAAAACCGGAATGAGACAAATGTGTATATTCCACACTGAGTTTGTTTGGCGAGTTAGACTTTGACTTTGCAACTCCAAGGTAAAATCAAATGCTGTTCAGAGACCATTATCAAGAATATGTTGAGCAGTGGCTCAATGCTGGCAGAAATCTCACCTACTAGAATGACTTTTTTTTTTTTTTTTGAGATGGAGTCTCACTGTTGCCAGGCTGGAGTGCAGTGGTGCGATTAGAATGACTTCTGAAAATAATATTTGTCTATCATGAAGAGACAAACTGGGTCCCAAGTTTGGGAACGTCCATAGGCTGTTAAATGGAGCCAAAGATAGGATTCACACTGCTGCAGACTCAAGATGCAGAACTCAATTCAGCAGGGGAAAGAAACCTAGCAAGTTCAGAATGGATCCTCTGAGATGTCAAAGAGACCAGTGGAGATGCAAATCTCAAGCCTCACTATAAAAACTAAAGTCTAGCTGGGCGCAGTGGTGGCTCATGCCTGTAATCCCAGCACTTTGGGAGGCTGAGGTGGGCAGATCACGAGATTAGGAGTTCCAAGACCAGCCTGGCCAAGATGGTGAAACCCCATCTCTACTAAAAATACAAAAATCAGCTGGGCGTGGTGGCATGTGCCTGTAGTCCCAGCTATCCAGGAGGCTGAGGCAGGAGAATCACTGGAACCTGGGAGGTGGAGGTTGTGGTGAGCCAAGATCACGCCACTGCACTCCAGCCTGGGCAACAGAGCGAGACTCTGTCTCAAAAATAAATAAATAAATAAATAAATAAATAAATAATAAAAAATAAAGTCTGGCCAGGCATGGTGGCTCACGCCTGTAATCCCAGCACTTTGGGAGGACAAGGAGGATGGATCACGAGGTCAGGAGTTCAAGACCAGCCTGGCCAAGATGGTGAAACCCCGTCTCTACTAAAACTACAAAAGTTAGTTAGGCACAGTGGCAGGCACCTGTAATCCCAGCTACTTAGGAGGCTGACGCAGGAGAGTCGCTTGAACCTGGGTGGCAGAGGTTGCAGTGAGCCGAGATCGCGCCACTGCACTCCAGCCTGGGCGACAGAGTGAGACTCTGTCTCAAAAAAACCCAAAAAAACAAAAAACTAAAGTCCAGGCATGGTGGCTCACGCCTGTAATAATCCCAGCACTTTGGGAGGCCAAGGCAGGTGGACTGCTTGAGGCCAGGAGTTCGAGACCAGCCTGACCAACATGGCAAAACCGTGTCTCTATTAAAAATACAGAAATTAGCCGGGAATGGTGGTGCACACCTGTGATCCCAGCTATTTGGGAGGTTAAGACACAAGAATTGCTTGAACCTGTAAGGCAGAGGTTGTAGTGAGCTAAGATCGTGCCACTGTACTCCAGCCTGGGCGACAGAGTGAGACTCAAAAAAAGAAACAAACAAACAAAAATCGCTAAAGTCTTCATAAGTGAAATCATGGAGGATATAATCCAAGTAAAGGGCTTAGCACAATGCCCACTACGTAGTAATAATAGTAACATTTACTAAACACTTAACCATAGTGACTCCTCAGTTGTCTCTCAAGAGAGCAGCTCTAGAAAGTTGTTGTTCTGTTTATTTTTTTGAGATGGAGGCTCTCTCTGTCGCCCAGACTGAAGTGCAATGGCGCCATCTGGGCTCACTGCAACCTCTGCCTCCCGGGTTCAAGTGATTCTCTTGTCTCAGCCTCCCATGTAGCTGGGACTACAGGTGTGTGCCACCACGCCCAGCTAATTTTTGTATTTTTAGTAGAGATGGGGTTTTGCCATGTTGGCCCGGCTGGTCTCGAACTCCTGACCTCAAGTGATCTGCGCACTTCAGCCTCTCAAAGTGCTGGGACATTTTTGAGGCAAATACTGAGCCTATGGAGGAATTCCGGTTTAGTATTTTTGGCGCTCTCAATAGAGAACACCATATTTTTGTCCCTTAAATGTAACAATCACAAGGACATCTTCTTTGAGGAATTGGAAGAGAGGCCTGAAGGGTAGAGATTTCAGATAAAAAGCTGAAGAGAAAGAGTTAAAGAAGCATCCTCCTGAAGTTACTAAATGTATGGCTCATAAATCTATGGGCTCTATAGGGAAAGGGTTAACTGCCAACTTAGTAAAGCTGGGGAATTTTAGCGTG
Organism: Homo sapiens; assembly: GCF_000001405.40. Classification (NCBI taxonomy): domain Eukaryota; kingdom Metazoa; phylum Chordata; class Mammalia; order Primates; family Hominidae; genus Homo; species Homo sapiens. Next base: position 45,067,929 of record NC_000017.11, on the reverse strand, counting down.
AGCATATTAGTTGAACAATGTGAAAAATCAGCAAAACTGCTGTGCCATGAGCAGCGAGTCCCTGAAATAGGCTCTCATTTACTTTCCATTTCTTCTGCTTTCCAGTCTCTTCTCTTTGAAGCAGCTCTTGATTAGTTTCTTTTTAATTGCCATTTAATTGGGAAACAAAATTAGAACACTTATTTGATATCAGTGATGAGGTTTCTCTTTCCATTCTGCTTTGATCTAGTTTTGAAAAACCAAAAGTTGAAGGGAGAAATTAAAAAGGAACTAAAAAGATTTCTTATTTCCAAGAGCTAGCTGCAGCTATAAGCCATCAAATAAATAGGGAAAGAACGACTCTTGGAGAAGCTGAAGAAAAAAACAAAAACAAGTAAGGCTAGCTTTATGGAATTTATTTTCAGAAAGACTTTTCTCTCCTCCTAAGTTTTCATAAGGGATAGTATCTCACAACCAGGAAATGAGGAGAACTTATAAAGAATCCATGTTAACCTGTCCCAGGGAGTAAGAGAGCAGGATGGAGATGAGACACCTCTTGTCAGAGGGCTCTTGACCCGTGCTTACCAGGATCTCAATGACACTGAAGACACTGCAAAATAAATTCCGAAAGATTCCTAGAACACAATAGTCTAAAAGTTCTTTTTTGTTCCAAAACACTCAGACAATCTTCACTTATTACCCCCAAATTAAAATCTGCCAACTGATGAGATTTATTCTTTGGCAATACTTCTTGGAAAGACTCTCATTAAAAAAAAAAAAAAATCAAATTAAACCATATAGATGAATCACGAACTACAGGGGGATGCTGCATAAAGGTTATCTTATCTGACTCTCCTCTCAATTGTTCAGGATAATTACGCTAGGCACGTAACTGGGGGAAATTGAGTGCAGTAAAAAAACAAACAAAACCAGCTGGATGCAGGAGCTTATGCCCACAATCCCAGCAGTTTGGGAGGCCAAGGTGGCAGCATCACTTGAGGCCAGCAGTTTGAGACCAGCCTGGGCTAAATAGTGAGACCCCATCTCTACAGAAACTTTTTAAAAAGAAAATTAGCCAGGGATGATGGTGCATGTCTACAATCCTAGCTACTTGGGAGGCTGAGGTGGGAGGATCGCTTGAGCCCAGGTCAAAGGCTGCAGTAAGCCATGATCACACCACTGTACTATAGCCTGGACGACAGAGCGAGGCCCTGTTTCCAAAGTAATAACAATAATTTTAAAATTAAATTAAAAAATTTTTAAATAGAAAAACTGAAGAGACGCACCCATACACACTGCATATGTATGCATGTATACCTATATGTATACATGAAGGGTTTGGGTTTTTTTGTTTTTATTTATAGAGATGGGGTCTCACCATGTTGCCCAGGCTGGTCTCGAACTCCTGAGCTCAAGTGATTTTTCTGCCTCAGCCTCCCAAAGTGCTGAGATTACAGGCATGAGCCACTACACACAACCACATGAAGTTTTATATTCACCAAATGTTTATGCTGATTTAATTACGGAGGAAACACAAGACCAGAAAAGTCAAGAACTAAATTCATATACAAAGAGACATAAGTAACTAATACAACTGGCCGGGCGTGGTGGCTCACACCTGTAATCCTAGCACTTTCGGAGGCCAAGGCAGGTGGATTGCCTGAGCTCAGGAGTTCAAGACCAGCCTGGGCAACAACGGTGAAACCCCGTCTCTACTAAAATATGAAAAATTAGCCGGGTGTGGCAGTGTGCTCCTGTAGTCCCAGCTACTCAGGAGGCTGAGGCAGGAGAATTTCTTGAACCCGGGAGGCAGAGGTTGCAGTGAGCCAAGATCGCGCCACAGCACTCCAGCCCGGGCAACAGAATCCAGTACATGAATTTAGCTCATTTTATTAGCATAGAGTACTATGACTTTAGTTCCTGAAAAAAAGGGGCAGGAGGCTGGGTGTGGTGGCTCATGCTTACAATCCCAGCACTTTGGGAGGCTAAGGCAGGAGGATCACTTGAACCCAGGAGTTTGAGACTAGTCTGAGCAACATAGCGAGACACAGTCTCTTTAAAAAAAAAAAAAGGCCCAGGAGAATAAGGGTTAGCTCGAACTATCATTAACCTTTATTATATATTACACATTTTAGACTCTCTAGCATTGAAAGGAAAACTTCTCTGTCAATTTTTACATGATTTTTGAGAACATTTTAAATAATATTAAGACAAAAAACATTTCAAGAAGCAAAACACAGTGGAAAGCACACAACAGTGGAAAGCTCCACAGCAAATTGGAGCTTCCTGGTTTCTGTAGGTATTTCTTTTTTTTTTTTTTTTTTTTTGAGACAGAGTCTGGCTCTGTCGCCCAGGCTGGAGTGCAATGGCGCAATCTCGGCTCACTGCAAGCTCCGCCTCACAGGGTCACACCATTCTCCTGCCTCAGCCTCCCGAGTAGCTGGGACTACAGGCATGCGCCACCACACCTGGCTAATTTTTTGTATTTTTATTAGAGATGGGGTTTCACTGTGTTAGCCAGGATGGTCTCGATCTCCTGACCTCATGATCCCGCCCGCCTTAGCCTCCCAAAGTGCTGGGATTACAGGTGTGAGCCACCATGCCCTGCCTCTGTAGGTATTTCATAAAAACTGTAGTGAGGCTTACAATGAGAATTATTTGGGGAGAGAAAATGTGTATGTAAGAAAAATCTGACATCCTCTCACTTGGTGAGGGGAGATGAAACTCCACTAATACTGGGCTAGGCACTTTAATATCTGCCATTCATTCATACAGCAAATACTCATTAATGCCCACTAAGTGCTAGGCATTTCGAAGACACAATCCTGTTTACATGCTCCTTACTGTCAGATGAGACAGGTACCAGACACATTAAGAAAAATTACCAAACATGTAGTTATATTTATTGTTATTATAACTATTGTTACGATAAAAGCTACAATACAGTATGTGATAAGAGCAGAGGGGCAAGCTGGGAGGTTAGGGACGATCTGAAGAAAGAGGAGGAGGGAGGAAAAGGAGTGCATTCCAGATGTTATCTCATTAATCCCTACAACTCTGAGTTAAGTACCTTTCCCAAGGTCACAGGACTGTTAAGTGTCAGAGCCAAGCTTTGAGATGAGATTTTGAGATCAGAGGCTTGCTCTGTCGCCCAGGCTGGAGTGCACTGGAGAGATCTCAGCTCAGTGCAACCTCTGCCTCCTGTTTTCAAGTGATTCTCCTGCCTCAGCCTCCTAAGTAGCTAGGATTACAGGCGCCTGCCATCATGCCCAGCTAATTTTTGTATTTTTAGTAGAGATGAGGTTTCACTATGCTGGCCAGGCTGGTCTCAAACTCCTGACCACAAGCGATCTGCCCACCTCAGCCTCCCAAAGTGCTGGGATTACAGATGTGCGCCACCGCGCCTGGCCTCAGACCAGATTTAAATTATTCCAAAGTCCATGCTTTTCTACTGTGCCGTGCTGCATTTTCCCACATTGCTGCTTCTCCCCAAAACCATTTCCTCTCAAAGTTCATGGAAAAATGTTGACTCTACCCCAGATTCTTAGTGCCAGAATTAGACTCTCTCCTCCAGACTAGGCCCTTGGTTTTTCACCTACTACCTCCAAACTCATTTTCACAGATCTTTAGATTTGGGACGCTAATAAACATAATTTTTTCACCCAGACCATAACCATGCACAGAGACACCACTGCAAACTGTCAAAGTTTTTAAGGTTATCACTTACTTCTACTACAAATAAAATAATTTTATTTATTTATTTTTTTGAGATGGAGTCTCGCTCCGTTGCCAAGCTGGTGTGCAGTGGCGCAATCTCAGCTCACTGCAACCTCCGCCTCCCGGGTTCGAGTGATTCTCCTGCCTCAGCCTCCCGAGTAGCTGGGACTACAGGTATGCACCACCATGCCCAGCTAATTTTTCTATTTTTAATAGAGACAGGGTTTCACCATGTTAGCCAGGATGGTCTCAATCTCTTGACCTCGTGATCCACCCGCCTCGGCCTCCCAGAGTGATGGGATTACAGGCATGAGCCACTGTGTGCCACTTTTTTTTCTGAGACAGGGCTTTGCTCTATTGCCCAGGCTGGAGTGCAGTGGTGCAATCTCAACTCACTGCAGCCTCCACCTCCCAGGTTCAAGTGATTCTCCTGCCTCAGTCTCCGGAGTAGCTGGGACTATAGGCGTACGCCACCATGCCCAGCTAAATTTTGTATTTTTAGTGGAGACGGGGTTTCACCATGTTGGCCATGCTGTTCTCGAACTGCTGACCTCAAGTGATCCACCTGCCTCGGCCTCCCAAAGTGCTGGGATTACAGGTGTGAGCTACCACGCCAGGCCAATAAAATAACTTTCTGGCACACAGTTTTGAAAAGTGATTCACAGATTATAGGGCACAAACCTAAGGACACTGGTCAGGACAACAGTTAAGAAGATAAAAATAAAAGCAACTACAAAAAGAGCAAAGAAAATGCCACACTTTCACTTCTGGAATGACTTTCACATTCACCAACTCTCATCTGTGATTCAGATCTCTACTCAGGAGAGCTTCACTTTCCCTTCTTCCTGTTCCTACTTCCTCTTTCTCAGCTCTTCCATTTTTAGGAATATCAAACTTCAAAAGAAGACTTTTATTACATTAGATCTGTTGTGAGTTACAGCAACAGAACAGTCTTATAAAAACTAAATTTGGCAAGCTTCCTATTCCTCTACTTTCTTCCTGTGATTTTTTTTTTTTTTTTTTTTTTTTGAGTCGGAGTCTCGCTCTGTCGCCCAGGCTGGAGTGCAGTGGCGTGATCTCAGCTCACTGCAAGCTCTGCCTCCTGGGTTCACGCCATTCTCCTGCCTTAGCCTCCCGAGTAGTTGGGACTACAGGCGCCCGCCACCACGCCCGGCTAAATTTTTTGTATTTTTAGTAGAGATGGGATTTCACAGTGTTAGCCAGGATGGTCTCGATCTCCTGACCTCGTGATCTGCCTCCCAAAGTACTGGGATTACAGGCATGAGCCACCATGCCCGGCCCTTCCTGTGATTTTTAATGCCGGCTGAAGAACATAAAAGCTAGATCTTTTAACCTAAGATTTACCACAAGCAGATTATAAACCACTTAAATACAGTCATGCTTCACTGAACGTCAGGCATATGTGCTGGGAAATGCATGGTTAGGTGATTTTTGCCTTGCCAACATTATAGGGTGTACTTACACAAATCTAGATGGTATAGCCTACTAAATGCCTAGGCTATATGGTGTACATTACAGTAACATGCTATACAGGTTTGTAGCCTAGGAGCAATAGGCTGCTGCATGTTACTGAGTACTGCAGGCAACTATAATACAATGGTAAGTATTTGTGTATCTAAGCATACCTAAACATAGAAAGGATACAATAAAAATATGTACTATAATCTTGTGGGACCATCTCTTCTACGCAGTCCTTGGTCTTTATACCTTTATATCTGCACTGCCACCAATACTGCGAATAACAAGCTGGCTACGAAAATCAGACTACCTCAGACTCAGCAAGTTATACACCCAAAAATCTCTCACGACTTTCAGTTTAAAAATATATCTACAAATATAGACAGGAAGATGGGGAGAGACAGCGTGAGTGCCAGTGCCAGGCACTAACCATGTGAAGAAAGATGAATAAGCTGTGGCTTACAGAAGTAAAAACTAATTTGGGAAAAGAATTCAACATTCAAATGCCTGGTGTGTTTCTTCATCCCTAGGAACAAATAGTAACTAATGGCAAGACCCTAAAGTACAGGATAGGCAGTATGGAGCCCGAGGATTCCAAATACTCTCCAAGAAACAACATCGCTCATTTCTTGAAGCCTGGGGCTGCTCTGCAAAGGTAACAAGGCAAAGATGTTCGAAGACTTAATTATATTAATATATCGTTCAGGATACTTATGGATTATTTGGAGCAATGGAAACTATGTAAATCAAAGCATTACCATACCGTTAATTACATAGGTTTATAAGGTGAGTTTATATTTTGGGATTCTCTGGTAGTGATATTTTACAATATAATTATACATACAGTTTGTATAGTCTGATGAGTTTCCTCACTGAGGGTGAACTGCTGCGAAATGTTTTATGATTCGTTTATTGCTAGTCACGTTGTTCAAACAACACGTCTATAAGTAACGTTCCCTTTGAACTGTACTGTTACTAGACTGTCCTGTGTTGTACCATCGAAAACCATCGTCCAACATGCTCTTTTCCCAGGAATGGCCTGAAGCACACGAGTGGAACACTGCATAGAACTTTTATATAATAAAAGTACTGAACGTCTCCGGCCCTTAATATCCAGAGCACCCACCCTTGGTAAATGACAAAGGCAATAACCAATCGCCAGGCAGAATCCTAGTGACTTAGCCAATAAGAACATGAGGGTGGGGCTAGACTAAGCTCCCGGTGACTTCCCCGCACCCCAGAGACCCAGGTTGTGGGAGGCTGGACGGGAATTGGACTCCGAGGATTTCGTTACCCCCGGTTGTAGCTGTTGTCCTCCTCATTCTCGCAATCGCTGCAGTGCTCATGGCCGTTCCCGTTCCCTTCCATCATCTGCGGCAGCGGAGGTGCCGGCGGCTTCACTGCTGTCTCACTCTCGTCCGCCATCTTGAGTTGCGAGAGCAGGGCTCCGCGCCCCACTACATGGGGGGTTCCTATTGGACAAGGGGAATTTGCGCTGCATTCTGGGTTTTGTAGTTTTTCTGGCGAAGCGAGCTGCCACTAGGAGCGACTCTTTCCCAGGAAACTGACTACAATACCCAGGAATCACGAGGGACGGCTCCGGTCGGATTAAGAGGCGGGGCCACTGATACCCGGAAGCCTAGGCATTCGGCCACGCTTTGAGGAAAGAAGGGGCGCAAGGTTGGTGGGACCGACCCTTGGGAACCGGGCGGCCGCCTGGCATGATGGGAGTTGTAGTTCGATGCTGGTTTAGGGTTTCAGGCGTGGAGGTTCC